>NC_000006.12:50705683-51351367 GCF_000001405.40 Homo sapiens | reverse complement strand
GACTGCAACCTCCACCTCCTGGGTTCAAGTGATTATCCTGCCTCAGCCTCCTGAGTAGCTGGGAATACAGGTGTACACTACCACGCCCTGCTAATTTTTTGTATTTTTAGTAGAGAGGGGGTTTCAGCATGTTGGCCAGGCTGGTCTCGAAATCCTGGCCTCAAGTGATCTACCCACATCGGACTCCCAAAGTGCTGGGATTACAGGCATGAACCACCGCACCCAGCCCCTGCCCATCCTTTAAGCCCTAGGCCAAACACCACCACCTTTATGACGCCTTTCTTGATTTTTACCAGTTGTAAATTCTTCCTCTTCTCCTTTCCTATAGCATTGTTCTCTGTGGGGCATCTGAACAATGACTTAGAAACATCCAACCTCAATTTTGTCATTTGTAAAACAAGGCACATGACATATACCAAAAAAGTTACTGTGAGGCTAAAGTAACATGTATAAGCTCCTTCTACAATCAATAATTCTTAGTTTAATTTATTCCTATATCACAATTTTATTTTCATTATAGATATTTGGGTATATATCTTATCTGTAACAAATTAAGCTCCCAGAGAGTATAGATCATCTTATTCACCTTTGTAAATGGCTTAGCGTAGTTCTTTATATACAGCTTCATTAAAGTATGTATATTGAGTGAATAATGTACCTCTGCCTCAGTTTTTCATCTGTAAAATGGGAATAAAAATAGCTTAGTTATTTTATAGCATTATGAAAAGGGTAAATTAAAATTCTACATGTATAATCATTTTGAAAAATAAAAAGACAAAATGCTAGCCAAGTATAAGATGTTGTTCAGTATATTATTAATATGTTTGGACAACTAGTGACAATATTACCCAGCTTATCCAGTAGAGGGCAACGACACACACAAGGATATTCATATTCTTTTTAAGACTTTGAAAACCACAAATTTAAAAGTGAGAAAAGCTTTTGGTATTATGCTAACAAAATAAAACAATCTCTCTGGATTCAGCTGATTTCTTTTCTTTTACTCTTTTATGTATACAATGTATATGTATATAAAGAACCTTAGACTCCATTGAGGGTTTCCAGTGTGTAGACCTGTGTTCTAAATTCCCTACTAGAATTTCCACTTGCCCATTTGCTAAGGGTGAGGAATTATTCCAGCTTAGCCAATGGGAAAAGAACACTGTTTTTACTGGTTTCATTACCTTGGTGCTGCGCAGAAGGATTTCCATAGCACTGGTGAGGGTGTGGCCCTGATTGGAGAGAGGCCTGGAAGGTTTCCATGCCAGCGGAGGGATTGGAGAAAGACTTGGAAAAACAATGCCGACCATTGTTTCCTTAGCCTGCTTTGGCTCCCCTCAGTCTGCTCTGTGAAGACACTGAATCCATTGACTAAGTCACTGACATTTTCCTAGCAGAGGGTAAGTCTCCAAGGGATAAGGGAAAGAGAGGGTGGTGGTGAATGAGCACCCGCAGCAGAGTATATCTACTGTGCAGGTGTTTGCTTTCCAGTTAATTCTGAACTTACTAAGTTTTAGGCAGAAAAACAGCCTGAAGATATGAGTAAGTGCATGGCATTTGCCCCTGAGAAACCCAAACTATAATATAAGACAGTTAGATTCCCAGGCAAGATGGCCGAATAGGAACAGCTCCAGTCTGCAGCTCCCAGCAAGACCAATGCAGAAGGCAGGTGGTTTCTGCATTTCCAACTGAGTACCCGGTTCATCTCTTTGGGACTGGTTAGGCAGTGGGTGCAGCCCACAGAGAGCGAGCAGAAACAGGGTGAGGTGTTGCCTCACCTGGGAAGCACAAGGAGCCAGGGAACTCCCTCCTCTAGCCAAGGGAAGCCATGAGGGACTATGCCATGATGTATGGTGCACTCTGGCCCATATACTACACTTTTCCCACAGTCTTCACAATCCATAGACCAGGAGATTCCCTTGGGTGCCTACACCACCAGGGCCCTGGGTTTCAAGCACAAAACTGGGCAGCCATTTGGGCAGACACTGAGCTAGCTGCAGGAGTTTTTTTTTCATACCCCAGTGGCGCCTGGAATGCCAGCAAGACAAAACCATTCACTCCCCCAGAAAGGGAGCTGAAGCCAGGAAGCCAAGCGGTCTTGCTCAGCAGATCACAACGCCATGAAGCCCAGCAAGCTAAGATCCACTGGCTTGAAGTACTCACTGCCAGCACAGCAGTCTGAAGTTGACCTGGATGCTCCAGCTTGGTGGGAGGAGGGGTGTCTGCCATTACTGAGGTTTAGGTAGGCAGTTTTCCCTTCACAGTGTAAACAAAGCTGCCAGGAAGTTTGGACTAGGTAGAGTCCACCACAGCACAGCAAAGCCACTGTAGCCAGATTGCCTCTCTAGATTCCCTCTCTCAGGGCAGGCCATCTCTCAAAGAAGGGCAGCAGCCTCAGTCAGTGGCTTATAGATAAAACTCCCATCTCCCTGGGACAGAGCACCTGGGGAAAGGGGCAGCAATAGGTGCAGCTTCAGCAGACATAAGTGTTCCTGCCTGACAGCTCTGAAGAGAGCAGTGGACCTCCCAGCACAGCACTCAAGCTCTGCTAAGAGACAGACTGCCTCCTCAAGTGGGTCCCTGACCCCCGTGCCTCCTGACTGGGAGACACTTCCCAGCAGGGGTCGACAGACACCTCATACAGGAGAGCTCCAACTGGTATCTGGTGGGTGCCCCTCTGGGACAAAGCTTCGAGAGGAAGGAGGGGGCAGCAATTTTTGCTGTTCTGCAGCCTCAGCTGGTGATACCCAGGCAAACAAGTTCTGGAGTGGACCTCCAGCAAACTCCAGCAGACCTGCAGAAGAGGGGTCTCACTGTTAAAAGCAAAATGAACAAACAGAAAGCAAAAGCATCAACATAAACAAAAAGGACAACCACATAAAAACTCCATCCAAAGGTCACCAAAAGCAAAGACCAAAGGTAGATAAATCCACAAAGATGAGGAAGAACCAATGCAAAAAGGCTGAAAATTCCAAAAACCAGAATGCCTCTTATCCTCCAAAGGATCAGAATTCCTCGCCAGCAAGGGAACAAAACTGGATGGAGAATGAGTTTGATGAATTGACAGGAGTAGGCTTCAGAAGGTGGATAATAACAAATTCCTCCAAGCTAAAGGAGCATGTTTTAACCCAATGCAAGGGAACTAAGAACCTTGATAAAAGGTTAGAGGAATTGCTGACTGGAATAACCAGTTTGGAGAAGAACATAAATGACCTGATGGAGCTGAGAAACAGCACTAGAACTTCGTGAAGCATACACAAGTATCAGTAGCCAAATCAATCAGGCAGTGGAAAGGATATCAGAGATTGAAGATCAACGTAATGAAATAAAGCGTGAAGACAAGATTAGAGAAAAAAGAATAAAAAGGAAGAAACAAAGCCTCCAAGAAATATGGGACCATGTGAAAAGACCAAACTAACGCTTTATTGGTGTGCCTGAAATTGACGGGAGAATGGAACCAAGTTGGAAAACACTCATCAGGATACCTTCCCAACCTAGCAAGAAAGGCCAACATTCAAATTCAGGAAATACAGAGAACACCACAAAGATACTCCTCTAGGAGAGCAACCCCAAGACAAATAATCATCAGATTCACCAAGGTTGAAATGAAGAAAAAAATGTTAGGGGCAGCCAGAGAGAAAGGAGGGTTACCCACAAAGGGAAGCCCATCAGACTAACAGTGATCTCTCTACAGAAACCCTAAAAGCCAGAAGAGAGTGGGGGTCAATATTCAACATTCTTAAAGGAAAGAATTTTCAACCCAGAATTTCACATCTAGCCAAACTAAGCTTTATAAGTGAAGGAGAAATAAAATCCTTTACAGACAAACAAATGCTAAGGGATTTTATCACCACCAGGCCTGCCTTACAAGAGCTCCTCAAGGAAACACTAAATATGGAAAGGAAAATCCAGTACCAGCCACTGCCAAAACAAGCCAAAATGTAAAGACCATCAGCACTATGAAGAAACTGCATCACTAATGGGCAAAAAAACAAAACAAAACAAAAAAAACAAAAAAACAGCTAGCATCATAATGACAAGATCAAATTCACACATAACAATATTAACTTTAAATGTAAATGGGCTAAATGCCCCAATTAAAAGGCACAGACTGGCAAATTGGATAAAGAGTCATGACCGATCAGTGTGCTGTATTCAGGAGATCCATCTCAAGTGCAAAGACATGCATAGACTCAAAATAAAAGGATGGAGGAAGATTTACCAAGCAAATGGAAAGCAAAAAACAACAACAACAACAACAAAAAGCAGGGGTTGCAGTCCTAGTCTCTGATGAACAGACTTTGAACGAACAAAGATAAATAACGACAAAGAAGGACATTACCTAATGGTAAAGGGATCAAATCAACAAGAAGAGCTAACTATCCTAAATATATATGCACCCAATACAGGAGCACCCAGGTTCATAAAGCAAGTTCTTAGAGACCTACAAGAGACATAGACTCCCACAAAACAATAGTGGGAGAGTTTAACACCCCACCATCAGTATTAGACAGATCAATGAAACAGAAAATTAACAAGGATATTCAGGACTTCAACTCAGCTCTGGACCAAGTGAACCTAATAGTCATCTACAGAGCTCTCCACCCCAAATCAACAGAATATACATACTTCTCAGCACCACATAACACTCATTCTAAAATCGACCACATAATTGGAAGTAAAACACTCATCAGCAAATGCAAAAGAACAGAAATCATAACAAACAGTCTCTCAGACCACAGTGCAATCAAATTAGAACTCAGGATTAAGAAACTTACTCAAAACCCAACAACTACATTGAAACTGAACAACCTGCTCTTGGATGACTACTGAGTAATTAACGAAATGAAGGCAGAGATAAATAAGTTCTTTAAAACCAATGAGAACAAAGACACAACGTACCAGAATCTCTGGGACACAGCTAAAGTGTTTAACAGGGAAATGTATAGCACTAAATGCCCAGAGGGGAAAGTGAGACAAGTCTACAATCGAGACCCTAACATTGCAATTAAAAGAACTAGAGATGCAAGAGCAAACAAATTCAAAAGCTAGCAGAAGACAAGAAATAACTAAGATCAGAGCAGAACTGAAGGAGATAGAGACATGAAAACCCTTCAAAAAATCAATGAATCCAGGAGCTGGTTTTTTGAAAAGATTAACAGAAGAGATAGACTACTACCCAGACTAATAAAGAAGAAAAGAGAGAAGAATCAAATAGACACAACAAAAAATGATAAAGGGGAGATCACCACTGATCCCACAGAAATACAAACTATCATCAGAGAATACTATAAACACCTCTACGCAAATAAACTAGAAAATCTAGAAGAAATGGATAAATTCCTGGACACATACACTCTCCCAAGACTAAACCAGGAAGCAGTCAAATCCCTGAATAGACCAATAGCAAGTTCTGAAATTGAGGCAGTAATTAATAGCCTACCAACCAAAACAAAGCCTAGGACCAAATGGATTCACAGCCTAATTCTACCAGAGGTACAAAGAGGAGCTGGTACCATTCTTCCTGAAACTATTCTGAAGAATAGAAAAAGAGGGACTCCTCCCTAACTCATTTTATGAGGCTAGCATCATCCTGATACCAAAACCTGGCAGAGATGCAACCAACAAAGAAAATTTCAGGCCAATATCCCTGACGAACATTGATGCAAAAATCCTCAGTAAAATACTGGCACACAAAATCCAGCAGCATATTAAAAAGCTTATCCACCACAATCAAGTCAGCTTCATCCCTGGGATGCAAGGCTGGTTCAACCTATACAAATCAATAAACGTAATCCATCATATAAAAAGAACCAATGACAAAAACCACATGATTATCTCAATAGATGCAGAAAAGGCCTTCAATAAAATTCAACACCCCTTCATGCTAAACACACTCAATAAACTAGGTACTGATAGAACATATTTCAAAATAATAAGAGCTATTTATGACAAACCCACAGCCAATATCACACTTAATGGACAAAAGCTATAAGCATTCCCTTTGAAAACCAGTACAAGACAAGGATGCCCTGTCTCACCACTCTTATTTAACACAGTATTGGAAGTTCTGGCCGGGGCAATCAGGCAAGTGAAAGAAGTTAACGGTATTTAAATAGGAAGAGAGGAAATCAAATTATGTCTGTTTGAAGATGACATGATTGTATATTTAGAAAACCCCCCATCGTCTCAGCCAAAAACTCCTGAAGCTGATAAGCAACTTCAGCAAAGTCTCTGCAATCAATGTGCAAAAATCACACACATTCCTATACACCAATAAGAGACAAACAGAGAGCCAAATCATGAGCAAACTCCCATTCACAATTGCTACAAAGAGAATAAAATACCTAGGAATACACCTTACAAGGGATGTGAAAGACCTCTTCAAGGAGAACTACAAATCACTGCTCAAGGATATAAGAGAGGACACCAGCAAATGGGAAAACATTCCATGCTCATGAATAGGAAGAATCAATATCGTGAAAATAGCCATACTGCCCAAAGTAATTTGTAGATTCAATGCTATCCCCATCAAGCTACCATTGACTTTTTTTTACAGAATTAGAAAAAACTACTTTAAATTTCATATGGAACAAAGAAAGAGCCCATATAGTCAAGACAATCCTAAGCAAAAAGAATATAGATGGAGGCATCATGCTACCTGACTTCAAACTATGCTACAAGGCTACAGTAACCAAAACAGCATGGTACTGGTACCAAAACAGACATGCAGACCAATGGAACAGAACAGAAGCCTCAGAAATAACACCACACTTCTACAACCATCTGATCTTTGACAAACTTGACAAAAACAAGCAATGGGGAAAGGATTCCCTATTTAATAAATGGTTTTGGGAAAACTGGCTAGTCATACGCAGAAAACTGAAACTGGACTCCTTCCTTACACCTTATAAAAAAATTAACTGAAGATAGATTAAAGACTTAAATGTAAGAACTAAAGCTATAAAAACCAGAGGAGAAAACCTAAGCAATACCATTCAGGGCATAGGCATGGGCAAAGACTTCATGACTAAAACACAAAAAACAATGGCAACAAAAGCCAAAATTGACAAATGGGATCTAATTATATTAAAGAGCTTCTGCACAGCAAAAGGAACTATCATCAGAGTGAACATGCAACCTACAAAATGAGAGAAAATGTTTGCAATCTATCCATCTAACAAAGGGCTAATATCCAGAATCTACAGGGAACTTAAACAAATTTACAAGAAAAAAATAACCCCATCAAAAAGTGGGCAAAGGATATGAACAGACACCTCTCAAAAGAAGACATTTATGTGGCCAAGAAACATATGAAAAAAAGCTTATCATCACTGTTCATTAGAGAAATGCAAATCAAAACCACTATGAGATACCATCTCACACCAGTTAGAATGGCAATCATTAAAAGTCAGGAAACAACAGATGCTGGAGAGGATGTGGAGAAATAGGAACACTTTTACACTGTTGGTGGGAGTGTAAATTAGTTCAACCATTGTGAAAAACAGTGTGGCACGATTCCTCAAGGATCTAGAAACAGAAATAACATTTGACCCAGCAATCCCATTACTGGGTACATACCCAAATGATTATAAATCATTCTACTATAAAGACACATGCACACATATGTTTATTGCACGACTATTCACAATAGCAAAGACTTGGAACCAACCCAAATGCCCATCACTGTTAGACTGGATAAAGACAATGTGGCACATATACACTATGGGATACTATGCAGCCATAAAAAAGAATGAGCTCATGTCCTTTGCAGGGACATGGATGAAGCTGGAACCCATCATTCTCAGCAAAATAACACAGGAACAGAAAACCAAACACCACATATTCTCACTCGTAAGTGGGAGTTGAACAATGAGAACATATGGGCACACAGAGGGGAACATCACACACCAGGGCCTGTCGGGTGTGTGGGGGGCTAGAGGAGGGATAGCATTAGGAGAAATACCAAATGTAGATGATGGGTTGATGGGTGCAGCAAACCACCATGGCACATGTATACCTATGTAACAATCCTGCACGTTCTGTAGATGTATCCCAGAACTTAATATATATATAATATATATTTTATTTATATTTTTATTTATATTATATATATATATATATATATATATATATATATATATATATATATATATAAAGACAGTCAAAGATAACATAGATTAACACAATTTGAATAATACATCAGGTGCTCCCTGTGTGTCAGGCACTGGGTTAGGGAAGAACAGATGATAGAAAGATGATTCAAATATGACATGTGAGTCTTACCTCCAAGGGATCTACAGTCTAGACCAGAAAAGGAGTACAACATGAATGCAGCCCAAAATATATAGCTACAAATATGGCCATAATAGAAATAACTGCACTCAGGCTACAGTGCTTAATTTCAAACACACAAATTTGTTCCAAGGATTGTTTAACACAGGGAACAATGTAGGCATAAATGAATTTTGCATCTGTAAGGAACACTAGATGAACATAGAAAACTGAATCCAGATTGAATTGAGTAGCATGTGGGGTTGCAAAAACTCACACATGCACACATCTGAACATGCATCAGCTTCCTCAACTCACTTCGTGGCTTATGAAACACACCTATCCTCGTGCAGTGTTTCAACTTTCCATCCGATTTCAGATAACCCTCCTTCCATCTCTTTATTATAACTTATGAGCTGAACCTGTCAGATGCCCACTTCCACAAGCCAATTTTGAGTCCTTTTCAAGTTTAAGTGCCATATTTACTGTAATATTAGGTCAATGCAAAAGTGATTGTGGTTTTTGTGAGTATAATATTTATGTATTTCTTAACCATTTCATATGTGTCAAACTCCGTTGTCGTTTTTATTAGATTTCTATCCTCTTCATGTTAATGTGTCACTAACAAAGTTTTTAAATGTTGTGCCCCAATCCCATTTTTCCCGTAAGTTCTGTGGTTTTTACTGCTTGATTTTTTATAACACAGTGGTTTTGAGCAACACATAATGTGGTTATTTTTGTAGAATGAACTGTACTGTAAGCCCCTGGAGTGCATAGAGCAAGGAGCTCCTTGCCCTGGCAAGGGGAGAAGGCTTCAGAAATGTCTTCCCCAAGAGGCAAACATGGATAATAATGGAAATATGAAAGAACATGAGTATCTTCTTATATTTTCCTTCTTTCTAACTTGCCTTAAGACTAGACAACAAAAAGAGGACTTAAAATGGCTTGTAAAAATGCATTTATTTTATTTTATTTATTTATTTTGAGACAGGATTTCCCTCTGTTGCCCTGGATGGCCTGCAGTGGCATGATCTCAGCTTACTGCAACCTCCACCTTCCGGGTTCAAGAGATTCTCCTGCCTCAGCCTCCTGAGTAGCTGGGATTACAGGTGTGCACCACCATGCCGGGCTAATTTTTGTACTTTTAGTAGAGACAGGGTTTTATCATGTTGGCCAGGCTAGTCTCAAACTCCTGACCCTAAGTGATCTGTCCGCCTCGGCCTCCCAAATTCCTGGGATTAAAGGTGTGAGCCACCGCACCCTGCCAAAAAATGGATTTAATATAGCAAGGTGCAAAACACATGAAAAACAACTTAAAAATTAGGCAGAGGGAAATAAAAAGATCAAAATGAATGAATCTGGTGTTAAGCAAGTTTACAAAAGACCTGCTTCAAGTTCTATACACATATTTGCCAGAGATGAGCCACACATTTATCTCTAAGTTTCTGAGCCTTCAATGCTTGACTCTTTATTGATTTGATTTGATCCAGAGAGAGTTTTGCAAAGTCTTTACATTATTAAAATTTAGTTTATATGTTTCTTCTTGTTTATTTTCAATGTGGCTACTAGAAAACTTTACAGTATATGTGTACCTTACATCTGTGGCTCTCATTCTATTTCTTTTGAATATTTGTGGTCTAAGAGAATGTATGGGCTGCCCATGATTGTATGATCCTCTATAAAAGCCTATTTCTGAACAATGGTGAGTTCAAATGATGCTCCCCGACACATTTCTCTGATGAGTACTTCTACGTGCAGGGTGAGGGAAAGAGCCAGGTGTTTTAGCAGTCTGCTAAAATGAGAGTAGCATTAATGTGCTCTTGGGAAAAGCAAGAAGCCTGGTTAGTTTATGAACTAAATAAAAGGCTATACCACCTTGATAAGAGTGAGATCAAAGAAGGAACATGAATTAATCTGCATGAAGTGGAGTATAGGTGTGTGTGTCCTTGGATGTCTGCATGTGTGTATGTGTGAATGTCCCTATGTGTGTCTTTCTACATAGCTCCATGAGTGTACGTGCATATGCACACCTGTGTGTGTTCTTACATGTATGCCTGTGTGCCAGTACATACCCATGTGTGTGTATGCGCATACATGTGTGCCAGGGTGAGTATATACATAAATGCTTGTGTATATGCACCCATGTGTATT
Organism: Homo sapiens; assembly: GCF_000001405.40. Lineage (NCBI taxonomy): Eukaryota > Metazoa > Chordata > Mammalia > Primates > Hominidae > Homo > Homo sapiens. The sequence goes on along the minus strand of NC_000006.12, from coordinate 51,340,942 downwards.
CCTATGTATATGCGCATCATGTGTGTGCCTATATGCATGCTTGTATACATGTTCTTTTATATGTGGCTGTATGTCTTATATGTTTGCCCACTTGTATATATGCATCCTTGTATACATGTACGAGCTGTGAATGTGCAAACAGATTTGTGTCCTTGTGTGAGGCGTGTGCCCATGTACATGTGCTTGTGTGCCTGTGCCTTTATACATGTGTGTATATATTACTTGTATGTGGTGTAAATAAGGAAATTGGTGTGAGGAGAAAGTAAGTATGGAAAGATGTACTCAGAGCCCAGAAGGTAAAGGATTTCATACTTGAGGCTTGGAATATATCTTATGTTGATAGGTTTTAAACCAGAAAATGCTATGGATAGATGTGCATTTTTTGACAAGTCATATTGGCAGCACTAATGAACCAACAACTAGACAGGAACATTAATAGTGAGGAAAGAGATATCTGTACATTTCGATAACTTCTTTAAAAATTAGAAAACATAATATGTAAAGCTGACATTCTTATATATTCTATAGGGTGTGCATCATTTTGCCTTAGGTACCTGAAAACCTGAAATGAATGCTAGAACTATTCATTAGCATGTAAGTCCCAGAGGAGGGTGGTTTAATATGTCATGCACTTAATCATTAAATTTAGGTAACAACATTTTCCCTCACTATCTGCAAAGGCATTTCAATAAGCTTTCTGTGTCATCTTATGAGAACGACCTAATGATTCTTCCTCTTCGATTGAAAAGCAAACAAAACCTCATGTATGCAGTAATGAGCCTTGTCCTCCGTTTGCTAGAGCCAGAGCTAAAAATTGAACACAGAGCCTAGAGCAGAGGTTGTGATTCGAAAATCTACCTGCTGCTCTGCTTTCAAATGCATGTAAAGACGTGAATGAAGACTGTTTTCTTAAGATGGTGAGGATTTGCTGCCCCACCCCTTCCACTGCCATTCAACCACATTTACCTCTGACCCACTCCTTTTTTAATCTCCTTAATCTAGCCCATTCACACAAACACAAAGGGGTGACGTCACCATGCCTGTAGTTAGAGTATCTGAACCTTTTAGGAAGGTTAACATCAAAGGACATGCTTTTCCTACGTGCAGTCTCAGGGAGGGACTAATTTTGACTACTCAGGTTCTTCCATATTAATGGGCTCTGCTACATCAGTGAGGGAAAAAAAAAATCTAGACGGAGTCCAAGTAACTGCTCAGGAGTTCTGATCAATTTTCCAACTGTCACATTCTTTCTTGATTCCACTTCGGAAGGTGATGCAGGGTTTATAGAATATAAGGGCAAAAAAGACCTACCCTTCACACACCCAGATTTAAGTGTAGTTCATTTAAGTGTTAAAATGGTTCCCAATTTTTTAACTGCTAATGTCAGTATAATCAATCTAAACCATAAAACAAAAATATACATAGAATAATGAGTGCAGTCCAGCAAATTCAGTGCTTGACTGAAGAATATGAATTCCATGGAGCTGTGGGGAGACTTCATTACATACATGTGCACACAGGCCAAAATAGAGAGGTCCCCATGCTGGATGAGTCCTCAGGCAACTCATGGATATGCTGAGTAAAAGTCTCTGCCTTGGAGAGTGAGCAGTAGAAATGCTCAGTGGGAGACACCATAGGGAGCTGTCAATGGCTTTGAAGAGGAGTGATTTGGTCAGTTTTGTTTTGGTGAGGTCGTTCACGCCAGCATCTGAGACCAGTAGGCTGGCATTGGAGTGAGATAGGATGTTGTTAAGATCCTTCATACAGGGGGCGATTGAAGCTTTCAAATCAACAGTGGTGGTCATGAGGAAGAAGAGAAAAATATATTAGAGCTAAGGAAAAACTTCATAAATGGTTGGATGTGGAACAGAAAACAGAGAGAATGAGGATTTACTCAAAGTATTCTAGCTCAGACAGGTAGGTAGATAGTAAGGCTACCTGAAATAGAGAATATAGAATTGGGATCACAGTCCACAGGATGAGGAAGAGTTCATTTTGAACATTTTGCACTTGAAGTGGTTTGGGATATCTGCTGGCAATGTCTAGCAAACTGTCAGATATATGGTTCTGATGCTTGGGACACAGGTCCGAATCACTTATACAGATTAGATAGTCGTCAGCACACTGAAATAGCAGGAAGCATGAATGTGTCTGAGGTTAACCCATAGGACTTGCCAATTAAGAAGAGTCATGACTGAGGCACAGAGAACCTGAGAGTGTCTGTAGTCCAAATATGAAAGAGACAAGAGGAAAAAGTAAAAACAAAAGGGAAGAACAATTTGAGAAGAACCAGGAAAGTGCAATGTTGTGGAAGCCAAAGGACCACAGAGAGCTTGGGGAAGGCCCTGAAGATGCTTCTGAGCTGAGTGCTGAGTTTCACAGAGAAATTATTCTAAAGAAGAAGATGGGGAAGGGCATATCTGAAAGGGAGACAGGCATTGTGAGGTGTGAGCACCATAAGGATGCTTTCCATACCTCTACATATTTTTTTCTGTAGCATCAGTGCATAGCATGATGATTCATGTAGAGCAAACTTGTCCAACTCACAGCCTGTGGGTTGCATGCAGCCCAGGATGGCTCTGAATGCAGCCCAATACAAATTTGTAAATTTTCTTAAAACATTACAAGATTTTTTTTTTGTATTTTTTTTCTAGCCCATCAGCTATTGTTAGTGTTAGTGTATTTTATGTGTGGCCCAAGACAATTCTTCCAGTGTGTTCCAGGGAAGTCAAAAGACTGGAATCCCCTGGTGTAGAGCAAAGGCTTGAATATACAATTATTAAAATGAAGTGACCCTATAATAAAATAAAGTAAATGAACAAATTGAGTGCTCAATTGAAAATCATCATAATCATAGGTGGTATTTATACTTAATTTCCCATAAGGTGTTTTTATAAACATCATCTCATTTAAACTTCCCAGAAACCTTATTTCCTAAGACAGTGTTATCATCTACACTTTACACATGAAGAACTTGAGGCTGATGATTTGCCTAAGGTCACACTGGTGGTAAATGGCAGATGAAAGACTTGAACTCTGGTCTTTTGAATCCGAGCCCATGCTTTTTCAGTTGTATAGCACTGAGCACAGTTTCTCAGTGAGTCCTTTGTATCTGGGACAGCACACAACAGAAACCTGGGGGTTGTACATAACGCAGGCCCCAGCTATGTTTTACCCCAGGGTTTGTGTAATGGAGTGATGTAGCTAAGGTGACAACACTGACTTTCAGCTAGAGAAATGGGAGCTTCCCCTGAATTGCCTTGAGGCTGCTTACGTTTGTGAACTGTTGCTGCTCCTATAGCCTTCTGCCCAATAACTATACGCCTCTTCTTCCTTACTGGCATAGCCTCATCTTTGTTTTCAATGGCAATGTGCTCAGAAACAACACTCCCCAGTTTCCCTTACAGCTAGGAATGGCTGTGTGACTGGCACCAGGGCAGACCTGGCTGCCATGGTCCCAGTTCTCTATTTGATCTTTGTCCTTTGCCCTCTTGGAACATGAAAACAACGGCCAGAGGTACAGTCATTATTTTATGAATATGAAGGCAGAATAGGCTAAGAATGGCAAAAGATGAAGACAGAAGGAGGCTGGACCCTGATGGCACATTTGAGCCACCACACTAGCCATGGATGGCTCACTTATACACTTCTGAAGTATGAAAATCAAAGTCCTCATTTATTTAAGATGTAGTCTTTCATATATTTTGTTAATTGTTAACTATGATCCTGATATAAAAAAATCATATGTGCTGTGCAGAAGCTTTTTAGCTTAAGTATGTCTCATTGTCTATTTTTGTTTCAGTTGTCTATGCTTTTGAGGTCTTAGTCATAAACTCTTTGCTTGGACCAATGTCCAGAAGAGATTTCCCTAGATTTTCTTCTGATATTTTTATAGTCTCAGGTCATACATTTAAGTCTCTAATCCATCTTGAGTTTATTTTTGTATATGGTGAGAGATAGGGGTCAGGTTTCAGTCTTCTGCATATGGTGATCCCAATTTTCCTAGCACTATTTGCTGAAAAGAGTGTCCTTTCCCCACTGTGTTTTTGTTAGCATTGTCAAAAATTAGTGATGGAGACATTAAGAGCTTTGACTTCACCACTATGCAATATATCCATGCAACATTGACTACATGGATACATTTTAAAACATTAGTTACATGGATAAATTTTTTAAAAATTTTAAAGAATATGTATGCCATAAACTGACATGCATAACAAATGTTTAGATAATATCCATGTCGTATTTCACAGTACCAGCTAGCCTACTTCACTCTTGTGTCTCCCATCTTTCAGTATCTATGTTTACAACTCATCATTTAGAGACATAGAAGGAGTATTCATTTTATCAGTCATGGAACTATGCAGGAAGTTTATGTTTAGGGAAGATCGTTTAAAACCAAAGAGTTGAATGTCTTTCAAAATAAACTAGGGATAAACAAAACTGTACGATACTTTACAATCTAATATAAATCATTATACTGCCACAGAACGTTAGTTAAGAGCTTGAACTTTGAAGTCATACAGACTGCAACATGCATTACAACTCAACTCTGTTATTTGCTAGCTGTGTTACCTGGGACAACTTGCTTAATCTCTGTGAGCCCTAATTCACTTATCTGCATCCTGATAATTTTAACACTGGGATACGGTTGTTACAGGGATTAAGTGTGAAAATATAAAGTGTCTACTGTTTGGAACAATCAAGAAAACCTTCACTAATGATAGATATTAATATTAAGAAAGATTATCTTTCTACTTACAGTATAAGACATATGCCCTTCCTAACTCACTGTTAGTAGGTCTCCAGGATAGGAATGAGTTGTGATGAACCATTCACTGTCTAGCCTCATCCTCCTTGGGACCAGTGGATGGGGAGAGACACAAAGTGTCTTGAGGTAATGCCTGAGATGAAATGGAGAACTTCAAGCTCATGGCCTCTACAGCAACTAATTTTAGAGAAGGGTCTGATGGAAGTGGGAAGAATTCTGAAAAGCCACATCATGTTCAGGAAAAATGATGGCCACTATTGGATGTTTTTTCCAGAGTCTAGGACAGAACCAGAAAACTCCCACACTCATTCAACGCAAGAAAAGTTAACTGACCTCCTCAATGGAAGCCAAAGACACAGGCCTTGGCCACTTCGTACTCCTACAGTTCCTGTTGGCTCTCAGTAAAGCAAGAGTCAACATTTCTCTAGCCATGATGCCAAGTTATTGTAGAGTGCTTTTGCAACTTTCTTGTGCAACATGAAGATAAAAAAGATAACCCTTATTTATAAATGTAGCATATTGCTGTCTAATCTAGAGTTCTTAACCCTTTTGAAGTTTTAGAGCTCTTTGAACATCAGATGAAAGTTCAGAACTCTTTTTACAAAAATGCATGCATAGAGCCACTAAATTTGCTTATAATTTTAGAGTTTTCAGATAATCCATGAAGTCAATTCATACACCTACTATGGATTCACGGGCACAGGTAAATAATTCTTAGTCTAAGCATTCAATCTTCTTTTTTTATATTTGTTGTCATTAGTCAGAGGCCCAATATTTCATGTTTTATTTCTAAAAGTTTTGCAGAGTAAGACAACAATGAACTACCCATTCATTACCTTCAATGAAAGCCCGACTTGCTAGACTTCGGAAATGCGGTGAAACAAATCCTGTTTCAGGTTTGCTTTTTACAGAATGGGGATAATTTTTATTATTTTTTCTTCTTTTTCAGATTTTTTCCCCTTATTTGTAGGAGGTGGCAGTAGGATTTTCTGGCAGTCCAAGGTACAGTTGTCTAGTTTCATTTTCTTAAGATGGTGAGAGGCCAGCCTCTTATTACTGGGTCAACTTTGAATAGAAAGGGTGACCACAACCTCCTGCTTTACTCTTATATCAGGATAGTCCCTGTCACCAGCTGCCTCAGTGGAATGGAAAGTTTCTCCTCCATGGCAGCTTTTCATGCTGTGCCCTGTTGTGAAAGGACCAAATTTGTCTTAAGAACAAATTTTGTCTTAAGACAAAATTCCTATACTTAAAGACAAAAGTGAAAACAGGAGATAGAAATCCTGCATTCTCATGCATACTTCCCACCAGATTGCAACGTGCATAAACATAATCAAATAGCTGTAATATTAATCCCTGATAAAATCAATTGAGGAGTGCTGTGTTACTACACACCATGTACATTCTTAAGCAATTAAGATGGATTGCCTCATTTAATCTTCATAACAACCCTATAAAGTAGGTACTGTTGCTATGCACATATTATAGCTGAAGAAACTGAGGAACAGAGCTTAACATTAAAGAATTTATTAAAGAAGATGAGGAAGAAGGAAGAGGAGGAGGAGGTGGAGAAGAAGGAGGAAAAGGTGGAGGAGGAGAAGAAGAAGTATGAGAAGGATAAGGAGTAGGAAGAGGAGAAAAAGAAGGAGGTGGAGGAGGAGGAGAAGGAAGAGGAGGAGAAGGAGGACAAAGAAAGAGAGACTGTTTTCTTTTTTTTATTATTATTATCATACTTTAAGTTTTAGAGTACATGTGCGCAATGTGCAGGTTAATTATATATGTATACATGCGCCATGCTGGTGTGCTGCACCCATTAACTCATCATTTAACATTAGGTATATCTCCTAATGCTATCCCTCCCCCCTCCCCCCACCCCACAACAGTCCCCAGAGTGTGATGTTCCCCTTCCTGTGTCCATGTGTTCCCATTGTTCAATTCCCACCTATGAGTGAGAACATGCAGTGTTTGTTTTTTTGTTCTTGTGATAGTTTACTGAGAATGATGATTTCCAAATTCATCCATGTCCCTACGAAGGACATGAACTCATCATTTTTTATGGCTGCACAGTATTCCATGGTGTATATGTGCCACATTTTCTTAATCCAGTCTATCATTGTTGGACATTTGGGTTGGTTCCAAGTCTTTGCTATTGTGAATAATGCCGCAATAAACATACGTGTGCATGTGTCTTTATAGCAGCATGATTTATAATCCTTTGGGTATATACCCAGTAATGGGATGGCTGGGTCAAATGGTATTTCTAGTTCTAGATCTCTGAGGAATTGCCACACTGACTTCCACAATGGTTGAACTAGTTTACAGTCCCACCAACAGTGTAAAAGTGTTCCTATTTCTCCACATCCTCTCCAGCACCTGTTGTTTCCTGACTTTTTAATGATTGCCATTCTAACTGGTGTGAGATGGTATCTCATTGTGGTTTTGATTTGCATTTCTCTGATGGCCAGTGATGATGAGCATTTTTTCATGTGTCTTTTGGCTGCATAAATGTCTTCTTTTGAGAAGTGTCTGTTCATATCCTTTGCCCACTTTTTGATGGGGTTGTTTGTTTTTTTCTTGTAAATTTGCTTGAGTTCATTGTAGATTCTGGTTATTAGCCCTTTGTCAGATGAGTAGGTTGCGAAAATTTTCTCCCATTTTGTAGGTTGCTTGTTCACTCTGATGGTAGTTTCCTTTGCTGTGCAGAAGCTCTTTAGTTTAATTAGATCCCATTTGTCAATTTTGGCTTTTGTTGCCATTGCTTTTGTTGTTTTAGACATGAAGTCCTTGCCCATGCCTATGTCCTGAATGGTAATGCCTAGGTTTTCTTCTAGGGTTTTTATGGTTTTAGGTCTAATGTTTAAGTCTTTAATCCATCTTGAATTAATTTTTGTATAAGGTGTAAGGAAGGGATCCAGTTTCAGCTTTCTACATATGGCTAGCCAGTTTTCCCAGCACCATTTATTAAATAGGGAATCCTTTCCCCATTGCTTGTTTTTCTCAGGTTTGTCAAAGATCAGATAGTTGTAGATATGCGGTGTTATTTCTGAGGGCTCTGTTCTGTTCCATTGATCTATATCTCTGTTTTGGTAACAGTAACATGCTGTTTTGGTTACTGTAGCCTTGTAGTATAGTTTGAAGTCAGGTAGTGTGATGCCTCCAGCTTTGTTCTTTTGGCTTAGGATTGACTTGGCGATGCGGGCTCTTTTTTGGTTCCATATGAACTTTAAAGTAGTTTTTTCCAATTCTGTGAAGAAAGTCATTGGTAGCTTGATGGGGATGGCATTGAATCTATAAATTACCTTGGGCAGTATGGCCGTTTTCATGATATTGATTCTTCCTACCCATGAGCATGGAATGTTCTTCCATTTGTTTGTATCCTATTTTCTTTACATTATTAAATTCAGCCTTCATAATAAACACATGAATTTTGAAGAAACTGAAGCTCCCAAGATCAACTGACCTAGATAGAGGATTTAGATGCTCATAAAACAGTGCCGGTAACATAGGAGGTACTTACCCTATTCAGTAATAAACCATAGGCCATAAGTACCAAATTAGGACTGAAATTCAGGTCTCCTGACACCTTTCTACTATACCCACTCCTGACTCTCTAATACAATAAAAGTTTCCCAGCACACAGATGACATTTTCTTTATTACTGTTGGGTATAGTGAACCTAAAAACACAAAAAGTCAAAACACTGTGCTATTTCCAGTTCAAACTATGTCAAATTAGACCCCTTCTCAGGTCATTTTAATTTCATTCTTACACAGTATCTGTTTTTGTTCCCCTCTTCTACCTTTTGGTTACTGGAACTCTTGGATCAACCTTCCCCATATTAACAGATCTTTTGCATGTAAGTGGAAAACACATTCAAGGCAGGAAGTTCATCTTTGGATCTCTAGGTCACAGCTTCCCCTGTATTCTCCATCTCTTTGCACTATCCAGTATCAAAACTTGTCCTTAGGACAGGATCAAGTAGAACCCTTTTACACCCCTGCTTAGTGGGGATTTTTAAGCACAGCTGCCAGTCTCAGTGAGTTTTATTTAAACCCTAACTCGAATAATGCTCCAGATCTTTACAGGATTATTTTTGGCCATGCACTGCACATCAGACACCTCAACTACCTTCTCATGAAATGAAATGGGTGTCTTCTTGTGAAAGGTATTTGAGATACTAACACTTCTGCTTGTGGGGGTCAATATTTTGGGGGTCACTTGATCCTCCCAAGGCTTTTGAAGTGGAAGTACAGGCATTCAATAACTCCAGTTTTAGATGAAAACTATTTGGAATGAGCTTTTGCAGAGTCTCCCATTCTCATGAACATGTGACTGTCAATCTCCTTCTAGAAATACTGAATTATTTAAGGGCACACTAAAATTTTCTACCTGGAAGAAGCGGTAAAATGGATTCGCTCACCAAGGGTTACGCTTAAGAAGAGAGTCTGGAAGTGACAGGTACTTCTAAAAACTATTTGGAAATTGTGTCTGCCTGGACTTATTTTCATTTATCAAATATTATTTTGCTACCGTACCTAAGGTGCTGTAACTAATGTCTCCAATTGCACTTCCCTACACCCTGGCCTTGTGCCTGCCAGCCCTGTGAGAGAAGGGCGTCAAATGACATCAGGAAGACTGCTCTTTAATAGCCGGCATTATTTTATTAAGGAAAATTTGTGTTGCCCTTTTTCCCTCTCAAAGGTGCCAAATGGACAGATTTTGATTTTTTTGGCTAAGGGAATTAAAGACCAGGGAAGTGGCTTTGCTCCCCCTCTGGCACTTCCACCGCAAGTTCAGGAGGCGCCTGCTGAATCCAATCACTTTGAGCAGCTAAAATTTAAGGTTTGAATTTCATCTCAGAAATGCACAAAGCCTGAGAATTGGTGACAGTATCAGAGTGGGGGTTGTTGTCAGTTACCTGTTATCCTGTTGCTACTCACAGCTGGCCCAGGTGTATTCCCCCCAGGTAAGGCAGGAGGCCCTGTTGAATGCCACATCTCTTTGTTGCATATTATCTCATTAGTTAAGCTGTCAAGAAAGTTGCCAGTGAGGAGGTTGTGGGGTGGAGGGACACACAGAGTTTAATCCAATTAAAACTTCACTGGCTTTTCCACATTCCTGATATCCTGGCTCAAACTAGGAAGAATCTTCTTAATACAGGGGGCATCTTGGGGGTAAAAAACTAATCTTAAATGTTTGTATTGCAGCAAGGCATAACATAAAGCATAAAGCAAAAGAGAAAGGATTTGTGGTATGAGAGATAAAGATAAAAAGATCTCACTTCTAACTCTGTTCTCAGTAGCCTTTTACACAGTGCCGTTTTAGGTGTAAAAAGACTCAATGAGCAAGTCAGGCAGGAAGGTTCTGGGTAGCTCCTACCCAAGAGAGACCTTTCTCAGTAGAATTTTGACCTGACTTCTAAGAAAGGATTTGGTGATCTCAGGAAGATCTTTCTTCAGAAGCCTGGGGAAACAATGACTGCAGCCCTGGATGCCTTAGAATTAAAACTAACAAATGTGCTCAGATTTAAATCTATGCCACCACATATTGACACATATTGACACAGATGGTACATTTTAGTGCTAAATCTATTTTTCTTTGCTCACAATGGAAAACATGCATGCAAGCTCACTCAACAGAATAGTTTCTGAATGAAATCTGTATTAGAAGCAAGCCTATGTATGAAGCAACTTCAGAGCCCTGCAAATGTCTTCTGAAAGGACTGCACAGACTGAGAGCAGGGCACCGTCCTTTCCTAGGGTGAATGAAGGAAGGCAGAGGGTGGAGGACTACGTAGCATGCATGGGTGAAGGACACAGGGGAGAAGAGAATGCCAGCTTTGATAAACGTAGCTGACTTTGATATTCCAAGACTATATTTCCATTTCCATTTCACAGAAAGCATGCTCATTTTGAAAAATCTGATGCTTTCAGAAAATAATACTGTATATGCTTTCAAAAGCAGTTTTGTATCCTGGAAAATATTTAAGATATGTTGTTAAGTGAGAAAAGCAAATTGAATTATGTGGTTGCATTTTTGTTTTTAAAGTCACACACACACACAGACACACACACACACACACACACACAGAGTATGTATTTGTACTTGCCTGATACATAGGACACTGTTTGTATTGGCCATCTCTAGGGAATGGAGGAAAGGGAGTGGTGAGAATAATTAATTGTCTTAGTCCATTTGTGTTCCTGTAAAGGAATAAAGGAATACCTAAGGCTGGGTAATTTATAAAGAAAACAAAGTTTCGTTTGGCTCATGGTTCAGCAAACTATGGAAGAAGCATGGTGTCAACATCTGCGTCAGATGAGGGCCTCAGGAAGCTTCCACTCATGGTGGAAGGTGAAGGGGAGCCAGTGTGTGCAGATCACATGGTGAGAGAGGAGGTGAGACAGGGGAGGCAGGAGCCAACCTCTTTTCAACAGTCAGCCCTCAGAGGAACTAATAGAGAACTCATTCATTACCGCGAAGATGGCACCAAGGTCTTCATGAGACATCCACCCACGACCCAAACACCTCCCACTAGGCCCCTCCTCCAACATTGCAGATCAAATTTCAGCATGAGATTTGGGGGGCGGAGGAGAGAGACAAATAGCCGAACTATATGAACTATAAATTATTTCACTAGTACACTTTTTTATAATTAAAAAACTAGAGATTCTAATAAAACAGTGAAGGAATTATGGTTACACTGAAGTAAACTTACAATTCTCTCACAGTAGTAAACATATCCTAAAGAGCATGTTAGCCTCATCTTCCCAGGACCAGAGAAAATTGTGTGACTAATGGTTAGTATTAATTAGTGTTTAATAACTGAACTAAAGTAATCTTTTCAAAAAGGTAACTCTCAAGTTTCATCTAGCTAGAAAGTCTTGTTAGAAAGTCTTATTAATAACAGCTAGGAGAATAACAGTCTTTTTATGAGAAAAGTGAATATCTTCCAGTAAGGATTTATACTTTCAATGTACCGAAGTGATTTTAAATAGGAGAGAACTTACAGGCCCGATTAATAATTTTTTTTAATGATCTATTTCTGTATACCAACCAAAGTCACAAGCATAAAGTGTTGCTTATCATTTGCAGGAGGAAACAATCCATGGACTTCTTGAAACCTATCCAGGGTCCAACCTAGCAATGAATTATTATACCGGATATGCTTATCAGGATTACCTGTGAAATTTACCTGAGTTTGAAGCAATAGATTAAGCTTGTCCATCCCACAGCCTGAGAGCTACATGTGGCCCATGACGGCTTTGAATGCAGCCCAACACAAATTTTTAAACTTTCTTAAAACATTGTAAGATTCTTTTGAATTTTTTTTTTTTTTTAGCTCATCACCTATCATTAGTGTTAGTGTATTTTATGTGTGGCCCAAGACAATTCTTCTTCTTCCAATGTGGCCCAGAGAAGCCAAAAATTGGACACCCCTGCAATAGAGATTAGGTAAAGAGGAAAGGAGACAGGGTGGTATTTTAAAAAAAATCTTTACAGGTGAGCTTTGCTTACTCCAAAATGATCATGTGTACCCACTGGGGTTCCTGAATCTTTGGTTAAGAACATTTCATTGCAGTTTTTTCTTGCTTTCTGCTTTTGCGTTTTTGTTGTTTTCGCTGTTGTTGTTCTAATGAGGAGAGAGGAAGAGGAAGCTCTGGCAGAAAGCAGTTGAAATATATGGAGAATGATTTCAGATGCAAGCTGTAGACCTAGGAGTGCTTTCCTGTTATTCAGCTGAGAAGTCGCCTGGAACCTTGCAAGGAGCAAGGTTTAGGTGAGGCACAGTAAGTAGCCCAGGGGCACTGTGGTATAGTCCAATCTGAAAATAACCCCCAGATCCTCCCAGAAGACAGGGCTCTCTGCTCCTCCATATACCACCTTCACTGGCACTAACTAGTCCAAGTCCTTCAAAACCTATGAGTTGGGACCATGGAAAACCTCTGAGTTGGAACTGAGGCTAAGGAATTGTATAGGCTCAGTAGCTCCTTTATGCCACATTTCTTAAATTTGGCTGCACAGTAGAATCGCTTTGAGGATATTTTTAAAATCCTGATACCTTAGCCATATCCCAGACCAGTTAACAGTAGCTTTATAAAGCTCCTTAGGTGATTCAATGTGTAGCCACCGCTTTACAGCCCTTTTTGGTGAAACTTTCCTCCCAGTATGGCTGAAACCTCTAGACATTAATACTCTTATTTAGATTTCACCCATGAACTAAGCGTATACATTTCCTGTGTCATTTCCTTTTAGCGAGGCTGTGAAACTGAGAGTCAAAATTTCAACATTTATGGAATGAGAGTGGAAGATGGAAACCTGACCAGGACATCACCTCATTTCATTTGGCAGCAAACTTTTTTTTAATTTTAGTCTCTGTCCAATTCTATATTCACCTTAAGAAAGCAATCCCTGTAAACAGAGAAATACAGCAAAGTTTTACGGTAATCAGTTATCAATAAATGTGTTATCCTTTACATTTTAGGTCCTTCATTAGCAATTAATTATAAGTAATTAATTATGAATTAATTTTATTTTTCCAAAAAATTGATTAAAAGGACAATGTACACAAAGAAATTAGCAAGTTTAGACTGTGAATGCTGGAATTATATTAGACTGTGTTTATAAATTAACCAGGACTTTCAGTAGTATTAGGAACTGAATTCAAAATAGCTCAGGCAATAACACAAAACAAAAACCAACAATAATATATTGGCTCATCCATTTGATCCAGGTGCCCCAAAAATTTTGTCATCCTTTTTCCAAACACTTTGTGTTTTTTATTGTTACATTTTTATTGTTTTATTTGTTACCTTTTCAAACCCCTTCTTACCAAGTAGAAGAAAAATGGTTACTAGGTATTCTTCCTTCCATGGTCCCCAAAAAATTTCTCCCTGAGACTTAGAAGGAACCCTTCACTTCCAGCACCTTTATAGCACATCTAACAGAAGGGCTAGGCCTGCTTTGGGATTTATCATTGTGGACAGAAATGTAGGGTACCATGGTTGGCCAGGCCTGGATCATATGACCTCTTTGGTATTAAAGGCAGGCTGGCATGTGAGTGACAGTCCCATTAGAGCCACCTAACAGAACAGCACGGCTCATAAACAGAAGAGAAGCAATGTAGGCAAATATACATCTACCATGGTATGTAAATTGTACTCCAATTCCCTGGTTTTTTTAACCAAGAATATCATTACATAGGGAAAAGTATTGAAATCCGTCAATATCAAACAACATATACCATATAGTAAAATGTTACAGATAAGTTTGTTCATCCATAAATATTCCATCTTAAAGCTACTATGCCATGAGACACTAGACTGAATTTCTATTTGTTTCAGAAATAACTTTCTGTGGACATCAAAGTAATTTTCATCAGAATAATTCTTCAGTTATTAACAAAGAAAAAATCACAATAAAATAGGTCTGCTAGAAATGTGCTTTATTATTCTCTTATATTTTTGCAACCTTTATGTTTTATGACATAAAACATAAATTAACAGTAGATTAATATTTTCAAAGCAATGATTCATATAACTACCAATATAACCACTACTCAGGTCATTCCTCCAGGATCCCCCAGGTTCCCCCTTCTATAACATTACAACCCTTTCACTTTAAATGAAGGTGATCTTTTAAATAGAGGTGGCTTTTTCACTTTCGCCATAGTTTTACTACTGATGTAGGCCTCTCTAAAAATATGTTAGCTGTTTTAAAATTTTATCTAGGTGAAATTTTATGTGTATACACACACATACACATACACACATATATATATTCTTTTGTTTTACTTTATATACTCAATACTGTTCACAAGTTTATCCATATTTTTGTAGGTAACTGTCATTTGTTTATTTCCATTTCTGTATAGCATTTCATTGTATAAATAACTATAATTTAATCAACTAAATAAATTGATTAGTCTGATTAAATAAATTAGACCAACCTCATATTTATCACCTAGGAGATTGCCAGAAATAGACAATTTCAGACTCCATCTCACACTAACTGAATTAGAATTGTAATTTTAACAAGATCCCCAAGTGATTTGATGGAGCATTAAAGTTTGAGAAAAAAATCATTGTAGGTTTTATATATTCCACTTTAGGTTATATATGTACATTTAACAATATATACACTATATATATGTATGTATAACAATATATACACTATATATATGTATATAATTTGAAGAGGAATAATTTTGGGAGGTCTTAATAATACCGATATTTTTAACATTTCTAGATGTCAACCTGCTTTTAATAGCAGATTTACAATTACACATCCACAACCAGAAATGTGTGTATTTTCAGATATTTTTCAAATTCACCAAGAAAAGAACACATTAACTTATTTTTAATAACACATAAGCCATCTCTCTTTTAATGGCACTTATTCAGGACAGAATAGTGACTTTTCACAGGCCAGATTTTAAACTGTGTTATCTCATTCCCTCATGGTGTGCAACGAGAGCTACCATGAAACTGGACTGATCAAATAGGTTTCTTTTACCAGATACCAGGTTATGTGAATCTTCCATCATTGCCTCCATAAGGTCCTTGTTAATCTGTACATTATCAGGAGGAGGAGAAGGAGTATCACTGCATAGAACTTCTTAACATGTGCTTGGATGTGATTATGAATTTTCTTAATGGTAAGCAGACATTTTGGTAGGAATGAGAAATAGGGACTCTGGAGCAAATGGTATTTCTCACATTAACTTTGTCTCTAGGGAGGCTCCTGACAAACATGGGAAATATAGGTATATATGAGAGCCTTGAAAAGTGTGGTGGAGTAGACAGGAGACTCCTAAAGATGGAGTGGAATACTAACATATCCGATTGCACTACCCATTTACGTTTTTACATGTAAGAGTGCACTTGCCTTACAAGGATGAGATGCCCCAAGAGCAACGATGGGAAGTTTTAAGAGCTGAGAAAATCTCTCCTATGTGGGTTATCAGCTTCTAGGAGGTATAGGTGAAAACCAGAAAAAACTTTCAAATTCAGCTTCACCAGGCTGGAGCCTTTGCTGAAAGGATTTCAAAAACACCAATAGAAACCCACTAAATGAAACAAAAAACACTTTGTTGTATTCCTTATACTCTTACCTGAAATCCCCTTTGCCCTCAATCCTGAGGACTTGAACATCCTAGGTGACTATGCCTGAGCAGCTTTTGTAGCAACAAAATCTTTAAGAGTGTTCATATTACATGCATGTATAGAGAGGAGGAAAGTTAGTTTGATTTAATAAAAAGTGTGCATCATGTTGTATTGCATTACATTCAAATACATAAGATAGAGGAGATAAAATTGAACATTGTTTACCTCCCAAGAAGTGACATTCTGAAGCCCAGGGTAACCAATAGACAACCACATGATAATTAGCAATATTATTTACTTACAATTTTATTTATTTATTTATTTATTTATTTATTTATTTATTTATTTATTTATTTTTGAGACGGAGTCTCACTCTGTCACCCAGGCTGGAGTGCAGTGGCACGATCTCTGCTCACTGCAACCTCTGCCTTCTGGGTTCAAGGGATTCTCCTGACTCAGCCTCTAGAGTAGCTGGGACTACAGGCACGTGCAACCACTCCCAGCTAATTTTTAAAATATATTTTTAGTAGAGATGGGGTTTCACCATATTGGCAAGGCTGGTCTCGAACTCCTGACTTCGTGATCTGCCCACCTTAGCCTTCCAAAGTGCTGGGATTACAGGCGTGAGCCACTGCGCCTGTACTACAATCTTATTTATGTACCTGTTTTGATAAGAAAACACTTAAGAGATGGAAAATATGAACAAATGCAAACTTCAGAATCAGAAATGTTGAATTATAAGAGATACCAAATCAGCAAAACAATTCAAAAGGTCTTATAAATTTCTATTTGTGATATAGTACAGAACATACTCATTCTTTCCTCAGATTCCAAGACATGGAGAAATTTAATCCTAATTTTAGTAAACTCTGATAGTTAAATAATGAGTAATATTTCATGATATATGAGGGAAAAAAACCAGCTAATAAATATTGGATAACATATTTGACTACTAAATAAAGTTTTAATGAACACCCTCAAATATTTATTTCTTAAAAAACATAGCCAGGGGGTCTATACTGACCACTGATGTCATGCAGATTAGGCTATAACAAATTATTTCACAAAGTAAAACACAAAGGAAAATGTCAAGAAGACCAGTAAACAATCTTATATTTTTCTTGATAGATTTTTTTGCAAAAGGATAATATTATTGGCCCATAATAGATTAGCTAAATCCGAAGTTTTCCTGTTTGGTTTGAAGTTTATAAAAGAAAATCACAGTCTATTATTTAGATGGAAAGTTCAGGAAAGTGTTGAACATAGAGGGACTGAGTTTGTTTCATTGCATATCTGTACTACTGATGCATCCAGGTGGGACTGTTACTGTGGAGTTGCTGACTACAGTGTCAATTTAGTCATCAGACACTAAACAATTCATCTCTTGTGGCAGGATGTCATCAGCAGGGCTTTATTTTTTAATTAGCTAGAGCATATAAGAATGAATGCTAGAAACCAGGGAGCTATGCCTGAGACATAAAATATTTGGTGCAATTATTTGGGGGTTATAAATGTGAGAAAAAAACAGCTTACTAGATGTGTGATTAACACCTAGGAATACTCAATTTATGGCCTGAGTTTCTGGAGGCATCAGTAATGCCTGACACTGGCTCTCAAAGAGGATGGTGATAACAAACCCTTACCAGGTAGCTTGGTCTAAGATATATTTTAGGCAATTTTAGACCAGGTTATATAAGAAGATGTGCTACCTCAGCATACACCCAGCCCAACCCAAACCTCTCTGTGTCATGTGGTCACAGGCTGTAAGTGCTTTCTTTAGAATATCATTGCCTAATGCATCTTTGGTAGTCACCATACCTTATCAGCCAGTAATTGTAGGAATCTAAAAACCTCTATGCTTCACTACCTAGGTATAATGAAGTGGATTAAAGCTTGGAGACCTGACTACTTACAAAGGCCCTTAAATGGATTAGAACGTGTTATTTTCCTGTGCAAATGGCTTAGGCCACTTTAAACACATTGTACTCATAATGCCATGGACTTACCAGATCTTTCATTCCTGACCTCAAAGCATGCTGCAAACAAAACGCTTTCTCCATTTTGTAAAGACAGAAAGGGTGTAGCACAACATAGTAAAATGCAAACTGGAATTTACAGTTCTTTTAGAGGAACCTTATAATTAGAATTGTTGCTTGTATAATTCAAGTTATAAAAGAAAAAATACTGTGCTAAGGGAAATAAGATTAAAACTGAGTTATCTATATTAGTTGTCTAGTTAAAGCAAATTCACATGGTAATTGTTTAACACTACATTGTTTTTGTCTATGTGTGCATAGTTTATTAAGTTTATTTTATTGTATGCACAATTCCATAAGCTCATGTAAAAACAGTTGCTGAGTCATCCTACTCAGGGAGCAATGATTAAATTCCAACACATGAGGAAGACATAAGTAGACCAAAGTCCAGAAACATGTCAAAATGGATGTGTGGAGCAAAAGAGAGGGACATTATTTATTGTCACTTTCCCAAGAAGCTAGATAATGTATATGTATTCACTTTAAAAATATTAACTGAGGTCCTACTATGTGACATATACTGTTTTAGGTATTGGGGATATAACAGTGGACAAAAAGAGAAGATTCCTAAAGAATTTGGAAAAATTAAAGCTCAAGTCACAACCTAGAGTATGCCAATATTTAGAAGGTGAGGATAGGAGGAGGAAGCAGCAAAGGAGTTAAAAATGCAGTAGCCGCAAGGTTCAGAGTATACTGCTCAGGTGATGAGTGTACCAAAATCTCACAAATCACCTCTAAAGAACTTGCTCAAGTAACCAAATACCACCTGTTCCTCAAAAACCTATGGAAATAGAAAATTTAAAAAACATTAAAAAATGAAGTAGCTCATGAAAAAAGAGCACAATTAGGAAAGTATTGAGTTACAGAATCAAAGAAAATAAAAGGCATCAAAAAAGAAGGAATGTTAATTAATTAGAAAGCTGCTGGGATGGAGTAAAACCAAAAGCAAAGCTATTGGATTTGGCAACAGTGATGTGATTCATGACTCTGATGAATATGCTCAGCCTCAATGGGCATGTAGTGAAAGAAACCCAATTTGAGTGGATTGAGAAGAAAATATCATGTAAGGAAATGTGTGTGGTGACATAGACAATTTCCTCACTAAGTTTTGTAGTGAATGAAAAGTAAAGGAATGAGAGGTAATTGGGAGGAGATGTAGACATCTAGTTTTTTTTTTTTAAGTTGGAGATTGTATTAGTCCATTTTCAAGCTGCTGATAAAGACATACCAAAGACTGGGCAATTTACAAAAGAAAGAGGTTTAATGGACTTAAAAGTCCAAGTGGCTGAGGAGGCCTCACAATCATGGCAGAAGGCAAGGAGCAAGTCATGTCTTACATGGATGGCAGCAGGCAAAGAGAGAGCTTGTGCAGGGTAACTCACCCTTATAAAAGCATCCGATCTCATGAGACTTATTCACTATCGCCAGAACAGCACAGGGAAGACCTGCTCCCATGATTCAATTACCTCCCACTGGGTTCCTCCCCCAACATGTGGGAATTCAAGATGAGTTTTGGGTGGGGACACAGCCACAAAATATCAGAGATAAAACGGCAAACTCGTTTGCTGATAGATAAAATACAGTAGAGTGGGAGAGAAACTGATAATGATTACTAGAAGACAGGCCCTGAGACTGTAAGATGGGGTGGGACTCTAAGCACCAGAATGGGGTTGGCCTTTGATGGATGCAGGCACACCTTATTTGTAGTAAGCAAAGCAAGGAGTGGCATTTGAGTAGAGACATGCACAGATTGGTAGCTTCAAAGGAGAACAGATATGTGATCTGTTGGTTTCCTTTTTTTAATGAATTTAGAAGAAATGTTTTTATCTAAGGGATGTGGCATGGAGGTTAAGAGAGCTGAGGAAGGGAAAGGGGGGATATGAAAAAGCATAAGCATAGTCTTTTTGTCTTGTGCTTTCCTCCAGCAATGTCCAGCTGCATGAGTACAGGATGTGGGGTGTTGGGAAGCATCATAATTTCAGCTTTCCTGGGCAAAAGTATCTATAAGGAAGTGATTTTAGAGATGAACATGAGATTTTATCTAGGTAAGGAAGTTAGTGAGAATCAGCAGAAGAATTGATAAGAAGAAATTAGCAGTGTCAATAAATCAGATGGTTAGATGCAGTAAAACAAATTCTGTGGTTATAGATAAGATTCTGAAGACAAGGCCTTGGAGTCTGATGTGCTTACCATTGTCAACAAGAATAAGGGGGAGACTAAGACAAAGGGCATCTAAGGTGCAGCGAGGGAAAGAATGATGAAAGGAAGAAGGCAAAAGAACAGATGGCCATGAATTGGATGAAATCTACAAAGGGATTTTATACTATCTAAAAATATTTATCACAGTATAATTTATGCTACTGTAATAAGAAATACCACAAAACACAGTGGCTTTGGTAAGATGCAAATCTATTTCTCTCTCTCATAACGGCCCAGATGTAGGTAGCAAGTTTAGGGAGGTAGATTGCTGCGCTCCATGAGGTCATTCAGAGATTCAGGGACCCTGTCTTATTACTGCAGCAGCTGGATGTAGCCCTCATCCACATGCTCAAAGCTGGTTCAACATTACCCTATCCGGGGGAAAGCTACTTTATTTTAAGGGCATTGAACATGTCACTTCTGCTCAATCGTCACTAACCATATCATAGTGATATGGTCCCAACTATCACTTAATAGTCTGCAGTTGACTGGACTCATGCTTTGCTAAATCTAATAGGTTTCTATTACTAAAGGGAAGGAAGAAAGAAAGGACACTGTGGGACAAATAGCATCTCTCCCACAAATGTTAAAGTTCCTAAGAATAATGGCAAAGTGGTAATGGGCATATTTCCCTGGAAGTGAAATTTTTATTCCACAGAAATCAAGACTTAATACATTTATAAATTTATGTACAAAACTCACTTATTGAGTGCTTACTAGGTGCCGAAATCTGAATAGGGAATACTGATACAAGTCTACCATGATTCTTTATCTTAAGGAGTTCAAACTCTTTGTCAGGGGAGGGAGAGAAGCAAAACAAACAAACAAACAAACAAACAAACAAACAAACCTAGTGCCATATATGGCTAGAGACACTCTGTTGGAATAATGTGTGTAGTAAAGTGGGTGACTAAAAGGAAGTACCTTCACATTCACTTTCTCATATAACCCTCCAACCTTTCTCTGAGGGTTGTAGTCCTGATATAACGATGTATATTCTACAGTTAGGGAGAATGAGACTCAGTCACTTGTCCAAAGGCTCACAGCTTGTAACTGGCTAAGCTGGTTCCAGAGTCCACCCTCATGACTTATAAGAACAAGGCTCTTTCTAGTATTTTATACTGGACATTATGAAAAGCAGACTTAGGCAAATAAGACCTGGAGAGGCTGTGTGTGTGTGTGTGTGTGTGTGTGTGTGTGTGTGTGTACATTCTAATTATTAAAAAAAAACTAGAAAATAAATCGTTTATTAACTGTGTAGAAATAGGTCAACGCACAGCAGACCACACAAGGTGGAACTCTGAGGATGAGAGGAAGCAGGCCAGCTGTTGCATTATTATTCTCATTATTCTCCCAATGGAAGCAATTTACAATTATATAAGGCACCATTCTCCTGAGGCATAGTGTACCAAAATAGCTAACAATAACATTATACAGTTTAAGCATTCATTTCTGCCAACCTTGGCTCCCAAAAAGTTTTGGCTGTTTTAAGAAATCTAATTCAACCTTAAAAAATAAAGATTTGCCATGTGGAGGATATTCAAAAAGGACTGGAAAAGCAATTTTGCAAAGAAGTTCTGAAACTGTAGTTTTGAGCAATGGCAACAATTTCATGCTAAATATTTAACCTTCCAAGATGACTGCGTGGAAGAAGACGATGTTCATTTGAGCAAATATCCTGCCATTGTTTAAAATACAACCTCATTAATTTATTGTCAGATATCAGAAATTATATAATTTATCTCTCCAACACCTTTAGAAAGTTATGTTACTTCTATATTAAGGCAAAGAGAAAGAAGGAACAAGCAGCATGTATATCACAATATTTTCTGAATCTTTGAGGCGTGAAAGTTGAGGCTGAACTCTATTTCTTTCAATAAGTTTTATTGTCCCTATGTGTTAGACACTGTAGCTCTTCGTAGAGAAAACAGAGTTTAGGAAGACACAATTTGCTGACTTCATCAAGTTCACGCACATTGCGAGCTTGGCAGTGGGCTGAGGCATTAGACGTATACACAAACTGGGCTGAAAAGATGTTAAGCATCCTATGCTGTCAATATGTAGCACATAACAGAGCACATGTGGTGGATTGAGCAACTTATCCTTGTAATAAATGAAAAGAAGATGCTTAAGCAGAAATTTACAAGGTGAGTAACTTTCATCAGACACATGCACAACGGAGTGGGAGGTGAGAAGGGAGGGCAGTGAGTAAAGGAGAGGAAGAAAATGAGGGCCCAGGCTCAGAATGATGAAAGATGCCCAGAGTCAAGCACTAAATTTGCCAATTATCAACTACAGGCATTTTTCACACTCACCCTCTAACATTTAGAGTCTAAGGACAGAATGTCCAAACACCATCATTTTTATTTCAATGCCTAAAAATATTTGTGAATCATATAAAAACTATATGATAACTGTGATATTCATAACCTTGAAATGGCCATATATTGACCCAATTTTCACAAAGAAGTTAAATATTATTCTGGAGTGTGAAAGTAGTAAATTTACCTTAATCTTTGGCAAAATTCCGGAGCAACAAACTAAAGAAACGCAAGTAAGCAGAGTTTCATCAAGTGCAGATACTACCCAACCAACCTCAGTGTCCTCTGAGACACACTTACCAGCTAAGTTAGCGTTGTTAGGACAGGAAAATGTGGGAAATATTTTCATATATCTTGCTAAAATAATAATTTACTACTTTTTTTCTTATTCTTTGAGGTGAAGGGTAGAGAAGGTTTAAAGTAGAAAGGCTGAGAGTAGACTAAGCATTTTTTTCAGTGGATGATAGTAATCCGAGAAGCCTCCAGATAGCAAAATAAGGACCCAGTATTTGAGAGGTGGGGTTCAATAAATCAGAGGTTATTTAGAACATTCAAACTTTGTACTAAGTAATACACCAAACCTTTGTTGCTGAAAGCAAAGGGAAAAAAAACCCCGTACTACATGGAGCGGACAAGAGGGTAACAGACAATTATCAGGAAAGAAACATGCCCCAGGCTTGGCACTGCTGACTGCCTTTACCCAGTAGGTCAGTTACCTACAGATTAATGCATGACACTAACAGTTCACCAGGTTATGACTATAAAAGAGATAAGAGAGCATGTGTGTACAAAATGTGATTCCCCACACAATTTAGTAACATCCATGTTCTCATGCTTTCTAAAACTTCCCAATGGAAATCATTAAATGTTGATTCATATCTGAAGAAAATTTGCAAAATGTGATATCCTAACATTACGTATGTTTTCTCTGAATGGCATGTTATTGGGGAATTGCAAAGAGTAATACACTTGAATTGTTCTTTTTAAATTTAAAGTTCAACTTGGCTTACATCAGAAATGTACTCAGATTCTGGGTCTGGCTTCACTACAGCATTTGAGCTTCACTCTAAGATTTGATTGTGTTTTGTTCTGTATGGTGCTAGAGTTATTTTATGGTGTGTACCTTTATAGTAGCTGAGATGGTTAATTTTATGTATCAACTTGACTGGCCACAGAGTTGGTAAAACATTATTTCTGGGTGTGTCTGTAAGGATGTTTTTGGAAGAGGTTGGCATTTGAATCAGTAGACCGAGTAAAGATCTGCCCGCACCCATGTGTGCCAGCATTATCTAATCTGTAGAACAGGGCCTTGACATAACAAAAAGTCAGAGGAAGGGTAAATTCACTGTCTTCTGGAGATGGTGCATCCATCTCCTCCTGCCTGTGGACATCAGAATTTCTGGTTCTTGGGCCATGGAACTCTGGGACTTAAACCTGTGGCTCCCCTGATTTTCAGGCCTTTGTGCTCAGGCTGAATTACCCCACCAACTTTCTGGCCTCTTCAGCTTGCAGGTGGCACACTATGAGCCAATTCCCATCATAAACCCTCTCTTCTATATCTATATATATCCTATTGCTTCTGTTTCTCTGGAGAACCCTGACTAATACATTTGACTATTATTAGAATTCCAAGATGTCTTAGAGCTTCTCTAGCTCAAGTGAAAAAAACTTGAGGCTCAGGAGATTTTATCCAAGATCATACAGCCAGTGACTGATAATGTTGAAAAAGTTTTCTCTTCCCAAATGTAGCATCTTTTGAACGAAAAATTATTTTTGTCTTTGTTTAGGAAGCACATTGAACCAGTCGAAGTACTTGGTCCATAGTATTTTAGAAAGTCTCATTCCTTGTGTCTTTTGACAGCCTCTGTACTCAGACAACTTTCCATATTGGCATTAGGCATACTTGGGTGTGTTCCTCTAGCAATACTGCTGCATCATAAGTGCTTGCAGGAAGATATCACATCTTCATTTATATACCCATAGTGCCAAGTGCATCATAGATACTGAATAAAAGAGCATAAACAAGAGCATAAACAAAATAAAAGATCATAAACAAAATAAATAAAAGAGCAAAACAAGCACAAACACTGAATGTTTAAAAGTCTGATGCAAACTCCATGCACATTATGTGTCATGCCCAATTTGTGTTAACAATAACATTAATTAATATTATTTTACAACATTGGTGAAACCAAAGTATTATTATGTTTTGTACTGAACTGTGGACCTCCTAAGGGCAGGGGCCACATCTTTATTTTTCTTTATTTTTTCCAGTTCCTGATACAATGCCTAGTACCCAGTATGGACTCATTTGTACTCATTTGTTCAATGAATGAGTAAATAAATAGTTACTTCTCAAATAACTTCCAGGCACCCACACAAGTAGCCCCAGATCATCTCTTACACTAGATGTGGATTAGGTGTTCCTTGTTGTAAGACTGCCTCACTTCGTTCCTAGCTTATGTTCCTGGCAAGACAATGGTGGCATTTTCTAGGAGGCCACATACCCTGTTCTTATAACACTATGGGCTTTAGCTTCTGCACGGTTTTTTATGTTCAAGGGCTTGGGATTCACCTTTTAATGCCTATAAAAGGGAGCCTTGCTTAGGGATAATATTCTTGCTATAACACACTGGGGTGGATATTGTTAAATAGGAAAGGATTCCACCTGTGAACACATCTGCTGCATACTGCTGAGAACTCAAAGGAATGGTCAAGTCATTTAAATTTATCTCATCCTGTCACGCATTTATTGAGGACCCACTATGTACCAGGTGAGGTCCTATATCCTCAGGCCTCAAGATACAAAGATGAATAATAAATGGATTCTGCTGGGAAGGAGCTCATAGTCAGATGTGGGAGACAGGCACATAAGTAGATAATTTAATATCGTGACATAAGCACTCGCATAGACTTATGAGCAAAACTCTCTTGGTCAATTATGTCAGTTCCATCCTTATCCCAAAACACCTACATCCTTTCCTAAAGTGAGAATGGCTCTTTAGGCTCTTAGTTTTTTAAATATTATGAGCTCTATGTATTTGGAGTTCAGCTATTCAAAGTCACTATTATACTATGTTGATATCCACAAAACAAACTTCTCCAAATTGATCTATGTTTTCAAAAGTGAGGATGAAAACCAAGTATTTCTCAGAAACATACATATCCTCTGAAAGGGAATAAACCAAGCAAACACACAAACCCCTTTAAAACAAATGTGTCAGAAGCAGGACTAAATAAAGCATGAATGTAACATGAAACAAGTCACATAATGGAACTGATTGTATTGTTGGGCACGGGTTCCGAAATCCTTCTTCCAACTCATGCTGTGGCCCCAGGTTAAAAATCTGCAATCTGTTAAGCAATAGTAACCTTTAAGGTAGAAGGGTCATCTTACTCAATATGGTTTTGCTCTGGAGCAGAAACTGGGACTAACCAAATGCCAAGTGCCTGCTACCAAAACACAAAATGCTCCTCCATACATGAATAAAAGAAACATTTTTTTTCTCTCAGAAAACCAAAAAACCTACTGCAATATGTAAATTCCTATGAATCTAAATAATCCTGTCAGTTTCTCCAATTTCTTAGTCTATATATGTGTATATGGGTATGTGTGTATGTGTGTGCATATGTGTACACACACATACATAGACACACATACACACATACACATATAGGCATATATACACACATACACATATATAGACTAAGAAATTGGTCTATATATATATAGTTGTTTGTTAGTGCCTTCATAACATTATTTTTACTCTACTCAAGAATTTCTAAGCACTGAAGTGCATTCACTAAATTTCTCAGCCTGCCTCAAAATTTAGGCATATTCAACATTATTTTTATAAGATATAATTATCTATATAGAATGTACATAACAAGGAGTAAGGTCACTCCAATTCTCTTTCAAATATTGAAGTAACTTGCTCGGTTGAGAATATCAGAAGGTTTGTTTACCTTATATAGAGTAATGATAATCTGGCTTACTTTCTTATATGGTACAATATTGAAATCTATACCACTTCCAGAATATTGGAATGCAATGCTTTCAGGTGAAGAATGACTCAAAGCAACACTCAATCTTTTTTTTTTTTTTTTTAATTAGGCATCCTTTTTAATCTTTGCTAAGTCTTCATTTTTGGGTAAGTAAATGGACTGAATAAGTTTACATTTGATTATCAAATATAGCCAAAGTATTTTCAACTGATGGCAACTCATTTTTCCAGTCTCCTTCTCTGCATTTGGAGCAGATGAGGCAGGGAAGTCTGGCATTTGGACTTCCAGGCCCTTGCTCCAATCAGTGCACAAGTTTGCTTTTCTTCTCCTAATGTGCATCATGCTTCATGTCTTGAAAAAAGATTCAACCAAAAGAAATTGGTTCCCATAGATATTAGATTCCCCTCAATATTTCACAACCATTCAGCAAAGTGAACTTTAAGGACTAAAAATGCCGCATTCTTTACTGTTTCTTTCATCTTTATTTTCTCCCTCTCTGGTTAATCTGTACGTTTCCTGTATCTTTTTTTTTATGGTGTCATGTTAAAACCACTCAGAGAAAAAAAAATTACAAAAGCTGAAAGTAATGATCTTGAGAATTAGTTGACAAGTTACATCATGGGAGATGAGACAAAATGTCAGTTTGGGGTTAGATTGCAGAAAATGGTGAATTCTTATATTTCACTCAAAGTCTGGAGTAGGAGAAGAATTGTAGCCAGGTGTGTAAGTTGTAAGGTTCATGCAGTACTTCAGACTGAAAAGTGAGGGGCTGAAACTCTTTGAAAGCACAAATAGAGAGCTGCATGCAAGAGGCATTATAATGGTGGAATTATAATAACAGAGATGGATGAATGGATGGATGATGGATGGATGGATGGATGGATGGATAGATAGATGAGGTAGACAAATAAAGAGCAAATTAGCTTACAATGGGTCAGGCATTGTTCTAAAACCTGATATGTATTTTTTGCTTAACACTTACAACAAGCTTATAGGGCAAGTAATATTTAATATCAAAAGAATTGGTTATAGAGATTAAATGTGGAGGGTGAGGGAAAAATCAGACATTGAATTGGGGTTCCAAGTTTATATGACAGAGATAATAGACTGTTAGGGCTGTCATTTTTGTAAAATGATTACTCAATTATAAGAATCGATGTTATTATCCCTTTTTTGACATATACCATAGTAAGACCTCATTAATTTGACCTAATTAGAAGCACTAGGGTATGGTGAGGCCATTCTGAATTACAAGAAAATTTCAATAGAGAAGAACATTTTGAAGAAAATATAATCTCATTAATTCAAGTTCACATAGTAAAACAGGTGGTAAGTGCTAGGCTCTTAATCTGTATTAAGGATTCTTAGAAAAATATTAATAACTATACATGTTAAAATTAGTAAATCCACTGTTTAAATGGAAATGTGGCCACCAAATAGTTTTACTACTAAATAGGCTTTTTTATTTTTGCTTTCTTTCTTTATTCTGTTTTCTTGACAAAATTTTGCTAACACATCCTAAAATCCTTTCTAAATTTCCTCATAACAAAATAATATCCATGCCACTTGAAGATGATGGCTCATAGAAAAATTATATTTTGATTTGATTATATCATATTCTCTACTATTAATATTCCTATCAATTGACTAAGAACTTTATTTGCTCCTTTATAAGAATCATCTTTTAAAACAAATTATTGATATTATGATATGTCCAGTGCAGGTAGAATGGATGAGCAGAGTTTGAATATTCCTAAGCTATTCACAATTGCTTTTTGTACATATTTTAAAGTACAAAATTTCAGTTAAACTCCTTTTATTACTTCCCAACTCATATATGCCCCAGCACTGCCTCTTTCACCACCTGGCCCACCCTCCTGTACTTATCATATGCCAGATACCATATAATAAATGGGTAATGCTTTGCATGAATGATCTCAATTTTCACAGAAACCCTATAAGATGGTACTTTCATTATGCTCATTTTAGAGAAGAAAAATTGTGGCATAGAGGAGGTAGGAAATTTACCAAAGTTGTACAAGTAATAGGGTTAGAATTTAAACTTTGGTATTCAGATGCTAAATCCTAACGATCTTGCTGTAGAACCTCTTGTTCTAATTAACTGTGTACCTATGGCACCCCCATTGGTGCACTGGGGTTGACTAATCCTAGCTCTCAAGAGCAAATTGTGCACATCTCTTCCCAGCTTTGCATTAAGTGACATCACACTAGTTGCTTGAAACTGGCCATGATGGGAATATTTGTCCCATAGAAATTTTCAAACTAGAAATCAAGGATTTATTTTTCTCCTAGGTCGCTGGGTTTTAAGTGTTGATAAGTATTTATCAGCACATCACTGGACACCATCTTTCTACTTTTGGGGTCCATGGAATTTATAAAACTAGGAAATTCCAGTCCCATGGTTGGCTGACAAGACAATCTTAACAAGCTGGATTACTAGATTGACTTAATCATTTGTTAGATGTTTTTGTTGAATAGAGAAGCAGGTTAGCTTAATGTGTACCATACAGACTTGAGAACTAACTTACAGACTTATGTACTAACTTACAGATTATGTATGGTGTTATGTCTATGTCGACATGACACCTGTCTAGATTAAAAGAGTTACTATTGTCATCAAGCAAGTTCTTGGACACTACCTCACTTCCTTTCAACCCCAATGGTTCTGTACAAACTTTTACCAGATGCACATTGGCAGTGTCTATCTCTGGCACAAACAGAGTGATTCTCACTCCTGTCCGAGTGCTACTTGGACACCACAGTGTGGATGCTTGTTAGAGCCCACTTGGCATTTCACATGGTACAATTCTAATTTATAGGACACTTAAACTTGGGACAACTCTCCAACAACAGATGATAGCAAGTGGTAAATGCTTTATCCATTTGAACCTGGGCAGACAAATGTGAAATGTGTTTGATACTACTCAGGAGGTCCCAGTGGCAATGAGCACCAGATATCCACAGGAATTGTCAACTCAATACTGAATCTTTATATTGGCTTTTTTTCCTTCCCTGATTCTATTCTTTCCCTGTTTTTCTCCCCTGCTTCCTGGTGCCAGTTTTGAAATAAACCACCTGCACATGAGCCTTTAGCTCTGACTCTGCTTTTGAAGGCAATGTGGGCTAAGACCTCCCCTCTTTGACAGCCTCCCATACCCAAGGCAAGAATGCCTAAGTTTGAATCAAGAATGAGATAAGGATTCTTTCTTTTTCCAAGTATCTGGTCACATATAGGATTCTTAACAAGCCATAGTTCTTTCAAGGAGTTAAAATTTCAGCAAGAAGGATGACCATTACACAAATAGTTATATAAATATTTAATATTTCTTCTAATCAGTATTATAAAGAATAAGTATTATTTCAGTTTGGGAGTATATAAAAGCCAGCACTTCACTTCTTAGTGGTTCCTGAGATGCTTCTTTCTACAGAGTGGGACCCTGGTATCCCTTGCCTGAGGCAATAAATAATCAGCATTAGAAATCATAATCACCATACTGGGGTGGCATAGGTCATCCTTTAAAAAAAATAATCAGAGATCACAACAGCCAAGCCATGAGAAAAAAAAAAAAAGCAATCCTTTTATAAAAGAGAAACAAACCTCACTACTCAGATAAATTTCCCCATGGAAAATACAAATCCCCAATTACTACCCAGCATGTGCAAAATATAAAGCATATAAAGCCTCACTCAGCACTGAGGATCTGCGTGATATTTAACAAATTACCAGCATCACAGCATGTTGGATGAAGATTCAGGACAAGACCAGGCAGGGAAAAAAAGAAAAGAAAAAGCCTCAAAGTGGTTGCTTTCCAAATCCTACATGAAGTCAAGTAACTTTTAAAAAAATCTCCATTTTCTTTCTAGATTTTCTTTGTTGACAGACCCCAAGGACCCAGCTGATGATGGAAGTGAAGTGAAATGAATCTAATTACCTCAGATATCTGGTTTTATGTCTTAACTTTTCTTGATTTTTTTCCCTGTGGCCTTTTCAATGATAAAGGCATTTAGGAGACCAGAATAAGAAAAAAATGAAAAATATTGATCTTCTAAACTCTCATATTGGTTTCAGTCACCACTATTTGGGGCAAGAGAGAACCTTGATGGTACAATTTGAGTACACTGTGGTGTTCCAAAGATTCTCCATTCCAAACACACATTTAGTCCTTGCCTTAATTAATTATTGCAACAAATGTTTTTGAGTGGCTAAAATTACCAGGAACAATGCTAGACTTTGGGAATATAACACGTAAACATATTTTTACTGTTCATCACATTCAAGTCACAGTAAATGGTATGTTAATAGTGACTATAAAATTATATAAAATATTCTTGAAACTGATCTATTTTCCGCAGGTGTGTGAGCCCACCCATGTGGCCAATGTCTCAGGAAGAATTTTTAGCAGAAGGAATCACAGACCCATGGAATGTTAGAGTTGAACCAAGCCTCAGAAATAACCTAGTCCTCTTGCTTTGCTTCATAAGTGAGAAAACAGATTCCCAGAGAGATGAAGTGACTTGTTCAAAGATAAACAACAATTAAAAAACTGTAACTGAGAAATTAACTATTAATACTTTTTGATTCTTCTTAAATCATCAAAAGCCATCCATTTTATTCATCCATTCATCTCATTTAATGGTCAGGGGAATAAAAGGTGGGCAAAAAAAGAAAGATTGTTGCCTGCCCTTTGGAGTTCAAAACCTGATAACCATTGAGACAAATAGTAATCAAACATTCTCCCAGATAAACAAGTAAATAAATATATTGCATATCACTCTGCAATTTTGCTTCACTGATTGTATGAAACCTACACATAATCTAAGTGAGAATCTAAAAAGGCTTCTCTAAGGAAATGAGCAGAGAATTGAAGGATGTGGACACATGGGGAGAGGGTATGAGATTCCTGTGGCTGCCATAAAAATTTGCTACAACTTGGAGGATTAAAACTGTAGGAACTTATTATCTCACAGTTCTAAAGGCCAATACTCTGAAATCAGTATGTCAGCAGGGCTGGTTCCATTTGAAGGCTTAGAGAAAAAATCTGTTCCATGTCTCTCTCCTAGCTTCAGGTGGTTGCAGGCACTCTTTGATGTTCCTTAGTTTGTGACACATAACTCTAATCTCTGCCTCTATTATCACATGAGATCCTACCTGTGTGTGTCTTTGTGTCCAAATATCCCTTTTCCTATAAAGACACCAGTCATTGGATTTAGGACCTTAATCCTAACACAATAAGACCTCATTTTAACTTTACTATATATGCAAAGACTTTATTTCCAAATAAGGTCACATTCACAGTTTCTGGATGAACATAAATTTGAGGGAGGACATTATTTAACCCAGTACAGGGAATAAGCAGAGTTCTTAGAATTAGCATGTGCAAAGTACATGAAACAGGAAGAAAAAGGGTACCCCATACGCTGGAAATGAAGCAGCATGTCTAGAGTGCAGAGTGAGGGGCATGGGCCAGGTGGGCAGGCCTTGTAGAACATGTTGAAGATTTGGTCTTCATCCTGAGAAAAATAGACAGCCACCCAAGGGTTTAAAGAAGGAAATGGTGTGACTGAATCAATGTGGTAAGAAGGCATTCAGGCTGCAATGTGGAGGCAAAAGGAGCTGTAAGAAGAACTTCTGGAGGTAAATGCAGTGAGCATGATGAGTGAGGATGGTGGGGCAGGAAACAGGTACTGCACAGACAGATGCTTGGGAATTGGAGAGGAGAGCAGAAATAATTAACCAGAAGTTGCAAACCTACATCTCACAAGAGCCTGTTTTGTTCTTTGCGCATTTTAATTTTTTTGGTTTCTGGCCCACACAATAAAAACTGAGGAAATTTTAATGCTTCATCAGATTTCTAGCTTTTCTTGAATCACTAGAAATCATGGCGACATTGTGTTCAAATTTCTTCACAGTAAAATTGGTAAGAGCCACAAAACAACTGCTCTTTTTATAGAAGGCACATATTTGTTTTACTTCAACTTAGAACTCTTCCCTTCTTATGGTCTTATACCTTCCCTCTTTATATTATATATGAATTGGTAACTTCTAGATTAGAGTAACAATTTCTGCTCACATCAAAAATTCTTAGTGATGGAATAAGAAGGGAGGGCTACTAAAATGAGATTACATGTCAAAGATGACTTCTGACTTGAACAGACTATTGCATCAGGGTAATCTGAAAGTATGTATGCCAGGCTTCTTTTAACAAACATTATCTAGGGCCTGAACACTCATTCATTCAAGAAGTATTCATAAAAGTCTTTCTATGTACCTGGCAAAATACATGGTACAACTATAATGGTCACCAAATGCTAGATCAGAACTATTCTGCCATGTGTTGGCAGAAATATTATTTAAATATCTTATGAATTTTTAATTTGCTACCATTGGTTTTAAGATAATAGTAATATTAATAAAAGCTTCTTTTATAGAGAGGGTGCTTAGTTTTTATTTTATTCAAACTTCAAAACAATCCTAAGAAGCAGTTTTTATTATTATCCCCATTTTACAAATGAGGAAATTGAAGCACAGAATGATTAAGTAACTTACCCAAGGACACACAGGTAGGAAGAGGATCCAGGATGTTGATCTAGGCTGTCCAACTCCAGAGCTCATGGTCTAGCCACTGTAGCTATACTGACAAGGTGAACTGCAATAAAGCATGAAGAAGCTTTGAAATTTTAAGTACCAAGTACGAGAAAAATGTTGTCAAGAGCGTTATCCCTTTAAAGTTATTATAAAAATGTAAAAAACATCATATATGTCTCGAAGATAGAGAGATTGACTTGAAATACAAATTGGTTTTTTTAGCCCTTCATGTGAAAATTCAGGTTTAGTAAATCACCCATAAAATACAGAATGTTTCCCACAGTTACTTGGCTCCTACTGATTTCCATAGAAACCTGATTTAGTTTACCTCAAGGTGGAATGGACTAATAAAAATTAGATATACATTGTTTTTGGAAAACAAAGTTTTTTTTCCAGAGGATGTGATCATGGAACCTGGTCATTAGCATGCAAGACATGGGCCATATTTCTACAGCAGTTTAAAATAATTGTATAAATGATCTATTTGATTCCTTCTAATCTCTTTGATTTCCCCAATTGCCAATCACTGAGTTACTTCATTAGACATTACATTGATCTATTAATTAATATGGTTGAATGAAATGAATTGGAAATGGCTAATCCAGTTATTTCAATTATTAATAATATTTTGTATACTCTGACAAAACATTTCACTTGCTCAACTTTTCTTTTACATGTAGTTGGAGTAATAGCCAGATAAAGATCTCAGGTCACATGAATTCTTTAGTATTGAAGATACATTATAGCAACCCAGAAATGCAAGCATTTATAATATAAATTTTTATTTATCCTATTTCTCTCTTTTTCCCATTTCAGCCAGTCAGAAAGGGAAAATTCTATAAATGCAGACCAGAAAGAGAAAAATCTATTAAATAAAAGCAGTACATAAGTTAATGGTAATGTATTGGACATGCAATTTAAATTGGAAAACCAACTTAAATGCAAAGCAATTACTGACACTTTTAATATTAGCCAGACTAATAAAGCAGCAATTAGATCTCATTATATAGCTATAAAATTGGTTTGTAATAGATTGATTGCACCAAATGTTCCTACTGGTTTTTGATGGCCTTATGGACAAGAGCACTATTCTTTTATTTTGTTTTGAGGAAAAAACAATCTTACAGTTATAATTCATTTGAGTTCTTCCTTTTAAGTTGGCATCAAAGATGAGGCAAAACAACAAGCACAAAGGAAAGAAAAAAGAGGAGAAGGGCAGGAGGAGGAAGAGGGAGAGGAGGAGGAAAAAGAAAAGATACCAAACACTCCATATACCCAGATGTATTTACTTTTCCCAAGGGATCACCTAGTAGTTTTAGAATCTTCTTGTCAGAAGCAGCATTTAAAACTCTTATAGAAGGTTGTTTATTTGTTCATACTGAAGTTCAGTGTGTAGAGGTGCTATACTAAATAGATTATTTGTCTACATTATATAATCAAATAACTGAGGTATGTGATCACAAATTTCTGATATCAGGCACTATGATTCTATAGAACAAAGAACCACCCCGTAGCACACACACAGGGGGTGTCTCCCAATCTTCCTGCCTCTCCTCCTCTACAGCATCATCAATCGTGGAAACGCTAATAAATTTGTTATTAATGAGAGCGAGAGAGAAATAAGCAGTTGTCCATGATTATTGAATGACTGCAATTCTAAAAGTCTCTTTCCTTGTCTGAGGTAGGACATAGTGTTGCAACCCATTCTTGCTCCAGAACTCCCTTCGTGATCAGGATAAAATAAAACCTCATTCATCTGTAGTTCCTTCCCTTTCCCTGTCTGTTCAACGCACCTGTCACCTGTCTCTCCTGAGAGTACTCTCAATAGTGATTATATGCTCTGGCCGCTTGTGTGCTTCTAGGGAAATTAATCTAACACAAGCCTCTTCTTTTGTTTCTTTGAAGCCTTTCATTGCCCTACTTACTCACTCTGCCTTTTCTTCCATCATATTAGACTTTTTTCTTGGCACAAGGCTCCCTAAACAGTTACATTTCCCAGGCTCCCTTGCAGCATGATAAGGCTGTGGAACTGAGTTTTGTCTAAGAAGAAATAAATGGTATCCTTTGGTAGGTTCAGGGAATTAACTATCTCGTGTGCACAGTTTGACCCTTGTTCTTCATTCATTTAACCGTCATGCTGCTTAGAATGAGACACCATCATCTTGGGTCATGAGGATGGATACCACACCTCAGAGACAGCAAAGTGGTGTGATAAATGAAATCTAGTTCTACATGGACTTTGTAAAACAGAGCAACACATCACCTTTGAACTGAACACCTCCAGAATTTTATCTGAGAGAAAATAAAACTCTGTCTTGTTTAAAGAAGTATACTTTTTGGTTTCCTAATACTGTATAATCTAACCCTAACATATATATATATATATATATATATATATATGGCAAGTCCAGGATTGTCACATCCAAAATTTTGTCAGCCCTTATGGGTTCAAAATATTTGGCATAACTGAAACAAACTAGTAAAAAAGAGGACACCACAGAAAAATAAACAACACATACTGTGGATCATTCAGAACTCAAGATAGTAGGATCTAGCACTCGCTAACAGAAAGAGGTTACTATATGGAAATATCCAACTGTGATCTGAGAATTGTGTGTTCTAACAGGCCAACTCTCCACAGGTTGGCTTAAACTCACATATTGGGAGATTGAATAGTGTTCTGCAATGTGGTGTGTGTGTGTGTGTGTGTGTGTGTGTGTATTCACATACTGAATAAGTAATTTTTAAAAAATAATTTAAAATAAATTTTCATATACACTAATGTTAAAAAGCTTTATACATTTTTTCTACTTTTAAGTTTTTTACTTCTTGCTAATTTAATGGTGAAACTAATACTCAGGCTTTAGTTTTTTTTAATTCTAAATAACTAAAATAGGAAGTTAACTAAGACCCAAAAATATAGGTCAATAGAAATGAATCTACAATGATCTGGTATCTGGGGTTAGATGTCCTCTCTAAAATGTGATTAGTTTATATATAGTGATGGTCAGCAGATTCATTCAATTACATAGGGATACATTTTGTGATTAATTCATCCTGTAGATTCAGCAGGAAGCTATGTTGCTCAGAGCTAGCATTATAGAAGGAGATTACTCAGATATCTCTATGGTCCTGGAGGGCAACTACTAACATCCTCCAATAAATATTGACTCAAATCAAACCATGGCCTTCTGTTCTTTTGTGTATATTTCCAGGGAGGTAATCGGCTATTTATTCATGTTGGGGAAGAGGGAGACCTTATATCCACATGAGAAAAATGGAGATAGGTAGTTGGTTGTGATTCAAATAATACATGTGCATTTTTTATTTAGTAGACATTTAAATTTTTTGTGATATTTTATCTATCAAATGTATTCTAATCAATGTTTTGTTAAACTATATTTTCCTTACATAACCTAAAAAATATATTAAGCATCTACTGTACTTATGTGTCCCATTATACAGAAATTTTCCATTTTATTTTTATTTAATATTTCCTCAAAGTGTGTTAATATTTGTTGATAAAAGGCAATGCAATCTTAATAACTTGTATTGAGTGAATATATTTATTACATTTGTCTGTTTTGTGCATTTTTCTTCTGATTTTAAAAGTTCCTATTCTTTTGTTTCCTTTAAATTGAACATCTGTTGTAATCTATGGGAAACTTTATGAATAGATATATCTTCAAACAGACCATCAAAAGCCTAAATTTAGTTTTTTCTTTCTTTTGAGCTACTCTGTATGGGAGGATTATGATCTTTTCAAAAATCAATACAATGATCCATGGCTTGTACAGTTTTTTCCTATAATTTAGTTATTTAGTTTATCTCATCTACCTAACTTATCTTTTTTATTTTTTGAAACAGGGAGTTTCACTCTGTTGACAAGGCTGGACCTAATTTATCTTTCTAAATTAAAAACTACATTTATAAAAAATGGAAGGGAAATTTCATTCTCATATTGTAAACAAAACCCATCAAATATAAACATCTTGTTGGTAAGAATAACAGAATTCTTACACTCAACCAAATGAGTCATCAAAGAGCAAATCAAAACAGCAAACAGCTACTTCATTTAAGTCAAAAAAATTGGTAGTTTTCTAGCTTTAAAGAATAATGAAACAAAATTTCTGGAAGTTCATGTTTCATTAAAAATTTGAACTCAATTATGTAGAAAATACGTAGAAAATACATAGAAAATATGACCAGAAGGAAATACACCAAAATATAAAATTTCAATAGCATAATCAGTAGAATGTATTTTTACTTTCTTCTTCAGTTTACTGTTACTCATTTTTTCTACAATATGCATATAAAATATGTTCCTCTTTTTGCCTTGCATACAAAAGAGCAGACCAGAGAAAGTTAGAAATTAAGACAGAAAGGAAGTGTTGAAAGTGGCGGAAACATAGGTCTTCAAGAAAAGAAGCATATTCTTACATTGTTAAAGGGATGATCAGGGATTTGTACATTGTATAGAGGAAGGCAAGACTCTATTTAAAAAAAAAAAAGAAAAGAAAAAATAAATCCCTTAATGAAAAGTTATTAAAGGGCCTTCTACAACAGAAAGGGTCCCCAGATTGTAGAATGCTTCCTGCAGAGAGAGACCCTCAGGCAGCTCCTACTTGTTCCACGAACAAGTTTAGCCCTGAAGGAACAAAATATGGTGACCACAAAAACTTAAAAGGAAATGAAAAGCTCTCCAGCTGCTGCTCTGCCCACCTGATATTAATGCACTCCTATGCGCTGCCACCTCCTCTTCCTTCATCACCTGCAGAGTCTTGGCTTTGGAGAGGAAAGATTCTTATTAAAACTCTTCAAAAGGCAGAAAATGCCTGGAACAAAGTAACTGTAACTGTAAAATGTCCTGAAAGGCCAATTAGAAATTGCAATACTGGGAGTTTTATTACAACTAACTCCTCCTTAATTATCAATCAATGGATTCTGTTGGAAAAAAAAAAAAGCTTCATATTCTCTGCTGGGGAAATGATGCTAATTATTTTCTGTTAATTAAGGCTGTTCTGGGATTCAGACGTGCCATCCTTCAACTAAAAGATTGACACATCAATGCTAACATAATGTTCAGCGCACCCTTCCAAAGTCTTTATAACCAGTGATAATAAATTAGTGCACATTATTTTAAACCTCTTTAATAATCATGGCTTTTTCTGGGAATGAAAATATATACACATACTATAATACATGTACTTTAATGCATTACTTAATACAGCCTTGCAAATATTTAAAGAGGAACTCTGAAATACAGTGTCTCACTTTCACAATTTTATTAAGCAACAATTAAATACAGCATTTATAAAGGTATCTACTCATACCTCTGACAGCAGGAGGATGGGTTTAAGATAATTTAATTCACTAGGTTCTCTGTTATCAAAAATAGAACATTTCAGGAAATGCGTATGTCAAAGCAAATACTTGTCAATTATTTAATCAAATAATAGTTCAACTAGAAGATTGCACTTATTCATGTTAAAATCTAAAATATAATAAATACAAATTTGTGGTCCCCAGGCTTTCTTTTATTATTTTCCAGAGTGAACAAGCTTGAACACAAAATGGCTCTCAGGGATCAGCCAGTTTCACTTCAACCTTCATGGCTCAGAAGGAAGAAGTCCCAGAAGCTGTGTGACCCAAAGTGATAATCGGAGTAAAGTTTTTCTTGTTAATGATACATGGCTTCTGGTTTTTCCTAAGTCTTCTGCCTACTGGCAGTTATGCAAAACACACCACACACACACCCACACACGTGAAAGTCACAGTTCCCACGTGTTCTTTCATCAGGAGTATGGAAACTACAGCTGAAATTCTATCTGAAACTTCAAAGAATTTAGTTAATGAAATGTTTCTCTTCTCTGACTTGGCATTGTCTATAGTTTCCTACAAGTTAAGAAAAAAAAAAGTGAGGAAAGTACAGTGAGAAGTGGTGGTGCTTACTTCCCACTATTACCATCTTCATTAGTGGATTTTCAAATTATAACTTGAATGGAAATTTTTGATGAATGAATTACAGGTGAATAAGTTTAGGCACAGTGATATGAAGATACTTACCCAGATAAGTCTGTGAATAGTGATCTGAACAAATTCTATTCTATCACATAACTTATCCTAAACTTAGGACCACCAAACTGTTAAATGCTATAAAACACCAAGCCATTTCAAGGGAAATGTCAGCTTCACAATTTCCAACCACCTATATTTCTAGTTCAACATGTAATTTATCTCATGATGAACAAACTGATATTTATTTAGATACAGAACAAAAGCAAAAAATAAATAAACAAAAATACTTACTGAGTTCATAGAATTCATTTAATTGCTATTTGTCTAATTGCCAAAATAGAACTGTGAGATAAATATCATAGTTTTATAGACTAAAAAACTAATGCTCAGAAGGTTTAGGGAAGGTTTAACAGTGAACTAAAGGTCACAAGTCAGTAAGGAGCCAGATTGGTATTTATTTCCAAGTAATCTAACTTTAAGTTATATTTCCCATTGCTAAAGACTCA
This sequence comes from Homo sapiens, assembly GCF_000001405.40. Classification (NCBI taxonomy): domain Eukaryota; kingdom Metazoa; phylum Chordata; class Mammalia; order Primates; family Hominidae; genus Homo; species Homo sapiens. Next base: position 51,301,374 of record NC_000006.12, on the reverse strand, counting down.
ATGTTTGCTCCCCAGTGAACAAAAATTCATGTGTTGAAATCTTAACCCCCAATGTGATGGTAGTAAGAGGTGCGGTTTTTTGGTAGGTAATTAGGTCATGCAGATAGTGCTTTCACAAATGGGATTGGTGCCCTTCGAAAAAAGGCTGTAGAGAGCAACCTTGCCCCTTCTTCTACATGAGAGCCAGGCTGAAAGACAACTATGAATCAGAAAGCAAGCCCTCATCATACACCAGATCTGCCAGCACCTTGATCTTGAATATCCCAACCTCCAGAAGTGTAAATAAGAAATTATGTATAAGCCACCCAGTCTACAGCATTCTGTTAGAGTAGCCCAGATGGACTAAAACACATGCCTACTTTCATCATAATGTCCTCTTCAGTAACTATCTAGATATACTCTGAGCTAGGTGTTGCAGAAGAAATGAAGATGTAGAACATATGGCTGATGATTGATGGGGGTGATAGGATGCATAAATGAACTGATAACTAATAATACAAGGCTAAATATTATAAGCATCTATAGTTAATAAGTGACATACACTGAATTGATCACTCCTCCCCTTTACCAACATTCTGTCTGGTTCATGCCACTGTTTACAGCCTTTGTCAGACTATATTGTGATTATTCACTCAGTTAAGTTCTCTACTATAGTGAAAGCTCCTCTAGGGTAGAGAATGTCACTCATTTGTATTGAAATGACTAAAGCAATGCCTGCACATAGGATCAGGCACAATATTGTCTGTGAAATGAAAGGACATATAAGATGTTTTAACCAATAAGGCCACTCTTTAATTTATTTACAGAGTTTCAGCCATGTGCCAGACAGCATGCTAGGCTTTGAAAGTACAACTCCAAATAAGACAGATACAGTTTCTATACTCATGAAGCTTACAGTCTAAAGGAAGGGAGAATTCAGTCACGAAGTAGAAGGAATAAAATACTGTAAGTGCTATGTTTCAGGAATTAGAGACTGCTATGGAGTATCTAACCCACACAGGGGAATCTGTAACTCATACAACCAAATTCATTGCCATACCAAGTTTGTTCTAGACACTTGGGGAGGAAGAGAAGTAAAAGTAAACTTCCCATACCTACAGGTGAATAGCCCCTGGGAGAAGGCACCTGAACAGCCACTGCTGTTTTCCTCAGCTACAAAGGAGAGAATGAATGTAGCAATCAAAAGACAAGACAGGGCATGCCAATGAACACACAGACTGAGCAGAACTGAGTTAGTGAATGCTCCGTCACTATCTCCAGTGCCCCTCTCTCTGCATTACTGTCTGTGGATGCACAGACACTCTCATCCTTCAGGAAACACAAGTCATCACTTTACTGTCCACTGAAAACATATTTATATGAAGAAAAGGTCAAGAATAAAAATCAGCTTCTATGCTCATGAGGCAGTTCACAGAGAGCATTGCCCAACAATCACCACCTCCAGCCTTCTTGGTCAAATCCCAAACTGGCAGAAGTGCCTTGGCAGGATGTTGCCATCTTTCTCTCCTGCAAATAAACAGAATATTTTTTACCTATGATAGGTAATTATGTGGCTTTCACTCAGCTCTTGTAATTCATTCGTACCTCCCGGCATTCATGAGTCATGGGTCTTTTACACTTGTCACAGAAACCTAATCCCTACCCTTCATGGGCCAGCTATCCTAAAGATGGCTGAACATGTAATTGCCTTGAAGTGTAAAATATTTCCCACATTATTTATTACAGCAATGCCTGCTAGCACCTCTATGGTTGAGGTTGTGTCAGCATTTTCATTATAACCCCCTATTTCCAGCAGTAAAAGTGTGCTCCAGGCTTAAACTCAGCACATGGAAAATAAGTCCAGAAGGGAATTTTCTACTCTTTGTAAAAACACACACACACACACACACACACACACACACACACACATATATATATATATATAGGCATTTTTAAAGTTATATGATTGAAAAGAGAGAAATGGCATAAAATGGACTTTGAAAAGCTTCCCTTTTGTGCTAGTAAATTCCAGGATTCAAAAGTGGGTGTGGTAATAAAGGCCCTTACCACTGGCGTGGGAGGCCAGCTCAGTTCCTATCACTCTATCTTTGAGAAGCCAAAGGAAAAAAATGGAGCCCTGCCCAATTCAAATTTAAAAATTCACTGAAGAAATGAGGAAATAGCTGGGCACGGTGGCTCATGCCTGTAATCCAGCACTTTGGGAGGCCGAGGTGGGTGGATCACCTGAAGTCGGGAGTTCGAGATCAGCCTGACCAATATGGAGAAACCCTGTCTCTACTAAAAATACAGAATTAGCCAGGCATGGTGGCACATGCCTATAATGCTCGGGAGGCTGAGGCAGGAGAATCACTTGAACCTGGGAGGTGGAGGTTGCACTAAGCTGAGATTGTGCCATTGAACTCCAGCCTTGGCAACAAGAGCAAAACTCCATCTCAAAAAATAAATACATAAATAAAAAGAAATGAGAAAATAGATTTGAGTTACAAAAAATTAAAAGTTAAGTAGGACCAAATTTGGGAGCAGGGCTATCTTCTAGCCTGGAGGTAAACATGGCCAGATTTGGGACATGATTAAGAGCACCTTCTCAGCTGGTGATAGATCAGAAGTGGTTGTTGTAAAATGGACAAAGAATGAGATTTGACACCTAAAACCCAAGCCCCAGTTCTTCCACTTATTAGGTATGATTTTAGGAAATCCATAGCAAACATTCCAGTGTCACGAGCCTTTCAACTCCCATTTCAACAGAAGAGCACCATTACTCCAAGGTGGCTGCATTTAAAAAGCATCTTACTTGGAAGCTGTTATTACTGATGTTGGCTAGTTGGTCAATGAGATGTTCTGAAAGATTAGCTATTGCATTAGCTAGTTGAGATCTACGCATCTAAGCATCAGGTTAGGTAAATTTCATCAGTGGGGGATATAATAGTGACAAGCCCAAAGTAGAAGGTATCTTTGAGAGGAAGAGAATGAGGAGCAGCAGCTGGAGAACTTGGAAAGGCAACATGACTGAAGTGAGGATAACTTAACTGGAGGTGGGTTTTAGGGTCCCTGAAAATCATTTTTACTATGGGTTGGTGAAGATGTAGTAGGTTAAATGGTTAATTCTGGCAACTTGTTCTTGAACTTGTGGTCATACATAACATTTTTTCTCCAAGAAGTTCACTTTTTTATATGTTATCTAAGGTTAGTTTATATATTTTCTACCATTTGCTAAGAATTAATAAAGCCTCTATTATGTCCTCAGTCTATACAAGGTACTGTAAAGGATTCAAAAGGTATTACTCCCTGTCATCCAGAAGCATACATTCTTGTAGGAAATACAGCCTTACTCACATGAAAGAGTGTCACTTCCTAATGGTGGGTGTTGTAAGCAAAAAATGCCCCCCTCCAGAAGCTACCCACATGAAGTCCCTGGAACCTGTGCCTGTTACCTTATTTGGAGGATTTTTGTGATGTGATTAAATTAAGGATCTTGAAAGAAGGTGATAATCTTGAGTTATTTTTAGGTCGGTCTTACATGCCATTACAAGCATCATTATGAGAGGGAAGAGGAGAAAACACAGGGGGGGAAAGCAATGTAATGATGAAAATACAGATTGGAAGTATGCAACCTTAAGTCAAGGAATGCCAGCAACCAGAGGAAACTGGAAGAGGCAAGGAAGGACTCTCTCCTAGAGCCTCCAAGGGGAGTATAGCACTGCTGACACCTTGATTTCAGACTTGTGGCCTCCAGAATTATGAGAGAATACATTTCTGTTGTTTCCATCCACCAAGTTCGTGGTAATTTGTTATGGCAGCCACGGAAACTAATGTAGCGGGAAAAGAGAAGTTCTCCTTTTCAATGCTTAAGGAAATGGAGTCCAGGGTAGGGATGGGGGAATGCAAAGGGGAGAAAGGGTGGCTGAAGAGAACAAAAACAATTCAAATGTTAATTTCGTTTCCAAATTATGGTTAATATGATCCAAGTTATAAGAGTTGTGCCTTGGGGGGCAGCAGTCAGTATTAATATTTACTTTTAGGATTTGCATTTTCCTCTACCTATACATTATTCCCAAACCTTTAAAAAAATATGTGGTTTGTAATACTAAGTCTTTCAACTAACCTTCAGGTTAAGTCAGATAAAATTATACTTTAGCAAGAGCCTTTGTCAAATGACCCTGTTGTCTCTGAAGAGATGACACTTTGCTATGAAGGAAGGGAACATACTTTAGTGTTTTTAGTGATAATATTCACAGGTAATGTTCAAAACTAGAACTTAATCCTCCCTGGTCATTTTAGCAGATATCCTAATGCCAACTGGGTATTAATTTTATAGACAAATAACTATAATTGTAAAACTCTTCAACTTCTTTATGTGAAATATGGCTCTTCTTAAAAACTAGATGACTATATTTTAATTAAGAGAAAAAAATTATCTTTCCTTAATCTGGGAATTTTTCAGTCACTACCCTCATTCTCCAGAGGACCAATATCTTAAAAGAGATTCAGTCAAACATCAGCTATGATGTTAAAAGAACAGTAGATTTTTGTTAATTGAATTTTTAAATTAACTTATTTGACCAGAAACACTTTTCGGATTTAAACCTTGTTCTCAGGAGTTTATTGAAAACATATTAGCTCTCTTTCCTCCTTGATAAGTGTAGCCATCTAGGAACAGGGCTCATTCATCTGTTACAATGCAGAGGTTGGTACCTAAAGAATGTGGCATGGCCACTTCCCAGGTGGCCTTAAAGGCAGAGGCCTTATGTATTTCTGTTACCTGCAATTGCATCTGCAGCTTCCTATAGCAGTTCCTTCTTCCAGAGACCAGTTCATAAACATGTTCCTGACACTGAGGTATGAAATCAAAATACCCATTTATATATAATTATAAATGACTTCCCATATGAAGTAGGATTGCTGAGTTGTTGTGGCCAGGATATTCTCTCCATTTTGGCAAATCTTAGTAATAGTCCATACTTCTTTAATGCATTAATTAAATTTATAATTAAATAACTCATTGCTAAATGTCTTATTTCCCAATAGACTTCAAGCACCAGAAGGGCAGAACGAACCCCTGTCTGTTTTGCTCATTGTTCTATCTTTAGCAAATATGAAGTCATTAACACACATAAACACAACCAAGTACTGTATACGTAAGTATATTTACAGATGTGATCATTGATTTATGCTAGAATTTTTAACAGTGGTTGAACAATTGATGTATGTACGCTAATTGCTATTTAGTCAAAGAAAGAGCCATAGAAAAATGGAGATGTGAATTTAAAGATGAACAGACTTCTCAATTTTCTCCTTAGCATCTGGGAGATTTTCACAGGGGTAAGAATAATTTTCCCCTACTGCCTCCTGTATTCCTAGGTTATCATTCTGGTGTACAGGGTCCCAAAGCATTAGAAAAGCTAGTTCCTTGCACCAAATTCATAAATTTTTCCAGAGGCTGGACTGACAACTGATATCCAACTGCTCAAATGGGACAATTGCATTTTGCATCTTTCCCCCTCCTCAGTCATGGGCAGAGGTGGTACCTGTGTGAGAGACTCACCTCCTTGGGGCAAAAGGTTATGTTAATGATTGAGCAGAGGAACTTTAAAAATGATGCTAAGGTATGGCTAGTTTACCTCTACAAAATATTACCTTTACTCAAGTATCTGGAGATCAAATGGTTTGTGTGCCACTCAAAATCATAATATAATAGAATTGTGTTCTTTTGGAAAAGACTTGATGGATTTTAAGGAATCTCTTTCATAATTTTCTCCCATGCAACCAGCTTGACTTTATTCCTCTCTTCTCCCCAGCATGTCCACTCTCCAGGCTGGTCTCTGCTGACTAACCTTATTTTGTCTCTATGGTTTCACATGTGTTTTTCTTTTTGCCTGGCATCCCCTTTCCTTGGCCAAATTATGTTTATTATTTATATCTTTGATCATTACATCCTTTAGTTATCTCCTTTCCTTGTATTGCTCAACATAATTGATAAGACATAAACAACTTGAGGACAGGATCAGTATTTTATATATTTTTCTCTAGCCTCTATCTCCACTCAGAACCGGGTAAAATGCATAACCAGTAGTCCATAAATGTCTACCAATGATGAATTTACATCTATTAGATTTAAATGCAGTTCCCATTATCCCCTGTAATGAGGAAAGCCACAGCTCAGAGAAAAACAAGATTTTTCAGTAATTTCTAATTTAAAAGAAACACTCATACCTTAATAAAATCAAATAGAAATGTTTTAATTCATCCATTTGCCTATCTCTTAAACAGAAATTAAAGAAGTATTTGCTTTTTCATTTTACCATGTTCTTCTATTTTATAAAGGAGTAACTATAACATATGTCACATGTGATTGGGTCATATGCCAGGACTGAACAATCTCCCTGTTTCTAATGTACAGTCAAGGATGAAAATCTCTGATTCAGAAACACATTTGAATGTCTGGAGACACTTCTAGAAAAGAACCCACCCTTGTGCAAATGCCTGGGCCTACTGGTGGCTGCTGTCGAGAAATAAAGATGAATGCCATAGAGTTTCTGATATTAAAGAATTCAGAACCCAGAAAAATCTATGGCAGCATAACAAACCACCTTGTCTTAGTCTATTTGTGCTGCTATAACAAAATACCTGAGACTAGATAATTGATTAAAAAAGAAACAGAAATTTATTTCTCACAATTCTGGAAGCTGGGAAGTACCAGATCAAGATACCAACAGGTTCAGTGGCTAGTGAAGGTCTCTTCCTCATAGATGACACCATCTATGTCTCCTCACATGGCAGAAGGAATGGAAGGGCAAAAGTAGGGGTACAAATAATGTTTATTCAAGTAGAAGAGGAGAATAAGAGAGTAAACCCACTCCCTTAAGCCCTTTTATAAGGACCCTAATCCCATCCATGAGACCTCTGCCCTCATGACTTAATCATCTCTTAAAGGCCCCTCCTCTTAACATTGTCACATTGGCAATTAAGTTTCAATATATGAATTTTGGGAGACACAACATATGAATTTTGGGAGATACAACTGGCTTAAAACAGCAATTGTTTTTTTATGACTCAAATCTTCTTAGCCATTAATTCAGATAGGTCTCAGCCAGATGATTCTATTTATGCATGGTATTGACAGAGACATTAAGTGAAAATCAGCAGGTGGATGGGCTAGCATGGTATTTAGCAGGTGATGGGCTGGCATGGTATTCAGCAGGTAGTTGGGCTGGCATGGTATTCAGCAGGTGGATGGGCTGGCATGGTATTCAGTTGGTGAATTGGCTGGCATGTCCACATAGGGATGGCTGGAAGTCAGGGAGTCAGTGAGGACTGTCAACAGATTGTCTATAAGTCCCCTTCAGCATGGTAGCCACAGAATAAGACTTTGCACATGGTGTCTGCCTTTCCCTAGAGAAAGTGTTCAAGAGACATGAAGTGGAAACCACGTGTTTCTTAAGGCTGGATCTAAAAGCTAACATGGGATTATGGATCATTTCCCACATGTTCTATGGGTCAAGCAGTCACTGAGCCTATGCTGTTTTATAGAGAAGGAACACAAACCTCACCACTGAATGGCAATATTGACAGTTTGTGGTTATCTTTAATATACCACAGAAGGTTATAACGTAAGCTTGACTGTAATACACAATAGAAAACAATCAGTTTTATAAAAGATACACAAATGAGTACTAGGAAAGTTTTAAGAAGGACAAGAGCATGTAAGAGAGTGATAAATGTTTTCCAAAAAAAGTTGATATGGAGTTGAGTCTTGAATGATGGTTAAAACCTATTTTGAGATACTGAGTTGAGGTGAAGGCAGGGGGTAGTCAGAGTCAAGTGAAAGTGTTAGGCTCTCTCATGGCACACATAAGAAAGGGAGGTGGCTCCAGCTTCCCTATGAGTAGGCTGTGTGAACAGAAGTGACTGGAAATAAGGTCTAGAAGTGTAAGTAGGTCAGGATTCCAAAGGCTTTTAAATGCATGGCTAAGAAGCTGGGGCTTTTTGCTCCAGGTAATGAGTCCTCATACTTTTCTTAACCATCGTCTGGGAGCAGGGAAGAAAAGCAAGTTCTTCAAATGCAGAGGTTCTTCAGAGTTTGAAAATAATGCAAAGACTGTGTATTTATAAAATTAGATGTTCATCCCTTTATATGAGAAAATCAGGCTTTAAGAAATTAATAATAATAACAACTGACATTTTTGAGTGTTTACTATGCGTCAGACTCTACATTAAGGCTTCACTTGCATTCACTGGTTAATTTTGCAACAACTCCATGAGTTTGATACTATTATTGTGGACATTTTAACAGATGAGAAAATTAAGGCACAGAGAGGTGAAGTAATTTGCCTATGGTCATAACTATATTGAGCCCACACACCTACATGATTTGTCTAAGGTCATCCAGTGGCCAAGAAACATACTGGAACTAGAAGCCAAATCTCCCAATTCCCATTCCACTTCTCTTTCCACTACATGATACTAAGAAGCAGAGAAATGTTCCTCTCTTATTCTTTCTTCTATTCTCAGACATTTTTTTGTGATGATTCACTTTCAAATTCTTTCCTCTGCCTCCTTGGTTTTATGTGTCATAGAAGAATGCTTGATCTTTGTCACCACCTCTGTCTTCCAAACCCATGCTCTCTAATCCACTGCCCTCAGTAATATTCTCATATTTTCATTCCAATGAGTAGATTCTGGTTACCTTCAGAGACAGCACGAAGCACTCCAGATTCTCTCTAAATAATATTTGAATCAATAAGAAATACATATAAACACACAAATATCTACAACACATTCTGTTTTCTTCTTGAAAATATAAACAGTGGGAGCCTCATGGGATAAGAGATGGGGTCCTTGCAGCTGTCTGTACGTGCATCTGTAACTGCTATCATCTCCACTGAAAGGCCCAGACTGTCAAGGGAGCATGGATCATTCTCAAAGGGATCAAAGGAATGGCCGTAGGTGAAGCCCGCATGCCTGCTTGACCACAATAACCCCCTCTTACAAATGATGTGCTGAAACTATGTGTCTTTCAGGCTAAATCAATACATAAATTTGGTATATAGAGCACCTAGGTCATGGACCCTAGATCAACAATCAAATGGAAAATAAGTGGGAGATTCACAAGGAAAATGAACAACAACAACAACAAAAATAATTTTTACTGCCTGAAACTTGATCTTGGGACACATCACAAAAATCCAATTTCCTTGATCTTCCCAATCTTTCCCAGCAAGGGTAAAGGTTGAGAAGGGGGATGGAGATTCTGTAAACAATACCTACAGTCTTATTCCTTTATGTCCATTATACCTATTTCCCTTCTATAAGCAAAATGTAGGGTGTAGAAAGGAGGATAAAACAAATAAAATTCATTCAAAGGCCAGCAGAATACATAAGAATGCAGCAGTGGGTTCAAATTGGAACACTTATAGGCTGTGTGGATGTATCTATGGAGAACCTCAAACAAGTGAATGAACTTCTCTCTATTACCTCATTTTTAAAAATAGGAATAATAGTAGCACACACTCATAGAGTTATTGCAAGTATTAAATAAGTTAACATCTATAAGATTCTTCAGACAGTACCTGGAATATAGCAATTGCTGTATAAATATCATCTATTATTTTAAGATCTTTAATATTGCCTTCCCACTGTGTTGCCTTCCTGGCACCATCCCCCTCCTGTCTCCACATTGCTCACTCCACTCCAATCCTTGCACACTCTCAGTCCAAGACATTTGTACTTCTATTCATTCTGCCCGATGTTCTTCACCCAGGGTTCCTCAGGGCTCCCCAACTCCACTCACTCAGGTGTCTGCTTGCAGAAGTCTTCTCTGACTGCCTCATCTATAACAACCCCCCTTAACCTATTTTGTTTCTTCTGTGCACTGACATATGCTAACTTAGATATGCATTTATTATACTATCTGTCTTTCCTCCTAGAATGTGAGTTCTATAAGAGCAAGTATTTTGTCGATTTTATTCTTGGCTGTATTCCCTAGTGCTTAGAAAAATGCCTGGAACATAATAGTTGCTAAGAAAACACGTGCTGAGTGAATAAAAACTGAGCATTCACAGGGAATTGAACATTTGCTCCAGGGTAAGAGGTGCTAATAATAATAATGCTGTCCCTTACCTGAACAAATAGACAAAAATACCAGAAGTAGGTTTATGCACAATTAAATAATTGCCTAATGTATTTTGGTCAATATAAACAGTGTACCTAAATAATATGAAAAAACATACTTCTAAACTTAACCTTTTTTCTCCCCAAAACATTCAGGGACTGATTTGTTGGCAAAATTGTTTCAGCTCCTGACTTTGAGAGGTCTCCTCTTCTAGTTTATTTTTAGAATCCCTCCACATAATTCACATAAAGCTTTTCACGTAGAATATGTCAAACCACCAGAAAGCAACATAGTCCTTATGACACTGAGTTTATAAGGAAACGATGCTATAGAAATGCTCACAAATCTCCATCATGGGCTGGTATGATTAATAACATAGGCTTCTAAGAGATAAAACTTAGCTAATTAACATAGTTTTTTTTCCCCTCACTTCCACTTCAACATGACATTTTCATTGTTGTTCTATGGAATACAAAAGAAATATAAGGCACAATCTATGTGCACAAGGAATACATAATTCTTGGCTAAGCAAAATGTAAATTAATTAGCAGAAAAAGCAACTTTATGATACAACTTTGTAGAAAAGCAGAATATGCCACTCCAAAATACGGCTTGTTGGAATAAGAATTATTTTGAGCTGATTATTTTAAGAAATAGCAAACACAAGAGAAGTACTGAAAACAGAGTAGAAGTTACTGTTCTGTAAGGGAAATTTACACGCATAACAAACATTTCTATTTGTAAGGGTGTCTCCTTCTAAGTAACAGAAAGACAAAGATGACTGAATCACAAAGCTCTTATCAATGAAGAGGGCATGGACTTAGGCCTGCATAAGAAGCCTTACTCTTGTTTACCTTGCTTTTCCATGTCACCTCCCTGCCTTCTTCTTTCTTTGTTTTAGTTGGAGATGCTACATAGGCTGAAGTTCTAGGTCTCATCTTTGATAATTACTCTTTCTGAGTTTTCTCTCATGTATATATGAAGTAACATGTTAATATACTTCTTTCACTTTTTCATCTTTTTGTTGTTGTTGTTAGAGGGATCCCAGCCAAGAACACAGAAGAGTAGAGGAAAAATTATTCTTTCTCCCCTAAAACTTCATGTGTTAACCAAGTGTCTCCCAGACTTGCCCTCTTATAAGAATGACCTGGGTTTCTTTTGTAAAAAGTATGTATTTTCAGGTCCCGTCACTGGAGTTTCTAATATACATTGAGGTGTAGCTTGTGAACTTACATTTTTGTTAAGTGCCCAGTGAATCTTTGATCAGGCAAGCTGGGAAATACTTTTCTAAAATAATAAATCACTGCTTCATTAAGAGGAAAATAATTTACAGAAAGTCGAGTTCAATGTGAGAGGGGAGCATCAAGAAAGACTTAATAATATATGTCATTCTTTTTCTCATCTTAGAGTGCCGCACTTCTCTAATGAATGTTGTCGTCTGCAGTAATCTGACCATCTCTTCTGTTCTTAAACTCCAGCAATCTGGATTTTTCCCTCCCTTTTCCTCACCCCCAGTTCTCACTCCTTGCCGCTTAATCTCAGAATGGGCTTTCCTCATTATTTTTAGCTTCTCAGAAGCATCCAGTGGGAACATTTTCCACTCTTTTGTCCTTCCTCTGACCCTACACTGCCCTAATTTTCCAACCTCTCCTCTTTTTAATATGTTTCTTAAACCTTCTGCACTGTTTCTTATGTACCTTTTTTCAAAGATATTAATTTACCTAGCTATAATATCATTTCTTCACAAATGTCTATAGTGTACTAATGTCCATTTGTACTAATCATTTTGACACTGTATATTGCAGGGTATTTTTTAAGATTTTCATGTTTTTTTTTCCCCAACTGGATTGTTAATTTATAGAGAATATCTACCTTAAATTAAAAAATGATTAGCTTTCACCAAAGAAGTATAAATAAGCTGTATGTTAATCACAGTATCCCTTGCTCTTTCCTGCTGTAGAAGTATTGCTGTGGTGAGGTCTGTGGTCTTGAAATATGCACACACTGTATTTAAATAAAACATTGACACATTAAGCAATCTTGTTATGCAAACCATGCTAATACACACATTCCATTTTAATATTGTCATGGTCAACATTATTGAGTGTGATCCATGGCCCAGTAGGGGATTGCTAAGGCTCTCCAGATAGATTATTTGATTCTTTAAAACTGGAATTATTTACGGATCATGGGATCAAGAGATCGAGACCATCCTGGCTAACACGGTGAAACCCCGTCTCTACTAAAAATACAAAAAATTAGTCGGGTGTAGTGGCACTCTCCTGTCCCAGCTTCTCGGGAGGCTGAGGCAGGAGAGTTGCTTGAACCTGGGAGGCAGAGGTTGCAGTGAGCCGAGATCGCGCCACTGCACTCCAGCCTGGGCGACAGAGCACGACTCCATCTCAAACAAACAAACAAACAAACAAACTGGAATTCTTTAATAATTTTTGCTGACAGTTCAATTTCACAGGTTTTAACTTTTATATATGGTTAAAGGTGAATTAGTAATAACCTACTAAGTGTTGTTAAAAATGTGCTCTTTAAAAACTTGAATTAGTGTGTGACTAGAGTTTACTAACTCCCCTAATTCGGCATGCTGCTAAAACATCTGACCACCACCCATTGCTTGGCTCCGCTACACATGACAAGGCCACAAGACTGGCGGGGAAAACAGTTTGTTAGCAGCACATCAGTGAAATTTTGAGCAGACAAAGTTTTCAATTGCAGCTGTTCTTATAGCCATCAAAAATTTCATAGCTTTACTCCTAGATTTTTACCTCTGTTTATCACTTGTTTCTAGATAATTCTATGTTGCTACTGTTTCCTTTTTTAAAAAAAAAATCATTTTTCCCCAAGTCTATTAAGCACTGGCAAGTAAAATAGGTAGGTCATGGTTACACATATTTGGGATCTCGTGTCTGAAAGGGCAGTGAGAGCTGCAGCATCAGAGAACAGTGTCCGCAACTTTCAGGACCCAGGCAGTGGTGCATCATTTCTCAGGCCTGGAATGTTTCAATAAGTCTCACACAAATAGTCAGGTATGTACCACTGACAACTCTGGGAAGAGCACTGGGAACTGTGAATTCAGATACAAGGCTTATCTGAACCACACCACAAAAGGTGCTTACAGTTTCATGAAGCACTTCTCTCTGTAGAAAACAACCCTTGGGAAAATAAAAACATTGTGTTTCTTGCTCAGTGTTTGTTTGGGTTGTTTTCTTAGTTTCTTATTTTTTTCTTTTTAACTTCTTTCATCTTTCAAGATAAATGATAAAAAAGAATTTTAAAATAAAGTATTTGCGAGTCTCCTTAACACTGCTTTCTGTGTCAGCTTGCAGCGATTGCTCACATGAACTGATCTGATACCAAGTGGAAGTGACCTGCTCTCAGGCTCAGCACTTAAAGAAGCTTCTGATGAACACATCCCTGCCCAATAAGAAGTTCCAGAAGGAATTAAAACCAAAACTTAAATGTTGAAAAGAAAGAGATCATCAGTAGCCACCAAAGAAGGTATGTGAAGCTGTATAAAAACTACGTTAATGCATTCACTTCCTGTATACTCACTCTTACCAAAATGGCAAGCCTTCATTACGAGCTGGAAAATAACTTTTCTTGCTTGAATATGTTATAGTCTGTGAATGAAGTATTCATAGTTTAACATCTCTCTACTTGCCTGCTTAAAAGCAGAAGTGTCCTAAAGTATAATCAGTTCTATTCCAGCTGAGGGATAATGGATAAGTAAGAGAACCAGCATTTATTAACCACCTGCTATATTATCTGACACTTCGCTTTCTTTATCTCATTTTATTTTCACTAAAATCCTATACATAGGGATTTGTATTCCACATTCACAAATGAAAAATGTAAAATCTAAGAAGCTTAAGTAAATTATCCAAAGTCCCAATTACTAAAGCAAGGTCTATATAATTACCAAATCCATGACTTTCCAACTTTTTTATCTGCTACTAAGGATAACAATACCTATGTTTGCCAACTTATATGTTGTTTTTAAAAATGAAAGGATATTATGCATGTGAAAGTAGTTTGGTGGGTTAAGGACATTTTGGAAACATACTTGTTTATTATCTGCAGCAAATTTCTTCCCTCTCTCCCCTTTCTCCTTCCTTCCTCTCTTTTTTCTTTCTCAAACTCATGCATATTGATGACACAGAAAACAAAACATGCTTTCAATAACATAATATTATCAAAGTACTTGCTTCTTAGAGTATTTCATATTCTATATCAATTTTATATTTTTTTCCAGTTCATCCATGTTTTCCCATATGACATCCAGTGAAAACATAGCTGCAACATCAGAGATCACCATTTGAAAATCCAAGAAAATGAGTTTGCTCTAAGTCAACAAAATTGCTTCCTTGAATCAATACTGCCAACCTTTCCAAATATTCCTAAGACCCATGATACACATACCAAAAAAAAAAGGTTAATATTTATCTAATTGATTTGATCAATAAATAGCTCTGGCGAACAATGCAATACTATTGTTCTTTCTGTTATTGCAGGTGTGTTGAAGGTGTCCAGAGTGGCATGGGTCTGGTTCACAGCAGAACTACCACCTTTGGATGTGGCAGAGAGCAAGATATACACTTTCTATAACTCTAAAGAATAATCAAGGGAGTCACAGTGAATCACAAGACTGCAAATTCCTCGAGAGGTACATGAAGCAGTGGAAATATGTTTGCACTGGAGTCAAACAGCCATGGCTTGGAAGTCCAACTCTTCATCTTCCAGCTCTGTGACCTTGCGAAGTTACTTAATTTTAAATGAAATAATGTAATAAAGCACTTAACACAATAGCTATTATTATTGTTACTATCTTTTTATTCCTAAAGATCTTAGTAACGCTTTGAAGATCATCACTTTTTCGAAAATATGTGTTGGCTGATTTTTATTTCATTGATCAAACTGTCTAAATCCAGTCATGTTAATATTTGGCACTATTAGAAAGTAACTCACCCTGTAAGTTTTTTTTTTTTTCTGAAAGAAGTTTAGTTAGTGTATCATTCATCACTTCTGAGTACCATAAATGAATTTCAACTAAGTTTCAAAGTGTCCTCACCATAGTTATCTAATTTCCCCATATTTTCTTCAGCAAGAATTTCTATATCTTGAGAATCAGCATAAATGTTTCATAAAGCTGCTCAAACCATATGTGGTGAAAATCAGAAGAGGAGCCAGAAATCAGTGTGCCAGAAATACAATACCAGCCCAATTCCTTTTATGTTTACTTCAGATTGTTTGTTTTGAGAGCTTATTGGAAAAGAAGATTTTTTTTAAAGGGAAGGATAAACTTGAAAGACTATTTCAATGCCATATGATATAAGCCCCAAATACTAAGAAATTAAAGAAAGCTTCTTGTTAGTGTGCTCTCTGTAGCTATAATTGAAATTCAAAAATGGACAAACAGCCAAGCACAATCATGGAGTTACAGTTTTTGGCAGAATTAAATTCCCTTAAGATAGTTATTGGACAAGGAAAACTAACATTATGGCATCCTCCAAGATATTGTTTATTTCTCCTTAAGGTAAGTTAGGATTCCTGATCAATACCTAGTATTAAACTGTGTGGGTTTTGTTTGTTTGTTTGTTTGTTTTTTGGAGACAGAGTCTTGCTCTGTTGCCCAGGCTGGAGTGCAGTGGTATGATCTTGGCTCACTGCAACTTCTGCCTCCTGGGTTCAAGCAATTCTCCTGCCTCAGTCTCCTGAGTAGCTGGGACTACAGGCCCCCTCCACCATGTCCAGCTAATTTTTTGTATTTTTAGTATAGATGGGATTTCACCATGTTGCCCAGGCTGGTCTCAAACTCCTGAGCTCAGGTAATCCACCAGCTTCGGCCTCCCAAAGTGCTAGGATTACAGGCGTGGACCACTGTGCTCAGCATAAACCGTGTGTTTTTAAACAGGTTAAATTGGATCCTCAAATATTCTTCCCTAGGAGGTTTCATTGTTACACAACAGAAAATGATATTTCGTGTATTTTATATTTTTTGCTTAATCTAGGTCTTCTTGATGACAGCATTTTTGCGTTTCTTTTCTCTAGAACTACCTACAAGGAAAAGTCATGCCATCTGTAGGTGTGGTAGTACATAGTTAAAATGAAGAAAGTGTAGGATCCTTTCTTCATCAGCAAGTCCACCGCCAGCACCCCTCATTATGAAACGGGTTTGACACACGACCCTTCTTAAGCACCCTTACATAGCAAGTAGATGGACAAGACTGTAGAGATTCACGAGCTCTAAGATAAACTGTCAACACAAAGCGAGCAATCCAGATTGTACATCCTCATTTATGAATTAATGATGAGTGCTGAATCAGAATGATTGGAAAATGAAGGAGCAAGAGAAGGCAGTGGAGGAGGGAGTGGAGAACAAGGCATAAAAAAGAGTTCTCACTTGGAGCTTGAAATATAAATCAGAAAAAAAAAAACTTAAAAAAATAAAATTTAGCTTGTTGAATTCCCGAGCCTTAGGAGATCAATGAAGTAAGGGTTAAATTTTACAACTTCTGAGCCAGGAAGATCAATAGCATAAGTTACTCGGATCCCTTCTGAAGTGTGTACTTTTTCTTCTCTCTTCCACCCTCCCTTCATCTTTTTTGCCTATGACATTTCACTCCTCACCAAGAAAGGTAATGTGGTTTCTTTAAGAAAATACTTATAGTAATAAAAAATGACTTTAACAGCAAAAACTAATAATTGCTAAGGAGCCAATTAAATTCTGAAAGCGAGATGAAACTCTTCTTATTTCCCCTGGTGATTTTATGCTTTAAACTCGCTTCCGTGTTAGAGGAGGGAAAAAAAAGAGAAAATATAATTTCAGAAGCTGACAGAACTCATTGTTCGAGAAATTTTAAATTCAAAAAAGTTAATAAAGCCCAACTATAAGATGAAGGGAATTTGCATTTCACAGATTAACAACATGTACAGCAAGAAAGGCGATCCGCCTTGCCCCAGGTGATAATTTAAGAAACCTTTGCATATTTTATTTAAAACTGGGCCCAGTTTGGCTGGGTAATAAAACAGACAGATAATGATTAGAAGGTCGCCCCTCCAGGGCACACAGCTTGGGCCCCTGCAAATACCAAACAATGAACCCACAAGCCTGGCTGGCTGAAGATTAGTCTAATTGTCTGCTGAGGTTTTTCCCCCCACTCTGAAGTTTCTCTCCTCCCTCCCCTAACTCTACCTCCTAACCCTCTTCCCCCACCTCCTTCATCCCTCCCTTCTCCCTCTTTCTTTCTGAACTGTTTAAACAGGGTGATAGTTTGCCATTTGTGTTTTTGTTCTTCCTCCTTTCCAGGAAAGCGCAATGCAATCTATTTCTGGCAAGCTTGCCCGCATCTCTCCAACTCACTTAGCCTGCATTTCACTGTGCCTAGGACTTCCCTTTTTCCTTCAACCTATTTGCTGATTAGGCAGGCAATGAATCTGTTTCCAAATTGTAATCTCTTCATCAGCCAACTTTTCAGATAATGGTAAAAGTTTTAGATTAAAAAGGACAGTACAATTTTACATGTTCGACAAATTTATATTAGACTTTCCCATATAGTTTAATAAAATGACATACTTTATAGACCTAAACTCCTATGCTTTTGAATTCCTAGCATGAATAAATAGTAGAACATGTACACATAAATATTCATAGGTATATATGTGTATTGGTGCAATAACATATTCATGAACTATATAGGTGAATATATACAACATATATGCATAAATATGAATAATATATGCTATTATATGAATAAATCTGAACACTGTATGAGTTGTATTTATCTATATGCATTTACATGTAAACCCATTGAAATTAATCTTTATGACCAGAAGATCCATCACAGACAGTTACTTTTAAGTGAATAAACACTCATGAAAAATCAAGAAAGTGTCAGGAACAGAATTGACCTTTACTCATTTATTTTAACAGGTGTAATATTTGTATTTAATTATTTATGATGATACTTCGAAGGGAGCTGGAAATCACCTGTCCCATCTTTGAAAAGTAATAAAGTTTTAATAACAGGAGAGCATTCCTCATTTCTCTGCCAGTAAATCTGGACCAACAAAATGGGACTTTTCTAATAAGGGGAGAGGTGATGGCAAGGATGAGCAGGGGACTAAGGCATAAGGCTTGTAATTTGAGAAATAAGAATTGCAAGGTTTTGCCTGTGGATACAGAGAACATATGCACATCATTGTATTTAAATATACATGTATTAGAGGCTCATACTGGTTTGGAAGTGAAAGTTCTAAAATTACTCAGATATACAGCTATTTCTAAAAGGTCACAGTCAATTCACTGAATTAAGTTGGGTTTTTAAAAAGGGTTATTTAATTGAGTATAAGTCTCCCTCATTGCCCCAGCTCCCAATGGACAAATTCAATAGACACATAGATAGATTACATAGAGATAGATAGATAGATAGATAGATAAATAGAATTTTAGACCTTAGATATATATAATTCTTCATAGTTTACCTTTTACTGTGTATTTTATGTGTAATGAGTGTGCTGCAGTAACCAAGTCCTAGCAATAATACATATACATGTGAATACTCAAATATAAATACTGGCATCATTGGTTTGTGGTATTTTTTCCATATAAAATGTGATATTTTCCATTTTCATGATACTTTTCAGAGGAAAGGATCCATTCAATTCAGATATAAAAAATAAATAATAAATTAAGCATATACATTATTTTAAGTCAAGGAAGCCTTGGAGAGACATTTGAAACCTTGAGGAGGAATCTACTCAACCCTACTATTTGTTATTAAAAAACTTTTTTCAAATTGTTTTTAGACACAAGGTCTCCTGTGTTGCCCAGGCTGGTCTCTAACTAAAGAGTTCGAGAAGGACAGGGTAATAGGAGATGAAATCATATAACCATAACTATGATATTCCCCTAAATATTCTATAGGCAAGGTCTGCTTTTTGAGGAAAACATAATTTTGTAGGAAATAACGATGTTAGCAATGGCATCTTCAAATGGGAAAGAGAACTACTATGGAAATACTGAATCATAGGTTATGTAAATTGTCTACATGAAAAAAATTCCCTAGATATGTTATGCAATCAAATAACTAATACATATGATTCAATCAAAAGAACTTAAGACCCTATCAATAGAATGAAAAAAATTAAATATAATTAAAGCCTTATCTTCATTATTAGTGAATGTAAAACCATTTTTTAAACTTTTTTTTTTTGTTGTTTCATGAGTCACAAGTGCCTGTCACCAAAATCAAAGTATGTGCAAGTGAGCTGGAAAGGAGCTCCAAGATCACTGGCCATTATTTCCTTAATTTGCAGATGAAAAAACTCATGGTCAGAAAAATGCTCAAAAACTAGTATCATACAACTAACTGAAAAACTGGAACCCAGCCTTCTGACTTTCAGGCAACACTTTCTCATTACCTTACTTAGTAGAGTGCAGTAAATTTAAACTTTACATCATTGTTCGAAAGTAATGCATCTTGCATTTGATCTCAGGAACTCAGATTAAGTCAATGCTAATACACTGGCCCATAATCAAAGTATGAAAGCTGAAATAATCAATAATTCCCCTTCCGTGCTAAAGTATAAATAGAAGTTGATTCATTAATTCTCCATTAAATAAATTAATTAAACTCTGTCAACTAGTTTATTTACCCTTCGAAAGTTAGTGAGCATGCCATTAATCATTCAATAATGGAAAGTGAGTGGAGCCTAGACTCTTTGGTGAATCAATTGTATGACTTTGAACACGTTTTTGGACACTTCGGTCTGGTTTTCTGTATAAATCAAGTAGTGGCAAACCTATTGGAATGGCTAAAATAAGATGTATTGAATCAAGTGCTGATGAGAATGGCAAGCAACTGGATCTTTCACACATTTCTGGTAGGAATACAGAATGGTACAACCACTCCGGAAAATAGATTGGTAGTTTCTTATAAAATTTAATATATACTCATCATGGGATCCTGCAATCATACTCCTGAGTATTTACTCTAGAGAAATGAGTTCATGTTCACACAAAAACCTGTACACAAAGGTGGACAGCAGCATTATTTACAATTGTCAAAAACTGGAAAAAATGCAGTGATCAATACATAATATATACACAATTACTATGTGAGATATGTGCCATAAATAAAATTAACAGTGTAGAGAAATAACTTCCCTGAGAATTTAGCAGATAAGATGAACAGTGACATAAACGGAGTTAAAGAGGGAGCTAGAGTTTGATCAGACAAGATTTTGTAGTTATTTTAGATTTAGGTCTTAATCTTAAAAAACAGTGGAAAGTTGTTTCAAGCACAAGTAACTTTAAATATAAACTGAAAAGTAAGATTCAGTTTAATGTTTTCAAAAGATCATTCTGGCTTCAATAAAGAAAATTGATTGTGTGTTCGGAATTGGTATGTTCTTTGTCTCACTGACTTTAAGAATGAAGCCACGGACCCTCGCGGTGAGTGTTACAGTTCTTAAAGGTGGCGTGTCCGGAGTTCGTTCCTTCTGATGTTCGAATGTGTTCGGAGTTTCTTCCTTCTGGTGGGTTCATTGTCTTGCTGGCTCAGGAGTGAAGCTGCAGACCTTCGTGGTGAGTGTTACGGCTCATAAAGGCAGTTTGGACCCAAAGAGTGAGCAGCAGCTAGATTTATTGCAAAGAGTGAAAGAACAAAGCTTCCACAGTGTGGTAGGGAACCCAAGCGGGTTGCCACTGCTGGCTCGGGCAGCCTGCTTTTATTCTCTTATTTGGCCCCACCCACATCCTGCTGATTGGTCCATTTTACAGAGAGCCGAGTGGTCTGTTTTGACAGGGCGCTGATTGGTGCATTTACAATCCCTGAGCTAGACACAAAGGTTCTCCAAGTCCCCACTAGATTAGCTAGGTACAGAGGGTGGACACAAAGGTTCTCCAAGTCCCCACCAGAGTAGCTAGATACAGAGTGTCTATTGGTGCATTCACAAACCCTGAGCTAGACACAGGGTGCTGATTGGTGTGTTTACAAACCTTGAGCTAGATACAGAGTGCCGATTGGTGTATTTACAATCCCCTAGCTAGACATAAAGGTTCTCCAAGTCCCCACCAGAGTAGCTAGATATAGAGTGCCGACACAAAGGTTCTCCAAGTCCCCACCAGAGTAGCTAGATACAGAGTGTCGATTGGTGCATTCACAAACCCTGAGCTAGACACAGGGTGCTGACTGGTGTGTTTGAGAGGTGACAGCGTGCTGGCAGCCCTCAATTGGAGGTTACAAAGACTAGTAAGAAGGTTGTAGCAGTACAATAGGCCAGAGATGGCAGTAGCTTGAACAGTGTCTGATATGGTGTATAGATACAAGATGCTGCTGGAGGAATGGACTAGATTATGTGAAGGAGAGGGATATATCAGGTGTAGTTTCTATGCTTCTGATTGGGGTGATTTGGTTGATATAGTGATGCCATTTACTGAGATATTTTCGTTTTTATTTCTTATCATGAGTAGGTAATTGCTATAAGTAATCTATTGGGAAAATTAACTTGTACAGTCTATGTGATTGTACTCAGAAAACAAGAGGAATTCACTCAGCTATTTTGAAATGGCCTTAATAGAGCTTGCAAAATCTTGAATAGAATGTTCCAACTTAATCAGTCCCACTTAATTCATATCTTCTCCACTAATTCCCCTTCCTTTAAGAAAGCAAGTACTAGTTTTTATTTTTCTGCCCATAACTTCACAGCTACTTTTCCTACAACACTATCATTAATTAAAAATGGTGTAGATAAAAATAGACACTCCAAGCTAAAAGTCATTTCAAGTTGATAATTTTCTATGATTTGGGGTTAGAAGAGAATAAGAGGTAATTGTTTCAGGGTCTTTAAACACCTGGAGCATAGTGTTATTTATGACCATTTGAGAAAAGATAAATGACTTCTCCTGAGAACTCCTGCAGTGAAGGTAGATAACTCGTGTCATTGCTCTGTCCACTCTCATTACTACTGAATGCCGAATGCTCCTTTCAATGAGAAATGCGCCTTTGGATGGCAACTGTGACTTGGAGGAGCCTGTCGCAGAGGAATTAGGAAAGGAAGAGTGTAGATACAAAATCACTCCATTCCTAATTCAAAGGTCACGGTAAAGCAGGAATGCTACATTTCCCCCCCCTCCCCTTCACTTTATTCCTTCTTTTCTTTCTTCCGCCTTTTCCTCTTCTCCACACCTGCCAATCCCTGATTCTACATTTCATTTTCTCTTCTTTTCACTTTTTTTCTTCTTTAAAGAAAACTATGCCTTAAGCCTAACAGTAAAAAAAAAAAAAAAAAGAAAAAAAAAGAAAAAAAACTACAATTAACAAGTAATAATAAAAATAAATAACTCTCATGGTACTAGAAATAGTACATTTTATATATTCTCTTTTCACAATTAAAAATTAGTGATCCTTGGGATATGTTGTAATTCTATGATGTCAAGCAGCTGGTTTTTCAGAAAATGCAGTATGCTTTTTTTTTTAAAGTCAGTAAAAGGTACTCCGAACAATTTTTAAACAGACTAAATCATTCTCTTTCAAAATGACTATTTAGGTTTCATAGAGATATATTCTTATTATTATGGTTTTAGGTGTGTGGTCCAGTTTTTTTATTTGAAGATAACATGGGTGAAATTCACTGTTACTAGATCCCTCTCATTTCTCTGAAAGAGATAGTCTGATGTCTGAGTAATTTACAAGGATTTATGTGTAACACCTGGTTTAAGGTTTTGGCAGTTCTAATACGAATTGCCAAGAGGAATTTGCAACTTTCCTGAATTGCATTATTGGATCATACCCAGGAAGTAAAATAAACCACGTGGTGCTTTGATAGGAGGTAGTTGTAACACTCACAAACCAACATCCCTACCATCAATGTCTCCTTAAATCCTTTATGTGCATTTTCTAATTTCATCCTTACAATAATTGCCAGATGAATAAACAAAAGCATAAAGGCAAAGTAACTTTCCCAGGATTACTCAAGTGGTAAGTGGTAAAGGAGTCCTACAAACCAGAGAGTTTGAACACAGTCCTTGTTCTTGCTCATACTACAAATACATAAAAAAAAAAAAGAATGCCAAACAATACTGAAACTATCAGTCCAATTTGGTTCTTCTAAAAATGATATATGTGGGTTTGCGTATGTACAACACTAACAAAGCGAATTGAAAGGTAACACCAAAGAAAAGAGATATTTTATATAATTTTATATATTATATATTATATATAAATATATAAAATATATTTATATTTTATATATTTCTTTTTCATATGCATGGCGTATGAAATTTAGTCTTCCTAGTTTCCATAATATCTAAAATTTCTACTCTAAGTGTACTATTTTATGATCAAAAATGTTATTTACTAACTCAAGTTTTGGGAAGACTTTAAAAGAGCAATGGTTCCTAACAGATGTCCATTACACTGAAAATATCATTGCACTCTATGCAAGACACTTTAGTCACATATACTACAATTTCCCTCCACATACACTCTATACATCAGTTAACTAATGATTCTTCCCCTTTTGTGCCCTGAATCCTCCTGCCAATTTTTTCACTTTCATTATTCTGTCTCCTAAAATGCCTACTTAGCAGTTTCTGTGACGGATACAACTAGTGCTCAACAATTTCCATGTTCTTGTATACTTTCTTGACATACTTTGAGACTACATGTCCAGGACCTGTGTATGAGGGTGGTGGTGTATAACTCAGTCTTACAATGAAATGTGAGCAGAAGTAAAATATATGGTAAATATGTGATCAAAAATTATATATGAGGTTTTTTGGGTTGGTTGTTTCTCTCTACACTTTCTCTTTTCTTATCCAACAAAATTCAGTGGAGGATTCCTAAGACCATACAAGATATTGAGCCACTAGATGGAAGGGAAGCCTGCTTCTCAGATGAATGCAAGAGCAGAACCTCTCTATTGACCTATGACGACTGGCAACTTAACAAGAATTAACACTTTACTATGTTAAGCCACCAAGATCAAGAGAGTATTCTAGTAACTAGCTTACTCTGACAAAAATACCTACCTATCTTCCAAAACTTAGATAAATTGCTTGCTCAACTCTAATTGTGTCTTCAAACTGGTCCCCATATCTCCCTTATTAATTCCCCAATTATTTCTTCAAACTGGTCATTCCCAATTGTTCCTTCAAACTGGTCCTCACACCTTCCCTATGTGAAGTACAGTACTTTTCCTTGTAAGTTGTTCTGAGTAGTTTTATGAAAGAGCTGTTCCATAAACTCTGTTTCTAGTCTACAATGAAATAAAAAACATGCACCAGAATGTAAATCAAGGTGATGCTTACCTCACTGGTAAAATGTTGTTATAAAAAGAGAAAAAAAAGTCAGCTGATCTAAATGTGTGCTCAGTGATGTGTTTGATTTATATTCTTCTATTCTCATGAATCAGTAACAAAAAGTTTATAAACTTCCAGTAGTATGGAAACTGGATTTTTGAGTAGCTCTGTTTTAGAGCAGGAATGGTTGTCTATTAGCTTACATTTGACTTATGTCTTATCTTCACTGCTAGATTGTACATACTTTGCATCTGGAATTATATTTTATTCATCATAGATTTTTCCACATTGTCTGGAAAACAGCAGATGTTCAGTAAGTGGAAAATAAATGAATGTAAATAAGTAAATTTGATGTGTTTTGAAGAAGTACATGAAATGTCATTGGGTAATGAATCTTTCAGGAATCACTAGGTGATCACCAAAGGATACATGTTTTATGGGTAGTCTTCTTGTGTTTTCTTCTAGGTAAGCACTTCCGTTTGGGGGGAAATTTTGTCCCTTAGGGGATATTTGGCAATCTCCAGAGATATTTTTGTTTATTGTAATTGGAAGGGGTGTTATTGGCATCTAGTAGATAAAGACCAGAGATTCTGTTAAATATCTTATAATGCATAAAGCAGAACCCCACAACAGACTTAGTGCAAATGTCCCAAATTATACCAACATGTCAACAGTGCCAAAGTTGAGAAACCCTGATCCAGACCCCTAAAATCTAAGTACTATTTCAATATATCCAAAGGATATAAATCCAAATGACACTGGTCCAACATTTTGCAATATCAATTGGTGTTCAAAAATACGTAGTCCCATAAAATAAATGTAAAGACATTTTATTAAGCAGGAAAGGTATTTATTGAAATAGAGTTGCAGCCACTTGGCTGTTTACTGAATGATGTTTTCTCTGTGCCTAGCACTGGTGTGCATCCTGTGGAATTTATAAAGGAAGCTTGAGAGTCAGCCCCTGATCTTAAAGACTTAGTAGTCTAGTTGGAGCAATAAATGAATGATGCAAAATATTATGACAGACTATTTAACTGCTAAAACATGTGATAACATTTAGACTTTTTGTGCAACTGAATTCTGAAAGCAGGGAAAGGGCATATATACCTCAATAAGAAAACCAATAACTCTGAATACATGTTCTATTATTGATCATTGTCAATATTTTGACTTATGTCCTATGCCTTATTATTCTTTCACACTTAGAAATATATTTTGGGGTTAAGTGAAATAGCTAAAAGGAAAAAAGTTCCTTTCCAAAATCATTTTGTCCTTAGGGTAGAGGAAGAAAAGGCCTGGTGGATTAACAGGTAGCCATTCCTTTACTGAAGGGATATATTCTCTCAGACACTCATTCTGTTCTTTTCTTGCCATCCTTCATCACCCTGCCAGATACGTTAATGATCAAGTGTAGCCTGCAAGAAAAAGCAGTTTCTTCTCCTTTCAGGAGCTAGTGTACAATTAGTCTCTTGCAAGAGTCTCCTTTTCATCCCACTGGAGAAACAGAATGGTGGAATAGGAGTCACACTATGTTTTTTTTTTAACTCTTGAGTTTTTACAGAAGAGATCTAAGGTCTAGTGGGCATTAGGAGCTGAAAAAGGAAAAAGCTGCTCATTTGCCCAATAAGTCATAAGAGAACTAGACAATCATCTATTCACTTAATTTAGCATGTGATAAAACTGAGACCTAAAGAGTGGAATAATTTCTGAAGGCCACTCAGTATGTGAGTGACAAAAGTAAGAGCTTTGAAACTCGTGCTTTTTCCAATAATGTTCGGAGCCCAAGAGCTGAATGAATCCAATCACTGTGGTTCTTTTTGAAGATCAGAGAAGAAAAACTAGGAAGGAAGATTGAAATGGTTAAGGGATCCCTGGTTCTCCAAATAACCCAGAACTCCACCCACATATTGGGAAAGCACCCCAACTTCCTCTCATTTTCCAGCTTTTTTGTTCAGACCTATATGGAGTTTCATTAGTGAACACAATTGTCAGGTACCTCCAACAGGGAAATATAGTTTTTTAAACGACCTCCTCCCCTCAACAGAAGGACAATTGTTGGCCTTGAACAGAAGGGAGTGGTTGGTGGCTGGCGAGAGAGAAAGCTTCAGCCCTAGTTCCATGCCTTTCTGGTTTTGATTGCTTAAATTAAGCCCTGTACCTATCTCCATGATAGCTCTTATTAATATGTATTTATTATAATTGTCTAGATGCTTGTCACCCAACAAGATTCCCAGCTTCCTAAGAATGGTTTCATGACTGTGGCACTGTTGACATTGGGGTTGAATGATTCTTTGTTATGTGATGGTCCTGTGCATTGCAGGATGTTTAGCAGCTGCCCAGGTCTCTACCCACTGGATGCCAGTAGCACCGCACCACACCACCACCAAGTTGTAACAACTAAAAATGTCTCTGCACATTGACAAATGTTTCTTGGGGTGGAAGGTAAATAAAAGACCTTTTCTGGTTGAGAACAGCTGTCCCTAAACATGAATATGATGTGTTAATCACCTTTGAATCCTAGCACACAGCTCAGTGGATCATGAACAATGGTGCTCACCAAAGATTTCACCAATCAATCTGATAATTCACTGGAGTATAGGAGCTTAAGTCTCAGAAGTGATGCATTACCTACATTTGCTAGGTTAATATGAAGGAGCACTTCTTCCCCCCAAAAGATCTCCTTTTGGAGTGCCTTCTAGTTCTATTATTATCTGTAATAAGGGTATTTTAATTTTGTAGGTCCTCATCAATAATTCTCAAGGTTCTTGTGCAAAAGAATCAACTAGAACACCAGTCATCAACACTTGATACACCCACCAGTGAAGCTTTTAAAAATGTAAACACAATCTGTGTCCATTGTTACTAGTAATGGTCCTATTCTAGGGCCTTGTCCTAGTTCATCTGGGATGCTAAATTCCAGGTGGTCGGTGATGATTGCCACAATAATCAGTTTGCTCTCAGGAGAAAAAAATAAATAACAAAGACATTCAAGGGTTGTACAAGGATGGGGGAAAATGAATTGCAGAACTTATCTGTAACCATTCTCCCAGCTTCAATAACCCTGACGCCCTTAATGAGAAAGAAATACCAAGGCACAGCTGGGGATTAAAGTCAAGCCTCCCAGGCCCCTGCATGTTTTATACCAGCAACTCTCCCAGGCACAAACCATACAGAACCCAGGCCGAATGCAAGCCCTCAGGGCCTGGCCCTGGCAGTCAGACTGGATTAGAAGAGAATGCAAATCTGACTCCACTAGGAAGAAAACACAAGGCATCAGGGTAGCAGTCGCCTCTCTTCTGCATTGTTGGGAACAATCGCTACCGTTTCAGGAGCAGAGACAGCAGCCCTTGTGAAATTTGTTCTCCACTTGCTGAGCTTCAGTTTAAATTGGAAACTCAATTTATTGCTGTGCCCCTTCAGAAGTCAGTGGTGGAGCTAATGGGAGATTTAGATTTAGTGAAAGTGGAAGTGGGGAGGATGGGAAGGAGTTGCATGGAGAGTAAACAAGGGAACTGCTGGAGGGAAGTAACCACAGAAAGGGTTGTGGGTATGAGGAGCAGTTCCCTCTTCTATCCTCTGCACTTTGCTTCTTGCTAAGTGTCTCTTTTAATGAGGTACCCCAGTATTGTAGTGTTTTCCTGCAGGGCAGAGAGGGAGGAAGTGTGACAACAGTTTCATTAGGCCAAAGAGCAAGATAAAGCCCTTGGGCTCCTGTGCCTCCAGCCTGAGTGTCCCTTGTGGTGGTAGTTAAGCCCCTCTCCTCACAGGAAAGGGCACATGGAAGAGAGCAGTTTCCATTGGGGAGCTCACAGAAACCAAAGATTGGGGGCCTGTTAAATTGCCTCCAGCCCTGCCTTTCACCACTGACTCCCTGTGACCTTAGGCAATTCCTTTAACCTCTCTGAGCCTTAATTTTCTCTTTGGTTAAATAGGATAAGACTAATGTTCAAACTTGCTCACCTCAAAGGACCATTTGAGACTGAAGTAAGCTCAGCAATGGCACTAGGTAATATTTCACTACTAGACTTTTAGGGGAGGGTGAGGTTGCACACATAGGACCACAATAAGCTCATGACCACCTCACTGTGAGGTTCTCACTTTACACAGACGAGTCTCCTTCATCTATGAAGCCTCAGCATTTAGCCTAGTACCTGGAATAATAAGAGCTGCCCTTTCTTGAATGCCATATTGTGTACCATATTCCATTCTTGGCACTTTTTGAACATTAGCTCATGTAAGCCTGAAAACATCACATGAGGGATGAAAGAAGTACTATTATTACCATCCCCATTTGAAAAAATGGTGGAAGTTTTCAACATCACTACAAGAGATGAAGCTCAGGTCTCCTGCCCTTGAATCTAAGAGGGCCTGTGACTGCTTTGACAACCATATCTAGATGGACAAAAGCTTTCACATATTACCTTGCCAAGTTCAAGTTCAGGCTAGTGTTTAACCCCAAATCCAAACTTCTCTCTATGAGTGTCCTTTCTTTTTGAACAAAATTCAACAATAACCCATCTCATTTTATTATTTTTTTAAAGCGTGGAATCCCTATTCTACCTCAGGAACAGAGAACCATAGTACAAACTAACCATGTTAATTGGTCATGAGGTCAGGGTAAGCCTTGGTCCCATATAAGCCAATATTATTACTGAAGTGCTTAGAGTCTGGAATCTGATTGTCCCTATTGCAGTTCAGCAACAAACATCAATACATTCTCATAACCTGAAAAGGGAAAAAAATAGCACCCTCGATTCCCTTTACTTTTTCAGCCCACTGACATTCATGGTTTGTTGGCTTCCCATTAACAAGTGGGAGAATCCATATCACAATAGGTGCTGATTTGCCTGACCCTCACAGAAAACACTGAGTTGTATGTGTTCTCTGCAAGTTAAAGAAGAACAGGAAAACCTATGATAATGTATCATCACTAAGATGCATCCCCAAAGTCCAGAGGAACCTTCATGCTAATGACTTCCTTTCCTTTCTTTCCTTCCCTCCCTTCCTCCCTTCCCCCTTCCCTTCCCCCCTCCCTTCCCTCCTTCCTTCCTTGCTTCCTTCATTCATTCCTTCCTTCCCTTTCTGCTTCCCTTTCCCTTTCCGTCCTTCCTTCCCTCCCTTCCTTCCTTCCTTCCTTTCTTCCTCTCTTCTTTCCTTCCTTCCTTCCTTCATTCCTCTCTTCCTTCCTCCCTCCCTCCCTTCTTTCCTTCCTTCCTTCCTCCCTCCTTCCCTCCCTCCCTTCTTCCCTCCCTCCTTCCTTCCTTTCTTCTTTCCTCTTTCTTCTTTCTTTTTTGCTTCCCTTTTTCTTTCTTTCTTCTTTTTTCTTTCTTCCCTTTCTTTCCTTCTGTCTCTCTCTCTACTTTTTTTTTAAGAGATGGAGACTGTATTAGGCTGTTCTTACATTCCTATAAAGAAATACCTGAGACTTGATAATTTATAAAGAAAAGAGGTTTAATTGGCTCGTCGTTTAGCAGGCTGTACAAGCATGGCACCAGCATCTGCTCAGCTTCTGGGAATGCTTTGGGGAACTTTTATTCACAGCAGAAGACGAATGGGAGCAGGCACATCACATGGCTGGAGCAGAAGCAACAGAGAGAGTGTGGTAGGAAGGTGCCACACACTTAAACAACCAGATCTTGCAAGAACTCACTACTATCTCTAGGACAGCACCAAGCCATAAGTGATCCACCCCCATGACCCAAACACTTCTCACAAGCTCCACCTCCAACACTGGGGATTACAATTCAACATGAGATTTGGCATGGATACATTTTCAGACTCACTATGTTGCATAGGCTGGAATGCAGTGGCTATTTATAGGTGCAATTACGGCACACTACAGACTCGGACTCCTAGGCTCAAGTAATCCTCCTGCCTCAGACTCTAAAGTAGCTGGGACTATAGCACACATGCTAATAAATCATTAGCAAATGATTTATTAAAGGGTTTTTAGCCGAGATGTTTTGAGCCTGAGAGTGCAAAAACCTCCTAGTTTTTCAGTTCAAATGTCTGTCCCAGTAATTCCAAGGAGATCATATTCATTTGTATAGCCTTACTTGGCCACTTGCCATCTAAGGGACAAAACACTGGGACATTAATTGCTCATGTCTCATTTTGTGAATATCTCCTCCTAAGCTATTAACTTTCTCCATTCCCTATGCCTGGAATGCCCTCTGTAACCAGACCTCTCCACTGGTCTAAATGTTGTGCTTCTTGTAAGGCATCATTCTAGTTCAATAATCTCCACCAAGCATTCCTCTCCAAAATGCTGTTGTCTTCTGAATACTAGCAACATTTGCTCTAGATATTGTCTCCATCGGCCATTTTTTAAAAATATAACATGTGTCATGGTTAATTGCCGTCATAGACACCCTTCTTCCCACATAAATAACAAGCCATATGAGGAACAGAGAACCATCTGAAAATTTATACTATCACTAATAATTGTGGGCTTGGTGCATGTCTGTTATTTAGTAGTAAACAGATCATACACAAGAAAGTCATTGTAGTCAGGTAAGAATAAGATCAAATGGAGAGACAGAAAAGGGGGTTCCAGTCCTGGCTCTGTCATAATGAATAGACTGTGGCCATGTCATTTCCTGTGTCTAGAACTCAGTTTCCTTTTCTATAAAAATGTTGGCTTAGACAAGATGGCCTCTCAGTCCCTTTGAACTTTACTCTGAGATCCACCCATAAGTCAGTAACATGAAAAGAAAGTTTCTCTGTTTGAGAGTGGCATGCTTATTGGTTAACATATGCTAAAAGAGATGATGCTGAAATCTTTGTGACTTAACACAATATGAGTGGATTTCTTGCTTGCATAAAATCTAATCTGTGGCAGGAGCTGGGCTGTGCTCCACACAACCAGTCAGGGGCCCAGACAGATGGAGGCTCTTCAAATTCAACAAGGCTTCCAAAATCTCCCTGGGAACAGACATCAGGAGAGGGGAGAGAGGTTCTTGCATAGGAAGTAGAGTTTCCAGATGAAATACAGGGTGCCCACTTAAATTTGATTTTCAAATAAACAATGAATAATTTATAGTAGATTTGTGTGGTATTTAATTACCTGAAATGTAAGTTAACTGGACATCCCATGTTTTATATTTGCTACATTTGACAACCCTGCCAGAAAGTTTTTATGTGTCAAGCCTTAAAATGGTGTTCATCACTGCCACTAACCTTCTATTAATCAGAAATTAGTCACTTGATCCCACCTAGGCACAAGTGATACCCTTGCAGGGCAACTGCTTCCTGGAAACAACTCTACACCTATAGTTTTATTTGCCCTAGAGGGCAGCTAGCCACCTATGCCACTGCATAGTATTATATAAGCCTGGCTGACTGAGGAAGAACCCAAAGGAAAATAAATTATGTTTACGTATCCTTTTTTCTTATGATCTGAAAGACTTGGCATTCTTAACATGAATGCACTGAGGCTGAATACTGGAGGAAACAGGTATTTTATTCCATTCTGAGGTTAAGAAAATGGAGCCTAAATATATCAAGACAGTTTACTACCACTCTGAGAAAAAATTAGAATCAATATTTACTTCTTTTTCATTTGCTTTAATTTTCAGATCACATACATTGCCTCTATTTACATATTCTATCCTCACTCAAAAGATTCTAGAATGTCATTCTGATTGAATGAGACTGGTTGTTCTTTGTATTAATTCTCAGTTCTGTCATTCCATTTTCTTCATATTATTTGGATTAACTACTAGTTGTTATACTGAGAAATAAGATTAACCCTTGTTTTGCTAATCAAAAGTTAAAATTAACCAACTGCTATTACATAAACTGACCAGCTTTCTTCTTGGCTCTGAAAGCGATGCCAGGAATAAACCTATTACTATGTAAAAATATCTCACCTACTGTGGCTAGCCTCCAAGAAATAGAAAAAGTCTATAATGTCTGAAAGCTAATGTGGAGTTGGGGATGGATGGGCCAGACTGCAAGATAAATGGAAAGCAGTGTGGTCTGTAGAGTGTTCGAATTTTTTTTTCCAAAAGGAATTTTTTACCCCAGGCCAGAAGCCTTTGTGTCAGGGAGACTGTCTCATTTCTCTGCTCAAAGGCTGTCAGAGATGACTGAGATTTGAGAGCAGTTTCTGATGTTGACGAGGTCAAGGGAGGCAGCACTGCAAACCATCAGTCACTGCCTCAATGGTGAGCCGAGGAGACACGTGAGCCCCACAGTGAAACCTGGAAAGCTGTTTTCTCTGGAGGAACAGGGGGAAGAGGGGAGGTGCAGAAGAGAGAAAGAAAGAAAAGACATAGGTCAAATGGTCATCACGAAATTTATGGCATTAGTATTCAGCTGGAATCAGAGAAACTTTCTCAATTCTAGGTGGAAATATTCAGAAGAAAGATGTGGGCTAGAGGCAAAAATCATATTAATATTATTCTGCTTAATCAATATATAAAACCCTCCAATGTGCTTTTGTAAGCCTGCTTTATAAAGTTAGTACCTGCAGTGATTCTGATTCCATCTGATCATGTTTTCTAACAGCACAGGTCGGGAGCTTCCAAACTTAGACCATGGGAGCTCACTAATGGTGACGTGTTCCCTGCTTTAGGGATTTGCTGGTTTTACATAAAGCTGGTCAGGCTACAACCCAGCCACCTTACTTTTCAAAATCAGGCATGGGCTCAGCAGAAGCAAGTCTCAGGGGACAGAGAAACAGTCTGCCCTGAGAAGGATGGATCAATGGAAGTCATCATGTGCCTCCTCTTATATGTCAACCCCCTAATATGGGTCAACCCAGGGCCAGAAGTTTAGAAGCCTTAAAGCTGTGAGTGGATCCTGAAATCTTGTATGGTAAATTGAGTGTCCCAGATTTCAGTGCCTGTCTGGGATAAAATGAAAGGAACATCTCAAACTCAGTGACTTAGCCAAATATCTTTATATCCTTTCTGAAACTTCAAAGGCTATGCAACCCAAGTCTGTATAGAGTCTACATAGAGATGTAGAGAAAAGGTATGATCTTTCTGTTAGAAATCCATAAAAATACTTCCCAATTTGGAGGATGTTTCTCCTCCTGAATCCATCCATCTAGTTCAGTGGTTCTGAATTGGAGAGGTACAGGGTGGTTGCCCCCAAGGGACATTTAGCAATGTCTGAAGATATTTTGGGTTGCCATGACCAGGGGTGGGATATGCTACTGGCATCCCCTGGGTAGAAGCTGGGGATGCTGCTAAACATTCTACAATGCACAGGGCATGCACACCCCAATTATATGCCTGAAAATGTTAGCAGTGCTAAAGCTGAGAAACTCTCATTAATTGGGATTGGAATACCCTCACCAGACATGAAAAAACCCCTCGAATCTTCTCATCACTATCCTGAAATTGTGATCTGGGGCTCATACACTTGTACTCCTTTGCACCCCTTCTTTATTTTATTTTATTATTTCTCCTGTCCCTCTTTTTCTTCCGTCTGGTAAGTACCAAACTTAGTTTTTTAAAAATTCAATTGTGAGGTAGAAAGTTCCATGCTTCTGTTGTAATAATAATAAAAGGGTCTGTTTCTTTTCGCCTCCATAAAAACCATGTTAGACAACTCTGAATTGGGGCAACTGAGTTGATCAAAGGGAGAATTTGATAAATGTGACTTTGTCAAACCCTTTGGAATTGGGCTAACCTGACATCAAAGAATCCTACAAGTTTTTGTCTTTTGAGGATCCTAATAGGGTGAGAAACCTGGAAAAAGCCAGCTGGCCTCCTCTTACCCTCATCCGTGGGCTGGAGACAAATTCAGAAAGTTTTCCATTTCTCTCCACTGTCTTGCATTTTAAGACTCATATTCTATGTGACATGGGGATTTTAGAGCTCCTGGTAGCCCATATTAGCCTTTTTAGAACTTGACATGAAATGTAAATCCTTCATTCTTGAATTACTTCTTGGACTTTCTTTTCAGCACTACTGCTTCCAGTGTTTCGTCTGTTTCCTCTTGTAGATCTTCCAAGAGGGACCTTCATTTTCTCTTTGCCTGCCCATTGCTCTCATTTCTCTGTCCTCCCTTTGATTTATAATGACTCTGAATTCAGTAGCATCTGCATGTGTATAACATGTGTTTGTAGTTCCCTCAACAGGACTATAAATAAAAATGTTAAATAGCACTAACCACAGCTCTGCCTGTTCCCTGTGGTCCCCCACCAGGCACCTTGCCCAGCTGGGTGCACTGCCATTTATCTTAACTTTGCCTCCAGTTTCTTGGCTCAAGTTCTTAATTACTTAAAAGGTAATGCGGTTTCTAATAGCAGTTGTCAGCATCTTTAAAGTTAACTATATTTCTAAATACTTCCATTGTCTTTTCTTGGTGGCTAAAACCTTAGTGGGGGTTTAGCAACTCAAACTGTGCAATACTGTTCTCCAATACTCCAAGCATTGAGTGGTCGGTCTGTAAGGTGACTCTCAAAGCACTATATCCTTTGTAAACTTAAATCAGAGGTGACTAAACTGTCAAAGCATCTGCATGGTTCTTTGGATACCACAGAAAGTGACTTTGTGGCTCATAGTATCCCTAGTCCCATCTCTTTCCTTCTACCATGTTGTCAAACATCAACTGCAAACCTTCTCTACTCATCTTTCCTCAGAGGATCCCTCAGATACATGTGAGGCAGGTAAACCACAGCTACCCAGTGTTCTGTGAGACTGCCCAGGAGGGAACCTGATGGAAAAAAATCAAGGCATTCTTTGCAAGGAGCCTTTCCACACCACTCTAGTCCTGCATGCAAACTTGTCAGATTTTCCTTTTGAAAACTGGTTTCCCAAACCCAGTTTTAGAGAATCAGGTTATTTTCCAATGACAATTATTTCAATGTAGTTCTGAGATCTTTGACAATGTGAGCCTTGAGATACGGCCCACAGATGCATTTCCTACAAAATGTAATTATGCCCATGTCAATCATTACCTATTTTTCTAGATTTCAGGTTAAATAATTTATTCAACAGATATTAATTACATGCCTACTATGGCTCCAACATTACTCTATGTGTTGAAGATGGAGTGCTGAACAAGAGAAAAACTTCCTGTTTCCATGGAGTCTAAAATTCTAATGGGATGAGATAAACTAAGAAATGAGGAAATGCTGGTATATCGACAGGAGGTTGTAAGCACTGTTAAGAAAACTAAAGCAGTGCAAGTAATAGCAAGTGATGGTATAAGGAAATAAAGTGGCTGTTTTAAGGAGGATGATGAGGGAGGATCTCCCTGAGGCCTAGTATTTAACAGGGATCTGAATGAAAAGAGGAAGCCAGTCCGGTGAAGATCTGGGTGCAGTGCATTCTAGAGGGGAAGTTCAGAGGCTTGAGATGGCAACAAATCCAGCACGGCCAAATAACAGCAAGGTCAGAGTGACTGGTGCAGAGCCAGAGAGAAACAGCGGCCAACAGACAGACTGAGCCAGACCACGTGGATCCTTGTGGAAAGAACTGTGTAGGTACATATTAGTTTCCTATGGTTGTTGTAACAAATTATCACAAGCCAGTGGCTTGAAATGACAGAAATATATTCCCTCACAGTTCTGGAGGCCAGAAATCTTAACTGAAGTTGTCAGCAGGGTTGGTTTCCTCTGGAGGCTGTGAGGGCAAATCTGTTCCATGCTTCTCTCTAAGCCTCTGGGGGCTGCTGGCAATCCTTGGTATTCCTTGGCATACTTGCCTCAGGGGGGTGTGGGTGAGTCTCTGGGGAAAGGCCAGTAGAGAAGGTTTGCAGTTGGTGTTTGACAATGTTGTGAAAGGAGGGAAATGGAACTAGGGATACTATGAGCCAAAAAGTCACTTTCTACGATGTTCAGAGAAACCAGCAGATGCATTCCATCACTCAGATCTCTGCCTTTGTCTTTACATCACCTTCTTCTCTGCATCTTCCAAATCTTTCTTTGCTTTTCTAAGAACATCTGTCATTAGATTCAGAGTTCACTCTAAACCCACAGTGATCTCATCATGTAGTCCTTAATTACATCCATGAAGATCTGTTTTCCAAATGAGGTCACAGTAACATGTTCCAGGCATCAGTATATGGACATGTTTTTGGAGGGACCACTACAGTGGGCCAGTAGAGGATTTGAACAGAGAGTCAACATAATCTGATATGTTTTAAAGAATCATTCTGTCTACTGTATAGTCTGGAGGCGACAAGGGTGAAAGCCTGGACACCTAACGAAAGGCAGATGACACATGCTTTCCCACGGATTACACTGCTTTTCATCTGCCCTTTTGTTTGGGGATAGCAAGGCTTTGGGACAGCCTAATTGCAGAACTAAAGTAAGAATAGAAAACAACAGATTTCTTTTTCACACACAGGAGGGTAATTATGAATATTCTAATATGACAGGCAATATTGTATATTCACCAAACTTTCAGTTAGAAAAGCTCAAGGTTGACCACCTATATTGCAAAATGTTCATGCAATCATGTTGTAGACTACTATGCTTATAATTATCAATAATAATGACTATTTATGAAGTACTTTCTAAGTGCCAGGCACTCACTGATGTAGTTGCTTCAGCCACATTCTTTTGCATCGAATTTTTGCAATATTCATGTCTTAGTACATTCGGACTTTTATAACAGAATAGCTTAGACTGGGTGGCTCATAAACAACAGACATTCATTTCTCACAGTCTGGAGACCAAGAAGAAGATTTGGTATCTGATGAAGGCTTGCTTTCTGGCTCATAGATGGCATCTTCTTGTTGTGTCTTCACATGGTAGAAGGGAGGCGGGGTCTCTCCTGCACCTTTTTTATAGGGACATTATCCTATTCCTGAGGGCTCTATCATCATGGCCTAATAACTGTCCAAAGGCCCCACCTCTGAAAAGTATCAATTTGATGGCTAGAATTTTAACATGCATTTTCCAAGGACACAAACATTCAGGTCATAACATTCAGCGAGGCAGATATCATCAATTCTATTTAGCTTGTAGGGTCTTACAGTTTGGATATTCAAATCTGGAGTTATTATGAGCTACAGTTTGGGCTCTAACCACTAACCTGCATCATTATCAATAATTCTTTTTGAAAATTCTAATTTAGTATCAGTATTGAATTGCACATTTTAAATACTGGATTTCACCAGAGTCTGGATTCAGTTCACAATTCAATCTGCTCACTTAAACAATAACCATGTAGATGTGGCTGTTTCCCCTCATCCACTAAGAGAACTTGGGTAAAAGCCCAGTCTGCTTCCTAATGGTTTATCATATTTCAGAGGTAAGTGGTCCTCTCCAATATGAGAGGGTGCCAGGTGTGCCATATGTACCTCTTACAGTAAAACAAGTACTTTTACAGTTTTAGGTTCTAGACAGTCCTTAGAAAAGAATCTTCTCATTTTACAGATTAGAGGAACAAAGACCAGACTGACCCTAAACCAGTTTCTCCTGAATCCTCCCCAGTTTGGCCTTCTCTTAGCATTACCACTCTTTTAGTGGAAATCAGTTAATGGAGATTCACTGCTATATTTCTATTTTTAATATATTTAAAATATCAAATTTGGTAACACTTAGAGAAGTGATGATCATTAGTGGCTATTTTGATCCCACAAAAATAGACTAAGTATCTCCTGATGGAAATACACCCGGGAAGTCATGTTGCTCCTCCTGCCCTCCAAACAATCCAATCTAAAATGATCAAGCTTCTAGATCTAATCATGGATTTATAGGAAATACAAGGCATATTCAACAATACTGTGAGCATGCACTCAACAAACTCCAAATGGCAAGAAACTCACAAAACAATTTATTAAATTTATTGAAAACTCTAAAAAATTAAAAAGGAACTTTTAAAAGAGTGAAGAGATATACCAACCAACAATAATATATGGCAAGCAAACAGACTGTTAATGAGTTGTATTATACAATTACAAATTTACAGAAACTATAAGGGACAGAGAACATATTAAATAATACCATGACTAAATATTGGTGAAAAGAAGAAATTATTTATTGTCAATTATTTTATGTGTAACAATAAAACTATGTTCATATTTTTAGTCCTTGCCTCTTAGAAATATACATTTGGGAATATTTACATATGAAGCAATAGTGTGTCTTGGTTTTCCTTCAAAATAATCTGAGGAGTGGGGGTGTTCCTGAAACAAGCCCAGACATGAGTTCCAACTGTTGAAGTGGGTAATTGGCACATCAGGATCATGATACTGTTCTATTTTTATTCATGTTAAAAATTTCCAACATTAAAGTTAAGAAATCACCTTAAGAAGTCCTTAAGATTATGTAAGAGATGAAACAAAAGTTTTACTCATTGAAGAAATTTGTAAAGCACAGAAAACTATAAAATAATTTTTCCAAAACTACTCATATTGTTGCCTATTTATGATTCCCTGTTAGATCAGGCACCAAACGCTTTGGAGGCTGGCTGCCTGCTTTCAGGGACTGTATTCTTATATGAGTGGCAGATAGATATTCCTCACCAAATAGAACTAAGAGCTTCTGCAAAGTTTGAAGAAGTTGATCTTTCAAAATATTTTTCATTATTTATGTGATTAAACATTATTTCAAAATATTTCTCATTATCAAAGTCTCTGCATGTTCCCATATCTCCAGGTCAAAACAGAAGCACTACCCAAGAAATAAACTCTCCTAAATGAACTTCAGTGAGTAGCTGCAGAGGACCAAACCTGGGTCCAGGTTTGCAAACCAAATGTTTTAGTGCAGCATGAGCTCCCATATAAACACCTGCTGGACTTAGCATCACTTCAGTGGGATCTTGCTCCTTTTTTCCTCTTATCTTTCCTTATACCAGGTACAATAATACCATAATCAAGCAGCTCTGCCTGAAACTTGGAATTTACCCTCCTTTAGAGAATAGGCCAAAAAAGAAAAAATTGAGGGGAGTTATGCAGAACTTTACCATCGTCACTGCCATTTAAGACCATTATCCCAAATGGTCTGAGAAAGTCAGCTGCTGTGATGGACAAGCTCTGCGTGCTTCTCCACTGAACATGCTGGATCTTTTTGCAGTTAAATCCTGTCATAATGAGCACACA
This sequence comes from Homo sapiens, assembly GCF_000001405.40. Lineage (NCBI taxonomy): Eukaryota > Metazoa > Chordata > Mammalia > Primates > Hominidae > Homo > Homo sapiens. The sequence continues at coordinate 51,261,943 of NC_000006.12, read as the reverse complement.
AATGCAGCCTGTTTTCCTTCCTATGGACAGCATCTTTCTGGCTGCTGCCTCTGTATCAAACAGCTGTGTCATTTGTCGCTGGGACTGTTAAGACAATTTCCCCATTCTAACAAGATTTTACTCTTGAGTAAAATAATTTTTCTCAGTATGGCTTCAGATTTTTTCTACATCAGTAATCAGTTTTCATTGAAGGGTGGATTTTTCCCCACGTTCGGAAGTGATTTATATTAGGTATTTAAAGGCAAACATAGACATTTTTATTGCTTTTTTTTTTTAAATTTTTTAAGCAAGCAAGCAAGCAAGAGAAATACAGCAACAACTTGGAGTAGATTTACAGTTAGTTCCTCCACCCTTTCTCTTGCCCTGAAGCCTGATGGGACTTGAGTGTCCTTGGAGGAATGGCAGAGGGAAATGCTAGGGGCCGATTGCTGATTTTATCATTCAAACACAAAATTTGTTACACCACTTTATCGGTCACAGGGAAAGCAATTATATTGTGGTTCAATTTTCCACTCAATGGCTGTACTGGGGACCAAAGTCAGTTTTTATGATGGGAAAAAATGTTTTGCTATTTTATTTGTTACTTAAAATAAAGAAGCGTCTTTAGTATAATGCTTTCAGAAGGTTTTCCTCCCCCCTCTCCCACCCCTTCATGAGATACAGTGGATTATTTTGGCTTTCCCCCTTCCTTTGATTAAATAATCAGCTTTCTTTCTGTCCTCTAAAGCGTATTTCAATGTAGAAATGAAATTGGCACGCTTTAAGGCAACACAGCATTAGGACTCTAATCACAGCCACGAAGGGCAGAACCCACTCTATGCTATTTACTCTTTTCGTGACTAGTACTTTTTCAAAAGAAGCCAGCGTTATAATGGATGCTCTGTGTGTACTGTTGTGTGTTGTGCCTACCTGTGTACTCCCACCCATCTTCCATGTGAGATAATTAGCCCACCTTTCAGTTGTATTTATCACTTTCTTTTTACTATAGAAAAAAAATATGTAAATGGATTGGGTGTGGAAGAAGGTTCATATGGAATTGTAAGTGAAAGTAACATACTTTAACTCAAAAAATAAAATATAATATTTTTTCTTCAATTATAATTATTTTCTTCTCTTATTGTCTATCTTCATTTCATTGAGAAAATTAAAGTAAAATTTAAGAGATCAAAACCAAGAAAAGATTATTATTATTTTTGCACAAAATCTAACTTCAGGACTAGTCAGTTACTAGCCCTTTTTATTAAATATTTATTATTTTTATATCCAGAAATTCAGTGATAAGTTGTTGTTATTTTTTAAATAGTGCAAGGGGGCTACACAGTCTGTAACAGGACTGAATGGTGAAGTAAAAACCAATACTTTTTATTACACACTTATTCATAATTTTTGAGAAAAAGGAGACAAGTGAGACAGTTTCTTATTATATTATATATTTTTCTCTTTCAAAAATATCACGTTCAACCTCACATTTCTGGCTGGTTTCAGCTTTTACAATTTGATTGCGATCCTCTTCATTTTTTCTGGTCTCCTGCTAATTGCCTCCAGGCTCAAAGAGTCTAACAACATATCCCCCGAATCCTGGAGCAGAGAATTCTGGAATCTGCTGTAGGTGACTAATTATGGCAGCAGCTGAGTGATGGTCTAGCTACCACAGGACACTTTTGTCCTCACAGTAGAGCTTCCGGCGATGGCAGGGAAGATGTGTGTGAGGCACCATAAAGGTTTCTGTTAGAGCCAGGCAAGTGCACCAGGTAGGGAGAAGCACTACAAGCCCCCTGGTGTCTGCCTCCCTCACTCCATTTTCTGCCCATTCTTGGTACTTGTATCTGGGTTTTCTGTATGGATTAGGGTGACTGTAAATGCTGACAGTAGGAGAGTCCACCTCTCAGCAGTTTTCCTACAGGCTTTCCCCTCTCATATGAATTTACAGTCATTTTTATATGGCACTGAGTTTTATGATGTGGAGCAGGAAACTGGGCTACAGAAACAAGCAAACAATTGTACCTGAGAAAAATATTTCTGATTATTATAGCTACTGTTTATTGAGAGTTTATTATGTGCTAGCATCCGCATACATATTATACTTTATATCCTTGGCCCAATCCTGCAAATGTGAACTGCTATTCTCATTATTTAAGATGAGAAACTTAGACACAAAACCTATTTACATTGTTCTTGATTCCCCAAACTGACCTTAGAACACTTCCTTACTATATTCTAAAGAATCAGTCCAAGGATAGCAATAGCCTAACCTAGTCTTAAACATCCTCTTCCAAAGCTTTAAATTTATTTTTTAACTTTATATGTTCCAAATGCTCTTAATCATGAAGACCTTTAATTAAATAATTTGATTGGAAATTTCCCTTATTTTTGGAAAAACAGATTAAAGTGAATCTAACTTTTTTCCTAGATGTCTTAGTGCTTAAATAGTGCTCTGAGCCTGTGAAAATATTATCTGTAAAAACATCTTGAAAGCTGATATTTAGTTTGCTATTATTTTGGACTGAACTGGGCTGAAATTATGGTTCTATTATATCATATAAAATGTATATATTTTTTCAATTTGGTAAACGGCATAGTGACTAAGTACTGTTCATTTAAATATTATTTTGATTTAGATGCATAGATGTCAAAGTAAGTAGGCCAACTATTTTTTCTTCCTATTATTTTTAATTAACTTAATGCTGAGTCCTATTCATCTTGTGATAATCCAGTCAATCAATTAATAATTTACCTACAAATTGTCAGCTCAAGCCAGAGGCAAAACAACCAGATTTTGGTCGGACATTGAAAAAAGTAATTGGAGTGGGCATAGGTATCTTAAACATCTAGCCTTTAAAAACAGGATTATCTGAATGGAGTATGGTAAACATAATCCTAAATATTGCTCACATTTTCAATGGGTTGTTTCTATATATAGGTTACTTGGTTGTCATAACACCAAACTCAGTTTAATGCAACATGAGATTGTTGCACAAACTGCAACTGAATGCCTCTGAACAAATTCATTACCTTCCCTCTTTAAGAAAGCCTAATGTGTAACTATCCAAATTTTAAAAGTAGATTAGTGGGACTGATAATTATTCTATTTCCTTGGAATTTTTAATTTTACCTATAGGATAATGAAATTTTTGTGCAATAAATAAGCATTTATTTTAGAACTTATTATATTTGCATCCTTATTATCTCTTTACCTGTTTTCATTTCTTATGCAGTATCCTTTTGAAGGTCAGGGTCCCGGACTTTCATATTTCTTTCACTTCAGTGCTTAACACATGTAAATCACTCAAAGTTTATTGTAACAGTCATGTAAGTAATTTAATCTGATATGAAATTTAACTTTACAGAAATATACACGTACATATATACACACACACATACACAGCTATTTCTTTTTTCTTAATTCGTACACCTCTCAGATGCACTAAGATCTTTTTATGAATTATTTCTAACATTCTCTGAAGAGTATTTTTAGTTATTATTTAAAAATACACATAGAATAGTGTTTCATAAAGAAATACGACAGGGCTAGTTTCTTCCTCTGTGATAAAATTCCCATGGAATTACAGAAAGAATGAACTGAGCCAAACATTTTCTTCTTCAGTTTTCAGAGCAAATACTTTTTCTGTCCTTTTTTCCTTCCGCAGAGCAAATAAGTAAATGAAAATAAATAAAAGCTTTCTTTCCCCAGTGCTTTAGCAGCCTTACCATCACCAACTTCTATTTACAAACACTAGATTTCAAATAGCATCATCTGTAAATAAGGCTGCCATTTCGAGCTTAAAAGCATAGCTGATGAGAGACATGATGATTGCTTAAAATATCCTAAGGGCATGAAAACTTAAGTGGAGAAAGAATTATTTAGGCATAACTAAAGCATAACTAAAGGGAGATATAACTGGATGGAGAAATACTGTTAAGTTAAAAAAAAAAAGAAGAATTTCAGGGAAACAAACCATACATAAAAAACCCCTCAAACTTTCTTAACAGTCTATTGGGCTGTGGAATTGGCTCTAATGGAAGGTGGTAGGAAAAAGCCACGGATGCTTCAAACTAGACCAAAAACTACCAAGGACGAAACACAGATGAGGACAACCTCAGACAGGCAAAAGTTGTGTAAAAATGATGAAATAAAGTCTCATTTATTTTTAAGTGCCCTGATGTCAAAAAATGGAAACTTATTGCTTCTCCTAATTTGATTTTACAAGAACATATGCTAAGCAGGACATCTATGAACAATTTCTAACAGCCCTTCAAATAAAATTCTACTTTTCATTCACAGAGTGAATGATTGTTACACATATACACACTGTCAAACATTGAGATTATATTTTAATCTTAAGGCATCTGTACTCTGTCCAAAATAAATAAAATTTGTGCACTTTGGATTTTTTTCCCTCAAATCTGTTTTTCTCCATATATAAGCCTACTTAGAGTAGCAGAAAAATAAAGATCCATTGCTTTTCCTCCACAGCTATAAAAACCACTAAGATTCTTCAGCCTGACAAATTTAAATGAATTGAAGGCATCTCCCACATGGGGATCTGCAGCACTGGCTCATGGTCAGAGATAAATTTTTCAGTAAATGTGCACCTAGGGTGAGGAAGGGAAACCTCCCTGACTTATTCCCTCCCTTTATCTATTTCTTCAGTTACAGATTGGATAAGCAAGAATTCATTTTCTATTCTTCTTATTTCTAAAAGATGAGAACTTCAGTAACAAGAAAGGAGATTCTCTATATTCCAGAAATTTCTGAATATAAGCAAATGATTGTTATTCTGCCCTATGCCGGCTGGGTGAGCTCTCTGATTTTAATGACATCCAATTGTGACTGAAGGGCCTAGTAGAGAGGATCCACGGAGTTGTGAGGTTAATAGTGGGTCCATCTTCCTCCATTCCTCCCCTTGGTTTGAAGAATAACATGGGCCAGGGCTATATTTGTCTGTATCTCTCCCTTGCTACTCTCTGTTCCTCTGCTATTCAGCTTTATATTGCCATTAAGATTCTTCTTAGACCCTTTACATACTTACCTTTGCTCCATTTCTTGCTGAACAATAATGAGTTTCAAATGCAGTAAATAATTTAAAATAAATGTTGCAGTTATGTAACTGCAACATGTATTGGGGCAAAATAAACTTATTTATTTAGACTGATCTAACAAATCCACGAATTTCGTGAGAGTGTTGGACTAAATAAGTTAGTATTCAGATTGGCTAAAGTTAAGGAAATTAAGATTTCATGATTAAGTGCTGTTCGTCATAATTAAGTGCATTGTCATATCTGTGATTGATCTACAGAACTGTGAGTTTAGTGTCTTCCTTAAAATTCATCAGTAGTTTACTGAGCACCAACAGCATAACAAGCCCTGCTCTGGAATTTGCACAAATGCTCTCTTATTTAATTCTCAGGACTCTGTGAGTCAATTATCATTGTCATTATTTGCCTTTGGTGTATATGTGGCCTACTGGAAAGGCATAGAATGCAGTGGGGAATGCACAGACTCTGGGGCCAAATCACCAGCATTCACATCTCAGCTCTGCTGCTCACTGGCTGTGTGACCATTGGCAAGGTACTTAATTTCTCTGTGCTTTGTTTTTCTTATCCACAAAAACCAGCATAATAATAGCCAGTAAATAATATCATGGGGTTGTTACACGGATAAAATAATCCAAAATATGCAAAGTACTAAGAAAAACACCTGGTATATAGCAATCGCTATATAACTATTTACTATTATTTTTCTATTGTTAACCCTAATAATATTCTTGAATATAGAGTTAAAGCTAGCATTTCACATACTCATGGAATAGTCTAATATCTATGAACCAATCAAAAAGTGTTACTATTAAGTGTACAGTGAGATCAGACTCATCATGGGCTCAAACACTCTGATCCAACCCTCTCTCTTACTCCCAAACTGAAGATTTTATTTCTTGTTCTGGCAAGTCCATTCAGAAATGCCTACCTTTGATATAAAGGGAGACCAGGTAACAAAGGCTGAATTTATTTTAAGGAAATTTTTGAGCTCCAATTTTACATGTCAGGGACAGTGCTAGACTTTAAGGATAAAGAAAAAAATAAACTAGTCCTAAAGAGAAACATATTAAGAAATACATGCTATAAAATACTATAAGTGAATTCAAATTCTGGTTGGGGCAGAATGGAAGCATAGAGGTTGAATAATCTATTCTACCTGAATAGGGGAGCAGAAGAAAAAACTTCTAAGAAGGGGCACCAGCTGAGTCTTTAAGATGAGTGAACATCGCACAGTGCACAGGTAGGTGCTAGTCTCAGGGAGGTGGCACAGCAGAGGCATGGAGACATTACACACAGGTTGTCCTGCTAAGGAAACGCACAGTGATCTGCAGAGCTAGAGTTTCAGAGAAGAGGAGAAGTAAGACAAGGACAGCCTGGTTCACCAAGCTAAAGAACTTGGGTTTGCACAGAAGACAATGAGCCAGTTAGGGGTTGGGCTTCAGAATGACATGATCATATCTAGGCTTTTAAAAGCCAATATTTTGGCTGTAAGCAAGGAAGACAGATTATATGGGGCTAAAGTAGAGATTACAGGGGTTAATTGGGAGATCATTAAAGTATTTGAAGTGAGAAATTATAAGAGTTTGAGCTCAAGGATAGTACAGTCAGCCCTCCATATCCGCAAGTTCTACATCCTTGAATTTAACAAACTGAGGAGCAAAAATATTCTAAAATAAATAAATAAAATAACAACAATAATAGTAATACAAATTTTGAAACAATACAGTATAAGAAGTATTTCCGTAGCATTTACATTGTACTAGGCATTATATGTAATCCAGAGATGATTTAAAGTACAGGGGAGGATGTGCATAAGTTATATGCAAATACTATGTCATTTTATATCAGGGACTTGAGCAGTCTTAAATTTTGGTATGGGGGTCCTGGAACCAATCCCTGGAGGATACCAAAGGATGACTATAGCTCAAATAGAGAGGATGGGGAATTCATGAGAAGTGTGTGTGTATTGCGTGTTTATGTGATTATGAGAAACACAGAGTTTTAGAGGTGGTAAAACAGTATAAATCATCGAATCTTCCCCACCCTCCCAATCAGTCAACTTTATAAATTGAAGAACTGAAGTCAAATATTGCAAAAGCCTCAAGAGACAGAAAGCGTTAGTGAGAAAAAAAAGCTTAGTCACTTCACACAGTTTCTCATCCTATCTCCGTCCTTCACCTCTTTAAGATACAGCTATTTATTTTCAGAAGTGTACATGAAACTACCTGTCCTGACTGCCGCCAGAAGTGTTGAAGCATTCTACTTAATGAGATAATGCATTTGTGAGTAGTTGATAACCTCTAAAACATGCTACAGGTAAACTATTATAATGCCCAGGTCCTCTGATTGATTTTCCATTCTTTTCATTGGGGGAAGAGAAAATGCCCATAATGATGCCAAGAGAGAGGTGACCTCCTCATATTCTCATGTTCAGGTCCCTCCACTTCCAGAGGAATGGAGCAGGACTAGCTCCCAGGACCTGAGAAATGCTAGACCACAGTGGACCGCAATGTTGAGGGATGTTTGTGCTTCCCACTCTTTCTCTGAAATTGAGAGTTGATCATGGGCCAAGGGTGAAAAGCAGTAATCTCATCATAGCTAAAAATGAGTGAATTTCTGGGTATTGAGTATCCCCGGTACATGGAAAAAGCTTGCTAACAAGTATCTAAAAGTATTTATATATGTCACAGACAAAAGCAATTCACCTCAAAAATGGTACATTGGTCCTAATCCACTAGAAGATCAATAGTTGGGAAATTTTTATGTTAATTACATTTTAAACACCTTTGCTTTATACACCTTTGCTTCTCTCTCTCCCTCTCTCTGTCCCTTTGTCTCTTTCTCTCATTATGTGCAATATTACCTGGCAAAGCATCACCATTTTAGTTAACGAATTAGGCCCTGGATCAACTTCAGGAATATCAATGAAAATAACTTACTCTGAAGAATAGCTGTATAACCAAATTCTCTGGGTGCTACTAATCTGGAAAATAAAATCCTTGACAAGAGGTAAAGCAAAACTAGTGTTCATAGATACATATAAGATTTGAAAGTTAAGATTAACTATACCTATATGTTCCATAAAATTTCCCTGAATCAATTGAAGGCTCCTATGAAAACTATAGCACTCTGCAAAAACATGCATTAAAAATATAGAGGACTTATAGAAAAACCTGGGATTGGCCAGACTACTTTATTGAAAGAATTTTGAATTGATTCTGTTCTAATACAAAGCTCAAAATTCAGTTCTACTATAGAACTTTGTAACAGAGCCCCAACAAATAACAATCTAAATAAAAAATTAGCACAAGGAGAAACATCATATAATAATATGTTTACATGCTGAAAGAGCTTTTAATGAAATTCATCTTTCATCCTTAAGAAAAAAACACTAATATATATACATGCATATATCACATACCTCAGTCCTAAGACCAGCAACTTACTTAATGGGAAGATCTGAGATGCATTTCTATCAAAATTAGGAAGAGGTTAAAGATGCTCACCATCTTCACTACTGTTTAACATTTTATGGGAGGCATTTGCCAATGCATTTAGAAAAAAGAAATCAACTGGAGACATAAGAATTAGAGATGCAGGTAAAAAGAAGAGTATCACTTTTTAAGGATGATATGATAATAAGTGGAAAAGCCTAGTGTATCAAATAATAAAAGAATGACATATAACAGTGAAAGAATTAAGTAAGGTAAAAGGATAAAAAATAAACATACAGAAATTAACAGCCTACATATACACGAATAATAAGTAGAGGACATAGTAGTGGAGAAAACCACATTTTCAATAATTTAAGAACATACTTAACAAGAAATATGCAAAACCTATATTATAAAAACTTTAAAATACATCCTGAAGGCCATAGAAGTAGACATAAACAATTGGAAAGACATTTCTTTATCTTGTGCAGGAAGATTCCATAGTATAAAGATGTTAGTTCTCCTAAGCTAATTTATAAGTTTAATGTAAAAATATTTAGTATAAAAAACCTTAACAATCTTTATTTTGTAGCTAGATATGTTGATATAAAATTTTATATGGAAAAATGAACATGCACAGATAGCTAGGAAAACACTGTGAAATAAAAACTGCATGAGGATGGATTTTACCTGTTATTAAATACATATTAAAGTATCTATTATTGAAACAGCATGGCATTGGCACATGAGTAGTCAGATAAAACAGTAGAAGAGAAAAGAAATTCCAGAAACAGACAAGTACCTGTGGGAATGTGGAATATATTTCAGGTGGCACCTCAAATCACTGGGGCAAAGATATATTTAGATAAAAACTTATTTGGTAGTTCAAAATCCAGATAAAAGAAAAGAGCCAATAAAAGAGTGATTCATTTGATTAAATAAACATTAGAAAATAGCTTTGCATGACAGAAAACACCATAAACAAATCCAGATCCTATAATAAACTAGTAGAAAATATTGGGGACATTTATCACAAAGAGCTAATCTTGCATATATATATGCATGTATTTATATATATGTGAATACATCCTATATATAGGTGTGTGTAGGTGTCTGTATGTGTGCGTGTATCTTAAAAATTGAAGGAACAAAGATCCAAATCATGGGCAAAATACATGAATAGATAATTTACCCCAAAAGATAGAAATTAGATCTTAATCATTTGAAAAAGATGTTTCATATCACTCATGGTAAGAGCAATGCAATATAAAGCTCCTCTGAGATACTATTTATCACTTATCAGATTGGCAAAGTTTAAAAACTTGACAACACATTCTATTAGTGAGTTAGGAAACAGACACTTTTACATATGAGGAAATGCAAATTGATACAACTCTATGGAGGATGAATTGGCAATGTCTATCAAAACTAGGAAATTACACTAATGATACACCTCTCCCAATATAAAAATGTGAATGCAGAAGGCTATTTCTTTCATCATGGTTTTGAATTGCATAATACTGGATACAATATAGATGCCCAAATATAGAATAGTGGTTAAAAACAACCACCATGCATTATTCACACAATGGAGCACTATCTGTTTAAAAAAGAAAAGGAGGAGGAGGAAGATCTCTATGAATTTATATAATGTGATTTCTAAGATATATGGTTGAGTTAAAATTTTAAAAACGCCAAGTACAAAAGGGTATTTACACTATGCTATCTTTTAAGATAGTTTAACTTAGTAAAAAAGGAAGTTGTTCTTGAAACTGCAAAGTGAGACACTTCTTGCACTAAAGGAGGGTATCTATGATGAATTTTCAAATTTTTACTCAAATAATCAGATATGGAAAATGTTTTCTCTTTAATTATGAGAGTTTGCCCCTAATTGCTACCAGCCAATAACATTCTGAGGAAAATTATATAAGAACCAACAACATTTCCTGAGTTTGTTGATATTATTCCCTTTTACCAAAAGCCTCTGAACCAACCAAACAAAAAAGCACTGCAGACTATATTGCTGTATTGCCAATAATTAGCACTGTTTTGAGGAAATGGGTTCTCCTAAGGCCAATAAAGTGAATTTGAAGCCCAGCTTTGTTAGTGGCTGTGTGATCATGTGACCATGGGCTCCTTCATTTCTGAGCTTCAGCTTTTTCACCTGTAAAACTAAGATATTAAAAATACTTCGGCCAGGCTCAGTGGCTCACTAGGATTAGTGGCTCACTAATCCTAGCTCTTTGGGAGGCCAAGGCTGGAGGATCACGAGGTCAGGAGATCAAGACCATCCTGGCTAACACGGTGAAACCCCATCTCTACTAAAAATTCAAAAAAATTAGCAGGACATGGTGGTGGGCACCTGTAGTTCCAGCTACTCAGGGGGCTGAGGCAGGAGAATGGCCAGAACCCGGGAGGCAGAGCTTGCAGTGACCTGAGATCGCGCCACTGCACTCCAGCCTGGGCGACAGAGTGAGACTCAAAATAAATAAATAAATAAAAAATAAAAATAAAATAAAAATAAAATACTTCATATGGTTGCTGTGAGGATGAAAGAAGATACTGCATGTAAATGCCTAGCACACACTCAATAAAAGCTCCCATTATTACGGTCTCCATTAGCACTATACACTTTCTGTGGCTATGCCACAGCACTGAGCTGTGTATGTTGCAAAGACACACAAGCACACACACACACACGATTATAGGCACAAATAGATATGCCCAAATGCTACCCAGACTTATATTTCACACCTTCCTCCCCTTTATTCCAGCTCAGTAACCTTAATGTATTTTGTGCATCACATTCTCATTCTGATCTTGGGGACTTTACTCATAAAGCTCCATCCACATACAATGTCTTGCTTCTTATTTTTCAGTGCCTTATTTGCGTCCCTACACATTGCTTCAGCCTTTCCCACAGTATTCAGAGTCCACTGAGTTTCAGAGTTCACTGGTCTCTAACAGGCTAAAGTCTATTGACTTACGTTCTTCAGTTATTTTCTGTGTTTACATCATGTTACAGCAACGAGCGTTTAAACTCACTGTGAGTAGGAGCCATATCTTATTTCTCTAATATACCCACCATAGCACCTAGCAGTATATGTCACATATTGTTGATTATCTAAAAACTCTCATCAGATTGAATTTATTTGAAAAGTGTCTTAATATATTTTTGTAATTATGTTTCAAGTGTAAGAGACCAAGTATTACACAGCAGTGCAGTCATACTGGACTATAAATTTATAAAATCCCTCCCACCCCTGTGAATCTATGACAAATAATTTAGGAATTCTGTTACACAAATTATGCCATCATATAATTTTATCTATTAACCTCAAGGGGCTGTTATCAGTTGTGGAAATTTTTTGACAGGTTGTCATATTTCAATCCAAGTTATAACAGATTCTGACACACTGAAAATCTTGATTTAATATGCCAGAAATAGACAGTGAGTGCCACTGATGGTCTTGCCAACTCAAAACTGAATTCATTCCTCAGGGTCATAGAATCACATCTCAGCAATGACATTTCAACACCAGTCCTGAGCCAGGTTAATGAAGGAGATCTCATGCACACAGGACTTATAGAGAAATAATAAATTGATTGGGGTTTTCTCCTCTGGCTATCAGGCTCTTTTTCAATCCCACCTCCCAATAGTTTAAGGAGAAAAACAACTGCAAAATCCTAGACAGAATTGAGAAGGAATAAATTTCTTAGTCAAAATCTAACTTGCCTTGTAAGTCAGGCATAAGCCTAGGGTACAAAAACAAAATGACAAGAATAAAATCATGAGATATGGCATATGGTTTGGGCTATACTAATATAAACTGAGAAGCAAGTAATCATTTAGAGCATTTCCATTCAAAATAAAGTGTACTTTATGTGGTAGACAGAATAATGACCCCTAAAGACGTCCATACCCTGATTCCCAGAACCTGTGCGTATGTTCCCTTACATAGCAAAAGGTGTAGCAAAATTACACCTTTGCAGGTGTAATTAATTTAAGGATCTTAAGATGGGAAGATTGCCGTGATTATGCAGGTGTGCCCAATGTAATCACAAAAAGTAGAAGAGAGAGGCAGAAGAGAAGAACCAAAGAGAAATGTGACAATGGAAGTCTGATTAGAGAGAGGCAATGATGCTAGCTTTGAAGATGGATGAAGGAGGCCACGATCTGAGGAATGTAGGCAGCCACTTAGAAGCTGAAAAAAGCAAGAAAAATGATTTTCACCTGGAACCTCCTGAAAGGAATGCAGCTTTGCTGACACCTTGATTTTAGCCAGGTGAGACCCGTGTTGAATTTTTAACATACCAAACTGTAAAATAATAAATGTATATGTCTTAAGCATCTAAGCTTGTAATAGTCTCTTATGGTGACAATAGAAAACTAATATACTTTACCTCCAGTAGAATGTAATCTCTATGAGGGCATGGCCTCTGACTTATTTGCTGCTGTATTTCCCAAGCTTAGAATAGTGTTTGAGCCAGTAGAAACACTTAGTATGTAACCTTTGAATGCAATATTGATATAACATTTTATACTTTACCAAAACAGTCTCAGTATATTATCAACTTTTACTCTTATGACATTCTTGTTGTTTTGTATTTAGGCATCATCAGCATCAACTGAATTTTGTGGATAGAAAAATATTTGTTATTTCTCCAAGGCCATCCAGCTACTTAGAGACAGAGTCACAGCTTGAGGCCAGGTCGTTTAACTTTGGATCCAGTAATGTTTTCACTGTAAAACTGGTTAATTGCAGTTTTTAAAAGAGAAAAAAATGGACTGACCAGGATAATTGTCAACCTGCCCCCATAGAAAGGAATGTTAGTTCAATCAGTTACAAGAAACACATGTCTAAACCAGGATAACACTATCTAATTCCATTTGACTTTGAAGATCATTCAAATTAGGAATGAAATGACATCACATCTTAAAAGAAATGTCTTGCCATTCTACTTGGATATCTCATCATTCAAAGGGAGAAGGTGCCCCTAGGTTCTTTCCCCAGTTAAAGGGCATGAGCAGTAACTATTGTGGTTGCTCCTAGATCCAGGCACTGTAACAAGAGGAAAAGTAGCCACAGCTCTGCCACAGAACTACCATAGAATAGAGAAGGCCATGCAAGGGAACAGACAGGCCTACTCCACAGTCACTTTGTGCATGGGAATTTTACTGTGGGTCTTCTCTAATTCCATCCTGAGCTTCTTTGGTGGCTGTATTAGTCTACTGCAGCATGAAAAACTGCCCCAAAACTTAGTTATCTATAACAACAATATTCAGTTATTATTTCTCTTGGTTTCCATATGTCATGAATTCAAAATGGACAATGGAGATGGCTATCTCTGCTCCTTAACATCTAGGAGCTCAGCTGGACACCTCAAGAGGCTGGAGGCTAGAGTGAATTGAAGGTGTGGCTGGGGCTGGAGGATCCTCTTCCAATGTAGCTCACTGTGAGGCTGGTAAGCTGGTGCTGGATATTGGCAGAAGGCCTTCATTTTTACATGGGCTTCCCCATGGGATTGCTGGAATGACTTCATTGGGATAGTACTAGTTTTTCCTAACATAAATAAGAAACCAAAGTAGAAGCTGCAATACATAGTATTATCTGGAGTCACATACTATCATTTTCACAGTATTTCCTTGGTCACACAGGTCAGCTCTGATTCTATGTGAAAGACAGCTTCACAAAGGCATGAATACCAGGAAGCAAGCATTAATGAAGGCCATCCTGAATGCTGGCTGTCACATTGGCAGAATCAAAGAACTTTGCTCTTAGGAAACACCTACAAAATTTCTAGAAACAAAAACTGCCTATCCTGAAAAAAATAGTTTTCCAAGGGAGATAATCCTTTCCCATTTCCCAATTCTATTGCCCATGTACTCTATAGAATCTACTTTCCCTCCAATGGGGAGAATACAGAATATTAGTCAGGATAGGCTAGAAAAGAAAAGGATTGGATACAACAAATAAACCAACAGATTTTAGTGTCTTAATATGATACATTTTTTTGTTTTCTTTGTTTTAATTAATATTGCAAAGAGCAGTGAAGGTTGGTGGTTCTGCTGAGTCTCTTCTCAAGTGATGAATCAGGGATTTACCATTGTCATTGGAAAAGAGAAGCAAGAGTGTAGAAGATTGTCCAGGGTGGTGTATGGTCAGGCTTGGAAGTAGTCCCTCAGTCACACGGGCTCAACCTAACCACAAGGGAAGCTGGGAAATTTGGTCTTCCCTAGTGCCCAGAAGGAGGAAATGGCATTGGTAGGAATCAAGACAGTTTCTGCCATATTTCTGGGCCACATGAGCTACCTAAGTCAATCTATTACCTTGATGTCAGAGAGATCTTTGTAAAATGTCTGATTTGATCAGGCTAATTCCCTGTTTCCAAACTATTACTTAAGACAAAGACTAAGGTTCATCACAAAGTATTCAATACCCTTGATCACCAACCTTAACTACTTTTCTTCCCACACATCTAGCCATGTCTCTCTCCTCTTCAGGTCTCAACTCTGCTGTTCCCTCTGTCCCACTGCTTCTCATTAGCTTTGGACTCTAATGCTGGCTGTTAGTTGCATAATGACTTGAAGCAAATGCTTTCAACCTCTTTATAAGCCCCAGTTTCATCATTTGTAAAATGCAGAATAATAACATCCACCTCAGTGTTGTGAAGATTGAGAATATATATACATATATGTATACATGGAGAGAGAGAAAGAGAGAGAGAGAGAGCAAAAGAGAGAAAGAGCAAGCACATAGCACCTGGAGCATAGAAGCAACTCAATAAATTCCAGTTGTTAAATGAATTCTTTTCCTTTTATTTTGTTATATGATCAAACCAATGTGCTTAAAGAATAATGTTTTACCACATTATTATTATTATTATTATTACCAATTTCCTATTATTTTGAAAGGAAGTTTGAGAGTGATTGAAAGCAGTTTTAATCTCAGTCATACTTCTTGGATTTAGACCCAGGTTTTACCACTTATAATCTTTGTGAACTTGGAAAAACTAACCTTTTTGAAATCTCAGACCTGTTAGGTCTGTTAAGTGAAGCTAATAGTTGTACTTATTTTATAGCACCATCATTAGGGTTAACTGAGGTAATAAATTATAAAATACACTTTAGTATCTTGTTCATAGTAATTGCTTAATAAAAATGGCTACTGATAATTTTACTACTATATATCATGAATTTCTACCATGGGTCAAGTACTCTGCTAGGTATTTAATTCTTACAATAGTCCCCTTTTTTGAATAAAATATTAAATTTGAGAATACCAAATTTAAGCAACTTCCCCAAGATCACACAGCCATTACATTTAAGTTGAAGTATGAAGGAAGGCCAGCCTGACCCTGGCATCTGTGCACTTTCTGCTCTATTACTTTCTCTCCCAAACTCAATGCACATTCCTCCAAAAGTGTTTGTTTTCAATGGAGTATTGAGCATAATGAAGGTACATATTCCTGCAATGACCAGCAGAACTCGAAGCTTGACTTCTACAATGAGAGTGAATATAAAGTCTAGAATACAAACATACTCCACCTTAGCTTAACTTCCAAGGAGCCCACCCTGCCATGCCCCCAGAGACACTGTCCATGGATGCCAGGCCAGTTTTCTAGCCCTTCCATAAAAAAGCCAAGGGACATCATGGGCCCTTTCCAATTTGGTTGGTTTGGTATTAGAACTGTTTTTTTTTAAAGTAATCCAAATTCCCTCTAAACTTGTCATTCAAAGAACAACACTTGCCCCTGCCACAGGCTTTGTTTTGTCAGGGCCTGGTCCCTGAAACATTTCAAGTACAGCCTACTGCACTGCCAGCATCCTCATGTACAAGCTTAGCCATCAGTGGCTCCAGCCAGCAAATAATTTACAAATTTAAGACATCATGTGTTCCCAAACACTCATTTCATTTTGCTTTTTTTACTTAAGTGTGTTGGCCTGAACTTGGCCAAAATAGGTGCTAAGGTGTAGAACCCTTCAAAAGGGTAGTCTATGACATGCCTAATGATTTTTCATTTCAGTAATGTCCCACAACTTCAGGGTATTAATCTGTTATTAGAGATCAGTTGATTGGTAAAGGTTACCTACCCATCCTTCCCATCCAACTCTAAGTGTGATTCCTCCTTTGAGGTCTTCTCTGGCAATTCCAAGTGCACAGTGACTGCCTGGGTGCTAGCACTGGTCATCCCATGTGCAGTTATGTAGTTGCCTTGGACATTATTCATTCAATATGTATTAATTGAACACCAACTTTATGCCAGACACTGTTCTAGATGCTGTGTATGCAAAACTAAGTGAGATAAAATCTCTGCCTTCCTGGAATTTACACTCTAATGGAAGAGGCAGACAATAAATACATAAATATTTAGAAATGTCAGGTAATGCTAAGGAGAAAAATAAAACTGGGTAAAGGCACAAAGATTTATGGGGAGAGAGTACCATTTTGGAGAGTGGTCAGGAAAGTCCTCTGTAAAGAAATACCATTTGAGCCAAGACCTAAATAAAGTTAATTCATGCAAATGTATGGGTGAAGAGTGTTCAAAGCAGAGAGAAGAGCCCTTATATGTTTATATGCACAGTGTATTCAAGAACATCAAGGAAGCCAGGATGGCTAAAGCCCAGTGATGGGCTTCCCAGCCCAGGGCTGGGAAGATGAATAAAACATGAAGTCAGAAAAAGAGGCAGAGGTAAGAGCAGTTACAATTTTTAAATTTTATTCTAGAAGTAAAGGTAACTCATTGGAAAGCTGAAACAGGAAAGGTTGATGACGTAGTAGACATTTTTGAATTATCAATTGTGTGAGGAAGAGAAGTGGGTAAAGAGACGATGGCAACATTTGAGCCTGGAAGACAAGTTAGGTTCTGCTCTGGTCCTGATGAGAAGATAGGGGTTTGGCCTAAGATCCTGTGACACTATTCTATTCTATTGTTTCTATGACACTATTCTATTCCATTGTTTCTATGGCTTTGTGTGCTTTTGCTTTATTTCTAAGTGAGATTGTAAGTAATCACCAGCCATGATGGAGAAAAAGAGCAATGAAGGATATGGAATTGGGTGAGGGTAAAAGTAAAAAATGAGGGAGAAGAGGAGAACAGTTGCCTCAGATGATATTTCTTAGTAATCTCCAGAATATTTGGAACAAAATATAACTTTCCATTTTCCAGTTATGTCCTTCGATAGGATCTTAGACTTTCATTCATATAGTATATACATATATATATATATATATAAATTTTTTATTTTCATAGGTTATTAGGGAACAGGTGGTGTTTGGTTACATGATTAAGTTCTTTAGTGGCGATTTTTGAGATTTTGGTGCACCCATCACCTGAGCAGTATACACTGCACCCAATTTGTACTTTTTTATCCCTCACCCCCTTCCCACCCTTTCCCCCCTGAGTCCACAAAGTCCATTGTATCATTCTTATGCCTTTGCATCCTCATAGCTTAGCTCCCACTTATGAGTGAGAACATAGAATGTTTGGTTTTCCATTCCTGAGTTACTTCACTTAGAATAATAGTCTCCAATCTCATCCAGGTTGCTGTGAATGACAATAATTCATTCCTTTTTATGGCTGAGCAATATTCCATCATATATATATATACAACTGTTTCTTTATCCATTTGTTTATTGATGGGCATTTGGGTTGGTTCCACATTTTTGCAATTCTGAATTGTGCTGCTACAAACATGCGTGCACAAATATCTTTTTCGTATAATGACTTCTTTTCCTCTGAGTAAATACCCAGTAGTGGGATTGCTAGATCAAATGGTAGTTCTACTTTTATTTCTTTAAGGAATCTCCACACTGTTTTTCACAGTGATTGTACTAGTTTACATTCCCACCAGCAGCGTAGAAGTGTTCCCTGTTCACCGAATCCATGCCAACATCCATTTTTTAAAATTTTTTTATTATGGCCATTCTTGCAGGAGTAAGGTGGTATCACATTGTGGTTTTGATTTACATTTCTCTGATCATTAGTGATGCTGAGCATTTTTTCATGTTTGTTGGCCATTTGTACATTTTCTTTTGAGAAATGTTTTCATGCCCTTAGTCCACTTTTTGGTGAGTTTGTTTGTTTTTTTCTTGCTTATTTGTTTGAGTTATTTGTAGATTCTGGATATTAGCTTTTTGTCAGATGTATAGATTGTGAATGAAGATTTTCTCCCATTTTGTGGGTTGTCTGTTTACTGTGCTGACTGTTACATTTGCTGTGCAAAAGCTCTTTAGCTTACTTGAGTCCCAGCTAATTATCTCTCCTTTTATTTGCATTTACTTTTGGGTTCTTGGTCAGGAAATCCTTGCCTAACCATGAGGTGAAAGACCTCTACAAGGAAAACTATAAAACACAGGTGAATGAAATCATAGATGACACAAACAAATGGAAACACATTCTATGCTCATAGATGGGTAGAATCAATATTGTGAATGTGACTATATTTCCAAAAGCAGCATGCAATTTAGTGCAATTTCCATCAAAATACCACCATCATTCTTCACAGAACTAGAAAAAACAATCCTAAAATTTATATGAAACCAAAAAAAAGCCTGGGTAGCCAAAGCAAGACTAAACAATAACAACAAATCTACAGGTATCACATTGCCTGATTTCAAGCTATACTATAAGCCCCTAGTCACCAAAACAGCATGGTACTTATATAAAAATAGGCTAATATACTGATGGAGCAGAATAGAGAACCCAGAAATAAACCCAAATACTTACACCCAACTGATGTTTGACAAAGCAAACAAAAACATAAAGTGGGGAAAGGACACCCTATTCAACAAATGATGCTGGGATAATTGGCTAGCCACATGTAGGAGAATGAAACTGGATCCTCATCTCTCACCTTATACAAAAGTCAACTCAAGGTGGATCAAGGACTTAAATCTAAGACCTGAAACTATAAAAATTCTAGAAGACAACACCAGAAAACCCCTTCTTATAGTATATTTTTTGAGGCTTTTCTAATTTAGGTTCCCCCTATGTGTTCTGTGGTTGTATCTTTGAGATCTTGTCTTAAAGTTGCTTTTGCATAAGAAGCACTTTTTTGTTTTATTCATTTTTATTTTTGTTTTTTAACATATAGTTATTTATGGTCACTTAGGGGAAATGCTGGTGGAGATCACACAGGTGGGGAAAAATTCTTCCAAGACACCTCTTTGTGCTTTGGGAGTCTGTCTTAAGCCACTGAATTTCTGAGCACAAAAGAGCAAATTGAGCAATGTTCTCTGTGTTGTTTGGCTTCGCTCCATGGTCATTTTAACCTTCTGATTATTGTCACTTTAAATGTATGTATTATGCATACTTGGTCTTTGTGTTTTCACACAGGTGGTTCTCTAAAACTTATGTCAAATGAGGCTTTTGGGGACTTTTTTTAAAAGAGCTATTGTGGAACAGAGTAATAGTAGGAACATATACCAATGTTAATAATATTTGCTTTTTAAAGACATTAAGATATTTTCCATAAGAATTTCCTACCTTTGTAGTCTAACTTTAATGACAAAAATAAAAATTAAGTCATTAACTATGACTCTAAATTTCTATGCAAAAATATGTTTTGCTTTTTATTTGTTAGGCACCTGTGCTAATAAAATCATTGGATTTTGAATTTGATAGCAGTCTTAATAAAAGTAAGATGACAGAAGCAGCAATAAAACCTATCATGCATGATTAAGTATGGAGGGGCAAATTAATTTGGTACTGCTTTGACAGAAAATTTCCCTTTGTTGTGCTTATATGCCTGTATTTTGTACCAATGGCTTTTGTGATTCTCTAGTTTAATCATGCCTTTAAGGTGATGAGTTACATGCTGATGATAGAACATCAAACTCTAGATGTTTATTCAGGAAATGCACAGAGGTCAGAGCAGGCACAGGGTCATGTGCTGCCTATAGCATTTACACAAAAGGGAAAGCCTAATGTTTTGCAATCATTCTATATTTAAAATATCTTTTAAGAAAAATTGCTAGTTTTAGTACTTTAGTAAGCAGAAGATGATATATTTTTACCTCTTAAAACTGAGACTGGGAAAATAAGGCTTATTTAGGATTAAGAAGAATTGAAGCAAATTTTATGTCCTACAGTACCCCTAAATGTCCACCTTCCATTCCATAAATAGATTTTTGAGGCATGTGAAATGTTGGAGACAAAGAGATGGTAGTCTTCTATGAAAAGCATTATGAAGTTCAGAACAAGGGTAGAATTAACATCCCTGTTTTTGAAAAGATTAAGAGTCTGAGTCTGTGCTTATTAAGATGCATAAAATGTGCTGTTATATCATTTTTGTAGTATGATAATTTCTAAGTTTATATGCATCATAATATAATTATAGTAAAATGTAATTAATGACAGGAGAGCAGAAGCTTGTGTTGGTCTGTAATGGGATAAATCAGTTACCTAATGATGAATAGTTATCAGCTTCAACACTTTGCCAGTTATACTGTATTTTACTGTGAAATAAATAATGTCCATATTGCTTTTTGCTTTATTGAAATATGTTTTTCTTTTATCGTTCCTTTCTTATATACTCTGATCAAAGGATCCTTAGTCAATGTCAGTTCTCAGGAAATGCAAGATAATGTCTAGGTTAATATATCAACAGATCCAGCCCAAATTATTTGTGGAAAGATGATAAATCACCTTGTTTGCATTTATACTTTCAATGATACTATAAATTCACTTTTATTTACGTTCATTTGAATTGCATCAGTGATATAGAATTTTCCTAGATTTCATGAAAGATTTCACATGAATGGCCTGTACCCCATATAAATCATTTCATAACTGAGAAAGAATGATAAATATCTAAAAATAAGGAATCATTTTTTATTCAATAGGTCTAACTGACTTGAAGTTCCTCTCTAACCTAATTTTAATTCTAATTAACTTTTTCTGGGGCAAGGGTATCTGCATTTTAATTTGGGGGAAAAAAGTTAATGTATATCTAAATGTAGAATTGCAGTTATTAATGAAGATTATAGCTGGTAACAATAAAATTTTCTACATGGTCATAATATTCCACCAAAAAACAAAAAGAAAAACAAAAATTTCTATGTAGCAGTCCAGGACTAATGTGTGGACTATGTAGTTCACATGGAAGCAGCCTAGAACCTGAAATGTCTTTTAAAAAGAGAAGTAGTCCTAGGCAATCTATGATCACACCTTATCAGGAGCAAGAGTTAGGATTATCATATAGCTTATCATCCAAATCAGAATAAAAAGTGTGTAAGAGGAAGTAATTATAATTGCACTAGAACATAAGGGAAAAACCAGGACTGTCCTAGGGAAACCAATCCCATCAACAATGCTAGTGTTGTCAGTAGTGAAACTTTGCCCTGAGTGAAACTGTTCTTTTGACAATTATCCCTGAATCTTACCTTAGTGCAGAAAGCGTTCTTTTATTTTTAAATTTTTAAAATTATTTTTCCTGTTTTATTTATCTTCCAGCTTTATTGAGTAGAATTGACATACATATAAGACTGTATAATTTATAATTTTTATCATCAATAGACTGCCTGGTTCCACTGAGACATGCCTGGAGTTTGGGTCTACACAGGCAGGACCAGTACTGTAGTTTATGGTGGTGGGACTGGGTGCTGGGTCACTGGAGGAGAGGGGTATTGGAGACTGTATCTGTGGGGCCCTGTCTAAGGCCTAGGTTCATAGGAGCTGATCTGGTATTGGGGCAGACTTTGATCCTGCATCCAAGAAGGTAGGTCTGTTGCCTGGAGCCATGGGGACCAATCTGAGTCCAGATTCGCAGGGGTGCATGGGTCTGCAATTTTCAGGTGTAGTCCTGGAGCCTGAGCACATAAGAGGCCATACTGGTACTGGGGTCTATTGGAATTGGCCTGGATCCAGGGTCTATTAGAGCCTGGGGCCACAGGGGTCAGTTTGGTGTCAAGGCTTAATAGGGTGGGCTTGATTTTGGGATCCACAGAGGATTCCATGTGTCTATCATTGATAGTTGCTCCAGGAAGCAACCATCAATGTTCAGATCTTTCTACAGACCTTGAACTAATCTAGGTACCTACTTTTACGAATGGAAAACTGGAACCACATTGTTCTTGCTGATGCAGACATTGTAATTGCCTACCCACATCATCACCTACTCCTTTTTTCTTGCCACCAAAACCCTAGTTTTGTTCAACTTGCAAGTAGTAACATGTAACAGAAGTAGCTGGGCTCTCTCTAGGCCCAGGAGAAAAATCTGGATGAGTCCAAGATGATCAGGATATTAGCATTCCTTTTAGTAGTGGCCAGTTCAG
Organism: Homo sapiens; assembly: GCF_000001405.40. NCBI lineage: Eukaryota > Metazoa > Chordata > Mammalia > Primates > Hominidae > Homo > Homo sapiens. The sequence continues at coordinate 51,239,193 of NC_000006.12, read as the reverse complement.
GAATGAGAATGAGGTACAATTCTGGGCAATAGAAGGAAGGTCAAAACTGCTAGTTAGGAAGGAGTAGCTCTGGAAAACGATTTCTTTGTTTTAGAAAAAGAGACATGTGAGAAGATACAGTCCCTCCTCTTCTTCCTGCCTTGGGACACTGTAATCCGTGGGTTAGGATGTTGTCAGCTACAAAATACAAGTCTGAAGACACAATTCCTATATCATGTAGATGACCAAAAGCATTATATTAATTTTTCTATTACTGTATAACAAATTCCCCCAATCTTAGCTGTTTAAAACAATGAAGAAATATTATCAGTTTATTCCATGTAAAGCTAGCTGGGTCTCCTGCTCAGGATCTCACAACTCTGTAATCAAGGTGTTGGTCAGGATACATTTTCTTCTTTTAATTTATTTTATTTTCAATTTTTATAGATAGGATGCAATTTCAACTGAAAACTCAACAGGGGAAGAATTCACTTGCAAGCTAATTAAAGATGTTGGCAGAATTCATTTCTTTGCAGCCATATGACTGAATATCCCCAATTTTTTTCTGGCTGTTGGCTAGAGGCCACCCTTGGGTTTTATAGGATGCCCACAGTCCCTAGAGCTATTCTGTTGTTCTTTTGCCACATAGCCTTCTCCAACATAGCCACTTGCTTCATTAAGGTCTCAAAAAGAGTTCCTCTGTGTACCTTCTGGAACTATTTGTAGGAAATAAAAAGAACATAGTGATTTTCCACAAGTAAAAACAAACTTGTGAGCTGGCTTCAAAAGTAGCTGGATAGAAAAGTAGAATTAGACCCAGCAAAGGTATAGCATAAACATTCATATCTTCATTTGTTTGTGCTTTCATTTATTTACGTATTCATCCAATGGACATTATCCATTAAGACTAAGTCCCTTAGGTATGTATTATCCATTGGATGAATACATAAATAAATGAATGCACAAACAAATGACCATATGAATGTTTATGCTATACCTTTGCTGGGTCCAAATCTGCACATAGAATTTAGGCTAGGAGCTCTGGCAGAAGCAGAGATGAATCATACACACATACATAATCTAATGTAATCATGGAGAAACAAAAAAAACAATTAAGTATAAAATAACACAGAAACTATTAACAGCCTTAAAAGATTAACATGCCTTGGCAAGCACTGATGCTTGCTTTTTCTATCACTAAGCTTGCCTAGAGGAGAAAGAGAGTGTGCCCAGCAGGAACACACAGGTATATCAGAACATTCAAACATTTGGGAGGAGAACATTCTTGGTAGAGGAACAGGTAAACAAAGGAAAGAAGAAAAGTCCTAAGAATATATAGACATGAGCAGGAGAATCTGACGGTACAGTATGACAGGAGAACAGCACAAAAAGCTCACGGGATCAAAATAAGGAGGACTTCAAAGTTAGGTGAATAGAAAAAGAAGATGCCAAAATGCATAATATTCACATTAGGTATTTTTCATGAGACTTCCATTTTCACTTATGCCAACTAAAGATCATTTACAAGAATTAGGGCAACGAGGAGATGGCGAGGCTTCTGGATCCAGTATTAGTTTAGATAAAAACAGTAAATTATTGGAGTTTGCATTATCATGATTACCACAGAATAAAAGAAATAAGTTATTCCTGAGAAACTATTTTAAATGTAGTGTTGTGATATATAATATTTGCTTATGGGAAAGCAAAGCTACCCCTAGAAATTAAATTCTTTTCCTCTTCCTCCCACCTTCTCCCTTCCCTGTACCCCTTTCCTAATGTTTAGTCATCTGATGTCCTCATGAACACCATTCTTAGAAGAATCCCATCCCAGTGTACCACAAAGGTCTCATAGTAATTTTTAAAGGGATTAAAATCTTAAGACATAAGCAAACCTGTAACTGAGGTAATTCTGGACAGGAACCAAGAGCGAAAGCTCCACCCCTTCATTAGGACACTAAGCTTGGCTCACAATGTGTCCTCTAAGATTGCAATCCTGATACCCCTGGAAGGTGTCCAGCCCAGTCTCAGTGCCTCATATGTGTGGCTTGCTGAACAGTTAAAATCCTTTCACTTGCTCTCTGCCTCCCCTTCACCCAAATTTATTCAATATCCACCAATTCAAATCCAGTGGCCTTTTGGGATTTTAAAATAGCAGAGCTTTGAGGTTGTGTGTGTATGTGTCCTTCTGTGTAATACTAGAGTCGAGCAAATGATGTGAGAGGCACACGAGTCAATACACTTTCAGTAAGCAAATCATTGGATTTGTGAGCATGTGGAAGGATGCCTGGTATAGTTTCTTAATTGTGTGCCTTTTGGATTTATTTTTTTTCCTCGCTGTTTATTTCTTCTCGAGAACTCACTCTTAAGCTCTTATGGACTTACATTTTAGAAAAGAATAAAATCCTTGGAGAGGGTATGCATTAATGTTTGAGACAGCTATAAACAGTATTCCACTGAGACCAAATGTGAAGTCCATTAATGAAAAAAAGAGATGGATTTTATTTTCATTTCATTTTTGAAAATACAAATAGTCTCATGCTAGGCGGAATAAGCAAATGTTTTCCAGCTCTCATCTTAACCTGTAGAATAGGAGATGGACAGGGGAGTGGGGCAGGGGGGAGAAAGCATTTAGTCTATAGTGTTCAGCAAATACTAGAGAATAAGCAAATGAATGAGGCTCATATTTAATTTTGGGCTTTCCACAGTTAATATCTGCAAGCCTATCATCAGGCTACTATACTCCTGGCACTGCTTTAAGCCTTGAAATGGCAAAATATGGCACGAATTCCATTCTGAAGACCATAACCACCAATTTTGGCCCTAGATCCCCAGTCAGTCAGCTAGCTGACAAATTTAAGGAATATGTGTTCTGTACCAGGTAGTCTAGGAACTGAGAAGACAGAGCTGAATAAGATGTAGCTAGTCAAAAAGTCAAACACAATCCAAAGCTCATCATTTGTCATTACAGAAATGCAAATTAAAACAACAGAGATACCACTGCACATATATTAGAATGGCAAAATCCAGGGAAAAAATATGACAATACCAATTGTTGGTGAGGATGTGAAACAAGGACTCTCATTCACTGCTGGTGGGACTGTAAAATAGTACAGTCACTTTGAATGATAGTTTGCAGTTTCAGGGACTAAGCAATCTTATCGGGTCATTGTATCCTAGAAAATTTATTCCAACTGATTTGAAAACTTAGGTCCACACAAAAATTACAGATAACTGTTGATCATAATTGCTAAAATTTAGAAGTTACTGAAATGTCCTCCAGCGGGTGAATGGTATACAGACTGTGCTACATACATAGAATATTCTGCAAAAAAAAAAAAAAAGAATGGGCTAACAAGTCATACAAAAACATGGATGAATATAAAGGCATATTCCATGTGAACAAAGTCAGTCTGAAAAATGACATACTGTACTATTCTATGTATATGACATTGTGGAAGAGGCAAAACCATAGAGACAGTAAACATGAATGACTATAAATTTAAAACTATTCTTAAATTAAAAATTTATGGAAAAAAGACAACTCATAAAGAAGGAGATGATAACTTTGGAGAAAAGATAATATTTCATTTTTAAACATGCAAAAATGGTATATTTGAGGGATCCATGAAATACTTAGGCAGAGATATTTATTCACTTATTTAATACATATTTATTGAATGTTTACTATATGCCAGGAACTATTCTATGCATACTACAAAATGCAGCCCCTGTTTTCCAGAAACCTATCATGAAAAAGACTAATGCATATCAAATAATTATATAAATAGGTATAATGTTATGTATCAGTATTTACAAAGGATGATGATACAGAAGGATATTACAGGGGACATGATACAAAGAAAACTCTTGGGCTTGTTATTCTGGAACTGAGAATGGGTAGATGATAAGAAGACAGGAGCCATTCCTGCGCCTTAAAAAAAGCCCATACAACTCTGGTTGGTCTATGTGGTTCCATTCCATGGGGATATGAACAAGTCAATGGTGTCATAAAACAGATTAGAATTCATTTCTTCTTTGGAGGCAGTGAAGGTCCAAATCCCTTGGCTCTGGAGTGACTGTGGATGTTAGCAATCAAAACTGAGTACACAGAGCTCTAAATGAAAAGAGAAGGGAGGCCTATTGAGAAGAATGCTATGATCTGAGGTGATATATTCTAAATGGCTATGAATAAATGATTTGGAGGATGTATAAAAATATATATTCCCTTCACAGGGCTCCACTGACAAAGATTCAGATTAAATAGATGTGAGTGGGATTTCTCCTAGAGGATTCTGAAGCTTAGTTTTGGATTAATGTTGAAAGGATGAGGATAGTGGCAAGAATAATGCAAGTAGCAAATGTAATATGGAAGCACAGCCATAATCACAAGAGAAAGAAAAGGAGATGTGAAATGTTGCATTGATAGACACAAAATAATTGGTGACATAAAGATAAGAGAAGTGGGAGATGCTGGGCTCAGCTAACAGAATTGGAAGGGAATGCACCTAGGAAGAAAGGCCATGATACTATTCAAAGGATACTCTAAACATATCAGAGGGGATGAATGATAGACAAGGATGGGAATATAGAGTATCAGAGATCCTGGCAGGCATTAATTGGAAAAAGTCAGCAGTTTTCATGACACTGGGTAATTATTTAGGTAGTCCTTCTGGAAATGTGGAGGAGGCAATAAATCATATCATGTTATCCCCTTAGGAATTGTGAAGGGCTTGAAACTTTCTCAAGCTTCAGATTCAGAGGAAGGGAGTGTATTAATCAGAATTCTTTTTAAAAGTAACAGAAACTAACTCTGATAATTTAAATGGAAACTATATGCACTAAAAGGATGAAGAGCAACCTATAGAATTGCCATGGAGTGTGGAGAATTAGGTGAGTAAGACAGTAGATATTCCCATATGCCCACAGACCACTGAACTCCCAAAAATTATACGGAAGAGGCTGACCCTATACTTTCTAGATCATCTGTGCTTCCTGCAACAGCTGCTGTGATAAGGAGGGAATATACCAGTTGATGAAAGTGTCATGGATGGGCAGAGCCAGTTTAGAGCTTAAGTGTCTTGATGCTGTTCACGTGGGAATTGGGCCTAGAACTTAGACTGGGCTGGGCTTACAAGTGGCACTGTGACCACCTTGCCCTTACCCCCAATGGGAGAAAGGAGCAATGTGGAATTTGAGATTATGTAGAACTTGACCAAGCTATACCAGGGGCTTCAAAACCAGGGTGTCAATTTGGAAAAAAGATTGTCATAAGGAGAATTCAAGAAAAGCAAAAAGTTGATTTGAGCCAATATGTCATACTTTTCTCAAGAATTTTGCTGCCACCATTGTTCAGTGATATTCCCACTCAGAATACACAGCCATTAACGACTTAAACTACGAAATGACATATAACATCTCTTAATGTATTACTTCACTTTTCATGTTATAGCTTGTTTTACCATCTACATTATAATTCCCTGAAAGCAAAGACTACTGAATTTTGCCAGCATATGTCTCTATCCTCAGTGCCTTGCACGATAGTAAATACACAGTAGGTGCCCAAAACATTTTTATGAAATAAACGTGGATGTTTAGATGAATGCATAGATAGATGAAGATAGATGGATAGATAGATGGATAAAAAAAATTCCATAGAATCTCTGCATTTTTTTCATAAGGGACATTAGGGTAAGTTAGACAATTTTGAACAATTACTTTATCTAGTTAAAGTCCTCATGAATTTGCAGACCCTCTTATGAAGAACTGACCAAACTTCTCCAACGTATTTGAGGTCCATATCCCTAGATATGAGTCAAAGGAAAACCGGATTTTGTATTGCAGTTGTTATGAGTTGAATTGTGTCCCCAAAAAGATATGTTGAAGTCCCAACACTCAGTACCTCAAAGTGTGACCTTATTTGGAAATAGGGTCTTTGGAGAGGGAAACAATTTAAAACGAGGTTGTTATAGTGGCCTCTGATTCAATGATTGGTGTCCTTATGAAAACAAAAAATTTGGACACAGTCATGTGAAGAGACACAGGAGGAAGACAGCCAACTACAAGCCAAGAATTGTCTGAGGCCACCAGAAGGAAAGAGACGGGCATGAAACAGATCTTTCCCTAGCACCTTCACAGACAGCATCGCCACACCAACAATGTGACTTTGGACTTCCAGAATCAAAAACTGTGAGAAAATACATTTCTAAGCCATCCAGTTTGTGGTGCTTTTTCATAGCAGCCATAACAAACTAATACAGTGGCAAAGTGGCAATTTTTTTTTTTTTTTAGAGATGGGGTCTCGCTCTGTCGGGAAGGCTGGAGTGTAATAGTGTGATCACAGTTCACTGCAGCCTCTAAATCATGGGCTCAAGCAATCCTCTTGCCTTAGACTCACAAGTAGCTAGGACTACAGGCATGTGTCATCGTGCCCAGCTAATTATTATTATTTTTTTTAGAGAAGGGTCTTGCTATGTTGCCCCATCTGGTCTCAAGTTCCTAGCCTCAGGTGATTCTTTCACTTGAGCCTCCTAAAATGCTGGGATTGCAGTTGTGAGGCACCATGCCCAGCCCACAAGATATTTTTGACAGAGGAAGACAAACATTTAAACATTCATCTGTGCCAGTTTTCCCTACTCTGGGAAAGACTCTTGATCACTTAATTCCTATTCCTTTTAAAGAAAACTAATAGTAATAATTAGAAGCTTTCTGACAATGGTACAAAGTATAGAACTCATCAGTCCTAAAGAAAGGACTTTGAAACTCAAAGTACAGTATACCAAGTTCAATGCTCTTCAAGGCATTTTGTTGTCAAGGGGAGAAAAAAAGTAGTAAGTGGAAGTCAAAATGGGTTTATGAGAGGGCTTCTTTTTTTTGTTTTTGCTGTTGAGATTGGAAAAATAACAGTATGTTTGTATGCTCACAGGACATCCAGTGGCAGGAAAAAGAAAATCGCATGAGTGACCTGTTTGTGTACATGAGAGGGGATAGTGTGCAGTGCAAGAGTGGCAGCCTTGATTATGTGCCCACAGTAATAGTTTTCTCTCTTCTCCATACTTTCTGGGACATTATTTTTCAAAACTAGAAAAAGCCTATGTTAAAACTTTACCTTGCCAAAGAGGAGAATTAGGGGATAATTAATTGTATTATAAAAGAACCTTTAAAATAGTAAGCTCCCTCATAGCATGTAAAGGAGTTTTAATATAGAATTTGCACTCTATTTTTAAAGGAGCAAGTCTATTGCATAACACTGGATACATGTGTATACAATTATACAGTATAGAAGTAAAAAGACATGTGGCTACAAAGTTATGCTTACAATTTAGTCATTTAAGTTATAATGTAGGGCATTCCCCTAAAGACTTAGACTTTAATAATTTGAGGAGATTATTTTGTTTAATTTTGTCCTGGCAGGATTATTGGGTGGAGGTTGCTGACAGGTTAGCATATTTTTCACTTGAGCTGATGCTGCAGCTGTCTGAGAATATTTTGTTTGTTTTATCATAAATAATAAGCTTAAATGTAATTTTTGCTTTTCTTCACTGCCTCTGTGCTTTTATATATTCTGCACAAGTGCCTCAATGTTTCATTCAATTTGAACTATAAAATATAATCATGTGTTAAAGGAAGGTGGTAACGTTTATCATAAAGTTATAGTTTTTCCACTTTGCTTTCCAAATTCATTTAAGCTAGCAGCACAAAGCATAGTTCTTTTATAATGCTTATGTTCATAGCAAAAACATATAAATATTCCATCCACAAAACTGGTTCATAAAGAGAATGTTATAGGAAGGGATATTTTAGGTAACATCAGTACATATGTGTAAACCCTATATAACTTAGGTCATAAATCCACAGAACCTCAAACTCTTTGTGCTGAGAGTTCATACAAACTTCTTAATGAGATCAGAAGAGAGGCACCTGCTGGCAGCCCCACCCCTGTAATTATCATATTGGGCGAGTTTCTGCTTTACACAGAAGAGAATGGAAGTTTAATTAAATCATAATGCTATAGGATACCAAGGAAAAATTAAATATTAAAAAGTAGCCAATCATCTGCATCTTTAATAAACAATATGGTAGCTATAATCCACAAGTGGCTACTGAGCCCTTTAAATGTGGCTACTCTTAATTGAGATGTGATTTCAGTGTAAACCAACACCAGATTCCTAAGACTTAGTATTAAAAAATTTAAAATATCTCATTAGTAATTTTTACACTAATTATAAGTTACAATAATATTTTTAAATGTTGGGTTAAATAATACATATTATTAAAATTAATCTGTTTCTTTTTACTTTTTTTAAATAAGGCTACAAGAAAGTTTAAATTTATATATGCAGCCCACATTGAATATCTATAGGATAATGTTGCTCTAGATGTTTCCAAATGTTACATGATTTCCAATCTATAGGGAAAAAATTGCTAGTTGCTTATATGATATATATAATTTGCATGTTATTGTGATTAAGATCACAGAGTATGTAACCAGAATGCCTGTCTCCACATTCTGAATCTGCTTCTTATTAGCAAATTACTTATCTGAACCCCAGTTTTCTCAGTGGGAAAGAGGATATGATAATACTATCTACCTTGTACATTTTATTATAATGAGTAGAAGAGATAATTCACATAATGATGTTAGCAGAGTGCCAGTTTTATATGGCATTCAAGAGCTGACAGTTTTTTCTGATCAGCACAGCATTTTTTAAAAATTTAAACTTTTTTTATTATACTTTAAGTTTTAGGGTACATGTGTGCAACGTGCAGGTTAGTTACATATGTATACATGTGCCATGCTGGTGTGCTGCACCCATTAACTCGTCATCTAGCATTAGGTATATCTCCTAATGCTAACCCTCCCCCCTCCCCCCACCCCACAACAGGCCCCAGTGTGTGATGTTCCCCTTCCTGTGTCCATGTGTTCTCATTGTTCAATTCCCACCAATGAGTGAGAACATGCGGTGTTTGGTTTTTTGTCCTTGTGATAGTTTGCTGAGAATGACGTTTCCAACTTCATCCAGGTCCCTACAAAGGGCATGAACCCTTCATTTTTTTATGGCTGCATAGTATTCCATGGTGTATATGTGCCATATTTTCTTAATCCAGTCTATCATTGTTGGACATTTGGGTTGGTTCCAAGTCTTTGCTATTGTGAATAGTGCTGCAATAAACATATGTGTGCATGTGTCTTTATAGCAGCATGATTTATAATCCTTTGGGTATATACTCAGAAATGGCATTGCTGGATCAAATGGTATTTCTAGTTCTAGATCCCTGAGGAATCACCACACTGACTTCCACAATGGTTGAACTAATTTACAGTCCCACCAACAGTGTAAAAGTGTTCCTATTTCTCCACATCCTCTCCAGCACCTGTTGTTTCCTGACTTTTTAATGATTGCCATTCTAACTGGTGTGAGATGGTATCTTATTGTGGTATTGATTTGCATTTCTCTGATGGCCAGTGATGATGAGCATTTTTTCATGTGTCTTTTGGCTGCATAAATGTCTTCTTATGAGAAGTGTCTGTTCATATCCTTTGCCCACTTGTTGATGGGATTGTTTGTTTTTTTCTTGTAAATTTGTTTGAGTTCATTGTAGATTCTGGATATTAGCCCTTTATCAGATGAGTAGGTTGCAAAAATTTTCCCCCATTCTGTAGGTTGCCTGTTCACTCTGACGGTAGTTTCTTTTGCTGTGCAGAAGCTCTTTAGTTTAATTAGATCCCATTTGTCAATTTTGGCTTTTGTTGCCTTTGCTTTTGGTGTTTTAGTCATGAAGTCCTTGCCCATGCCTACATCCTGAATGGTATTGCCTAGGTTTTCTTCTAGGGTTTTTATGGTTTTAGGTCTAATGTTTAAGTCTTTAATCCATCTTGAATTAATTTTTGTATAAGGTGTAAGGAAGGGATCCAGTTTCAGCTTTCTACATATGACTAGCCAGTTTTCCTAGCACCATTTATTAAATAGGGAATCCTTTCCCCATTTCCTGTTTTCGTCAGGTTTGTCAAAGATCAGATGGCTGTAGATATGCGGCATTATTTCTGAGGTTTCTGTTCTGTTCCATTGGTCTATTTCTCTGTTTTGGTACCAGTACCACGCTGTTTTGGTTACTGTAGCCTTGTAGTATAGTTTGAAGTCAGGTCGCGTGATGCCTCCAGCTTTGTTCTTTTGGCTTAGGATTGACTTGGCAATGTGGGCTCTTTTTTGGTTCCATATGAACTTTAAAGTAGTTTTTTCCAATTCTGTGAAGAAAGTCATTGGTAGCTTGATGAGGATGGCATTGAAGCTGTAAATTACCTTGGGCAGTATGGCCATTTTCATGATATTGATTCTTCCTACCCATGAGCATGGAATGTTCTTCCATTTCTTTGTATCCTCTTTTATTTCATTGAGCAGTGGTTTGTAGTTCTCCTTGAAGAGATCCTTTACGTCCCTTGTAAGTTGGATTCCTAGGTATTTTATTCTCTTTGAAGCAATTGTGAATGGGAGTTCACTCATGATTTGGCTCTCTGTTTGTCTGTTATTGGTGTATAAGAATGCTTGTGATTTTTGTACATTGATTTGTATCCTGAGGCTGCTGAAGTTGCCTATCAGCTTAAGGAGATTTTGGGCTGAGACGATGGGGTTTTCTAGATATACAATCATGTCATCTGCAAATAGGGACAATTTGACTTCCTCTTTTCCTAATTGAATACGCTTTATTCCTTTTTCTTGCATGATTGCCCTGGCCAGAAATTCCAACACTATGTTGAATAGGAGTGGTGAGAGAGGGCATCCCTGTCTTGTGCCAGTTTTCAAAGGGAATGCTTCCAGTTTTTGCCCATTCAGTATGATATTGGCTGTGGGTTTCTCATAGATAGCTCTTATTATTTTGAGATACATCCCATCAATACCTAATTTATTGAGAGTTTTTAGCATGAAGCGTTGTTGAATTTTGTCAAAGGCCTTTTCTGCATCTATTGAGATAATCATATGGTTTTTGTCATTGGTTCTGTTTATATGCTGGATTATGTTTATTGATTTGTGTATGTTGAACCAGCCTTGCATCCCAGGGATGAAGCCCACTTGATTATGGTGGATAAGCTTTTTGATGTACTGCTGGATTCGGTTTGCCAGTATTTTATTGAAGATTTTTGCATTGATGTTCATCATGGATATTGGTCTAAAATTCCCTTTTTGTTTGTGTCTCTGCCAGGCTTTGGTATCAGGATGATGCTGGCCTCATAAAATGAGTTGGGGAGGATTCCCTCTTTTTCTATTGATTGGAATAGTTTCAGAAGGAATGGTACCAGTTCCTCCTTGTACCTCTGGTAGAATTCGGCTGTGAATCCATCTGGTCCTGGACTTTTTTTGGTTGGTAGGCTATTAATTATTGCCTCAATTTCAGAGCCTGTTACTGGTCTATTCAGAGACTCAACTTCTTCCTGGTTTAGTCTTGGGAGGGTCTATCTGTCGAGGAATTTATCCATTTCTTCTAGGTTTTCTAGTTTATTTGTGTAGAGGTGTTTATAGTATTTTCTGATGGTAGTTTGTATTTCTATGGGATCGGTGGTGATGTCCCCTTTATCATTTTTTATTGCGTCTATTTGATTCTTCTCTCTTTTCTTCTTTATTAGTCCTGCCATTGGTCTATCAATTTTGTTGATCTTTTAAAAAAACCAGCTCCTGGATTCATTGATTTTTGAAGGGTTTCCTCCTTTGTGTCTCTATTTCCTTCAGTTTTGCTCTGATCTTAGTTATTTCTTGCCTTCTGCTAGGTTTTGAATGTGTTTGCTCTTGCTTCTCTAGTTCTTTTAATTGTGATGTTCGGATGTCAATTTTAGATCTTTCCTGCTTTCTCCTGTGGGCATTTAGTGCTATAAATTTCCCTCTACACACTGCTTTGAATGTGCCCCAGAGATTCTGCTATGTTGTGCCTTTGTTCTCATTGATTTCAAAGAACATCTTTATTTCTGCCTTCATTTCGTTTTGTACCCAGTAGTCATTCAGGAGCAGGTTGTTCAGTTTCCATGTAGTTGAGGGGTTTTGAGTGAGTTTCTTAATCCTGAGTTCTAGTTTGATTGCACTGTGGTCTGAGAGACAGTTTGTCATAATTTCTGTTCTTTTACATTTGCTGAGGAGTGCTTTACTTCCAACTGTGTGGTCAATTTTGGAATACGTGTGGTGTGGTGCTGAAAAGAATGTATATTCTGTTGATTTGGGGTGGAGAGTTCTGTAGAAGTCTATTAGGTCCGCTTGGTGCAGAGCTGAGTTCAATTCCTGGATATCCTTGTTAACTTTCTGTCTTGTTGATCTGTCTAATGTTGACAGTGTGGTGTTAAAGTCTCCCATTATTATTGTATGGGAGTCTAAATCTCTTTGTAGGTCTCTAAGGACTTGCTTTGTGAATCTGGGTCCTCCTGTATTGGGTGCATATATATTTAGGATAGTTAGCTCTTCTTGTTGAATTGATCCCTTTACCATTATGTAATGGCCTTCTTTGTCTTTTTTGATCTTTGTTGGTTTAAAGTCTGTTTTATCAGAGACTAGGATTGCAACTCCTGCCGTTTTTTGTTTTCCATTTGCTTGGTAGATCTTCCTCCATCCCTTTATTTTGAGCCTATATGTGTCTCTGCATGTGAGATGGGTTTCCTGAATACAGTACAGTGATGGGTCTTGACTCTATCCAACTTACCAGTCTGTGTCTTTTAAGTGGAGCATTTAGCCCCTTTACATTTAAGGTTAATATTATTATGTGTGAATGTGTGAATTTGATCCTGTCATTATGATGTTAGTTGGTTATTTTGCTCGTTAGTTGATGCAGTTTCTTCCTAGCCTCGAAGGTCTTTACAATTTGGCATGTTTTTGCAGTGGCTGGTACCGGTTGTTCCTTTCCATGTTTAGTGCTTCCTTCAGGAGCTCTTGTAGGGCAGGCCTGGTGGTGACAAAATCTCTCAGCATTTGCTTGTCTGTAAAGGATTTTATTTCTCCTTCACTTATGAAGCTTAGTTTGGCTGGATATGAAATTCTGCACTGAAAATTCTTTTCTTTAAGAATGTTGAATATTGGCCCCCACTCTCTTCTGGCTTTTAGAGTTTCTGCCAAGAGATCAGCTGTGAGTCTGATGGGCTTCCCTTTGTGGGTAACCCGACCTTTCTCTCTGGCTGCCCTTAACATTTTTTCCTTCATTTCAACTTTCGTGAATCTGACAATTATGTGTCTTGGAGTTGCTCTTCTCGAGGAGTATCTTTGTGGCTTTCTCTGTATTTCCTGAATTTGAATGTTGGCCCGCCTTGCTAGATTGGAGAAGTTCTCCTGGATAATATCCTGCAGAGTGTTTTCCAGCTTGGTTCCATTCTCCCCGTCACTTTCAGGTACACCAATCAGACGTAGATTTGGTCTTTTCACATAGTCCCATATTTCTTGGAGGCTTTGTTCATTTCTTTTTATTCTTTTTTCTCTAAACTTCTCTTCTCACTTCATTTCATTCATTTGATCTTCCATCACTGGTACCCTTTCTTCCAGTTGATCGAATTGGGTACTGAGGCTTGTGCATTTGTCATATAGTTCTTGTGCCATGGTTTTCAGCTCCATCAGGTCCTTTAAGGACTTCTCTGCATTGGTTATTCTAGTTAGCCATTCGTCTAATTTTTTTTCAAGGTTTTTAACTTCTTTGCCATGGGTTCGAACTTCCTCCTTTAGCTCGGAGTAGTTTGATTGTCTGAAGGCTTCTTCTCTCAACTCGTCAAAGTCATTCTCTGTCCAGCTTTGTGCCATTGCTGGTGAGGAGCTGCGTTCCTTTGGAGGAGGAGAGGCGCTCTGCTTTTTAGAGTTTCCAGTTTTTCTGCTCTGTTTTTTCCCCATCTTTGTGGTTTTATCTACCTTTGGTCTTTGATGATAGTGACGTACAGATGGGGTTTTGGTGTGGATGTCCTTTCTGTTTGCTAGTTTTTCTTTTAACAGTCAGGACCCTCAGCTGCACGCCTGTTGGAGTTTGCTGGAGGTCCACTCCAGACCCTGTTTGCCTGGGTATCAGCAGCGGATCCTGCAGAACAGTGGATATTGGTGAACAGCAAATGTTGCTGCTTGATCGTTCCTCTGGAAGTTTTGTCTCAGAGGAGTACCCGGCCGTGTGAGTTGTCAGTCTGCCCCTACTGGCGGGTGCCTCCCAGTTAGGCTACTCGGGAGTCAGGGACCCACTTGAGGAGGCAGTCTGCCCGTTCTCAGATCTGCAGCTGCGTGCCGGGAGAACCACTACTCTCTTCAAAGCTGTCAGACAGGGACATTTAAGTCTGCAGATGATTCTGCTGCCTTTTGTTTGGCAATGCCCTGCCCCCAGAGGTAGAGTCTACAGAGGCAGGCAGGCCTCCTTGAGCTGCGGTGGGCTCCACCCAGTTCGAGTTTCCCGGCTGCTTTGTTTACCTACTCAAGCTTGGGCAATGGCGGGCGCCCTTCCCCCAGCCTTGCTGTAGCCTTGTAGTTTGATCTCAGACTGCTGTGCTAGCAATGAGCGAGGCTCCATGGGCGTAGGACCTTCAGGGCCAGTCGCAGGATATAATCTCCTGGTGTGCCTTTTGCTAAGACCATTGGAAAAGCACAGTATTAGGGTGGGAGTGACCCGATTTTCCAGGTGCCGTCTGTCACCCCTTTCTTTGACTAGGAAAGGGAATTCCCTGACCCCTTGCGCTTCCCAGGTGAGGCGATGCCTCGCCCTGCTTTGGGTCACGCTGGGTGTGCTGCACCCACTGTCCTGCAACCACTTTCCGACACTCCCAGTGAAATGAACCCGGTACCTCAGTTGGAAATGCAGAAATCACCTGTCTTCTGCGTCGCTCACGCTGGGAGCTGCAGACTGGAGCTGTTCCTATTCCGCCATCTTGGCTCCAGGCCTAAAATTAAAATTTTGTCTTCTCCATTTCAGCCACAGGTCCTGCCATTCTCTATTGCTTATGCAATCTGAATTGTCCTTGTCCTGAGGACATTTAAATTTGTGACAATATCACAGAATTCCTATCAGCTTTCCATTTCTTCTACGTAGAAGTTTACAAACTGATCCTAAAATTTATCTGGAATTGCAAGGGACTCAGAATAGCCAGAACAATCTTGAGAAAGGAGAACAAAGTAGAAGGACTCATGCATTCACATTCTAAAACTTACTACAGAGCAGCAGTGATCAAGACTGTGGTACTGGCATGAGGAGAAACATATAGATCAGTGAAATAGAATTGAACATCCAGAAATAACCCTCATAATTGGTGAACTGTTTTTTAATAAGGGTGTCAAGATTTTCCAATTAGAAAACAACAGTCATTTCAACAAATGGTAATGGGATAGTTGAATAGCCACGTGCATAAAAATAGACTCTTGCTTCATACCATTTACAAAAACTAACTCAAAAGTTCTAAATATGAGTTAAAGCTATACAATCTTAAAAGAAAACATAGTAGTAAAACTTCATAAACTTAGATTTGACAAAAATTCTTAGGTATGACACCAAAAGCACAAGCAGCAAAAGAAAAACATATACTGAACTCATCAATATCAATAACTTTTGAGAATAAAAGAAACTATCACTTACCAAGTTTTGTTGTGGTATCAGAAAAGAATATCTACAATTATCTTTAAAAGGCTACTAAAATATTCCTCCTTTTGCTAACTACATATTGTGAGAGCAGATTTTTTTCCATATGCTTCAACCAAAATAACATATCTCAAAAGACTGAATGAGGAAGCAGATAGAATCTGGGTGGCTTCTACAAACCTGGATGTTCAAGACATTTGCAAACATGTAGAACAATGTCACTCTTCCCAATAACTTTGTGGGGGGTCGGGTTGGGATATATAGTAAATTTTATAGAAAATAGTATTACATTGATATGCAATGAGATTATCCTTGCTATTTTAAATTCATTAAATATTTTAAATTTATAAAAAATTGACTTTTCTGCTTCAAAGGACATTATCAAGTAAGTGAAATGACAACGTACAGAAAGGGAGAAAATATTTTCAAATCATATATGTGATAAAGAACTTGTATCCAGAATATAGAAAGAACCATGCCATAGAAAGAACCATGCCATCTCAATAGTAATAAGAAAAATAACTCAGTTCAAAAATGGGCAAAGAAGATGAAAAGGACTTTTCTCCAAGGAATACACACAAATGGTACAGGGGATGGACATCATTAGCCATCAGGGAAAAGCAAATGAAAACCACAATGACATACTATTTCATGTCCACTAGCTTGGCTATAATTAAAAAACAAAACAAAACAAAAATAGATAACTGTTGGTAAGAGTGTAGAGAAGTTACAACTGCACACAATGCTAGTGGAAATGTAAAATGGTGAAGCCACTTTGGGAAACAGTCTGGCAGTTTTTTAAAAGAGTAAACACAGAATTATCATATAACCCAGAAATTCCACTCCTAGATATATATACAAGAGAAATTAAAACATATGCCAACACAGAAACTGATATGTGAATGTTTACAGCGGCATCATTTGTAATAGCCAAAAGGTAGAAAAAAATCCAAATGTTCATCAACTGATGAAAGGATAAACAAAATATGGCATATACATGCAGTAGAATATTATTTGGCCATGAAACAATGAATTACTGGTAAGGGCCACAACATAGATGAACCTTGAAAACATTATGCTAAGGAAAAAAAGCTAGTCACAAAAGATCACATATTATATAATTCCATTCATTTGAAATCTCTAGAGCAGGGAAATCTATACGACACAAAGTAGGTTAGGGGTTGCCTAGGGCTGGGGGCTGGGGGTTGGGAATGTAGGGGCTGATAGCTAAAGTGTATGAGATTTATTTTGAGGGTGCTAAAAATATTCTAAAATTGACCATGGTGATGGTTGCACATATCTTTGAATACACTAATTGTACACTTTAAATAGGTGAATTGTGTATATGTGAACTTTATCTCAATAAAGTTGCTTTAAAAAGCACATCACAAATTGGCTTATCAAAAACATGGTAATAAAAAGTAGTATTTCTATGTGAAAGAGCAAAATACTCCGTATTTTAAGTCTGTAACATAATTATATAAAACATGATTCCAATTTCTACCTTACATCCTTTGGTCCCTCTTCTAGCTCTCCATAAGATCTCATAAGGTGATTATAGCTGATAAGCTATTTAAAGCTCTGTGTGATGCCCAGACAAAGCCAAGTGCTAGAGTTCAGGGTTTAGGCATCTTGATAAATAGCAGGTTTATTATGCTTAATAAATTTGGGTTAATTTCCTTTATTTTTATCAGTAGTGCTGTGCATAGGAAAGTGAACGCTTACACCCAGAAAAATCAAGCCCAGAGTCAAGTCTGAATGATTTCATTTTAATGCTTAGTGTTAGAATTAATCACTTAAAAATAATTTAAAATGTTTCTGAGGTTAAAAAAATAAACTTATTAAATATTGAATGAAATGCTTAATGATGCTCTTTGGAATAGGAACATAGAGGATGCTACAAAGATGAACTTCCAAGATACATTTGTTTTGTAAAATGTGCCAAGTATTTTTAGCTTTGTTTAGTATGAGTATTCAGTTGGAATAAAATAGCCCAATTGATCAATTTGTTAACCAGTTTAAGAGGGCAGTGTCAACATGTTGCTACTTCAAGGACCTCTTTTACTTTCTCCGTCTGCACAGATGTCATTGCCAATCAAATGTAACACCAGGATTTTGTCCTGCAATCCCAAAAGGTGTGGCAAATAAGACCTTAAAGACGCAGTGTTTCATAAATCTTGGTGGTGCCCAAGCCTAAGCCCACTGCTGTCCAGTTTTAGGTCATCATTAGATTTCTTATTTACTGATGGCTTAAACTCAATTCCATAGATAAGTGTAGAAGAGGGTTGACATGCAAACTCTTCTTGGTATAGGGAGAGAAAGGGAAGACATTCCCTGCCCCCCATCCCCCGCCCCTGCCCTTTTTTTTATATCACTATATGAGAAGGAGAAACATTGTTCAACAAGCTCAGCTTGAGACTTCTGTGCATATGATTTTGAGAAAATATACTCTCAAAATATATGCTTTCCCAGGACAGTGTATCTATGTTGGGTTAGAGTTGCGGTTTGAGAGAGGGTGAATATGGTGAGGCCTGGAGTCCTTTAGTCACACATTACAACAAATGAATCTGTTCTATAGAAAAAAATCATTACTTTTCATTGATTCTGTTTCCATGCAACCTAGCGCATGGGCTGGAATTCTGGCACTTAGTAGCTGTTTAATATTAAGCAAGTGACTCAACCTCTCTGAGTCTCAGTTTACTCCTCTGTAAGATGGGAATGATAGTTGTACCAACTTCTTTGGGATATTACAGGGATTAAATGGATTACTTAATGTAAAGCAATTTATATGAGTTAATTTTCACAGATCGTGCCCTCACACAACTTAAATTTAAATAAGGAAGTGGCCAGGTGCGGTGGATTATGCCTGTCATCCCAGCACTTTGGGAGGCTGAGGCGGGCAGATAACTTGAGGTCAGGAATTTAAGAGCAGTCTGGCAAACATGGTGAAACCCGGCCCTGCTAAAAAAATACAAAACTTAGCTAAGCATGGTGGCATGTTCCTGTAGTCCCAGCTACTCAGGAGGCTGAAGCATGAGAATCACTTGAACCCAGGAGGTAGAGGTTGCAGTGGGCTGAGATGGAGCCACTGCACTCCAGCCTGGGTGAAAGAACAAAACTCCATCTCAAAAAAAAAAAAAGAAAAAAAATTAATAGGGAAGAGATGAAGCCAGATGTAATTATAAACTCAAAATTGAGTCCCTTGAATCTATAGACATCAACTGCAATTCATTAAACTTTTCCCTAAAAGATAAAACAACAAACTCATAAAAAAGATATAGTAATTCAATTATATAAAAATAAAAACTGTGTGCATGGCAAAAACTTCTACATGTAAAGCCAAAAGAAAAATAATTACCGACAGGGAAACTATTTGTAATATATTCTTCTCTAA
Organism: Homo sapiens; assembly: GCF_000001405.40. NCBI lineage: Eukaryota > Metazoa > Chordata > Mammalia > Primates > Hominidae > Homo > Homo sapiens. Next base: position 51,220,259 of record NC_000006.12, on the reverse strand, counting down.
AACATAAGCAGCTTATATAAATACATACAAGTATACAAACACCACAATGGAAAAAAATGTAGAAGATGCATTAACAGAGAGTTTACCAAAAAAGAAATATAAATGTCCCGTAAGCATATAGAGCTATGCTCAAACTCATTCCTAATCAGGAGAATGTAAGTTTAATATATAGATACAAATTTTCATTTATCAAGGAGGTGATGGATATGTGGGAAATACCATTTTTGTACACTGCTGGTGAGAGCATAACTTGTTACAACCTTTATGGAGGGAAGTTTGGCAATATTTAAAAATATAGGAATGTACATTCTATGTGGTCAAGCAATTTTATTTTGAGGAATTTATGTTGGAGATAAACTTGACATTCTAGAATGATCAATGTGAAAAGTTATTCATTGTAGCCTTATTTGCAATACAAAATACTTGGGTAAAATCCTAAATATGGTATGGTTAAATATGTGTAAAAACAGCCATACACTGGAATGCTATTCAGGTACATAAAATGAGGAGCCTTTTAACATGCCAACATGGAAAGATCTACAAGATCCAAAAATAATGAAAGCAATTACAGTAACAATAGCTAGCAACACTAGGTGGTTTTGATGTGACAGAAACAGTGCTCAGTGCTTTCCATGCATATCAAATTATCCACAACAACCTGATAGGGCACACACTATTAGATTTCCCACTTTACAGATGAAAAAAAAAACAAACTGTGGTGCAGAAAGGTTAACTAACTTGTATAAACTCACTTAGATAGTATTGGTTTGGTCAAGATTTGAACTCAGATAGTCCAGCTCCAGTGTCTGCCTCTTTTTTTTAAGTACACTGTATGGTTTTTCCAACTAAAAAAGCAAGGTGCTGAATAATATCATTTTCTATCATTTAAAAATGTTAAATGGAAAATGGTGGAAATGACACCATATACACACACGCATCATATGTACATATTTTCTTATATAAGAATAAACTCTTTCTAGAAGGATATATGAGAAACTGGCACAGTTGATTGCCTGAGGAGGGAAACCAGGTATCTAGGGGACAGGAATAGAAGGAAGACTTTTTACCATGTAACCTTTTATACCATTTGAATTTGAAATGTTTTGAGAAAATAATACACTTTATCTAACAAACAGCTTGTTTTTTGTTTGTTTGTTTTTTGTTTTTTTTTTTACTTTGATATGGCAAAACTTACATCTCAGAGATATCATCTCTTTTAGCCTATGTGTACCCTTAATTCACCTCAACAGACAGCTATGAGCTTGATCTTTACTTGACTCTTCAGCAGGAAACCTGTACTACATACTAAGCAGGAAATGTCTACAATGGGAAGAGAGTGAGAGTACTATCTTCTTGTGATATAGGAGAGTACCCAAAATTGGGGTAACAGTGCTGTCTGAATGCATTTTTACCTGAAACAAAACACCAACCAGCTTATCCTAACTCAGCAAGCCCCAGGGGGAATCTGAGACAGGTCTGTATCTAGGGAAGGCCCTCAGTTTAGAGCACTTACGACAGTGACAGTGTGCTTTTCTATCCTAGCATTCATCTAAGCCATAACACACACACACACATACACACACACACACACACACCAGTTATAACTGGTCACTTCTCTCTATCTTGTTCCTAGAGTCTGCCATCAGTACCTGACTACCTAAAGCACCTGAGCTCATCCATTATTTCTAGGGACAACAAAGGCATTTCAGATTCACTAATAGAATCTGACCATTCTGAACTCAACATCTCACAACTTCTATCCAAGCATTGGCTGCCATTATTAAAACATAATTCAATTAACCTCAGATTTCCAAATAGTAGTTTCCTTACTGGTCATCCATTAATTTGCCTCACAAGGTAGAAATAATAACTAGATTTTCCAAAGTCAATCAGATCACGTGATTTGATGCTTTTGTTGTTTTTTTTATAACGGATTCATATCATTTATTAGAAGAGGATCTGGCAAAGGCATAAAATTCAATTACTTTCATTCCCTTATTCAAATATGTTTACTGATTGTCCAACAGACGTCAGGTACTGTTCTTGTTCTGAACAACCCAAAGTCTCCACCCTCCTGGAATTCACATGTTAATAGAAAATATAATCAATAAACAAGCAGAGTCATAAATAAGTAATAAGTGTCAGGTGGGAATTAGTGCTATGAAGAATAATATAGCAGCATGAGAAGACAGACAGTGAAGGGGAGTCAGGCTAGGGGAGACACTACTTGGGGTCAAGTGGTCAGGGAAAGGCTCTCTAAAAAGAAGACATTGGAGCAGACACCTGAATGAAGCAGAGAGAGGAACTCCAGGCAGCAGGAACAGAAAGTACAAAGGCCCTGAGGTGACAATCAATTTGATAGGCTCAAGTACCAGCAAAAACAAACAAACAAACAAACAAACAAACAAACATGTAGGTGGTGTGCAGAGACTAAGGCAGACATAAGGCAGGAGAGAAAAGCAGGGGGGCAGATTTCAAAGGATTTGGGATTGCAGATATTCCAAATATGATGAGAACTCATTGCAAGTTTTGAGTAGGGAATTGATTTATATTTTGGAATATCACCCTGATAATAGACTATAAGCAGGCAAAGGTAGAAGCACATCAATTAGGAGGCTATTCCAGAAAGTCAAGACAGAATTGATGGTAGCCTAGCCTAAGGTGGGAGCAGAAATTGAGGTGAAGGCTGCCAGGTCTGAGAAATATTTTGAAGGCAGACTTTCTTAGAAATGTGTTGAGGTGTGAGAGAAGAATGGAAATCAAAGATGACTGCTCAGTTTTTGACCTGAGCACCTGAATAAATGGTTGTGCCCTTTAATGAAACTGGGGACCGAAGGGGAAGAGCAGATTGGGAAGGTGGAGTTGAAATAAAGAGTTCTGCATTGGATATGTTAAGTTTGGGCTGCTCAGAAAACATGTAGATAGAGTAATTAATAGGCAGTTAGGAAATGTGGAGCTTACAGGGAGGTCATGGCTGGAGAAGTAAATTTTGGACTATATGTTGATCATATTGTCTCTACTGAAAAGAATAAGGTTACATAAAATCAGAATGTCCCTTGGAAAATCTAAGATGGTAGATTTGCAGCACAATCAGACCATAAGAACCTGGAGGGCAGGAAGTGGCAGTGTGCACACATTTTAGTTGCTGAGAATTTTATTAATGAATAATAAGATCACCTAGGCCAAGAACACAGCCTGTGGACTAAGACTGGTCAGAATAAAATTTCAGCTCCACCATTTATGAGCTATGGGGCTTTGTTATTTAAAGTTCCTATGCCTCAATTTTATATGTATATATAATATCCAACAAATATATATGGCCTCTTATCTAGGGTAATTCCTGTGCTAGACTTAGAGGCAAATGTGGTAAGCAAGATAAATATGGTCCATGTCTCAGGGAGCTTATGGTTTAGTGGGCTGAAATAAAAACAATTGTGCTTTTTCCCTTGATTTGGTAAGGATTAGATGAAATGATGCTCACTGTGCTGGCATTTAACACATCCCTTATAAATGTGAGTTTTTGTGGTTGTAGTTAGCTAATTCTATGAATAAAACACAAGTAATAGCTAGCCTTTGTGTTGAAAATTAGCAACAAAGGGAAGTCCTCTGAATTTAGTAAGACAATGAAAATGAAAAATGTAAAAATAATCAACTAATAATTAGAGAAACATTTTTTAAAAAAAGAAATACATTTTTTCTCTTATCAATGTCTCCTACTGGAAGCAACCTCTGTGGAGGGGAGGAGATAGTCACTTTCATCCACTGGTAGTTGACATATGCATTGGTACAACTTTTCAGGTGGGTAGTGTGGATATTTATCTTTCCATATAAAACTCACATGTATTTAATTCGAAATCTGCATTCTTTTTGATGGAGTAATTCCATTTCTAAAGTTATTTTCTTAAAAAATAGTTGAAATTTATCAAATATAACTGTGATCACATGCCCCATATATTGTAAGCTCTGTGTGGGACAAGACTGTTCTTTCCACAGTTTGATTATCTGTGCCTAGCATGGCAGCTGGTTCAGAGAAGGCACTGAATAACATTTATCAAATGAATAAACACAAAAGCAAAGTTCTATATACAAGGATGTTCACTTCAGTGTTTTTTTTAATTGTGAACAATGTAAATCCTCAGTGTTCATCTGCAGAAGATTGTTTGAGGCTGTCCTTTCCACTTAGATTACAATCCATGCTCATTCTCATCATCTATAAAACTTATATGATTTGCCCCCAAGCCTCATCTCAGACTTAATCACCCACCTTTTTCCTCTGGCTTACTTTGTTCCAAATGCACGGTTTTCCTTGTTATTTCTCAAACAAGCCATGCATGACATAATCTCAAAACCTTTGAACTTGCCATTCCTTCTGCCTGGACACTCTTCCCCTCCATATGAACGTGGCTCTCTCTCTCCTTCACTGCATGTCTCATCTCAACTATAAGTGGCTCAAAAGGCTTGGCTACCCCACTTAAAACAGCAACACCACTTCTTCACCCTGCTGGACTCTTTTTTTCTAGAGCAACACTTGGTAATAATCATTGAAACTACTGGAAGATTGACATGTTTTTTAAAAACAGGCTTTGCTACTCAAAATATAGGTATACCACCATTGGCAGAGAAGAATCTCATCTTTGTAGTGAGGCTGGTAACTTATTTCTCAATGTAAACTCATCTGGGAGTAGAGAGAGGCCTTTCAGATTAAAGAAAAAAAAGGGCTACTGATGCATGGTAATTGGCTTGCAGAAGCACTCTGTTTTGCATCTTTTTTTTTTTTTTTTTGCTACAGACATGGGAAGGTAAGTAATAATCAGAACCTTTCCTTTTTTATTTTGGAAGACAGCTCTGTAGATAAACACACAGAACTCCACATAGAAATAAATTGTATATTTTCAAATAAAATGCACATTAAATACAGTAGAAATAATTAAAAATGAGTAAATTAATATTTGATGGGAAACAGGATATAAGCAAGCCACTTTTGAATTCATGTTTTCTCGATAAACACCAGCAAGACCTCAAGCCAACTGGGATTCATTTACACTATTTACCTTTCTCTTAAATTATGAAGAGACAAGTGATTTCAAATATAAATTCCTAGCAAACCTTTGCTTCATAAATATGAAAATTCCAGCAATGTTGGAATAATTAAAGCTGAACTGAAATAGAAATAATTTCGAGTTACAGTACTTGGCAAAACCTTGATGTTCCCTTAGCAGGTCAGATGCCCAGTCGTCAAAGAGCATTCTCTCAGGAATTGAAGTTCAATTACTACAAAGATGTTCCCAGTATCAATGGAAAATCATATTTCTACGAGAGCTTCAGTGGTCAATTTCTTAAAGAAAAATAAACATGTTCCTAAAAGCCTTGAATACACCCAAAGTCATATAACTCATGCTAACTATAAATGCCCAGTCTTCAAGGGGCACAACCGCATACACTTTTCTCTTTTTTCTCTGATTGCTTTGACATTGGAATTAAATGAATATGCTGCTTGGGAGCCCTAGTCAAAGCTCCCACCTTAAAATTCTTTCAAAAGACACAAAAGAGACCATAGGTCAAAGCCTCATACCCCACCAACTGTGCTTGGCAAATGCCAAGTGGGATTAAAGGAGGTTAACTGCAAGTTTCCCACCTTCACTGTCTTGAGCCCTCCGAGGAAGGGTCCCAAGTAAAAAGGCGTGGTAAACACAACACACACACACACACACACACACACACTTCTTGAGAGTCACCAGCGTGAACTGTCACCTTCTCTTTTTAAGAACAGACTATTTTAAGTTTTGCAGAGAGGACCACATCTCTTCATGAGTATGAGAAAGTACTGGAACTCTGGGAAGCTCAGAGAAAGAGAACTCCACGGTGGCTAAAGAACAGGAGAAAGCTGGGGATTAATCGGAACAGAGGCAGTTCCTTCACTAATACATATTGCTTTCATTATGATAATAAAACATTCTAGGGAGTAAGTTGCCAGGGAGAGAAAGGGAGAAGAAACTCTCTCTCTCCCCCTCTCTCTCTCTTCTGAAGGAAGCAGCAGTGTCTCCTTGCAGAACGACAACCCTGAGGATACAGCAGTTGTCTTCAAATCTGTGACCATAAAAAATCATTATCTCTGTGAAATACAGCAATTTGGGAGATAATCAAACGGTGACCAGGGGGCAGAGCTGCCAATCTGAAGGATTATGCTCCCGCGCGCCTGCCTGCTCCTGACCTTCCTGGGAGCCAGCTGTCGGCGCCGCGAAGGCGCCCCATCCACTCCGGGCACATTCATTAGGCTGCCTTCGGTGCAAGAGCCATTTGCATAACACCCCGGCTTTCTTAATTAGTACTTCATTTCTCCCTTGACTTATTTTGTGGCTAAGTTCACTGTCCCCCCCGCCCCCTCCTTTCTTCGCTCTTCCCTTGCTGAACTATATGAAGGGTTAGAGGAGGTGGGCGGGGAAGCTAAGAAGGGAAAAGGAATGGGACTTGCAAATGAAAGCACTGGTAATTAGTCTATTAATATTTCCGGATTTGCGTGAGGTTTTTTCGTCAGACTGTTTTGGGAGAGATTTATCCTCCCAACTTCTAACTCCGCTGTATGCCAATGAAAGTACATTTGCCTCCTTGTTTTCTTAGAATACACCCTCAGTGATCAATGAGTCTTTGATTTCAGATTTTCAAAATTAGTATTAACTCCATGAGAGGGAGGGATCAAGTCTATCCACGAATGAGTTGAGCAGGTCTCAATTTCTGATGGAGGGGTGAGCGAATCTTTTCCTGGTAGGTCCATACAGTTTTGATTTTTTTAAAATTTCAACCTCTCTTGATTATTCCAAATAAGTGAAATGAAAATAAGAACAACGATATTCAATATGTGATTATTATAATTCTCTAGGATGGAAATTTCAGATTCAGACAAAACCAAATTGCTCTTTTCTTAAAGGTAGTGTTTATTACCTGATCTAAGAAGTAGAAATGCCTCAACTTCCCATTTAATAGGCATATCCTGTGATAATAATGAATCTCAATTTCTGCTCATGAAGAGAAGACAGATTCTGTTATGTGGGCCCAAGAGACACGTGATGACCTCTTTGAAGAAAATAGGAAGTGACCATTATTAAAAGCCACAATCTGTGATGCTTTAGTCCTGAGATGTGTGAGTCACATCCATAAAAATCAATAATTATTTCTAAAAAGTCTCAATTATTTTAGTATCTACTGCATTTCTTCCATTTTTTTAAATATTTTAACTCTATACCGTAGATCATTCAAGTTGCACTATGATACAGAATTGTACTATGAAAAGAAGTTCTTTTCATCCAAATATCTAATAAACCTGTTCTTATCAAAAGTATAATGTTGGACAGAATAGATACAGAAAGTAACAGGAAAGTATAAATCCTCATGAAGCTTGCAATCTAGTTGAGGAGGAAAGACACATGCTTAAGCAGCATGATGACAATTCCATGACAATAAATAGATTAACAAATGAGTGAAGGTGATTTGGTCAGAGGTGTTGCAGCCTCACTGGAGATGGGAGCTCCTCTGTTGGTTGCTCTTCAAACCTGAACCCTAAGTCATTTAGCAAAATGTATTTATGGCCACATCCTATCTCTCCATTTGTATGCAGCAAAGTATTTCTTTTCTGTCTCTCAGTTTCTTCATTTTCAATATACAGATATACACAATCTGCATAAGTAGTTGTTAGAGGCTTTACCTGATGCTTCTTGATTCTAATAAAAAGATTAACTGATGAATTTATGTGATATAAATTATCGAAAATTTTATTGTTTATTTCTGTAGTTGAGAAAGCCCCAAGTTAGTGGCCAAATTCTCAACACAAGCACGTTTAAATATGGCTGCCTAAGGGAAAGAAGACTTTAAGTGCAGAATTTTAAATTGTTTCATCCATATATATATATATATATAGCAATAACCAACTACATTTTTACTGCACATGTGCAAATGTATTACTTTAAGTCATGATCACTTTGAAAATGCTTAAGCAATTTTCTTTAAATTTGGTTTGGTTTTCCTCCTTCAGTGGGCTCTGTAACTAAGCCAAATATAAAGAGTATAGGTTTGGTGCAAATAGAATCTTGACCATTTGGCTGTGGTTGGGGCAGACAGGAGCTGTGTTTTGTTTTTTTTAGTTTCTTGAAATCCCAAATCAGCTTAATTCATTTTACCATAATTAATAAGTACACACACACACATGCACATACATACAAACAAGATAAATAAAAAGAGACTGCATATTTGTTCAAGAAAAGAAACATTTTGACCCTAAATTATTATTTTTAAGAAGTCTGTTTAAAGGCACTTATACACCTTTTAAGAAACATACCAATACACATTCAGAATTTTTTTCTCAGAGTATTTTTTAAATGTAAAATTTATGAATTACAATAATGTGAACAATATGTATTTTTCTTTATATATCCAGGTACACTTGTACTTAGAATAAACACATGTGTGGTACAATATGAAAATAGTTCTATTATGACTAACAAATTTTCTTTAATATGTAATCATGCACTCACACACATAATTTATAAGCAATATATACTGATGCACATTTCCAAATGCATTTCTTTTTTATTATTTTATTTATTCTTTATTTTCCACTGAAATCTAATCATTTTTTTTCACCAGAGAATTTTTCCTCCCTCTAAAAAAAATTGAATGCAGTTAATTTAATCTCTACAATTAAAACGCTTTAAGAATTCCATCTGAGAAGTTTAAAAACACACAGGGCAAAGGATAGGCCAAGAAGTTATGTTGGCAGTGATATATATTACTCAGGAGCAATAAGAAGGGGTAAAATCATATGTGAAACAATCATTTGAAATGTTAAGCTTTGAAATATTTGCCCATAATGTTATTTTAGTATAGTTGGTTGCACTGAATGGATGTGGGTCTCTGTCCCAAGTGATACTTCTGTGAACATAAAGTGTCTGCAGGTGTTTGCCTCCAGGTAGGTCACTGAAAGACAATGCAAATGAAGACAATTTCCCCAGTAGCAGCAACCATAGAAATTAACAAGCAGAAACCTAGTAGACATTGGCATCATTCTCTATCGCAAGATAAGTTTCAGGGCATTTTAGAATTTGCCCTCCATTAACTCCTGGATTACCCTGTCCCTCAGATGTATGCCACCAGGTCATAAGCATGGAAACTGAGTATAAGAAATTAATTATTCACTTATTGAATATGAACTTTCTATTTTATTCAAGGCTCACTTGATATCGCACACTAGCTACTGTCATCCACCTGCTTGCTTCTGCAACACTGTTCCTCCATGTCAATTGGATAGCACTTTGGCAAATAATTTTAATCCAAGCATAAAGTAGGCAAACCTCTCCACCTGGAAATGCCACACAATACATATCTAGTTAAAAAATAATCTTTTGTGGCATATCTTGTTTTAGATCACAGTTAACCCTCCATATCCATGGGTTCCACATTCACATTCAGTCAACCTTGGATCAAAAATATTTGGGAAAAAATAATAATAATGACACAACAATTTTAAAAATACAGTATAATAACTATTTACACAGTCTTTATATTGTTTTAGGTATTTATGTTGTATTCAATATTGGTCTTATTGAATGCCTTATTATTACAGGTAATTTAGAGATAAAGTATACAGGAGAATGTATGTAGGTTATATGAAAATACTATGCCATTTTATATAAAAGACTTGAACATCCATGAATTTTCATATCTGCAGTGTTCCTGGAACAAATGTCCTGTGGATACCAAAGGAAGACTGTATTATTACATATCAAATTTATTCTGACTGTTTTGTCAGTTAAGATAATTGAGAAGAGATGAAAAAGGGAGAATTTTACACAAGTCAGGCTTTTTTATTTGTGTAACTCATTTAATTCTTTTCAAGATTCCAGGTGATATGTATCAATGTCCCCACTTCACAGTGAAGAAACTAAAGCATACATAGATTAAATAATTTTCTGAATATCACATAGCTAGAAAATAATTGAGCCAGCACTTGAAGCCAGGTGTCTCCGATTCTAATGCATTTGATTTTTCCACAGTAAAACATTGTCTTGGCCTTGTATGCACATGCAAAGTTTTCAAATGGTTTGGGTAATTGCAAAATAAAAGGCATCTACAAAAATGAAGCATTCCTAGTAAGTGAAACTATTTTAGTAAAACAGCTCACAGATGTATATAATGCAATGTATGTAATAAAATCACTGAAACTTAACAACTACATAGAATGATATGCCATATTCACCCATATGATGCCTGCTAGTGAAGTCCAGACAATCAGATAGAATAGAGGCGATCCCCTTCTGAACATGCCTTTCCATACATTTTCTCATAACACATGCCATCACTAGTAATAAAATTGGAACTTGAATTCTACAACACTGAGGCAATAAAATGTCCTGCTACAGGACTGCATAGCAACCAGATGTCCACAGTGGAAGGTCTGGAAAAGACAATTAAATACAGTACTTTCCCTCCAGGGCAGTATTGATCAAAGGAGTAACACATATACATGTTTCATCATTCAAATGCTAATGAATCTATAAACCTCATTATTTCTTATCTATCTTTGAATTTCCACAGCAGTTTTTGGTGACATACCATATTTATGCCAGTAATGTTTGCACTTTTTATATGCAATTTCTGAGCCCAATCATGGACAGAAAACCATTAATAAAGAAAAATACATTATATGACTATAATCCCAAAACATGCATTATTTGCAGATTGAGAATGGATACAAACTTTTCCACTCTCCTCTTCAATTATACCTTCTATAAACAAGAATTATTACTAAACAGAACAACAAAAAGCATTTGCTAAGTGAGATACCAGAAAACACTTGCTATGAGAATTTTGAAATTCTCAGAAAATAGATATGATGCAAATATTATGCATATTTTGTTTTCACAGATATTGCACAGATCTAAATTCAACAATCAGAAGGCTCAGCAAGAACAACTGATATATCTATGCAGGAATAAAACACTTCTCTTTTTTATTAAACATTCTTCTCTCTCTCTATCACAATTTTTTTATGCAGTTTGTTGTTATCATTGTCTTTGCTCATTTGATTTTGAGGAAGCAGTGTCATATGATAGAAAGGACGAGGACATTTAAAGTCAAAAAGATCTTGTTTCAGTCTGTTCTGCTACTTGTTTGCAGGATAACCTTGAGAAAGTTAATTAGCCTCTCTTAACCTCAGTGTTTTTCACCTGTAAATTGAGGATAGTAGTTATTATTACTAGCTATATGACCCAATATAATTTACTCGACATTTCTGAGATGTGGGATTCTTCTATGTAAAATGAAATGAATATCTACTTTATAGAGTGATATCAAAGATTAAATGTGATAAATAACTACAGAACCTAGAAGAATACCTAGCACACAGTAGGTGCTGAATAAATCAGTTGTCAGTAATTCATACTAGAAATACATACTCATGTCAGAATATATGAAAAATACTTCTAACAGAGGCAATATTTGTATATTTTTGTGTACCATCTTCCAATCTTTTTCTATGTATATACTTTTATATGATGTTGAGATTCTCTTATCCATAGTTTTCTAATTGCTAAAATAACTTATTACATAATAAACATTTCCCTGTATCATTACAAATTCTTTGTAATTATTTATGATGTTTAATGTTATGTGCCAACTTGACTGGGCTGAAGAATTCCCAGATAGCTGGTAAAACATCACGTCTGCATACACCAGAAGAGATTGACATTTAAATCAGTAAACTGAATAAAGAAGAATTACTCTTACCAATGTGAGCAGGCATCATCCAATCTTCTGAAGGGCCTGCATAGAACAAAAAGGCAGAGGAAGGGCAAATTCTTTCTCCTTTTGACCTAGGACATCCCTCTTCTCTTATGCTCAGACATCAGAGCTTCTATTTCTTAGGCCTACAGACTCCATAATCACATAAACCAATTCTCATAATTAATCTCTTATATGTCTACATCTATATAGATATCCTATTGGTTCTGTTTTTCTGGGGAACCCTGACTAATATAATCATGATTTCAATAACAGCATAATATCAAATGTTGGGGAATAATATAATGTGTTTAATTAAATTATAATTTTGCTATTATAAATAGGATACCAACGACATTTCTGAATATTTTTGTTTAGCTCTGGTTTCTGAAGTGTGTATCTGTAGCCCTGTGCCGAGAGATACATTGAGTTGGGAGAGATTTGGGAACGAAATACAAAGGAGGATTAATTTTCCCAGAAGCAATGAAAGAAAGTCAAAGGAAAACTCAATATTGTTACAGTGCATAATAAAAAGGAAGACGGAAACTAGAAAAATGCAACATGGAGACCTCCTCTACAAAGGACCTATAGTTTGCTGAATTTATACTTTGAAAAATAGTACTGACTAGAGAATTTCTGATGTCCCATGGAAACTTCACATATCAAAACCTAATTCCTTAGGTCAGATCTGCAGGCCATCCCGTCAGTAGTTCAAATGCTGCAATTTTATACACATTTGAGGAGGGTCTAAAGAACATTATCTGTTTATAAAACCGAAAATTAGGCATACCTCTGAAGTCCCCCAGAAATACAGGTAAGACTTTCAAGGGTGTCCCCACTTTCTTGATTTTTAATTCTACCCTAAAATTACTAACAAGCTTGTCTAACAGAATTCGTAGTTTAAAAACCCCGCAGTGTATTTTTCCTTCTGATACTGATATAAATTAGCTAGATTTCCATATAAAAATATATAGTTAAAATGTAAAACAAAAAAAGCATTGGAATTACATGTAGATAGAGATTGTGAATGAGAACTTCAAATCACCATGCCTCTGTTCCCTTTGATAAAAGAGGCCTCTTGTTTCTAAATGTAAACTAAACTGGCAAAAATATATAATGGGAATGACACCAAGCAGTTTGGATCATAAGTTTTGAACTTTTAATTTAGGTGTACCTCTGAATGACAAAGCATTTCTAACGATTCAAATGTGATGAACAGGGTAGGTGTACAGACCATATTCTGGAGTAGATAATACACTACATTTATTTTCTTGGCTGCTGTGGGAGGAAGGAATTTGAAATATTTGCACATATCTACTTAACACATTTCCCTCTCTTTTTTCTTTTTCTTTTTGAGACAGAGTTTCACTCTCGTTGCCCAGGCTGGAGTGCAATGGTGGGATCTCGGCTCACTGCAACCTCCACCTCCTGGGTTCAAGCAATTCTCGTGCCTCAGCCTCCCAAGTAGCTGGAATTACAGGTATGTGTCACCATGCCCTGTTAATTTTTGTATTTTTAGTAGAGACAGGGTTTCACCATGTTGGTCAGGCTGGTTTTGAACTCCTGACCTCCGGTGATTCACCTGTCTTGGCCTCCCAAAACGCCTGTAGGCATAAGCCACCGCACCCAGCCTCCCTTTCATTTTTTAAGCTCATGTGTATTTTTAGAGAAATTTAATCTCTCTTTCTCATTCCTTCCCACTTGGTCCACAAAAGATACATAGGAGAGCTTTCCCATGTTTGTTTGTTTTGCCATTATATAAAAAAAAAAACAGGTAAATTTTCTTTCTCCAGCCATTTCTTTTCAAATATTTCTCCTTCCTGGCCCTGGGGTTTTATCAAAACAGAATTACCATGCAGCCTGGGGTAGGACTCAGTTTTTTATTCTATTGATCTTTATATCTGGTAGTTGTAGTTGTAGCAGTAAATTTCTATTTATTGTAAGTCTCTTGGGCTTGTGGCTTGATACAAGACACCTGGGGAGAAAAGTGGAGCAGTACCTTGCACTCAGACCAAGTGCTTCCTGAGCTCCTGTTTTGATACAGACAGTGGTACATACAACAGGATGCCCAAAGGAAAGAACAAAACAATCAAAATGTTTAATTTATAGATTTATCTGCAGAGATATCTATAGCTTTGAAGATATGGTTATAAAGCGGGTAGCATATGTGTTATATCAAGAGTGACAGAGTATGACCCAAGTCAAATAAATCCATGTCAAAAATTATGTTATAAAACAATTTTCTTTTCTATTTATAGACAGTTTTCCTCTAGCTATCCAAAACCCTAAACTTACAGGATGTACAATCTGATCAAATGACACACAATCAAAAAGTGATTACAAGTTCTAGCTCAGGTAGGCAATTACCTCACAATGTCTGGACTTGGGCCATGTTCTTAAAGACCTTAAATTCCCCAATTCTGAATATCTCATCAATATGCCTTCACAATCAATACAGAAACTCAAACCCCTGTTCTATGGTCAATTTGAAAGATTCATTAATGTAGAAAAATTAACTTACATCCGAGCATGTATCTGATACTAGTCTAAAACTAAGTTTATTTGTTTCATGCATCCAGTTCCCCTAGCATGAAACATGTACTGCAACTTGACAGAGCATCCTTCCTCTTTCTACACACCCCCTGCCATGGTCTCGATTCAGTCCCTTTTCCTCAGTCACCCCCACTTAGTATACTCTTTCTGTCCTTGTTTACTAATGTGACTATCCTGAACTGTTTTTCTTACAAATTATCCTTTAAAGCTAATCTGGAGTAAACAATCTCATTTTTAGCAAAAGACCTCAGGTTAGGCAAGGATTATGGCCCCAGAAGTAAAATAACAATGTTTTATTTACTACAGTGTTTAGTCTATTTATTGGGTTTTATTGGCATTGAGAAAACATTTGGGCAAGATTATATTGCAGAACTTTATTTTTTAATATGGTTGTTTAAAGGATCACAATTAAATAGCTACTATTAATGCCAACAATGTAAATGAATACTGAACATATTAATATGACTGATTTCAATAAATAAGAAGAAAATTGGGGTAAACAATATTTTTGTAAAGGAAAAAAGAAGTAAACTCTCAGAATGTGTAGAATTCTAGTACAACAGCCAGATAATTATTTAGATATAGGTCCTGTTCAACTTTCTAGATGTGAATACATGGAGGGAGGACAAAGGAAAGAGGGGGGAGGGAGTGGAAGGAGAAACTGAGCATATGAAAAAAGTTTTTGTTTTTTTCAAATATGGGGGACTTTTTATTATGTGACATTTCTTAGTGGTATATATCAAATTTAGTTGGTATTTTTAAGACTAATGCACTTTAAGAATACCTATAATTTAATAAATTTACTTAAGTTGGTTTTGTACTATTTTCTGATTCTGTCCCTTTCATTTGCTGGGTATTGAGAATTCTGCTTCACTTTGGCCTGTGGAAAGATACTAAGATGACTCACTGACATAATGACCTTCATCTCAACAAGTCACTGATTCACTTGGTTCCTCTATACATCCATATCCTGCTACAGATTTACCTTGAGCACATTCTAAAATAATTAAATTAAATCATTTTTGGACTTACTGGCTTTTATAAAGTAAGGTTATTTCTGTCCAAGAATTCGAAACTTTTATTCATCTAAAAAGCAATGCTGATTATCAAACCAAACCAGAACAGAAGTTACAAAGCAAAGATTAAACAACCATGGACATTCACCAATGATTTCCTGAATACAAATGATCATGTAAGATATACTTCATTGTACTAAGCCACTTTTATCCAAATTTATCGTGTTCATTTTAATAACTTTCATTACCTTAATTCCACCATTTACATTTAAATGCAAATCTTATTTTGTGATTCTACTAAAGATCTTATATAGAACCAAGGAAAATTACTATACAAATGCCATTACCTAGAAGTTTGAAATCCTGAGACTAGAAACGGGTTAATTAATTACATTATCTGTAGCATTACCCTGGCTACATTCTGCCTGAAGGCATATGAATCCACTCAGCTGCTGAATTTGAAAGAGCTGTGTCCTTTTCATGCAGAAGAAAAATCATCGACATAACCCTCTTCCACCCCTACTGAAGGCACTGGAGGACTTTATGTTTCTTTTTCACCTGATTATTGTGTTACTGGTGAAATAATCAAAAAAGCAAAATTAAATAAATACCAAAATATTTAATACCATCATGAAAATCTGAGGAATGCATAATATATTTCAATCAGTACCTACTTACTAAGAATCTATGTTCTAGGCAAATCCTAGACATTGGGCTGGGAGAATCAAAGATAAACGAGACATGGTGCCTGCCTGTCAGGAACTCATATCAGAGTAAGTTCATAAAAGGTTAAACAAAAAAGAACATTAAGAAGGCATTCCAAGATTTAATTTGCTAAAGAAGTATTGGTGATACATAAGCCATTTGCTTAGATATTTATGCAGTCTAAATTAATTGTATCATTGTTCAACTCATTTTAGCTTTTGTTTTTTTTCTCCTCTTTCCACCTGCCTCCTTTTTAAATTTTCTTCCTCTAGTCCCTTTAGTTCTTTCATCTTTTCTTCTCTATTTTGGTTTGTTTAACAAAACAAACTCAAAGCAGCACAATTTGCATACAGTGTCACAGGAAAAAATGCCAAAGAAATATTAAAGTAGACTAGTAAATTTAAATAGGATAAATTTAGTACACCCCAGTACACTGCAGAAACTCCTGTGAATAATTGTTAAGCGTGGATGGCAAATGGACTCTGAGTTCTCTAGTGGTGAAAGATAAGGGAGATATAATTCACTGCAGCATTTCAGCAGCTGATAAGAAGCAGCACAACTTCTCCCTGTGTGAAGCTGGAGAGAACTTTCTTCTTGAGTTCACTCATCAAGAAGATGTTGTGTACAGTAGTAGACAGTATCCTTTACAGTACCCCATTACCTGGCAGATTGAAGTTTTTGATTATGAAATTTCAGAGATTTTTATTGGTATAATACAACTACGGAGGGTTTTAAAATCTCTGAAATCTGAATCATGTACATTATGAGATCTCTCCATATATATGTATATATGTATATTATACGTATATGTATATTATATATGTGTATATTATACATACATGTATATTATATATGTATATATATACATATATATGGAGAGATCTCATGATGTACATGATTCATATTATATATATAATATATGTATATAAGTATATATAGTATATGTGTATATATAATATATATTATATATAGTATATATAATATATGTATTATATTATATATAATACATATATTATATATAATATATTGTATACATAATCTATATTATATATACATATATGTATATATATTATATGTATACATAATATATATTATATATGCATATATGTATATATAATATATAGTCTACATATATATGTATATATTATATATACATATATGGGTATATATACATATATAGTGTATATATACATATACGTGTATATATACACATATATTATATATTATATATGTATACATATATGTGCATGTATATATGTATATTCATATATACGTATATATGTATATATACATGTATATTCATATATACGTATATATGTATATTCATATATACGTATATATGTATATATACATGTATATTCATATATACGTATATATGTATATATACATGTATATTCATATATACGTATATATGTATACGTATGTATATTCATATATACGTATATATGTATATATACATGTATATTCATATATACGTATATATGTATACGTATGTATATTCATATATACGTATATATGTATACGTATGTATATTCATATATACGTATATATGTATATGTATGTATATGTATACATGCATATATATGTATGTATATGTATACATGCATATATATGTATGTATATGTATACATGCATATATATGTATGTATATGTATATATGTATATACGTGTATATGCATGTATATATAATATGTATATATAATATACGTATAACAGATAATATATGTATATATAATATACGTATAACAGATAATATATGTATATATAATATACGTATAACAGATAATATATGTATATATAATATACGTATAACAGATAATATATGTATATATAATATACGTATAACAGATAATATATGTATATATAATATACGTATAACAGATAATATATGTATAACATATATAATATATGTATATATAATATATGTATAACATATATAATATATGTATATATAATATATGTATAACATATATATACACTCATATATATATATACTCCCTCTCTCTGTATATATATATATTCTCTCTCTCTATATATATATATATGCTCCCTCTATATATATATAGATATATCTATCTATCTATCTATATATATATAGAGAGAGAGAGAGAGAAGGAGAGTATGTATATATACATATATGTACACACACACGGCATATATATATATATATATATATATACACAGACAGACACACACACACACACACACACACACACACACACACACACATATGGCAGCAGCTTACAGCTGTAAACCCACCACTTTGTAAGGCTGAGGCAGGTAGATTGCTTGATCCCAGGAGCTTGAGACCAGCCTGGGCAACATGGCAAAACCTCAAAACCTCATCTCTACAAAAAATACAAAAATTAGTGGAGCGTGGTTGTGCACACCTGTAGTCCCAGCTACTTAGGAGGCTGAGGCAGGAAGATCGCTTGAGTCCAGGAAGTTGAGACTGCAGTGATCCGAGATTGTGCCACTGCACTACAGCCTGGGTGGTAGAGTGAAACTTTGTCTAAAACAAAGAAACAAACCATATATATATATATATATATATATATATATATATATATATATATTATATATAAATATATATAATATATATAAAATATATAATAAATATATATAATATATTTATTATATATAATACATACAGTATATAATAATAATATACATTATATATTATAATAATATACATTATATACCATATGGTATTTATATACCATAATGTATTTATGGTATATAAATACATTATATACCATATATATTATATATATACCATACATATACACTATATATGGTACATAATGTATTTATTACTGATGCATTTTATTACTAATGTAGTTTATTACTTACGTAGTTATAACCAGAGTAGATTGAGAAAAACTGCTTCTACAGCTGAAAAAATGTTCTCAAAAATACATCTACGACTTGAAAATATCAGTAATAACCTTTTGGTTTTTAGAACTGCAATATTTAGTTAACATGACCAAATGTAATCTTATTTTCCATGTCCAGGATTTTTTCAAATTTATGTTTATTTTTATATGAAATACATTTTTTAATTTCAGCAACTAATATTTTTATGAGAATGATGATAGATTTAACATTTAAGTTTTCATAAATTTTTAATTTTACTTAAAAATGTTTCCATGTTTTCAAAATTTTGATTTGCCTTAAGAATTTCCTATCACTGATTCTTTTGTAAATCTTGAATATTTTAGATAGAAAAAACTGTAATTATTACCAATATTTCTATATTACACATTAAAAACCCTTAAATGCTGTTCTTGTCCTTTTGTTCCAGTCACCACCCAGCCTGAGAGGCTCTCAGTTGCTGCCACTGTCAATCCTAATTCTGTCTCAACATTGCAGACAATATCATTAACCATGTTTTCAGAGGTTACTACCTATCTAAATGTACATAAACAAAAACAAATCCAAATTTTACCTTGCAGGTTTATTACAACCTGTTTTGCCCACTTGTCCTGCCAAGATCGAATGAATACCTATTATATGGCACAAGGATTCAAAGTTCTATAAACATTTAACACAAATAGAAGGATACAAATTTAATTATAAGTCAACACCTTTGCTGAAAATCTAAAAGTTATCTTCAAAAAAAAAAAAAAACTCACTGTATTATTTGTTCATTTGCAAATTTGTGTTTGACCTTAAGTCAGTCACCAAAATTTTTTGTCTTATTTTTTTTTCATTTTGTATATGGATCCATTGAAATGACATATTCTGGCTTACAGGGATGCTTTGTAGAATAACATACATTTATGATTGTTAAGTAACCATGAAATGTGAATGACAAGCATATCTTGTGTCCAGATAGTTTTTAAACCTCAGTTTCTAGTAGCTCAAGAAAAGGATTAATATCTTGTTTTGATGACTTAGGTTAAAGTAAATAGCTTAAGCAGCTGGTTGAATAGTGTTAAAACACTTAGATTGGTCAAAATTGGTCATTTACTGGATATTAATCTGCATGAGACCCAATATCTGGTTGCATTTTATATTTTATTGCACAGATGAGATCATTTGTTGTCATGTAACTTCAGTCTACATTTTCATAACAGGGACTCAGATGTTCCGAACATGGCTATGTGCCCAAAGTACCAAAATACTGCACAAATAGTCATTTCAAGACAATTTGCCAGGGGAATGAATTTCTCTTCATATTTTAGGAATCTCTTTTGGCTCCATACAGAGAGTTAGAGAGAAAGGAGGCTTGGCAAGATGTGTGCTTTGGGTCTAACTGAATAAATCAGGGAGAACACATTTCTGTGAGCACGTGTCATTTTCTGTACTCTCGAGTCCAGTGTGACCTAGAGATGAATCACTTTATCACCCCTTAGGAAAACTCCCCAAGTCTGCTATTTCCTAATTTATAAAATGGGGAGACTTTTTGAAGGAATTATCGTCTGTCATGTGGAAAGCATTTTGAGCTCCTCATAGTCACCAGGCGGCATTTATTGAGTGCCCACTGTGTGCTTAGCACTGTGCAAATACAAGGTGTCAGGTTAACAAATCACAACGCTTCTGGCTGCAAAATAATTTTTTAAAAATCCTCAGCTACGTTAATATTCCATGCCATACGGTAGGAAAGGTCTAAATTCTATTGCTTTTACAGATAATTTATGAAAAAAATGAAATATTAACTAGGAATGTGGTAGAATAGCTTTCTGTTTCACTAAGAGATGACAAATGAAGCAGCATAGGCACACATTTGAATAAGGAATTATCAATCAACCTCAAACTTGACCCACAGCTGTCATCCCCATAAATTAATGTTTACCATTTTTAAGTATGTGCAAGACATCTGGAAACACACAGGCTGTGGCTGGCAAGAAATTTCCAAAGAATAGTATATCAAAAGCTAATTATAGCAGCAGCGAGCCCAAGTGTCATTTTGTTATGGTGAATTATAGACGGAGAGCTCTGTCACTGAAAACTGTTATTCATAACTAAATCATAATGCTTTTAAGTTTTAATTAATCTGCTTAGCTTTAGTTGCAAGGGAGAAGCTTGCTTAAGTGTTAAGCCACCAAGGCTCTCTCAGGCTACCCTGGAACTGCATCTGAGCACCTGAGGGAGCAAGACCACATTATCAGGCTGACATTGCCTCTATTAAAGAGAATTTCTTTTAATATGCCAGAGCCTGAATCTTTCTTTCTATTTCATTATCAAAAAACCAATTAATTTTCCATAAGAGCACCAAATTAATTACAAAATACTATGGAAATCAGAGTTGTCTCTCCTTCCCCACCATTATGGAAATGCCAATCCCCTTGGCAGCGAAGTCCTTCGAAGGTACCAGTTTTTCTCCTTAGTTAACATTTTATTTGCGATGTTGGGAAGACTCTAAAGAGTTGGCACTATTATTTGTCTTTCACATGACTTATTTCCCTCAACTGCTTACCTAGTCCGCACTCTTTCGATTTAACCACCCTTACCTCAGGAATGTTAGCTAGAGAAACAAAATCTTTGCATGAAGAAAACCTCTCTTATTCATTGGGACTTTCTGGGGTTTCATCTTTTTCCCCCACCTAGACTATAAACTCCTCATGAATGGGGCCATGTTTTAAACTTATTTCATACCCTAATATTTTTGTTGGTTCTTGGTATGACCTTCTATTCTGAATTCGTATTAGGGATTTAGCAAATTTTTGTCAGTTGAAAAAAATCTAATTTTAGTTAGAAATGAGAAATTTAAATTTTTTAGACTTGAAGTCCAAGATGAATCCAAAAAGAAAGACATGATGATCTTACATAAAATGGGAACAGAGAAAATGAAAGCAAATTAATGTACATAAGATAATATTTTATAATAAACTTTCTCTTATCTGAAATAAAGTCATTAGCTGATATTCAAACTTTCTTTTAAAGCTGTGAAATCCTTGTTCAATTGAAAAAGTAGAAAGACCACCTCCCACCCCATATGAGGGTCCTGGTTGTGTAGTATCCTTGGACTTCCCTATGCCCATGGATGACTCTTTAACTTTCTACAAAATGTCCTTGGTCTCTACGAAATACCATCTAAAACTAACTGGGAAAGTCTTCCTAGGGAAAGTGCACATCATACTTCTTTCTTTTTTTCTCTGAAGCACCCAGCACTATGCCTTGATCCGTAAATATTTAATATATATTTTATTGAATTAGCACCAGGGTAAGTGTCTTTCATGGCTTTCTATCCTGAATTACTGAATTGTTTTTTGTTTACCTATATCTAGATTAATGGAAATCTAAAGTATAATAAATATTTTCCTCATGGTTTTTATCACCACTCACCTAACTTAGTTTATGGATGAGTTTATGGTTAAAATGCTGTAACTTAGGCAGAAGTAACGTCAATGGGACTCATTTTAAAACATGTTTTAAAATAACTGTCGATCTAAAAGTTTTGAAAGATGCAGGCTAGGCCAACTTGGTTTCCTTCCCTAGAACCAGGAATCAATTTTCATCTTACTTAAATGAAAGACACCATAGGTGAACTCTCTGTCTTCTAAGGCCTCTTCCAAACTTCAGAGGCTATAATTGTCTAGCAAAAAAAAAAAAAAAAAGGTAAATTCTCCTGTTCCACATATCAAATGATACAGCCACTTCTCTTATATTTTCTTCCCCTAGAGAAATATGGAATTTAAGATAGAAGCAGATGTGTCCATGTTTAATCCTTAGTTCAAACAAAGAATGGCAAAAATTTAATTGGTCTCTGTTAAATGAGTAATTTTGTCTGCTACCTTAAAACATTGTTATATATTAATGCAGTACATTGAACTGCCAAGCATATTTTGAAACCTCGAAGCATATTCATTTAAGTCAAATTAAATGGATTCCACAAGGCGCAACAGGATTTTGTATGCCCTATTTTAATAAGGAAACTGAGTCATAGAATGTCTTGAGTGACTTAGCAAGGGTCACTCTTCGAGGCACATGTTCAACCTCTTTAGCCTAATGAGGCTTGCTTTCTTCCAAAGTAGGTTTTGTTTCTGAAGTCTATGTTTTCTGGGCACAGATATATAATATTATATATAATACATTATATGTTATAATATAATATGCATATATATATATTTGTTCTGAGACTCTGTTGACAGAGATTATTTTAGGCTTTTTTGACTGAGTTATTTTAGGCTTTTATTTTCCCTCATTAAACATTAATTTTTTCATCCTTATTATTAACCAAAGATAAATTAAAAGCAAGAAAAAAAGTCTTGATTTAATTTCTAATACAGAAGAAAAGTTAATGCTGGTATACTAATTGCTAAAATGCTGCTTAAACTATGTCTGACTTATGGCTAACATCAGAGGACAAGTTGAAACAGCAGTGGATAAATAATTAAAACATTTGGAGACATTAGGTTCACATTTTCTCTTAATAAAATTACATTTTGAGCCTCTGATGATAAGCCTTGAAGTGTACCTTAGCCAAGGGTTCTTGTAGTTAGCCACTCCCTTTGAAAATGCGTTCTCTTAATTTAAAAACAAGTGCTGATGAGAGCAACTTCACTCAGTTCTTGCTTTTGTGCTAGCTGAAGCTCAGAGAGAGGAAATGTTTTCATTTTCATGAATCTAACAGATTCTCTCACATGTGGCAACACAAGAACATGGGAAACATATCTGAGTCAGGCCTGCTGTAAACAGCAGCCCCCATTCATGTCCAAGAGTGACCACAAAAGATCCAACCTAAAGGACTTCTCTAAGCTCATTAACTAGCTATGGTAAGTAGTCTTTTCTGGGTAAAAGGGAAGTAGGCTTGGCCAAAACTCAAATTTCAAATGGCCTCCTCATTCTAGATTATTCGGATTTTAGCAAACAAGGCCACAGAATTCAAACAGGCACCTTGTCTGAATGGTAGAATGGTAGAATAGAAAAAGCCTAAAGTTAGACACACCTACAAATTATATGACCTTGGGCAAGTTATTTAGTCACTATAATTATTCACATTTATTGAGTGCTTCCTATCAGCCAGACACTGTCCTAACCGCTTTCCCCAATTTAACTCATTTTATTCTCAAAACAACTCCTTGTATGCTGATTGTGAGACCTATTAAACAAATGAGGAAACCACAAGGAAGTCAAATAACTCGCTAAAGACACACAGCTGGAAAGGAAGGGGCTGGGATACACTATACTCTCTCAATAAGTGGAGAAATAATAAAAATTGGACTAATAGGTCAAGTTCATCTTTCCAAATAAATGAGCTATGAGGATTAGGTAACTGATGAGAAGGTCTAGCACAGTTTCCGTTTCCTGGAAGGAAAACGAACATTTATTAACATCCACTTTTGCCACCTTTTCTTCCTCATTTCCTACTCTTCCTCTTACTCTTTGCAGCTATTTCTCCAATCCACTTAGCAGACTTTCTCTGGATTTGCCCTAACTTCAGTATGCTGCTCTAGATGTTGTGACACCTGAACCATACAAAGAGTATCAGACGCAGAAATCTCAGACAGTTAGGCAAATGAAAGCTAATTTTTCCTGGTTTGTTTTAACTGCCTCTTGGTTTCCAATCTTTGGATTGGCCCTCTTTGCCATATAAAGACATGCACAGTTAGACTTGGATTTTTTTCTCTGAATTTTAACTAACAGCACAGAATCACCAACGTGTGTATTCTAGAGACTTAATGCTCTTCCTTCCTGCCATGTCTCACTTGCTTGCTCAATGCATACGTTTTTTAGGTAGTTGGTCTGAACCCCACCATTAGCCATGTGGGTAGTGAGAGAAGCTCCCAAACACAGAGACTGCCCTGAGCAATTTGCTAAGAGTAGGGCTCTTAGCAAAGTATTTCTTCAGTGGGTCATACATTGTTGTTGTTGTTTTTATCACTGAATTTATATTTCTCCTCCACACTATTTAAATACTTGGAAGTGCAAACAATCAGAATGGCTTCTTCTCTCTTACAAAGATTCTTTTTAATTGGTTTCAGACTCATTTACCATTACCTTCTGAATCAGCTCTTTAATGCAAGAGTCAAAAGAATGCATCTTTTGCTTGTGAACTGCTATTTTAGGAAACAGTCCTTTGTTCTTTGTGAAAACCTCACCTCCAACTTTTATAATATTAATTCCATCTAAGTTTGGGAAATCAAAGACAATCATTATTATTTTTGGCCTAATTTTACTGCTTTCCCAGAATTTTTAAATGCTGTTTTTCTCAGATTCTTCGGTCTATTTTACATACCTTTTGCTAATTATTTATTAAAGTGGCATTAAATTCTTTTTATGCCTTATGGCCTTTCTTTTTTCTATGATTAGTCTTATATTTAAAAAATAACATTTTTTTCTTTTTGTTTAAAGGCAGTATCAATACACTATCAAAACATAAGAAAGTACAAACATGAAAACAAAAATTTTTAACCTAGATTGTTCCCCACCAGAGCCCATTTAATATCACATACAAAAACATGCACTCTTTATGGGAGGAAATATTTGTAAACCATACATCTGATGAGGTTAATATCTATAATATCTAAGAAACTCATTCAATTCAATAGGAAAAACAAATACAATTTGAATATCCCTTATTCAAAATGCTTGGAAAGAGTAGTGCTTTGAATTTGTGATTTTTTTTTCAGATTTTGGAATATTTGCATTGCGCTTATCTGTTGAGCATCTCAAATCTAAAAATTTGAAAGCAAGTGCTCCAGTGAGCATTTCCTTCGAGCATCTTGGTGGTGCTCAAAGAGTTTAGAATTTTGGAACATTTCAGATTTTAGATTTTCAAATTTGGGTTGCTTAACCAGTAATTCACTTTAAAAATGGGCAAAGAGCCTGAACAGACCTTTTTTTCAAAATTCCAGCAGGTACATGAAAAGGTGCTCAATGTCATTAATCATCAGGAATTTGCAAATCAAAACCACAGGATCATCTCACACCTGTTAGGATGGCTATGAAATAGACAGGAAGTAACAAATGCTGGTAAGGATGTGGAGGAAAAAAAAACATTGTACACTATTGATGGGAATGTAATTTGATACAGCCAATATAGTAAACACTATGAAAGTTTCTCAAAAAAAAAAAATAAAAATAGAACTAGCATGTGATCTAGTAATCCCACTATTTGGTGTATATATGAAGGGAAAGAAATCAATGTCTTGAGGAAATGAATGTCTTGAGGAAATAAATTCCTATTCATTGCAGGGTTATTCACAATAGCCAAAATATGAAAACAATCTGTTCATGGATGGGTGAATGAATTTTAAAAAATTGTATATATACACACACACACACACACACACACACCCCTGTTGTGATACTTTGGATGAACCTGGAGGACACAGTTTTTGCTCTTTTTGAGACAGGATCTCACTCTGCCACACAGGTTGGAGTGCAACGGCACAATCGCAGCTCACTGTAGCCTCAAACTTCTAGTCTCAAAAGATCCTCCCAGCTAAGGGGAGGGCAGCCAAGATGGCCGAATAGGAACAGCTCCGGTCTACAGCTCCCAGCGTGAGCGACACAGAAGACAGGTGATTTCTGCATTTCCATCGGAGGTACCGGGTTCATCTCACTAGGGAGTGCCAGACAGTGGGCGCAGGACAGTGGGTGCAGTGCACCCTGCGCGAGCCGAAGCAGGGCGAGGCATAGCCTCACTTGGGAAGTGCAAGGGGTCAGGGAGTTCCCTTTCCTAGTCAAAGAAAGGGGCGACAGATGGCACCTGGAAAATCGTGTCACTCCCACCCCAATACTGAGCTTTTCTGATGGGCTTAAAAAACGGCGCACCAGGAGATGATATCCTACACCTGGCTTGGAGGGTCCTATGCCCACAGAGTCTGGCTGATTGCTAGCACAGCAGTCTGAGATCAAACTGCAAGGCAGCAGTGAGGCTGTGGGAGGGGCGCCCGCCATTGCCCAGCCTTGCTTAGGTAAACAAAGCAGCTGGGAAGCTTGAACTGGGTGGAGCCCACCACAGCTCAAGGAGGCCTGCCTGCCTCTGTAGGCTCCACCTCTCGGAGCAGGGCACAGACAAACAAAAAGACAGCAGTAACCTCTGCAGACTTAAATGTCCCTGTCTGACAGCTTTGAAGAAAGCAGTGGTACTCACAGCACGCAGCTGCAGATCTGAGAACGGGCAGACTGCTTCCTCAAGTGGGTCCCTGACCCCTGATACCTGAGCAGCCTAACTGGGAGGCACCCCCCAGTAGGGGCAGACTGACAACTCACACGGCCGGGTACTCCTCTGAGACAAAACCTCCAGAGGAATGATCAGACAGCAGCATTCCTGGTTCATGAAAACCCGCTGTTCTGCAGCCACCACTGCTGATACCCAGGCAAACAGGGTCTGGAGTGCACCTCTAGCAAACTCCAACAGACCTGCAGCTGAGGGTCCTGACTGTTAGAAGGAAAACTAACAAACAGAAAGGACATCCACACCAAAAACCCATCTGTACATCACCATCATCAAAGACCAAAAGTAGATAAAACCACAAAGATGGCGAAAAAACAGAGCAGAAAAACTGGAAACTCTAAAAAGCAGAGTGCCTCTCCTCCTCCAAAGGAACGCAGTTCCTCACCAGCAATGGAACAAAGCTGGACGGAGAATGACTTTGACAAGTTGAGAGAAGAAGGCTTCAGACAATCAAACTACTCCAAGCTACAGGAGGAAATTCAAACTAAAGGCAAAGAGTTAAAAACTTTGAAAAAAATTTAGACGAATGTATAACTAGAATAACCAATTCAGAGAAGTCCCTAAAGGACCTGATGGAGCTGAAAGCCAAGGCTCGAGAAGTACGTGAAGAATGCAGAAGCCTCAGGAGCCGATGCGATCCACTGGAAGAAAGGGTATCAGTGATGGAAGATCAAATGAATGAAATGAAGCAAGAAGGGAAGTTTAGAGAAAAAAGAATAAAAAGAAATGAACAAAGCCTCCAAGAAATATGGGACTATGTGAAAAGACCAATCTACGTCTGATTGGTGTACCTTAAAGTGACGGGGAGAATGGAACCAAGTTGGAAAACACTCTGCAGGATATTATCCAGGAGAACTTCCCCAATCTAGCAAGGCAGGCCAACATTCAGATTCAGGAAATACAGAGAACACCACAAAGATACTCCTCGAGAAGAGCAACTCCAAGAAACATAATTGTCAGATTCACCAAAGTTGAAATGAAGGAAAAAATGTTAAGGGCAGCCAGAGAGAAAGGTCCGGTTACCCACAAAGGGAAGACCATCAGACTAACAGCTGATCTCTTGGCAAAAACTCTACAAGCCAGAAGAGAGTGGGGGCCAATATTCAACATTCTTAAAGAAAAGAATTTTCAGTGCAGAATTTCATATCCAGCCAAACTAAGCTTCATAAGTGAAGCAGAAATAAAATACTTTACAGACAAGCAAATGCTAAGAGATTTTGTCACCACCAGGCCTGCCCTAAAAGAGCTCCTGAAGGAAGCACTAAACATGGAAAGGAACAACCAGTACCAGCCACTGCAAAATCATGCCAAATTGTAAAGACCATCGAGACTAGGAAGAAACTGCATCAACTAACGAGCAAAATAACCAGCTAACATCATAATGACAGGATCAAATTCAAACATAACTATATTAACTTTAAATGTAAATGGACTAAATGCTCCAATTAAAAGACACAGACTGGCAAATTGGATAAAGAGTCAAGACCCATCAGTGTGCTGTATTCAGGAAACCCATCTCACGTGCAGAGACACATATAGGCTCAAAATAAAAGGATGGAGGAAGATCTACCAAGCAAATGGAAAACAGAAAAAGGCAGGGGTTGCAATCCTAGTCTCTGATAAAACAGACTTTAAACCAACAAAGATCAAAAGAGACAAAGAAGGCCATTACATAATGGTAAAGGGATCAATTCAACAAGAAGAGCTGACTATCCTAAATACATATGCACCCAATACAGGAGCACCCAGATTCATAAAGCAAGTCCTGAGTGACCTACAAAGAGACTTAAGACTCCCACAGAATAATAATGGGAGACTTTAACACCCCACTGTCAACATTAGACAGATCAACGAGGCAGAAAGTTAACAAGGGTACCCAGGAATTGAACTCAGCTCTGCACCAAGCAGACCTAATAGACATCTACAGAACTCTCCACCCCAAATCAACAGAATATATATTTTTTTCAGCACTGCACCACACCTGTTCCAAAATTGACCACATAGTTGGAAGTCAAGCTCTCCTCAGCAAATGTAAAAGAACAGAAATTATAACAAACTGTCTCTCAGACCACAGTGCAATCAAACTAGAACTCAGGATTAAGAAACTCACTCAAAACCACTCAACTACATGGAAACTGAACAACCTGCTCCTGAATGACTACTGGGTACATAATGAAATGAAGACAGAAATAAAGATGTTCTTTGAAACCAATGTGAACAAAGACACAACATACCAGAATCTCTGGGACACATTCAAAGCAGTGTGTAGAGGGAAATTTAAAGCACTAAATGCCCACAAGAGAAAGCAGGAAAGATCCAAAATTGACACCCTAACATCACAATTAAAAGAACTAGAAAAGCAAGAGCAAACACATTCAAAAGCTAGCAGAAGGCACGAAATAACTAAAATCAGAACAGAACTGAAGGAAATAGAGACACAAAAACCCTTCAAAAAATTAATGAATCCAGGAGCTGATTTTTTGAAAGGATCAACAAAATTGATAGACCGCTAGCAAGTCTAATAAAGAAAAAAGAAGAATCAAATAGACATAACAAAAAATGATAAAGGATATATCACCACCGATCCCACAGAAATACAAACTACCATCAGAGAATACTACAAACACCTCTATGCAAATAAACTAGAAAATCTAGAAGAAATGGATAAATTCCTCGACACATACACCCTCCCAAGACTAAACCAGGAAGAAGTTGAATCTCTGAATAGACCAATAACAGGCTCTGAAACTGTGGCAATAATCAATAGCTTATCAACCAAAAAGAGTCCAGGACCAGATGGATTCACAGCCGAATTCTACCAGAGGTACAAGGAGGAACTGGTACGATTCCTTCTGAAACTATTCCAATCAATAGAAAAAGGGGAATCCTCCCTAACTCATTTTATGAGGCCAGCATCATCCTGATACCAAAGCCGGGCAGAGACACAACCAAAAAAGAGAATTTTAGACCAATATCCTTGGTGAACATTGATGCAAAAATCCTCAATAAAATACTGGCAAACCGAATCCAGCAGCACATCAAAAAGCTTATCCACCATGATCGAGTGGGCTTCATCCCTGGGATGCAAGGCTGGTTCAATATATGCAAATCAATAAATGTAATCCAGCATTTAAAAAGAACCAAAGACAAAAACCACATGACTATCTCAATAGATGCAGAAAAGCCCTTTGACAAAATTCAACAACGCTTCATGCTAAAAACTCTGAATAAATTAGGTATTGATGGGACGTATCTCAAAATAATAAGAGCTATCTATGACAAACCCACAGCCAATATCATACTGAATGGGCAAAAACTGGAAGCATTCCCTTTGAAAACTGGCACAAGACAGGGATGCCCTCTCTCACCACTCCTATTCAACATAGTGTTGGAAGTTCTGGCCAGGGCAATTAGGCAGGAGAAGGAAATAAAGGGTATTCAATTAGGAAAAGAGGATGCCAAATTGTCCCTGTTTGCTTATGACATGATTGTATATCTAGAAAACCCCATCGTCTCAGGCCAAAATCTCCTTAAGCTGATAGGCAACTTTAGCAAAGTCTCAGGATACAAAATCAATGTACAAAAATCACAGGCATTCTTATACACCAATAACAGACAAACAGAGAGCCAAATCATGAGTGAACTCCCATTCACAATTGCTTCAAAGAGAATAAAATACCTAGGAATCCAACTTACAAGGGACGTGAAGGATCTCTTCAAGGAGAACTACAAACCACTGCTCAATGAAATAAAAGAGGGTACAAACAAATGGAAGAACATTCTATGCTCATGGGTAGGAAGAATCAATATCATGAAAATGGCCATAATGCCCAAGGTAATTTATAGATTCAACGCCATCCCCATCAAGCTACCAACGACTTTCTTCACAGAATTGGAAAAAACTACTTTAAAGTTCATATGGAACCAAAAAAGAGCCCGCATCACCAAGTCAATCCTAAGCCAAAAGAACAAAGCTGGAGGCATCACGCTACCTGACTTCAAACTACACTACAAGGCTACAGTAACCAAAACAGCATGGTACTGGTACCAAAACAGAGAAATAGACCAATGGAACAGAACAGAGCCCTCAGAAATAACGCCGCATATCTACAACTATCTGATCCTTGACAAACCTGAGAAAAACAAGCAATGGGGAAAGGATTCCCTATTTAATAAATGGTGCTGGGAAAACTGGCTAGTCATATGTAGAAAGCTGAAACTGGACCCCTTCCTTACACCTTTTACAAAAATTAATTCAAGATGGATGAAAGACTTAAACATTAGACCTAAAACCATAAAAACCCTAGAAGAAAACCTAGGCATTTCCATTCAGGACATAGGCATGGGCAAGGACTTCATGTCTAAAACACCAAAAGCAAAGGCAACAAAAGCCAAAATTGACAAATGGGATCTAATTAAACTAAAGAGCTTCTGCACAGCAAAAGAAACTACCATCAGAGTGAACGGGCAACCTACAGAATGGGAGAAAATTTTCGCAACCTACTCATCTGACAAAGGGCTAATATCCAGAATCTACAATGAACTCAAACAAATTTACAAGAAAAAAACAAACAACCCCATCAAAAAGTGGGCGAAGGACATGAACAGACACTTCTCAAAAGAAGACATTTATGCAGCCAAAAAACACATGAAAAAGATGCTAACCATCAGTGGCCATCAGAGAAATGCAAATCAAAACCGCAATGAGATACTATCTCACCCCAGTTAGAATGGCAATCATTAAAAAGTCAGGAAACAACAGGTGCTGGAGAGGATGTGGAGAATAAGATCACTTTTACACTGTTGGTGGGACTGTAAACTAGTTCAACCATTGTGGAAGTCAGTGTGGTGATTCCTCAGAGATCTAGAACTAGAAATACCATTTGACCCAGCCATCCCATTACTGGGTATATACCCAAAGTATTATAAATCATGCTGCTATAAAGACACATGCACACGTATGTTTATTGTGGCACTATTCACAATAGCAAAGACTTGGAATGAAACCAAATGTCCAACAATGATAGACTGGATTAAGAAAATGTGGCACATATATACCATGGAATACTATGCAGCCATAAAAAATGATGAGTTCATGTCCTTTGTAGGGACATGGATGAAATTGGAAATCATCATTCTCAGTAAAGTATCGCATGGATGAAAAACCAAACACTGCATATTCTCACTCATAGGTGGTAATTGAACAGTGAGAACACATGGACACAGGAAGGGGAACATCACACTCTGGGGACAGTTGTGGGGTGGGGGGAGGGGGGAGGGATAGCATTAGGAGTTATACCTAATGCTAAATGATGAGTTAATGGGTGCAGCACACCAGCATGGCACATGTATACATATGTAACTAACCTGCAGATTGTGCACATGTACCCCAAAACTTGAAGTATAATAATAATAATTTAAAAAAAATCCTCCCGCCTTAGCTTCCCAAGTAGCTGGGTCTACTGGCATGTACCACCATTCCTAGCTAATTTATTATTATTATTTTTTGTAGAGATGAGGTCTCATCATGTTTCTCAGGTTGGTCTCAAACTCCTAGGCTCAAGCACTACTTCCACCTTGGCCTCCCAAAGTGCTGGGATTACTGGCATGAGACACTGAGCCAGGCCTAAACCTGGAGGATATTAAGGTAAGTGAAATAATCCATATGGAGAAAGACAAATAGAGCCATGTAGTGTAGTGCTTAATGACAGGGATACGTTCTGAGAAATGTATTGTTAGGGATTTTGTCATTGTGTGAGCATCACAGAGTGTACAGTAAGTCCTCACTCAACTTTGTTTATAGGCTCTTGGGAATTGTGATTTTAAGCCCTGCATGATCTGCAATGCCAATATTAACTCCCATATATCAGGTTTCTGTATATGCTCCCTTATAATGTTATGGGACCACTGTTACATATGCAGTCCATCATTGACTGAAATATCATTATGTGGCCCATGAATATAGTATAATACTTTTGTGTGGAATATTTTTTTAAAAAAATAAAGTTGAACCTATAGAAACAGAGAGTATAACAGTGGTTGCCAGGGGCTAGGAGGTTGGGGGAGAAGTAGAGATTTTGGTCAAAAGGTACAAACTTTCTATTTATGATGAATAAATTCTGAGGATGAAATGTATAGTATATATAATATAATAATACTGTATTGTGTATTTGAAATTTGCTAAGAGAGTAGATCGTAAGTGTTCTCAGCAACAACAAAAAAGAGGTAACTGAGGTAATGGGTGTGTTAATTAACTTGATTGTGGTAATCATTTCACAACATATACATATCAAATCATCACATTATATACTTTAAATATATACAATTTTATTCATACCTCACTAGAACTAAAAAATACAAACTTTCTTTTTTCACTTCATGTTAGTAAACGTATCCCACATA
Organism: Homo sapiens; assembly: GCF_000001405.40. Lineage (NCBI taxonomy): Eukaryota > Metazoa > Chordata > Mammalia > Primates > Hominidae > Homo > Homo sapiens. The sequence continues at coordinate 51,186,683 of NC_000006.12, read as the reverse complement.
ATTTTAATAATAACAAATATTCTATTACACAGATATGCCATAATATATTTAGCCAATCTCCAGTTGTTAAATATGTAGGTTATTCACTACATATGTTATGAAAACAGGATATTAATAAGAATTTTTATGGTTAAATATTTTTTCCAAGCCCTAATTATCCCTTTAAGCCAATTTCAGAGAACTGGGTTACTAGGCTGTGTGTTTTTAGGGCTTTTCTTACCTACTTCCTAACTTTTTAGAAAGGCATATCAATTTGCACTCCCATATCTGCTATGTAAGTGTATATTTCTCCATATGATAGGAAAATTCAGGTATTATTTTCATTTTTGCAAATTTTTTATGTCATTTTAAATTGCATTTTCTTAATTAGAGAGAATTAATAAATTTTCTCTGTTTTAACTTTCTAACTGCTTCCTATTGATTCATAACAAATTTTTGCTGCTACCTCATTCTTCTCCATCCTGGAGAATTATTAGTTGTGAATCCCTGTTTACCATAATTATACTGACATTAACAAATGTTTGAACTGCTAAATATACCAAGGTTTTTTTTTCTGACAACTATTTAATCTGCAAGTGTTATTACTATAGCTTCCTTTTTAGTATACAAACATTTCTGCATTCTGACTTGACTCTTTTAGTGACTTCCCATACGTATCTGATGTTCTTGTGATAAACTGAATTTTCTGCCCAGTCTATTTTTCTTAATAATGGCCAAAGCATTCCTTCTGACTAATGTTGCAGAAACAGTGCCATCTTGAAGTTCAGAACCTTCTACACTCTTAGACTTCCTCCTTACTGTAAGATCAATTGCTTTTCTTACCCCCTTATTCCTTTTAGTACTAGCTTTCATGTTCAGGAGAAGCTTGGCTTCAGGATATTTGTGGTCCAGATCAGGAATTCTCAATCTCTATTATTAATAACATTTAGAGTCAGATATTTATTTGCTGTGAGGGACTATTCTGTGAATTGTAAGATATTGAGCAGCATTCCAGGTCTTTATGCCACTAGTACCTGCCAGGTGTGACAACCAAAAATGTCTCTAGGCATTGTCCACTCAGGGCAAAATTGCCCAGTTACGACCACTAGTTTAGAGTATACAGAATTTCTAACAAGTTAACATAATCTTGGGTTGCATTAGAAAAAATGGTGTCCTGCTCAAGAAAGGCAAAGGTCTTAGTTCTTGTTGCAACATATCCCTTGAGTTAATTCTAACTCCAAGTCACAAATTTTTAGACATCCTTACAAAACAGAGAGTTTCAAAGCAGAGTAACTCAACAGATAAAAGATCTGGAGGCTGCCCATATGCCATCTAGTTAATAGAAGTGAGTTCAATTTGGTATATGGAAAAATCTGAATAAAACTATTTAATGTATGCTGCTTTATAAAGAAGAACAAGGTAAAAAAAAACTCTTATGGAAAGACACATTTCAACTTGATATAAAGAATGGGTGCCTGAAAAGTTGGTTAGCTGCTTGTCAGCACACACTCAAGCAGAAAAAAGGGCAGAGTGTTGTTGAAAGGATTTTCACACTGGAGCACCTTATAAATAGCAACTTGTCTCTTTCTTCTAATACCTACGACACTTTCCTTTACAGTTTTTTGTTTTACTACTAGTTGTGCCCATATTTATTTGTGGGTGGAGTTTGCCACATCCTTTAAGCAATATTCCCAACCAACTGAATGCTAGAGGGAACACGATTGAATCACAGTCTGAAAAGTAATGCATATTCACCACCTGTTAACTATTCCGCCTCCAATAGTCCTTGTATCTTAATGTGTCAGTTGCAATTCTGGGCCCCAGTATGTGCTCAAAAAATACTGACTAACATATACTGACTCCCCTTCACTCTGAAATTGTCCTGATCTCAACAATATAATTAATTCATTTATCTTAAGCGATCAAATGTTGCTTTAAATTGTTAGACGAAATAATCAGTTGGTTGATCTTTTTTTCAAGTACCAGGTAGGCACATCCTGAAATAAAGAAAACTCCATTAACTTTTCTGTCCATTTGTTCCATATCTTGGTTTCCTAGTAAACTGTAAGATTCCTAAGTTCAAAAACTGTTTCTTGGTTTAATTGCACACAGTATCTAATGGAGCATGATGTACACATGGGCCCTTGGTGAGTGCCACCCTTCACATCCCAAGTATAGCAATTCCGTGAAGGAGAATTGCTTTCCCTGCCCAGCCACCTGGTAGGACTGGCCCTTCAAGTGCCATTTCCAGAGATACACAATTAGTAGATGTCCCCTGTGAGGGAAATCTAGAGCAAGATGCTAGGACACTAGGCCCTTCTTTCAACTTTAATTCCTTGGACAATAAAGAGGTATTCCTAAACCCTTGTTCATGCCACCCATGAACATTCATCTGATCCACTCTTTCACTGGGTGTTATGCCTGCTCCACCTACCTTTCATGAGAAGCATGGAGGCTAAGATCGCCCACTCTTGTGCCAGATGGTGTCTGGGCTCAAATCCCAGCTCAGCTGCTTACTAGCTTTGTGACTTAGGCAAGTTACTCAATTTCTCATTACAACAGAATCTTTATTTTAAAAGTAATTACATATGAGGTAATGCATATGTTAATTAGCTTAATTTAGCCATTCTACAATATATACATATATCAAAACATCATGATGTAAACCAAAAATATATACAATTTTATCAATTAAAAAAATAAAAATAATTACAACAACAATTTTTTCATGAAGTTGTTATGAGAATTGAATGAGTTAATATGTGTCAATCACTTAGAACAGCACCTGTCATGTAAGCTCTTAATAGTGTTAACTGTAGCTACCTTTGATAATGTACGTGAAAGAATTAAAAGTGCTCTTAATGTAAGATGTTCTGATTGGTTCCTCTCTTATGCCATAGTTCTAACGAAGAAAACCTGTCTGCAGAAATAAATTCTCTTATCCTCAGGGTGACTGTCATCATGATTAGGATTTTTTGTTAGGTGGCATTAAGGACTGGCTGACTAGGTTTTTTCCCTTCACTGCAAAGAAACTGAGATTATTCACCTTTTCAAGCAGAAAGAGAACCAGTAATCTGAGAATCAAGTAAATAAATACAGCACTACTCAGCGACAAGCTACATTCCCAGCAAAATTTATGCAGAAATGTTGCCACACAGTACCTAGTTGTGCTTGATCTTGAACCCTGTGTTTAGATCACTAGACAATGACTTTCTCAGAATTGCTGACCCACCCAATCCCCTCTTTTAAGGGAATGTCAAGGTAATGACAACGGTCTCTGCTGCCTGCCACTTCTCTCTGTCTGACCTCTTTTATTTGGGGGAAAGAGAGTTCATAGGCTGGTTGTTATTTTTCTGTGAGGTTGAGTTCTTCTCTTCATCCTTTTCTGGTAGAGGGCAGAGTTCCTTCTGGAGCCAATTGGGGTCCTCAGATCCGCCGGGAGGGGGAGGAGGAGGAATAAGAACTGCAAAATGCTACCTTTAAAATCAAATACAATTTCAATTGAATGATCTGAACTAGCAGTTTTAAGGAGCAATTGATGTGGTTCTGTATGGAGGTTGAGAAATGCAATCATCACTGAAGGATTAAAATAAATAGTGCAATGAACCTTCGTCCTCCTTCTCCCGTGCCTCAACAGCCCCTCCCCTTGGTAAATACACAAATCTACATGGGTGCACACCATTTCAGAGGGTAATTATCCAAACTGTCTAGAACAAACAAAACAAGTGCAAATGTTATGTCCATGTTTAATGAAGACTTTGGAGTAGCTCAGTGAAGTGAAACCCATTCTGCTCCGGTCATGTTTTCCCATCCTCTGACCCCTCACACATGCAGCCAATAAGGGACCTCATTTGAAATTCAGAGTCTCTGAGGCTGGGATTTAATAACAAAACTGGCACCTGTCACTTTTTCTTTATATCAGCTGCACTCTACTGCTTTAACCATTAAAAACAATCCATCTAGGAGAAAATATAAAGTGATTGCCAAGGAATATTTATTCTTCAAGCCTACAATGACCCCACAAGAAGTTGTGAGGTGTGTGCTGCTAATTGTAGGGGGAAAACATCTTCCAATAAATTATTCATGTGATTCGATTTCCATTGCCCCTTTCTCTTTTTATTTGCATGCCTTAAACTCAACAGTAACTTGGCTTTCATGCCTTTGCACACCCAAGCAACTATGTTTCTATGATGAAACTAAGACTATCAAGTGAATGTAAGTGAGTATGCACGTGCATGGGTCTGTGTGTTCCTCTAATTCCTGGTTTAGAGCAAACATAAAGAACAGTTTAGTCTAAAATTATTTTTGAAATGCTTATATCTAATATCACGTGAAGGAGATGTATAGCACTTAAGAAGAGAAAAGATTCATTGATGAAAAAAGGCAAAACATGGATAAAAGCTAAAAATCCATTCTGGAGTCTGACCTATCTAGATGTAGCTATATATTCTTGAAATTGATAAGACACAAAATTGTCTTAGGAAAAAAACAAATTATTTCATTTTTATAATCATAAAACAGTTTGGTTGCTTACAAATTGTAAAAACAAGCAAAGAGCACCTTCTACCATAAAACCCTTCTTTTAGAATACAATACAAGAAAGAAGAGTGGCCCTACTAGTTTTATCTCTAAGATAGTTTATCTGTTCTCAAGATGTCTCACTTTGTGCTCATGTTAGGTTCTTCTCACAACCAACCCCCTAGAAAAACAAACTCAAAAGAAATAAGGGTGAGCTAGTCCCACTAAACTCAGTTTAACATCAGTATATCAGTTCCTGAGGTACCTACCACATATAAAAATTCATATTTTTTCTTATTCTGTTTTAGCTTTCAAACTCTGACTGTCTTAGAGGATGAAGCTAATTTGCCAACACTAGGCATTAATGAGCTATCAGTTTTTATAAAACACCAAAGAGCCAGGAGCAGCAGTAAATATTGAGGAACTTCTTCCACAGGAAATCTCGATTGGGATTATTGCCTTCTGGAAATCTCTAAATTATTCAATGAGGAAAACATCTTGGTAGTCTTTTTCATAGCAGGATCTGGTAAGAGTAAAAATCACTCTATGAAATAAGTAAGAGATCATTTCATTATGGTTCTAGTCAGAGTCAGAATTATTGCTTATGCCCCAACTGCCTTCTTGATATGGACATTTAGACTACATTGAAAATGATCACTTCATTGTCCAACTGATCTAAAAATGTTTGTGCTTGATATTTTATGTAAGCATTAGGCTTATGAAAATGAGAAAACTAAGGTAGAATAAAATCTTTATTGATTTTTTGTGATATAAATCTTTTAAAACATTCTTGACCTTTCTTTCACAAGAGTTATTAGGAATTATGTTGAGATTCTTACATTATAGGAATAGAGAAGGGACCAGAAAAGCCCCAACATGCAGCTTGGTCTGTTTTGCCTTTCATATTTTACAGTCAAGATATATGACTATTCACAATAGCAAAGACTTGGAACCAACCCAAATGTCCATCAATAATAGACGGGATAAAGAAAATGTGGCACATATACAACATGGAATACCATGCAGCCATAAAAAAGGATGAGTTCATGTCCTTTCCAGGGACATAGATGAAGCTAGAAACCATCATTCTCAGCAAACTATCACAAGAACAGAAAACCAAACACTTCATGTTCTCACTCATAAGTGGGATTTGAACAATGAGAACACATGGACACAGGGAGGGGAACATCACACACCAGGGCCTGTCAGGGGGTGGGGGGTTGGGATTAGGGATAGCATTAGGAGAAATACCTAATGTAGATGACAGGTTGATGGGTGCAGCAAACCACCTTGGCACGTGTATACCTATGGAACAAAACTGCACGTTCTGCACATGTACCCCAGAACTTAAAGTATAATAATAAAAAAAAGATATATGACTTTTCAAGTGAATACTTGCCTCCTTTCTAGATAATTACTAGCTTGTTGTTTGAAGTAAAAATAAAACTTTAAAAAAAAAAGCTTTAGGTGAACCTCCATACAGATAAAGGACAGCCTCCCATCTGAGTAAGTGTAAGAGTTATGTCCTTACATTTTCATAATAGAATGTCAACTCCTGCTTGCACATCTGGTATCTCTAGCATATGGATCTTTCTTTAATCAATGATCCAGAATATAGACACTTCAGGCATTTTGCAGGAAATTCAAACTTTAATTGCCTTTGGTCCTATACTGGCTACAACCTTGTTTGGAGATACCCAATAGGTAACATATTAGCACTCTTTTCCTGTAAGGATCTCTGTGAGTCCATTTTCATGCTGCTGTTAAAGACATACCCAAGACTGGGTAATTTATACAGGAAAAAGGGTTTAATGACTTTACAGTTCCACATGGCTGGGGAGGCCTCACAATCATGGTAGAAGGCAAGGAGGACCAAGTCATGTCTTACATGGATGGCAGCAGGCAAAGAGAGAGAATTGTGCAAGGAAATTCCCGTTTTTAAAACCATCAGATCTCGTCAGACTCACCCCACCATCACAAGAACAGCATGGGAAAGACCCGCCCCCATGATTCAATCACCTCTCACCAGGTTCCTCCCATGACACATGGGAATTGTGGGAGTTACAATTCAAGGTGAGATTTGGGTGGGGACACAGCCAAACCACATCAGTCTCCCAGATCCATAGCTACATCATAGCAATCATCAGAAACAATGTTATTCAGCATTATTATCTTAGGCATTTGCAGAAAGAATTTCATTAACTTAATCTGTGATGCCTTCCATTGTTATAAAACCATTGAATAAAGGTACATGAAAGACTATTGCTGGAGAATAAAACAAGATAACAGACCTGAACCCAGGTGCCCACCTCCTTGACTACTCCAAACCCCAGGATGTAGCCAAAAAGACTTCAAATTATAAATATTAAATAGGGATTTATTTACGAAAATTCTTATAGGTATAGTTGTCATGGATATGTTGATAGACATAAAGATAATAACAGAAAGACCTAGAGAAATCTATCCACTTACAACAATGAAGGAAATAAGAAAGCATGGCATTTATAAGTACGAAATTCTAAAAAAAAAAATCATCAAATATTGAAAGAAGATGGGATTGAACTGTTAGAAGAAGACACTACCAAAATATTCACCAAAGCATGTCTACAAAAATGGAAGTGGTTCCGGGAAGGCTTCACTCTTGAGTCAACAGAGGCAAGGTGCAGAAAAGAAGACCCTTTGGCAACCATCAGAGCCATTATTTAGTGATTTTAGAAATCCATTTAGGGCACTGGGCAACCTGGCTTCCATCTCTCCGCAGCTTGTCAAACTAGCCTGGAGCACAGTATTTAACCCCTAGCTAAAGCACTGAGTCTGAACACTCAGGACAGGGGAGAACAGAAGCACCACAGGGAGTTAGTGAGCTCTAGAAGGAAGAAGAAAACACTTTACCCAGAAGATAAACTACTGGCATACTTGTGCCAGTGATATATTCTGCCCCTCCCACTAAATAAGTGATTCTGAAAATTTTAAACATATGTACTAAAATACCGTGGAGTAAACAAAAGAATGGACAAAACAGGAGGAGAGCTAGAGAATAACAAGCAGAGAATCAAAGAATTCTCCCAGAATAATCACTAAAAGACAAAGAGATGAAAGTAATCAAATAAAAAATAAAGACACATTAAAACTATGCCTCAAAGGCCAACACCTTCTTCAGAGAGTCCTACAGAGACCAGGAAAAATGAGGAGAATGAAGGGGGATAAGCTAATAAGTAATGGAAGAAATCTATCCAGGACAAAAGATAAGGTTCCGTATTGAGACTCATTCCCCAAGGGAATGAGAAACTCGCTATCCTAGCACTCTTTGGTAGAATTTCAAAAAGAAAATGAGAAAAATCACATCACAAAATCCTTTGAAGAGAAAAGTATCACCTGCACAGCCAAAATAATCAGATTGGCATCAAACTTCTTGTTGACAACACTGGGTGCTAGAAGACAATAGAACAATATCCTTGAAGTTCAAACATAACAATATTTTGACACAGGAATCTTATGCCCCGTCAAACTTGCATTTAAGTGTAAGAGCAAAAGAAATGTACTGCTTTACAGAAATGTTATTTTTAAAAATGCTACAGAAAGTTACATTCTAATAAAGCAAAAATATATGTAAGTAGAATATTTGAGATACAGGCAGCTTACACTTAAGTCTGAATAATTATTTATGAAAAATGTAAAGAAATAATCTGGAGTGAAAATCTCAAGTTATTTCAACATAAGAGATGAGGAGGAGATAAGAAATGAAAGCATACAAAGCTTCTTGTCATCTTCAGAGGAACTAAACATACTGATTTCCTCTAAACAGCAAAAAATAAAGTTTACATGTGATTTTTTTAAAATTTAGTGAGAATTATAGAAATAGAAAAAAAAATGAAAGAAAAATAATTTAATGAATCCCATAAGACAAGAAAGAAGCAAAGGAGGGTGGAAGGGAAACAAGAGACAAAAAGGAAAAACACATGGCAAATCAATTCTTATACAACCGAGATGGCAGGGCAAAATCCAAGTACTATAATAATTATGCAACATTTGAGTTATTAAATTCTCTGTTAAAAGAGAAACTCAGAATGGGTAGAAAAAAACACTATATATACCTTACAGAAGGCATACATAAAACAAACTGATATGAAAACTTTAAATGTAAAATCATAAACACTAACTCAAAATTAGAACACAAGTGAATAAGGTAAAATATCTGTAGCCTTATAAAGAAAACGCTTTAGTATTCCTAGATCATGCTAATCAGAAAAGAAAAAGAGAAACTACCCAATAGAAAATGGATAAAGCATGTGAACAATTTAAGAATGCCTGAAAGTAAGTATGGGTGAAGACAACCAACCTCACTTGTAATCAAGATTTTGTAACATTTGAAGTGGGCTATTATTCACATCCACCAAATAGTTAAAGTGTAAAAGTTTAACAAAACAGTAAACAACCTAAATGTTCTTCAAGTGGGAAGCTATTAAATAAATTACAGTATATGTACACAATAAAATGTTCTTCAATCATAAAAAGAATGTCGTACATCTCTAAATATTAACGTTGCAAAAATCTCCAAAAATACCTGTGAAGCCAAAAAATCAATTTTTACACAACAGTATGATCCCATTTATGTTAAAAAGGCATAAGCCCAGTGAGAGTGTGTTTGTGTGTGTCTAAATAGAAAAAAGAAAATAAAAAAATTGGTAACAATTGCTAACTGATATTGCAATCAGCTTCCTCATAAGTAACTATTGTTATCAGTTAGCAACATTAGTTACTGTAACTGATATTGCAATAGCTAATGTTGCTAACTGATGAAAATAGTTACTTATGAAAAAAGAAGTAGGATAGTGTGGGTGAGATGGAGCTAGAAAAATAGACGACTTTTACTTTTAATTTTGTAATCCTGTATGATTTAAATCTTTTCTGACAGAAATGTATTTATGTATAAACTTTTATAATTATGCAAGGATATGATATTTATCTTACATAAAATTATGATTGAATACAGCCACACTTTTTCTTATTCATGTAGCAAACATTTGCTGAGCACCTATTATAGTCAGACTCTAAAATGGCTGATGCATAAGGAGTGCAAGAAATGAGTTAGTTCCTGTCCTCCAAAAGATGGGAAAGTTAGATACCAATTGCATTAAAAACAAGTTTATTAGGGTGGGGGTTGATGAAAACAGATACTGGAGCCAGTCGTAGAGAGATGGGAATACAACAATGGGATTATGAGATTTCAGGTAAAGTTGGTGGTGGCATTATCCCAGTGCAAAATTTGAGTAAAGTAGCTTTTCTTCTTCTAACAGACTCACTCTCACACACATGCACACACACACACAAACATGCAGCGCTGAAACCCTCTATTTTGACATTTCTTTGTTCTTTTACTCAAATATCACAAGTCAAAAGATCTGGAAAATAGGATAATGCCTTCTAACTACTGATTGTAATAAAACAATTTTCACAAATAAAATAATTGTATTATTTCCTTTACTGAATTGTTTTTCTTTATGGTCTTCTTGTAACTTAATTTTCCCAATTAAAAATCCACCTATCTGCTCACTGTCTGTGGTCCTTGTTGCCATCTGAAGAAAAGTAATATGTGAGTATAAGTGTCATCCAACGTGTCATTCCTGATTCTCAAATATCCAATTATTAGGTGTGGAGAAGATACAGCATTACATTGGTAAGACTGCAGGGTACTTAATTTATGACAATAGGGGCAGCTAAAGCAATGGGGAATACAAGTGAAAATCAGAAAATAATACAGTAGAATGCATACCTTTGTTTAGTTCCTAAGGGTCTGATGCTATGTTCAGGTTACATGATCTTGTATTTATACATTTTTTGGGTTTAAAGTTGGTATATTATAATGAATAATTTAATAAAGCTATAGCCTATATGCAAAGGAGAAAAAAAAAAAACGTAATTACAACCTTGTGAAATGCCTTCCACAACAGCAAGAAGTCTTAAGGGCAAGTGGGTTTAATAGATTCAATGACTAGCATATCATAATAATTCAAATTTGATTTTCTTTCCTCTGCCTTTGCAACCTTAAAATATTGCTTATTGTTTCATTAAGTATCACAAATGCTGAATTCTGATGGTAGAATAATATTATAAATTTGAGGTTAGTGTTCATTTTTACTCTTAGCCTTTATATATCAACTCATAGTTTTGCACCAAATTAAGATCTTCCATTATCTAGAAATGACTAGGTAAAGGAAGCCACTAAAAAGCAGAATTTATAATTTTAAGAAAACTATATCATAAGTGGGTGGCATGGTCCAGCAACTGAGTGTTTTAAGTAGTGAATTTTGCTAAATGAATAATTAAGTCCTGTTTCTTTCAACCCAGTTTGAACATCTTAAAAGGACACCCATCCATCCTCCTTTCTTAATATATGAAATTAAATTTCTTGCCAATTGAGAGTAACAATCCTTAAATGTGCCATGGTTGGAAAAACCACACTTGGCAAGACCAGGGGCTCATTAAAATAATGGGGGTTAGGATTAAAACATTAAAATTAACATAGAATGCCCGTATATGTATTTTAAAAAGAACATAAATTCTTGAAATCAAATGTAGACCAAATAAAAGAGAACTGTCAGATAACTCTCTTCCCATAAAGTATTTTCTTACGTAATTCAAGAAACATTCCTGAAAAGTAGATTCTCTCCTAAAAACTATTATCTTTAAAAATTTTTTTCAACCAGCACCTACTAAGCTTCAGACCTGTGTATTCCAACTTTCTGCTACATACTTGTTTTTCCCATAGGCATTGAAAACATATACCTACAACTAAACTAATTATTGTACCTGGAGTTTAGAGAATGAGAATGACATGGGAAGGCCCAAGCTGGGGAGGAGCTATAGATAAGGGATAAATCATGCAGGGCCTCACATGTCATACCTGGTCCACTCCTCAGGTGCTTCCATACCATACCTGGGCTGCTAGAAATAGGGAAAAATAGAAGGTCATTTAGAAATTACCTTAATTTATTTGTTTTTAACCTGTAAGAAATGTGCTTTCTCTGCTCCCTGAAGACTAACAGCTATTCTCTTCCATCTTCCTCATTCATTCCATTTATTTAGTGAGTCACTCAAGATTTTTTGGACTTTGCAGTTTTCCTTGTTTCTGTTTCTCAAGTTCCAGCAACATGTTTTGTAACCACTTGACCTTTCTACAGAATATCAAATCACCTAAAGATACACAATTGGATGCACTTTTTAGTAAATTTATTTCTCTAATATTTACTTCTATTTTGAGCCTACACTGAAGGGAAATCAACTGCAATGAATTAAAGATTCCACTCTCTCTTTGTCCTGTAGTCATATAACAGTTCTAAAGCATTCAGAGGGGCATCTGGTTTCTAATACAGCCTCCATCAAATTGGGCATATTCTGACACAGTCACATCTCCATTCACTGTGAGGCTATTGGTCTACACAGGTCCCCTTACATCCTGCTTGCTCCAGAGCCTGCAGCCTCTTCAGGTGCTACTCTCGGGAACTTAGAAAATCTTCACTTTGGAATGTGGGAATCTGTTTCTCGATGCTTTCAGTCACCTAGAAATATCCTTTTGCTCCAGTGCTTGGCATACCACAGGGAAATCTGTGGAGCTTTCTCAGGGTCTTCTGCTTATAAAGACAACCATATGTGTATTACTTCTGCTCTCACACAGTGTTGGGAATAGGGTAACTATGGTATTTTGCCATCTTTGTAGATGCTACTCTGGGATTTGATGCCATTTTTCTCAGGTCCTCTTTTCTCCCCCTGCACTCAGACTTGCCCTAAATGGTGTAGGTGAGGTCCCTCTTAGGAACTTACTGGCATCTCAGCTCTCTTCGGTTCCCCTCCTCAAGGATCTTCTGTACTCTTGATCATGGGCAACCCTGCCTGCTGTCATCAGATATACTTCCAAATCTTTTGCCTTATCTACATTAAGCAGGGAAGACACTCTGCTTTGTTCCTAACTCATGGGGAATTCTTCACATAGCTTCCTGACTTTTATTTCCAAAAGCCACAGCCTACTGATAAAAAGAGGTTTTAAGGAGAAAGAAATTTCCCTGAAATGAAAATATATTCTTGAGGATTCTGAAAAAAAGGATACAGAAATATGCTAAAAAGTCCCCTGAGCAACAAATATCTGGATTGCTCAAAGTCTTACAGGTAAGGAGGTACAATACAGAGGTAAACGTATCAAATCCAGGACTCCCACACACCAAAGTTTCTAGTGGCCCAGGTATGGTGGAAGAACCTGAGGAGTGGACCAGTTATGACATGTGACGCACTGCATGATCTATCCCACATTTACATCTCCTCCCCAGTATGGGCCTTTCCATGTCATTCTCATTCTCTAAACTCCAGCTACAATGATTAGTTTAGTTGTATATGTATGTTTTCAATGCCTATAGGAAATACAAGTGTATAGCAGGAAGCTGGAATACACAGGTCTGAAGCCCAGTAGAGTAACCTGGGCTGGAGATGATTTTGTATTTGTCAATCCGATGTTAAATCGTGCAGGTGGATGAGCTTCTCCAGGAAATGAAAAGAGCACAGAAGCAACAAGAAAACAGAGATACACTCATGTTTAACAGGAACTGGGGAAGAGGAAATCTGGAAAGAAGGAGAGTGATAAAGAGGGGAGGAAGGGGAGTCCAGAAGAGTGCCAAAGTTGGGAGGCTTTTGAGGAGAAATTATTGCCCTCGCTGAATGAAAGAAATTTTTCAATAGAGTGGTGGCAGAATAAACCAAACCAAATGTAGGGAATGGTGGTATATTTGTGTCATCTCAAGTGTATGTCTGAGCATACATTTTGAAGCTAAAGTAGATCTAGATAAGAGGGAAAAATAGGAGGTCATTTAGAAATTACCTTAATTTCTTTCTTTCTTTTTTTTTTTTTTTCCGTATAAGGAATGTGCTTTCTCTGGTCCCTGAAGGCTAATGGCTATCCTCTTCCATCTTCCTCATTCATTCATTTAGTCAGTCACTCAATAGGTCAAACATACACTGATCTTTCATCTTTCTCTTAGGTGGGTATGTATTCTGTGCAGTGTGCTTAACACGAGTTTAAAAAACTGCATGGTACTTCTCTTGAATAATACTATGGGAAGCAATAAATATGAAAATAAAGAATTGTATTACAGCATTGTAAGCACTATATCAACATATACACAATGCTAAGAGAGTGCCACAAAAAAAAAAGACTCCATTTGGGGGTGTTACTAACATCTGAATAATTCGTCAGCTAGAATCGTCTCCCTCCTTCACTAACCCTATCATTCGTCTGTTCAACCAATATGTAATAAGTGCTACCATGTTTAAGGCATGTTATTGGAGCTGGGGACACAGCAGTGAATTAGAGCTCTGACTTCTTGCTTGCCCTAGGATAAATAGGTATTATTTTAGTTTAAAAGTTTGTTTCATTTAAAATATATGTATATTAAACAAGAATGAATGGAATGAACATGTCAGAGCCTTGTTTAATAGTAATGTACATGGGCCTTAAAAAAGAGATTTGCTGCTTATTTTGGCTGCTCAAGGGCTTTTGTTACTCAGGTCCATACTCGACTATTTTCTGGATAGAGAGTATATGTTTGGGCAGTCATATGAGAATCTCTGTTCAATATTCCAGTCTGATTTCTCCAGGAAAGGCAGGAATGGTGACTTCTTCCATCTATCTCATTGAATTAGAGCAATTACAAATCTGAGGGAGAGATTATGATCTCATGAAATTTATCAGAGACAAGAGGGAAAAGGAAACTGTATAATAGAAATAGATTTTAGATTGCTAGTTATATTTTCTCCACATTGTAAACATATTATCCCCCTACCTTCTGGCTTCCACTTACTTCTATTAATAAATTAGCTCTTAAATCAGTTGTCAATTTACCTAGGAAGGATAGCCTGACTGCTTTGAAATTCTCTTTTTTCGGTCTTCAGATTGTTTAGGTGTAGACTTCAGCCTCTGATTCACTGGACCTCTTGAATTTGAGGATTGTCTTTGCCATACTATTCTTTTTTTTTTATTATTACACTTCAAGTTTAGGGTACATGTGCACAATGTGCACGTTAGTTACATATGTATACATGTGCCATGCTGGTGTGCTGCACCCATTAACTCGTCATTTAGCATTAGGTATATCTCCTAATGCTATCCCTCCCCCCTCCCCACACCCCATAACAGTCCCCAGAGTGTGATGTTCCCCTTCCTGTGTCCATGTGTTCTCAATGTTCAATTCCCATCTATGAGTGAGAATATGTGGTGTTTGGTTTTTTGTCCTTGCAATAGTTTACTGAGAATGATGATTTCCAGTTTCATCCATGTCCCTACAAAGGACATGAACTCATCATTTTTTATGGCTGCATAGTATTCCATGGTGTATATGTGCCACATTTTCTTAATCCAGTCTATCATTGTTGGACATTTGGGTTGGTTCCAAGTCTTTGCTATTGTGAATAGTGCCACAATAAACATACGTGTGCATGTGTCTTTATAGAAGCTCCATGCTATTCTTTTAAAAAAATAATTAAAACATTTTTAATTGATACATAGTAATTGTACATATTTATGGGGTGCATGGTGATGTTATGATACATATAATGTACAGTGATCAAATCAGAGTAAGTAGCATATCTATCATCTGA
Source organism: Homo sapiens (assembly GCF_000001405.40). NCBI lineage: Eukaryota > Metazoa > Chordata > Mammalia > Primates > Hominidae > Homo > Homo sapiens. The sequence goes on along the minus strand of NC_000006.12, from coordinate 51,171,545 downwards.
AACATTTATCATTTCCTTGCTTGGAAAACATTCAATATCCTCTTTCTAGCTAAATGAAACTATGTATCATTGTTAACTATAGACATCCTTGGGTACTATAGAACACTATAACTTATTCTTCCTATCTAGCTCTAATTTTGTATCTTTTAACAACTCTCTTCCCCACTTCCCAGCTCTAGTATCTTCTGTTCTATTTTTTACTTTTATGAGGTCACCTATTTTTTAGCTTACACATGAGTTAAGAACATGTAGTGTTTAACTTTGTGTTCCTGGCTTATTTCACTTAACATGATGTCTTCCGGTTTCATCTATGCTGCTGTGAATAACAAGATTTCATCCTTTTTGTGGGTGAATAGTATTCCATTGTATATATTTACCCATTCATCTGTTGTTGGATACCTAGGCTGATTCCAATTATTTTGGCTATTGTGAATAGCATTGGGGTTGCAGATATCTCTTTGATATACTGATTTTCTTTCCTTTGGATAAATGCCCAGTAGTGAAACTGCTGGATCATTTGGTAGTTCTATTTCTAGTTTTCTTAGGAAACTTCATACTGTCTTTCATAGTGGCTGTGCTAATATACATTTCCATGAACAGTGGATAAGAGCCCCCCTCTCTCTGCATCCTTGCTAGCATGTTTTTTCTCTTTTTGATAATAATTATCCTAACTGACCTTCATCTGTCACCCCATACAAAAATCAATTCAAAATGGATCAAAGACCTACATGTAAAATCTTAAACTATAAAATTACCAGAAGAAAACATAGGAGAAATGCTTTAGAATATTGGTCTGGGAAAATTGTTTGTGAATAAGACCTGAAAAGGAAAAATAAACAAATAAGACTATATCAAACTTAAAAGCTTCTGCACAGCAGAGGAAACAATCAACAGAGTAAAAAAAGAACCAACAAAATAGGAAAAAAAATTTGCAAACTATTAATCCAAAAGGGGTCTAATATACAGAATATACAAAGAATTGAAACATCTCAACAGAAATAAAAAACGTTCTTTTTAAAAAACAGGCGAATAATCTAACAGACATTTCTCAAAGGAAGACATACAAATGGCCAAAAAATACATAAAAGAAAATGCTCAGTATCACTAATCATCGGTGAAATGCAAATCAAAACCTTTATTAGTTCTTGAAAAAAATCAGCAATTATCTCTTGAAGTATTTACCTCTCCTCTATTATCTTATATCTTGTAGATGAAAATTTGACTTTGTGTCTTTTCTCCATTCGCTAATTCCAAGTTAGTATTTTGTATCAATGTTCTTCCTGTGCTGCATTCTACATAATTTCTTCATATCTACCTCTGGATAATAACTAATTATCTTTTGGCATTGTCTAGTCCATAGATCAACAAATAATAACCTATAGAACAAACCTGGCCCACAACCTATATTTGTGTAGCCTAAAAGCTGAGAATAGTTTTCGTTTTAAAAAGCAGAAAACAAACAAAAAATAAAAATGGCAGTTTGGCACTTCACAGAAAACGTTAGCTGATCCATCATCTGATCTGCTATTGAATCATTCCACAAACTATGTATTCCACACAATATTTATTTTCACTTATATTTCTGCTATTTGGTTCTTCTTAAAATTGACTTTGTCATTTTCTTTTATCTTTTTATAGATTTAGAGGGTACAAGTGCAGATTTCTTACAAGCGTATATTGCATAGTGGTGGAGTCTGGGCTTTCACTGTACCCATCACCCAACAGTAAACATGGCACCCAAGAGTTAAATTTTTAACTCTCACCCTGCTCTGAACCTCCAATCATCTGTAGTCTCCAGTGTCTATTATTACACTTTATATGTTCATGTGTAGCCTTTGTTTAGTTCCACTTATAAATGAGAACATGTGGTATTTGACTTTCTGTTTCTGAGTTATTTTCATTTAGAATAATGGCCTCCAGTTCTATCCCTCTTCCTGAAAAATATATCATTTTATTATTTTTTATAGCTGCATAGTATTCCATGGTGACATACAAAAGGTATTTTTATCACATTTTCTTGATCCAGTCATGCATTGATGGTTAATTCCATATCTCTGCTATTGTGAATAGTGCTGTGATAAACATTTGAGTGCAGGTATCTTTTGGCATAATGATTTATTTTCCTTTGGATACTCAGTAGTGGGATCGCTGGATAAAATGATAGTTCTATTTTTAGTTATTTGAGAAACTGCCATACTGTTTACCATATAAGTTGTACTAATTTACCTTCCTACCAACAATATATAAGCATTCCTTTTCCTCTACATTCTCACCAATATCTGTTGTTTTCAATATTTTTACTAGTAGCCATTCTGACTGATATAAGATGATATCTCACTGTAGTTTTAATTTGCATTTATCTGATGATAAGTGATGTTGAGCATTCTTTCATATATTTGTGGGCCACTTGTATGTGTGTTTTTTAAAATGTCTACTTATGTCCTTCGCTCACTTTTTAATAGGGTTATTTGTTTTTTTCTTGTTGAGTTGTTTGAGTCCTTTCAGATTCTGGATATTAACCCTTTGTTAGATGCATAGTTTGCAAATACTTTTCCCATTCTGCAGATTGTCTGGTTATTCTGTTGATTGTTTCTTTTGCTGTGCAGAAGCTTTTAAGCTCCATTTGTCTATTTTTGTTTTTATTGCATTTGCTTTTGACGGCTCAGTCATAAATTCTTTGCGTAAGCCAATGTCCAGAAGAGTTTTTCCTAGGATTCTTTCTAGAATTTTTATAGTTTCAGGTTTTACTTTTAAGTCTTTAATTCATCTTAAATTAATTTTTGTATATGGTGAGAGATACTGGTCTAGTTTTGTTCTTCTGCATATGGCTATCCAGTTTTCCCAACACTGTTTATTGAGTAGTGTAGCCTTTCCCTAGTGTGTATTTTTGTTGACTTTGTAAAAGATCAGTTGGTCTTAGGTATGTGGCATTATTTCTGGATTCTCTATCGTGTTTTGTTCATCTATGTGTCCATTTTTATACCACTATTATGCTGTTTGGGTTACTATAGCATTGTGGTATAATTTGAAGTCAGGTGATGTGATGCCTCTGCTTTATTCCTTTTGCTTAGAATTGCTTTGGCTATTTGAGCTCTTTTTCGGTTCCATATGAATTTTAGAATTGTGTTTTCTAATTCTGTGAAAACTGATATTGGCAATTTGGTAGGGATTAAGTCAACTCTGTAGATTGCTTTGGGCAATATGGTGATTTTAACAATATTAATTCTTCTTTAATCTTTCCTTCTGACTCATAGTTTTGGTTCACTTTTACGTGACTTTAATAAACATTTTTAAGAAATAGTCTGTATCCTAAAATTCTAGTATTCAAAGGCCTTTGGGCTTGATTCTACTGCTTATTGCTTCTGCTGATTCTCACTAATGGTGTTTTATTTCCTCATGGCTTTGTTACTTTTCTGTTGTGAGCTCATGGTCATTGGTACTGTCTCTCAGGCAAGACTTTTAGAGCTAGATTGAGGCTGGTTTCCTTCAGAGAGGATACTGTTTGTTTCTGTAGACACTTAGAGCCACTACTAACCTAGATACACATTAAATAAGAATTCTTACCTTACAGTTTTTTGTTTCAAGTAAATGTTACAAATTCAGGCTCAAAGCACACATAAGTACTGGCTTTTGTACAGAAACTCTCCAAAAAGATTTTTTCTTCTCTACCTAGAGTTAAAACTGAAAAAATCAATTTCCTTACATTCTGCAGCTGCAGGGTATGTTTGTTTCCTAGTTTTCTACTCCCCTGAGGGTGTAGAGTTTGCTCGATCACAAAATACTTTAGGCAGAGAAAGAAATGGTAGCCTTTCATTCTACTTTCTCACCTCTTGGATATGTCAGAGCTTTATCTTTGCCACCCCACACCCCACCCCACCAGTCAGCCATTGAAACATAAGCCCCAGGCTGCCTGCTCTCAGGGGATAACTCTCATTAGTAGATGCTACAGGCATTCCATGACTTCTGTGCTCACTTACTTTGCTGGACTCCTGTTCTTGCTTCTTCAGTCATCTATTTAGAAGATGGCTTAAAACTATTTTATTTGGCATTGTTAGGCATTTTATAGTGGAAGAGTTTCAAGATTCTAGTCTGTCATCATATCTGCAAGTAAAGGTCTCACAAATACATTTATAAGCAATTAGTAAATAAGTTATTTAATTTATTAAAGATTCTATGGCTTTAGGGCTTTATATAACTACATATATATGGGGTTGGGGTTTTTTGCTACAATCTAAACTGTGCTGATTTTGAAGCTATTGTCTCTCAGCACCCTTCTGGATTTGGTATTTATAACACTATAGCTGTCATTCTGCCAAAAATATTTTTTTCTTTACCAGGGGCTTCCTGTATGTTCCACTGATAGGAGGCACTACACGGGAGTCTAGAAGGTTAAAGGATAAAAACAAAATTTACTTTCCATTCTTATCAGCCTTGCCCCAGAGCAGGCACTTAGGTTGATAGCACAGCAGATTTTTCTAGCTTCTTTTGGCACTCTCAGACACAGCCTATCACTCTCCCTTAGAAATATTATATCATCTGGACAGTGACATCTCAGAGTTCTCAGTACCAATTCCACTGGGCCTCATCTCAGAGCTCCTGAGGTACCAGCATCTAGAATACAATTTTCAAAAATCTAAATCTCATTTGTTGCCTCTCTTCTGAGTTTATTGCTTCTAGTAATCCCGGTATCTTTATTCCCCCAGCTCTAGGAATGCCAGCTGCATCCTGCAGTTCTTATGTCTATGTTATCTCAGTGTTATTATTTGGATTTTTCAGTCTTCCAACACTTGTTTAACAATTTCCTACATTAAATTATCTCCATTGACATATCTAGCATTGTTTCTGTTTTCTTTCTCTTTTTAATTAACAAACAATAATTGTAAATATAATGGGGTATAGTGTGATGTTTTGATATGTGAATACAATGTTTAATAATCAAATTTTTCATATGCCTGTTGGCCATTTGTATTTCCTTTTTTGAGAAGTGTCTATTCAGATATTTTTCTTATTTTTAAATTAGATTATTTATCTTTTTGCTATTGAGTTGTTTGGGTACTGTACATACTCTGGATATTAATCCTTTGTCAGACGCATAGCTTGCAAATATTTTTTCCCATTCTGTAGATTGTCTCTTCACTCTATTGATTGTTTTCTTTGCTGTATAGAAGCTTTTTAGTATGATGTAATTATATTTATTTACTTTTGCTTTTGTTGCCTGTGCTTTTGAGTTCTTATTCAAAAAAAGCCTTGTTCAGATCAATATCATAAAATGTTTCCCTTATGTTTTCTTCTGGTAGTTTCAAAGTTTTGGGTCTTACATTTAATTTAAGACTTTAATCCATTTTGAATTGATTGTTATAAGTAATGTGAAATTGGGATCTAGTTTCATTAATCTGCATGTAGGTATCCAGTTTTTCCAGTATCACTTATTGAAGAGACTTCCCTTTCCTCAATGTGTGTTCAGGGGTGAAAAAGGAGACATCACAACTGATACAATAGAGATACAAAAGATCATTAGAGACTATTATGAACAATTATATACCAACAAATTTAGAAACTTAGAAGAAATGGGCAAATTCCTGAACACATGCAACCTACCAAGATTAAATTATGAAGAAATAGAAAATCTTAACAGACCAATAGTGAGTAGTGAAATTCAATCAGTAATAAAACAGCCTCCCATCAAAGAAAAGCCCAGGGCCAATGACTTCACTACTAAATTCTACCAAACATTTATGGAGGAAGTAATACATATCCTTCTCAAACTCTTTTTAAAAAAATTAAAGTGGAGGAAACTTCTCCAAAATCATTCTACAACGCCAGCATTATCCTGATCCAAAACCAGAGGAGGACATAACAAAAAAAGAAAACTACAGGCCAAAATCCCTGATGAACATAGATATAAAAATCATCAACAGAATACTAGCAAATTAAATCCAACAGCACATCAAAAAGATTATTAACCTTGACAAAGTGGGATTCATCCCAGAGATGCAGGAATGGTTCAACATATACAAATTAATAAGCATGATACATCACATTAAAGAATGAAGGACAAAAACAATATGATTATACCAATACATGTAGAAACATCCCTTCATTATTAAAAACTCTCAACAAATTAGGTGTAAAAGGAATGTACCCCAACACAATAAAGGCTATATATGACAAACCCACAGCTAACATACTGAACGGAAAAAAAATGAAAGCCTTTCCTCTAAAATCTGGAACAAGGCAAGGCTGACCGCTTTCACCACTTTTATTCACGATAGAAGTAAGAATACTAGCCAGAGCAATTAGGCAAGATAAAGAAGTAAAAGCATCCAAATTGGAAAGAAGGAAGTTAAATTGTTTTTATTTAGAGATGACATAATTTTATATAAAGAAATCTCTAGAGATTCCACCAAAAAAATGTTAGGAGTAATAAATAAATTCAGAAAAGTTGCAGAATACAAATCAGTAGCATTTCTATATGTCAATAGCAAACTATCTGAAAAAGAAGTCAAAAGAAGCAGTTCTATTTATGATAGCTACAAAACATAAAATAAAATAAAATACCTAAGAATAAATTTAACCAAGGTGGTGAAATATTTCTATAATGAAAACTACAAAACATTGAATTAAAAACTTGAAGAAAACATAAATAAGTGGAAAGATAGCCCATGTTTATGGATTGAAACAAATAATATTTTTTAAATATCCATATTACCCAAATCTATCTACAGATTCAATCAAATTCCTATGAAAATACCAATGACATTCTTTACAGAAATAGAAAAAAAATCTTAAAATTGGTATGAAACCACAAAAGCCCCCAATAGCCAAAGCAATCTTGTTCTAAAAGAACAAATCTGGAGGGATCAAGTTACCTTACTTCAAAATATACTACAAAGCAATAATAACCAAAACAGCACGGTGTCAGCATAAAAACAGACATATTGACCAACGGAACAGAATTGAGATCTCAGAAATAAATCCATGCATTTACAGCCACTGATCTTCAACAAAGGCAGCAAAAGCCTACATTGGAGAGAGAACCGTCTCTTCAATAAATCTTTCTGTTTTCTTAACCACGACATCTTCATGAACAAGTATCAGTTAATACTTGTCTTCAATAACTTCCAAATGATTTATAAAACATAGAAGGAATAATATTCAGCTGGTACTTGCCAGTATAGGTCTACCAGCTGACTTGCTCCAACATCCATTTTGATTAGTCCAGTGCCAAAGCCATAATGGTTATTAAATATTTTGAATATCTGCCATATAGGTCATATCATATACTAAGATAGCATCTCTGATATTTAGTATTGGTGATGTCTGAGGTTTAATTTGTATGTACTTCATTCATGTGTAAATGTTAATAGCAGAAAAAGTCTGTTATGTTAGGGTTAAAGAGTAACCAAAAAAAAAAATTTGGCTGGAATTTCTTTAATTTGATATTATGTAGTGCATGCCAAAGGAAAATCTTACTCAACCAGTCTTTGCATTGTTTGCTTACTGCCAGTATTATTTGAGCACAAGCGTCTCTTTCTAAACCAGATATTTATCTTGTTTCTAACTCATCAAATAAATGATTATTTTCATACGCCAGATAAATAGTTAACCCCTCGTAGTCTTAAAGGAGCTAAGGGAGTGGTGGAAAAAAGTCGTATCAGGAATGTGGAAATTTGACTTTTGGTAGTTGAGACAAAAATCTATCTTTGGGGTCATAGAGATCATGTTGTAATAAATGTATCCAGTTATTTAAGATGGTACTTTGTGGGTTCATGAAGGTTAGATGAAGGTTAGGTCTTCCCTAAACTATTATTTGCCAGACAAGAGCCCTGTTGGAAATAATAAAAACTGACTAAACTTGTGGAATCTTATATTTTTTGATAGAAAATCATTAAGAAAAAATTTACATAGCCTTCTGTAGACTTGATATCTTTGCTTTTGTCCCAGATCAGTTCCCAACAGTGTTTCTCAAACTGATATCTCAGAGTGACCAACAGAATGGCCATTTAAAGTGCTTGTAAAAAATTTTATGGACTCAGGTTTTGTGGGAATGGGTTCTAGGAATGTGAAATAATATTAGGGAACCAGTTTATTGTTATGAATTAATAATATCTTTGTGGTGTGATACCTAATAAAGGCAATATAAATTGAGCATGTATCACATGCCTATTCTAAGTGCTTTACATGCATTAACTTACTTAAACTTCAGGGTAATATTATTATTATTATCAACATCTTTGAAATAAGAAAACAGAGACATAGAAGGTTACAGAATTTGCACAAAATTGCATAGCTAGTAATTGGCAAATGCAGGACTTCTACTGATGCAGTTTGACCCCAGCGTTCAAATACCAACCACTATACGTAGTTTTTCTTACTTATATGTTCATTTTCCCTCAGTAACCCATGAGATCCTCAAGTACCCAAACCGATCATCTTGGTATCACTAGCTCTTAGCACAGAGACAGGTGTATCATAATCATTTAGTATTGCTAAATAAAATTTTTTAATGAAAGAGAAGGTGAATAAATAGATATTTGAATTAGGGTTTTAGTTGTTTTTTCATTACCTCAAGGTTCAAACTGAAATGTAGGATTCGCAGTAAACCACACAAGAGGTTTGACTGAAAATACTTGAGGTGAAAGAGAAAAATAAACACAAAACATAGGCAACAAAATCTGATGCTGAACCAATTAACCACCCACTTAACTATTATGACAGCTAATATGGGAATGAAGAGGAAAACTCTCTCATCCATTCAGAAGACTGACTCTTGAGGACTAAGGTTAGAAAGACTAACATGAAAATTTATCTTTTTGCCTTCAGGAAAGGGCCATGCCTGAACTGTTTTAGAGAGATGACTATCTATGCTGTTCTCAATGATCTCCCAAAAGGAGGTGCCATAAACATCAGTAAATCACTTTTTGTGTCCTTCTAGATCTGTCTTATGATTTTATTTTCATAAGTGATTTATCTGGATGATTACTATGGAGTTAGAGGAAGATTAAGAATGAAATCAAATATTCATTATTACCAGTATGTATTTCCAATATCAGTATTTATTGAGCTCTTGTGGCTCTGAGCATACTTCTTTTCTTTCATAACCAGCTAAAATTGTGCTTAATATTTTTAGGTTGCAGTGAAAAGTTGCATTTCTGCACATAATTGAGATCTAGTTATGAAATTTACTGGTTTCCATTAGTTTTTGTTAAATTTTTGAAAACTAGGACAAGGAATTATTGGGGATTTTTAAATTAATTAATTTTATTTATTTAAATTTAGTGAATTCTAATTAAATGTAAAGCAATCAATGTTTTAATCCTCCAACTTCACACATATGCACAAAATAATTGGCATCTTGAATCAGAAGTCACCCAGTGTTCTTTGAGCTTAGTTATGGAGCTAGAGCAAACAGAAAAGAGTAATAAATTTTTGGGGGGTGATCAGGTACTTCACAGTCAGAGGCCTAAGGAAATTTTCCTAACTTGTATTTAAGCTTTGTTTATATACACAGAATTCACACATCATAGAATTCACCACTTTAAAATGTACAATTCAGTAGGTTTTAGTATGTTTACAAGGTTGTGCAACTATCACCACAATCCAATTTCAGACTACTTTTATCATTCCAAAAAGAAATCCCATAGTCATTAGCAGTAACTCTCCATTCAATATTCCCTTAAACCCTGACAACCACTAATCTATTTTCTGTCTCTATGAATTCAAGACATTTTATATAAATAGAATAATATAATTTGTAGGCTTTTGTGTCTGACTTCTTTCACTTACTATAATGTTTTTAAGGTTCATCTATATTGTAGCATGTATCAGTATTTCATTCCTTTTTATGGCTGAATACTGTTCCATTGCATGAATATATGACATTTTTAAATTTATTCATCAGTTGATGAGCATTTAAGTTGCTTCTACCTTGGGGATATTAGGAATAATGCTGCTATGAACGTTCTTATAAAATTTTTTGTATTAGTCATACATTTTTGTTTCTGTTTAGTATATACTTGGCACTAGAAATACTGGATCATATGGTAACTCTCTGGTTAACATTTTAAGAAACAGAATAACTGCTTTCCAAAGTGTCCGCACCATTTTACATTTGTACCAGCAATGCATGATTTTCTAATTTCTCCACATATTTGCCAAAACTTGTTATTTTACTTTTTTAAAATTGTACCTAACCTGTTGGATGTGAAGTGGAAACATTTTTTAAATGTTTTTTTTTCTATTTTTATGTCGTGGAATCAGAAGGAAACAATTTACTTCATTATTAAATAGATGTGTAATATGCATCATTCTCTAACACACATGGAAAATTCAATCCAAGAAATAGACTGTATACTTGAACAAAGGAAATATCTCAGAACACAAAAGTATAATTTAGGCCACAGTTACTGATTATAATGCTAAAAGGAAAAAACTGTAAACAACTTAACAAATTAACAAGCTCTCATATAACCTAGAGCCCAGGTCTTAGATGTCTGAAAGTGAAAGAAAAAAAAAAGCAGACATCCAAATAATCAATTGGTCATGAAATTGAAAATTAATTTTTAAAATTTCTATAATTGAATCATTTGGAAATGCAATATACACATGTATCAAGATGTACATGACGCAGCTGAAGTAGTCCTCAGAAGCAACTATAGCCTTAAATGCACTTATTGGGAAACTGGAAAGCTTTGAAAAAGCAAAGTACTAAGATTTAAATTACAAAGTTCAAAAAGTACAAAACAAACCCAAATAAACAGAAGAAACTGAAAATATGGGACTTCTCTAATCTGAAAAGCAGTATCAATTAAAATTATATAGTTAATGTTATATCTAACAGTAAAACATTAGAAGTGTCCCCATTAAAGTCAAGAACAATGTAAGGATGACTATTATCACTGGGCTACAACTAGAAGTTTTAATGGTTTTAATGAATGTAATAAAGCAAATATACTACATTATATATTTTAAATATAAATCTGTGTATATATGTGAATATAATATTGAACTAGTTCATTTCACTCTACTGTTGTATTTTATTATATAAATATGTCACATTTTAATTGTATATGTGTATATATATAACATATATACACATATATGACTTATGTGTATATATATATAACATATATACACATATATGACTTATGTGTATATATATAACATATATACACATATATGACTTATGTGTATATATATATAACATATATACACATATATGACTTATGTGTATATATATAACATATATACACATATATGACTTATGTGTATATATATAACATATATACACATATATGACTTATGTGTATATATATAACATATATACACATATATGACTTATGTGTATATATATAACATATATACACATATATGACTTATGTGTATATATATAACATATATACACATATATGACTTATGTGTATATATATAACATATATACACATATATGACTTATGTGTATATATATAACATATATACACATATATGACTTATGTGTATATATATAACATATATACACATATATGACTTATGTGTATATATATAACATATATACACATATATGACTTATGTGTATATATAACATATATACATATACATAACTTACGTGTGTATATACGTGTGTTTGTATGTATGTGTGTGTATGGCCTATACAGGAAATGATTAAGCTTTGTTGCTTGTTGTTAATTATGTGCTATATAATGTGCATGTTATGTGTTATTTGTTATTCAAATAACACAAAAAATGTAACTGAAAACTATTAGCACTAATAGGAGAATTTAGCAAGGTTTTGGAAATTAAGATAAACAAAAGAATTTCCAAATCTTCCATCTAAAATAAAAGTTGGGAAAAAATGCAATGTAAACTCTTAGTTTCTATAATTGGTAGAAAACTAATTTACACTCCCAACAGTGTAAAAGCATTCTTATTTTTCCACAACCTCTCCAGCATCTGCTGTTTCCTGACTTTTTAATTATAGCCATTCTAACTGGTGTGAGATGGTATCTCATTGTGGTTTTGATTTGCATTTCTCTAATGACTAGTGATGATGAGCATTTTTTCATATGTCTGTTGGCTGCATAAATGTCTTCTTTTGAGAAGTGTCTGTTCATACCCTTTGCCCATTTTTTGATGGGGTTGTTTGTTTTTTTCTTGAAAATTTGTTCGAGTTCTTTGTAGATTCTGGATATTAGCCCTTTGTCAGATGGGTAGATGGCCAAAATTTTCTCCCATTCTGTGGGTTGCCTGTTCACTCTGATGATAGTTTCTTTTGCTGTGCAGAAGCTCTTTAGTTTAATTAGATCCCATTTGTCAATTTTGGCTTTTGATGCCATTGTGGAAGACAGTGTGGCAATTCCTCAAGGATTTAGAACTAGAAATACCATTTGACCCAGCAATCCTATTACTGGGCATATACCCAAAGGATTACAAATCATTCTATGATAAAGACACATGCACACGTATGTTTATTGTGCACTATTCACAATAGCAAAGACTTGGAACCAGTCCAAATGTCCATCAATGACAGACTGGATTAAGAAAATGTGGCACATATACACCATGAAATACTATGCAGCCATACAAATGGATGAGTTCACGTCCTTTTTAGGGACATGGATGAAGCTGGAAACCATCATTCTCAGCAAACTATCACAAGATCAGAAAACCAAACACCACATGTTCTCACTCATACGTGGGAGCTGAACAATGAGAACACATGGACACAGGGAGGGGAATATCACACACTGGGGCCTGTGGGGCATTGGGGGCTAGAGGAGAGATAACATTAAGAGAAATACCTAATGTAGGTGACTATTTGATGGGTGCAGCAAACGACCATGGCATGTGTATACCTATGTAACAAAACTTCACGTTCTGCCAGAACTTAAAATATAATAATAATAATAAAAAGAAAAAAGCAGATGTTAATTTTTCCTTAAGTAGCTCAGGATGCTTGACCTCTTTGAATCTATCTGTGTTATTAAAGGACATCACATCATGGCCCCCAAGTACAGCAAGAGATAGGCTGGAGAAATACTGAAGCTGATGGCCACGTTCTCCTGTGACTGTTACTTTTTTTTTTCTTCAAACTTCAGAAAGGCAGCCCTAGAATTAATTACCCTTCCAGACAGAGAGGGGTAAATGTGATGCCTCTGGATGCAGTAAAGAGTCTTAGTCTTAGGAAAAGGACATTGCAGTGTATTTTGCTGGCCTCCTTCCTTTAGTCAGTTCCAGATGGATTCAAAAACTTGCTTATAAGAGCAAACTTATAAGAAGCTCTGTCCAGAGTCATGGGGAAGGTTTAATTACTTTCCAAATTAACATATAATATAAATATGGAAAAGTAAGTTATCATATTCATATGCTTCAATGAATTTTTACCAGGCAATTACACCCATGTAACCAGCTCCTTGATCATGATCTAGAACATTACCAGAAGGCCTGCCATCATCAACTCTTCAAATGTAACTACTGGCCTGAATTCTGAGAGCATAGGTTTGACTGTTTTTGTATTTTAGTTTTTGTTCGTTTACTTTAAATAAATGAAATAATGCTATATTTTCTCTTTTGTGACTGGCTTCTTCCACTCAATATTACATTTGTATGATTTATCCTTATATTTGTTGTAGATTGATTATTGTTATTGCTCTATGGTATTCCATTATATGTATATGCTGTAATGTATTATTCATTCTATTACTGATGGACATTTGAATAATTTCTATTTTGGGAACACTATGAATTGCGCTGCCATAGATATGCTTATATATGTCTTTTCTGTGTATTCATATATTCATTCATTTCTGATAGGTATACATCAAGGAACTAGAATTGCTAAGCCATAGGTTGTGTATATGTTCCTATGTTTTAATAAACAGTGCCAAATAATTTTCCAATGTGTTTCTATCAATTTAAATGCCAACTGAAATGTATGAAAGTTCCTATTTCTCTACATTTTTTATAACTCTTGACATTTTCTACCTTTTTATTTTAGCCTTTTTAATGGGTGACCATATGGGTCTAATGCTGTACGCTAGCAATAGTTGAGACTTCAGACCAGATCTTGAAAATGCCAGTTGCAAATAATATATGTGGGTCTCACATCCCACTCTGGTATGTGATTTTGGTAATTGAAGATAAATTAATTTTTTAATATAAAAAAATTTCAAAAACATTACATGGAACAAAAGAGGCCAGATATAGAAAATCACATGCTGTATATATCTGTGTGAAGTCCAAGAACAGACAAACAAAGCTCTAGTGATAGAAATCTAAATAATGGTAATCCCTAAGGATAGAATATTTAAAAAAAGTTGAAATGGTATCAAAAAGTTGGCTACCCATATTAAAAAATTAGATCCTTACTTATACCATACACAGATTAATTAAGAATTAAATCTGAGACATAATTTAAAATTGTTAAAAGATGGAAAAATATTTATAACTTTACAAAATTATAAAGTTTCTTTATATGTTTTCTTACAAAAGCTCAAAAGGCAAGATTCATATATAAAATAACAACAAAATTTAAACAAATTAACATTAAAAACTTTTGTATAGCATAAAATACCTGGAACAAATTTTAAAGTAAGTTAGAGAAGGATATAATTGCTTTAACTTATATAACAATGTAACAGTGTCCACAATGTGTAAAAACTCTCTGCAAATAAATGGAGAAAAAAACAAATACTCTAGTATAAACATGGATTAATATGGGTTTAGTTTATGAACAGGTGATTTACAGAAGGAACTACAAATAGCTGATAAACCCATGAAAAAGCCCCAAGTTTTGTAGTACCAATTACAATAACAAGATACTGTTTTCATCTAGGAAAATGGCAAAATTAAACTTTTTGCAGTATTAAGTGTTAGAGATGTAAAATAATTGGTATTTCAGTATTCTGCTGATGATAGTGCAACTTTGTATAGTTATGTTGTAAGTCAAATTTTCAGGATATCTTAAAATTGATATTATACATTTCCAATCACCCAGCAATTCAATTTCTTGGTATCCAACCTTGAAAATTATTGATGCATGTACATAAGTATATAGATGTCAGAATTTTCATTGCATCATTGTTTATAAAACAACAAATCAAAGCAATCTAACTGTACAACAATAAATAGATTAATAAAATATTTATATGATAAAAGACTACACAAGAGTGAAAAACAATGAACTAGATCAATATTATATCAGCTTAGATACCAAAAACATGGTAGAGAAGCAAAAGCAAGCTAAGAACTATGTATACAGCACAAAACCATTTATATTTTTAAAATACACACGTGCAAACCAATGCTATATATTTTCAATGATTTCAAATATATGTAAGTAAAAAGTCTAAAAAGAATGAAAAACATCCATCCAACACATCACTGCCTTTAGCAATGGCGATAGAGAACCATAATGTTGTAAAGAGAAGTTCAAGGAAGACTTTAGTTTTATTTTTTATGTCATAATTTCTTGAAAAATAAAATGCTTTCATGTACTGCATGTGTTTTGAAAATATTAGGGATGCTTTTCTCTGGGTACAGAAATGAAGGTGAACATCAGTTTCTCAATAATATATATTAATAGCATAATTTTCTTTTCCAAAATACGAAAAAAATAAGAGAAGTGAGAGGAGAGAGGCAAGAAGAAAAGAATGCAGTCTAAGTGGCTATGTCACTAAAAGGACTTGGGAGGGAAAGTGTTTTCTAGTTATTCCATACATCATTTTACTGCCAATAGTGTGTCTTTGATTTTCAAAGTCACCTGGATCTGATACTAATGAGCTGAGTGGACAAACATTTTCTTTGGGCCTCAACTTGCTCATCTGTTAAAAGAGGCAGGACTTAGTTTACTTTTTAAGACTCCTTCCAGGTGGGCTATTTTATAGTTTGATAAGTTTAAGACTTTTTTACAATTGGGGAAAGAAATTGTTTTTTTACTCTTTCAGAGCCCACATAGCCAAAGCAAGACTAAGCAAAAAGAACAAATCGGGAGGCATTACACTACCTGATTTCAAATTATGCTATAAGGCCATAGTCACCAAAGCAGCATGGTATTGGTATAAAAATAGGTACATAGACCAATGGAACAGAATAGAGAACCCAGAAATAAACCCAAATACTCACAGCCAACTGACTTTGACAAAGCAAACAAAAACATAAAGTAGGGAAAAGACACCCTTTTCAAAGAATGGTGCTGGTATAATTGGCTAGCCACATGTAGGAGAATGAAACTGGATCCTCTTTCACCTTATACAAAAATCCACTCAAGATGGATTAAGGACTTAAATCTAAGACCTGAAACTGTAAAATACCAGAAGATAACATTGGAAAAACCCTTCTAGACATTGGCTTAGGCATGGATTTCATGACTAAGAACCCAAAAGCAAATGCATTAAAAATAAAGGTAAATAGTTGGGACTTAGTTAAACTAAGGACCTTTTGCACCACAAAAGGAACAGTCAGCAGAGTAAACAGACAACCCACAGAGTGGGAGAAAATCTTCACAACCTGTACATCTGACAAAGGATTAACATCCAGAATCCACAATGAACTCAAACAAATCAGTAAGAAAAAAAACAAATGATCCCATCAAAAAGAGGGCTAAGGACGTGAATAGACAATTCTCAAAAGAAGACATAAAAATGGCCAACAAATATATGAAAAAATGTTCAACATCACTAATGATCAGGGAAATGCAAATCAAAACCACAAAGCAATAGCACCTTGCTGCTGAAAGAATGGCCATAATAAAAATAAAAAATTAAAAAACAGTAGATGTTGGTGTGGATGCAGTGAACAGGGAACACTTCTACAATGCTGGTGGGAAAGTAAACTAGTAAAACCACTGTGGAAAACAGTGTGGAGATTCCTTAAAGAACTAAAAGTGGAACTACCATTTGATCCAGCAATCCCACTACTGGTTATCTACCCAGAGGAAAAGACGTCATTATATACAAAAGATACTTGCACACTTATGTTTATAGCAGCACAATTCACAGTTGCAAAATGGTGGATAAAGAAACTGTGGTATATTTATATGATGGAATACTACTCAGTCATAAAAAGGAATGGATTAACAGCATTTGCAGTGACCTGGATGAGATTGGAGACTATTATTCTAAGTGAAGTAACTCAGGAATGGAAAACCAAACATTGTATGTTCTCACTGATATGTGGGAGCTAAGCTGTGAGGACACAAAGGCATAAGAATGATACAGTGGACTCTGGGGACTTGGGGGAAGGGTGGGAAGAGGGCGAGGGATGAAAGACTACAAAGAGGGTGTAGTATATATTGCTTGGGTGATGGGTGCACCAGAATCTCACCAATCACCACTAAAGAACCTACTCATGTAACCAAATACCACCTGCACCCCAATAACATGTGGAAAAATTAAAAAGTTAAAAAATAAAAAAGCTCTTTTTTACTCTTCCAATTATAAACCTGTATTCCCATAGCAAAAGGGAATTTATGATTGATTTGTTCTCTCTCTCTCTCTCCCTCCTACAACCAGTAATTATTGCTCTCAACAATCATTATCTATATGAGGAAAAAATAAGAATAATTATCCCACAGTATATTGTTCTCCCCCTTTTTTTGGTTGAAAAAAACTGTTAATATATGATTGGCCATGATATGGTGAAGTTACTCTTTTGAGATAAGCTTATGAGGTGAATGAAGGCGTTATTCCAAGCTTCCCCATCACCCACTTGGGTCCATTTCCTTCATTTCATTGTTGCCCTCTTTCTTTGAATGGCCAAGGTCCAATTGAAAGCCTATTCTAAGAAAAATACCTGTGTGCCCTTGATAAGTTGTAATGTGCAATCCTTGCTAGGCTTAATCTAACTTTACTATTGAATGAAGCCAAAAATTAATATCTTCATGACATGTGGGGAAGGCTGAAGCTTTTCAGAGCCCTTTGAAATCTCAACAATAGATATATTTCTACTTAGTTACTTTAAAGCTGGTTCCTCTCATTCTCACTGAAGGGGAAACTTCAGATGCCAATAAGTCAAGCCATTGCCTTCATATCTCACAAAGAACTGGGATGAAAATCTGAATTAATGACTTCTGAACTCTCAGTCTTGCTTCAGTAAGATACTCCAGACAAATTTTTCTCTGATCTTTTCCATTTGCCTAGCATATCTCTATAAAATCCCCTCTACTTTAACCCTCTTGTTATCATTAATGGATTCTAAATGTCTTGCTGTCCTTATCTCCACTGCTCTGACAGCTTTAACTGATGTGGTACTTCCTGGTCAGCTTTGTCATCACCCACGCCAAACTTACACAAAGCCTCAGCGAGGGTTTATTAGTTTGTTTCTCCACCTTTCTCTTTCTGAGGAATTGTAATTTAGCAAGTTGCAATTATGATTGTCCTCCAAACTGTTTTGGCCCTCTATCACCCTCTTGAGTTTTAATATTTTCTCTTGTACTAACTTGATTACTTAATACGCTTCCTCAGAGTTTAAATTCTCTGGCACTGTTGCATTCAGTTTTCTCATTTTCACTCTTCTATGTACACATTATCACATGGGCAATAGTATTAAACCTGCCTCTTGTTTTCCTACTTTCAATAAAATCTTACCTGTCCATAAGCAGGAGATCTAACACAATTTCTCCTTCAATTACATTAGCTACGGTTAGTAACAGAAAGTCGCAGTTCTCCAATTCAGTAACTCCTTTGATCCTTCATGGGTCTTTAACCCAGCAGATGTCTGGGGAATCCAAGTCCCCCTGGAGTTCAACATTATGAGAGTTCAACTGACCTCAGCAGCTGCTTTTCCCTCACCTACCGTTCTGATGGCCTACAGCAGATGCCCCATAACACTGTCTTTGTTTTCTGTTTTATTCTTTCTCTCAATCTCTTAAACTCAGAGCACTCCATGCCTCTTCCACCTCTATAAGCCTAGGCTACTTTGTAGAGCATGTGAAAATTTAGAAAAAACATGTCAATCATAAGATGACTAGCATGGAAGGTGTTTTTTTTTTTTGGCGGGGGGAGGGTGTGAAGATAGTGGAGGGTGGTGATGATGATCAGAGAAAAAAAGACAATTATTATTTTGTTATCATTATTGATATTATTAAGCTCCTTCTATTAGATTACCCGATGTCCAGTCAGGGCTGTTGCTCCCTGAGCCCAGGGTTAGCATTTTATCATCCTAAACCCTCCAGGAGAAGAGAAAAGCTTTACTCTGCAAAGAGTTGCCAAGGTTTCACAATGCTGAATTTTTAGGCGGCATTTGCACACCCTGATTTTTCTCAGGCAGCAGAACAGAATACAACAGCATGTTTTATTTCCTACCCATTTCTCAGGAAAGACTAATTTTTCCAGTGCTAATTTCCAACTGGAGAGACAAAAAATATACTTGAGAGGCTAAATTTGAGAGATTTCAGTTCAGGGTGCTTCAGTAAGAGATGATAGGAAAACTGTGCACATTAGTCTCAAGTGAAATTTCTTTGTAAGTAGAATCCAAGCAACACGCCATGTAAGGGGGTAATTAAGGGCTCAGATTCTAGCATTAGAAAGATTCAAATTTGAATCCTGTCATGACTTTTTCCTATGCATATTAACATGTCTTGTAACTACTGTAGTCTTCAGTTCACTCATCTGTAAATTGGTGACAATAATAGCAACTTACTTCTTAGAATTATTGTAGAGATAGTACAACCTGCCTAGAATGCTTAGCAGAGTTCCTAGGATATAGTAGGTACTTAATATTATCTATCATTATTACATGCTCCAAACATGTAAGCTGATTTCAATATCTAAATGTCTTACCTATGTCACTCAATTGCAGGAAATTTTGACTCATGTTCTTGAGATGATATCCATTTACTATTTATAAGAAAAATCAAGAACCAACTCTATTTTGTAAAACAAAACAAAAAGTATGCAACATCACTTTCTCAGAATCAAATTCTGCCTTGGGACCTTCTGCTACCAACTGTATTTTTACAGATTGCAATAATTCCCGATTTTGTGTCATAAAGTCAAACAATTTTAGAATGGGAAAGTATCAAACACAAATTTATTATAGTTCTATGGTGTTTCATAAAAACTTTACTGTATGTTTTATGAATGATTCTTCCTGTAGACTCCATGAGGGTGTCTAGCATTACTATCTATATTCTAAAGGGCAGCATACTAAGAGTCAGAATATTTGAAATGACACAAAGCCAAGTTAGTACTGTCTCTAATGAGAGATTTGCTGGCTTTTCTGAATGCTACCATTCCCAAACTGGAGACCACTACCTCACATTCCTGGAGAGAATCCACTCCACATGTCACATTCCCAGAAAATTTATACATTCCATCATTTTAAAAGAAATTTAAATTTTAAATTAAAATGTCAATTTTTTATGTAATTTTCTTCCTGGTGAGAAAAGCTTTACACTGTCCCATTTGGATTGCTGAGGATCTCACATGGTCAAAGATCCTCAATTTCCAAAGAAATGTGAGGGTGGTAGGTTAGAGGAAACTAAAGCTCTTTTATGCTATACATTTAGTGAGAGTACATACTTAACAATAAACTCCAAGTGGTTATCATGGGACCCTGAATGTTGAGTGGAAACTTCATGGGCAGGTCCATAGAACACAAACCTGAAAACGAAATGTTTCTCTAAGATGTTGTATTCTCTAGAGCAATAACTTACTCCATACAACTGTAATAGAAGGAAAACTAGTCCCTTTAGGGATTTGTCTAGTGCCTTGTACGGTTGTAAAATATTTTGCAGCCGGGAGCCGTGGCTCACGCCTGTAATCCCAGCACTTTGGAAGGCCAAGGCGGACGGATCACGAGGTCAGGAGATCGAGACCATCCTTGCTAACACAGTGAAACCCCATCTCTACGAAAAAAATACAAAAAAATTAGCCAGGCCTGGTGGCGGGCGCCTGTAGTCCTAGCTACTCGGGAAGCTGAGGCGGGAGAATGGCGTGAACCCAGGAGGCGGAGCTTGCAGTGAGCCGAGATCGCGCCACTGCACTCCAGCCTGGGTGACAGAGCGAGATTCCGTCTCAGAAAAAAAAAAAACACTGTTTTGCAATTTTTTTGGAATCAGGGACAAAGACATTGTGCCAGTGTAGAAATGATGCTTGTTACTCTAAGACCTTCCTCTCACAGTGCTACAATAATTCCTCAGTCTTTTCTGTGCTACCTTTTTTCCCTTCGCCACTTCAGTTTATATATCTGTAACTGAAAACCATGATCTTGTGGAAATGGAGAAAGAGAATTATGAGATTAGTAACTCATGTGTTGGACAGGTTAACACATCAGCAAATGTCTCTAGTTTTCTATTCTAATAGCAATGGAGAGTAGAGGTAATATAAACAGAGAAATTGAAATAGAATAGAGGTAATATGAATAATAAATCCACATATAGTTTCAAAGACATTTCTTTCCACATCTTAGTCCATCAAATGTTTTCTCAGAACTAGCAACCAGTAGAAAACTGAAGGAGGTTGAATCATACCTCACACTTTTCTTTGCTCGCCCACCCATTAGATTTGTTATGTACCAAATTAGATGGCAGAAAGTGAGAGGCATAAACAATTCACAGTAGAAATAATCAGCCCTTATCTACTTACTCTGAAAAACCCAAGATAGGTAGATGCCAGATGTCAACTATTTCTTCATGCTTCCTCAACTTTGAGGTCAGTTAAGATTTAAAAACATAAATGATTGGCAGAATTTCTCAACCTCAACACCATTGGCATTGGGGGCTGAATAATTCTTTTGTTGTAGGGGGCTAACTGTAGGATGTTTAGATTATTTCTGGCCTCTACCCAATAGATGCCAGTAGCACACACACCCCCACCCAGTTGTGACAACCAAAACATCTCCAGACATTGCCAAATGTCCCTGGAGATAACCCTCGATGAAAACTACTAGTGTAGTGGTATTTTTTTTAACCTCATACCAATTGTAAGTGACTTTTCCTTAATTCTTTTTTGCTACAGGAAAAAATTCCAACAAAGTTGACATAGGTTGCCTTGAGTGCTGCTCTCTTCATTTTGCCTTCTGTCTTTGTCTTGCTCTCTCACCCTCTTCACACACATGCACGTGCACATACACACTTGCACACTTAAATCTTTTATCTTCCAAGCCTGCATGTTAAAGATGAAAAGGAGCCCATGGGTTTGTGCTGCCACATTACCTCTTAAGCCTTTTCAAACTTATAATTTAGTAGATAAAGAGTGGTACAGTAATGTGGTTTGCCGATTCACCATTCAACCTGATAGTAATGCTATGTGGTAATTTCAGCAAAAATAATTTTTTAAAGCAAAAAACCCAAATGACTCCCTCATATAGTTAGCACTTTACAGTTCAGTGTGGAACATTCTTTTCTTTATGAACTGTGTGCTGTAAAGAAAGTGTATAGAAAGATGTTTAATGTGTCATCGAGAGTAAAATTATTAGTGTATTACATATGATGCAGTCATATAGCAAAAGAGCTGAAGCTTGTGTTTGCCCTTAAAGGAGATGCAGTCATATAATAGAGAGCCTTAGAGCTAGGGTTTACTGTACTTTGGGAATTAATCACATAAACTATAAATTGGGTTCAACAGGCTGGCTGGGTAAATAGGCGCAGCTAATGAGGACACTATGAGATCTTATAAGAGAGCTGACTGCCCCAGGACAAATAGTCCGTGGCGCACCTGATGGAAAACTAGAAGACATCAAAGCATAAAGGATTAGTGCTCTCACAGTGTTGAGAAATGGCCGGGGGGAGATTCACCAACTTATTACCCACATCCAAGCTAATCCTGTTATCTGCAAAATATAACTGTGTTCAGGAACTGCCACCACCTCAACTTACAGGAGGATAATTTTGCGTTTACATGGACAAAAGTGCAGGAAATTTTCATCTGACGAAGAAAAATAGAAGATGATTAATATTTTGAAAGGTTTTTTTTCCTTCCTTCATATTTGGCTACATGCATAAAAACATATAGATTATAAAAGCTTCTGTGTGTATAAGTAGTACAGCAGAGATGGGGTGGGGGATGGAGAGAGCTATCTGCAAAGAAGCTACTGTGATTTTCCAAAACTCCTGCTTGTCTGTGAAATGAGTATCAAGGGAAGAGAGAGTACATGTTGTATATAATTAAATCTGTACTAATTTCAAACAGTCTGGATTTACCTTTCAAAGCAAGTGGGCAAGCACTGTATTTGAAAGGTGAAGGAACTAAGCAAAGAAAGAGAAATCAAGACCTCTCCAGCCCATTTGCTGTCCTTTCCTGTCCCGGCAGCTCTCCCAGGATATTGATTGCTGGGGAGACACCCACCTGATCCCAACAGATGATCTCTGCAGGGGAAAGGGGCAAAGCCCCTGAGCTCCCTGCCAATCTGGCTTGAGGAAAATGGCTTCCTGGGCTAGAGTTCATATACAGTTTGGGCTTGTTTATGCTATCGAAGTTCACACTGGAAATGAATTGCAATTTATCCCCAGCCCTTACTGATTATAGAAGCAGAGCTTGAAACTGAAGCTGGTTCAGCCACTATCTGGCCTCCATGTCCCAAGAGCACTCTTTTTCCTCTGCTGCTCCCTTTGTCTAGCTGGGCTAATAATATGACTTGTGGGTGAGTAGAGAGGGGAGACTCCACCCGCTTCTCTGCAGCACTGATGCCTAGCACAGGGCCTGGCTCATCCAGGAACTTAAATAGTTATTGAATGAGCGTGCAAGCACTACAAAGATCTAGGCAACAATTTCAGCAATTAACACCCTATGGAAACCCAGAAAAGTGTATGTTTTCAGGCATAAATTTATATCACAGCAAGTTCTTAAATGCATCTCTTCTCTTGTGGAAAACTCAAGGATCATAGTTATACCATTTGCCTGAAGAAATAACAAAATAAAAAAGATCTTTGAAATGATGAAAAAAATCATGTGGATTTTTCTATCTTCATTTGAATAGACTTCTCTGTTGTAATTAGGATTTCTGAGGATTAACAGGTCCCGAACACCCCTTCTTCCTCCCTTCACCCCACTTTCCTGTGTCAATTTCCCCTCAGCTTCTAGATATTCTTCTTTCCTAATATTCTTTTGTCCTTCTTGAGTACTCTGTCTCTGATGTAGATTTCTCTTGCTCTTTCCACCCACCTCCTAGGAGTGTTCTCTTTTATTTTCATTGCAGAGTTTCCTCTTCTTTGAGATTTCAATGAATGATCTCTCTTTGCTAATAATTCCCAGAGCTTTCTCTTCAGCTCTGCCATTATGCCAAGATCCCTACACTTACTGCACCAGCATCCTTCTGGACATGGCCAATCAAGAAAATCAGTTTCACCTGAGACTCCACATAGCCAAGCTAAGTCACCTTCATCTCCAAACCAGCTTCTCTTCCTACCTGATATCAGTGAAATCAAGGATGTCCAAATTTTTCATATTCCAAACATTGCAGTCATCTTTTATTTATCCATTTCTAGTTTCATCCATCACCAATCCACCTTCCCTTTATCTTCCAGATTATTTCTTTCAAATATCTGCCTCCTCTCTTGTCCTACTACCTTTAAGTTTACATTACCTCAACACTTCTCCAGTTTCCTTAATGCTAGGCAATTCTCACTATGTTTTCATGAAATTTCCACAACACATGCTATTTTACATGCTTCTGCATTCAGAAATTTCAAGCTTTGTGACCATTTACTTACAGGATGACTGGAGAAAAATTACATAATCTTTCTGAACCTTGTTTTATCATCTGTAGGATGGATATATTAGAATTTTCCAGAGAAAAAGAACAAATATGATATATGTGTGTGTGTATGTGTGTATATGATATATATGTCATACAACCATACAACATTGGTTTATGATATATATGTCTGTGTGTTATACATACCATATATATAATAAATGATCCTTTATACTCTATATACTCCTATATATGTGTGCATATATGCATATATAGGAAATATATATGTATAAATATATACATATACAGGAGTATATATAAATATATAATAAATTTCTTGTATGTATAAAGAAATTTATTATAGGAAATTGGCTCATGAGATTATAGAGGCTGAGGAGTCCCATAATCTGCTGACTGCAAGCTGGAGGACAAGGAAGCCAGCATTGTATTTCTAATCCAAGCTGGAAGGTGTGAGAACCAGCAGAACCAATGGTGTAAGTCCCAGGCTGAGTCTGAAGGCTGGAGAACCAGGCTCACTGATGTCTGCAGACAGGAGAAGATGGATGTCCCGGCTCAAGAGAGAATAAATTTGTCCACCTTTTTCTTCTATTTGGAGACTTAACAGATCGGATAATGCCCACTCACACTGGTGAGGGCAATCTTGTTTACTCAGTCTACCAATTCCACTGCTAATCTCTATTTAAAACACCTTCACATACACACCCAGAAAGAATGTTTTACCAGCTCTCTGGGCATCCCTGGGCCCAGTCAAGTTGACACACAATATTGACCATCACAATGGAGAAGCGAATCCTTACTTTTTGGATAGTTGTATTATATATTTAAGTCAGCTAGCCTAGGGCCTGTAATATTGAAGACACTCCCTTTATGTAATTATTTTCTCTCTGATTTTTACCTTTCTCAAGAAGCTTTTGTTGTTGTTGTTGCTGTTAATGTTATGCCACCTCTAACCCAAACACTTCAGATCTAAATATAATTTGAAGTGATTTGGTCCCACCCTTTTCTTTTTATCTCTGCTCTCAGCTGGCCCTTCACTTGCTGGTCAGCAAGTCCTTCCATCTTCATGCTGTTTTTCTGGAGTGCCTTTATTTCTCACTAGGCCAAGGCTACCCATTTTGCAGGAACAAACTAAAGTCCTTCTTCCTTTCCAGCACCTTAACAAACTAGTCCTTCCAGGATCACTCCTCTTCTGAGCTCTTATTACCCTCAAAGTCTCCCCCATTGTATTAGAATCTGCAGTCCTCATGCTGCTGAGCAAACATGATGACAAGGTCATCCAACCCCTCACTTTACAGAAAAGGCAGCTAAATATTAGAGAGGCCTAATGACTTGTACAGAGTCACATGGCTAATTTCTGGCAGAAAAGAAGCAGAATGCTGGTTCTTAGCATGTAATTTTGTAACATATTTTTACTGAGCTTTAATTTTTGCAATTGTACTACCCTTGTTGATCCAAGAATATTGTAAGAAACCTAAGAACAAGCTATCTATGACTCTCTGAAAACATCTAAAATACACACACACACACACACACACACACATTTGCATAGGAATTCAATAAATGCTTGGCAATTTGTGATTTATCATCACAAAAAGATTAATTGCTATGAGACCTATGAGCCCCTATTCACAGGTATCTGAGTGATTTGGAAATTCCTCCTCTTAAGATCTTCAAACAAAGGGAGAAAATAGTCTAGTTTAAATGAACCAATCAATGCCTGAAGGCAGAGGGATAGATTGGATGGCTTTAGGAGTTTTATTTCATCATTATAATCCTATGATTATCTCACTTATATCCCTGGAAGGGACACATGAGTTAGGTTGAAAAGGAGCCATAAATCATCTTCTGTGGGCATATGAATCCCAGCACTGCCACCCTCTCTCCCTCTTCACCCAACATCTTTTCAATGGGCAGCACTTGAGTTGCCTGCCCAGCCCTGCTATATACAGTGCTTCCACCTATACTCTGAACTCTAGGCCTCCTAAAACAAATCTTAGGCTCCAAACAAATCTAGAAACCACATAGTGGTTAAGAGCACACTTTTTGGAATCAGCCAGACCCAGGTTCTAGCTATGCAACCTTTAGCAATTTGCTTAACCTCCTTGAACTTCAGTTTTCTGCTCTGTAGCATGGGGGCAATAATCTCCTAAGATTTGATGAAGATTTAAGTGAAGTAGTAAAACTGAAGGTGTTACGCTGATAAGAAAAAGCTCTGGATGTCATCAGACATGAGCTTTTGTACATGTTCCAGAGCTGACTCCATTGAAACTGGTTGTATCAGTCTCACTGTCTCTGAAAGAATTCTTGGAGTAAGTGGTGGATATTTCTGATAGAAAGGTCATACCCCCAGTAGTCCATATTTCCCAGAACCACCTATCCACCAAATGCTTTGGACCATAGACAAATACAGAAGAATGTTTCAATTCCTCCCAGCAGTTTGGAAGAGCTAAGATCAGAAGTTAAATATTCTGAACTGGAAACCTTATTCTCGTCCGTTTTTTACAACTTGTAAGTTCTTCAAAGGATTTTTCATTTTAGGTGGACCTTTTCTTAGAAAATATTGGTGATAAAGTTACACTAATGGTCCCCACATCCCTGCCTTTCCTTTTCTTCCAGCAGGGCTACAACAAAGGGTTCCATGTTAGAGAATATAACCAAATGTTCTGCCTGCTGGAGCCCTCCAGACATAATTTGAACACGTTTAGGGTAGTGTGTAAAAAGAGTGGAAAGGGCAAAGAATTAGCTTGAGAGGTGCAATCCTTCTTTTTTTTTTATACTTTAAGTTCTAGGGTACATGTGCA
The DNA here is from genome assembly GCF_000001405.40 of Homo sapiens. NCBI lineage: Eukaryota > Metazoa > Chordata > Mammalia > Primates > Hominidae > Homo > Homo sapiens. The sequence goes on along the minus strand of NC_000006.12, from coordinate 51,144,093 downwards.
CAATGTGCAGGTTCATTACATAGGTATACATGTGCCGTGTTGGTTTGCTGCACCCATCAACTCATCATTTACTTTAGGTATTTCTCCTAATGCTATCCCTCCCCCAGGCCCCCACCCCCTGACCAGCCCCAGTGTGTGATGTTCCCCACCCTGTGTCCATGTGTTCTCATTGTTGAATTCCTACCTATAAGTGAGAACATGTGGTTTTTGGTTTTCCGTCCTTGTGATAGTTTGCTTAGAATGATGGTTTCCAGCTTCATCCATGTCCCTGCAAAGGACATGAACTCATCCTTTTTTGTGGCTGCATAGTATTCCATGGTGTATATGTGCCACATTTTCTTAATCCAGTCTATCATTGATGGACATTTGGGTTGGTTCCAAGTCTTTGCTATTGTGAATAGTGCAGCAATAAACATGCGTGTGCATGTGTCTTTATCATAGAATGATTTATAATCCTTTGGGTATATGCCCAGTAATAGGATTGCTGGGTCAAATGGTATTTCTAGTTCTAGAGCCTTGAGGAATAGCCACATTTTCTTCAACAATGGTTGAACTAGTTTATACTCCCACCAAAAGGGTAAAAGTGTTCCTATTTCTCCACATCCTCTCCAGCACCTGTTGTTTCCTGACTTTTTAATGATTGCCATTCTAACTGGCGTGAGATGATATCTCATTGTCGTTTTGATTTGCATTTCTCTGATGACCAGTGATGATGAGTATTTTTTCAAATGTCTCTTGGCTGCAAAAATGTCTTCTTTTGAGAAGTGTCTGTTCATATCCTTTGCCCACTTTTTGATGGGGTTGTCTTTTTCTTGTAAATTTGTTTAAGTTCCTTGTAGATTCTGGATATTAGCCCTTTGTCAGATAGGTAGATTGCAAACAAATTCTCACATTCTGTAGGTTGTCTGTTCACTCTGATGATAGTTTCTTTTGCTGTGCAGAAGCTCTTTAGTTTAATTAGAACCCATTTGTCAATTTTGGCTTTTGTTGCCATTGCTTTTGGTGTTTTAGTCATAAAGTCTTTGACCATGCCTATATCCTGAATGGTATTGTCTAGGTTTTCTTCTAGGTTTTTATGGTGTTAGGTCTTACATTTAAGGCTTTAATCCATCTTGAGTTGATTTTTGTATACAGTGTAAGGAAAGGATCCAGTTTCAGCTTTCTACATATGGCTAGCCAGTTTTCCCAGCACCATTTATTAAATAGGGAATCCTTTCTCCATTGCTTGTTTTTGTCAGGTTTGTCAAAGATCAGATGGTTGTAGATGTGTGGTGTTATTTCTGAGGCCTCTGTTCTGTTCCATTGGTCTATATATCTGTTTTGGTATCAGTACCATTCTGTTTTACTTATTGTAGCCTTGTAGTATAGTTTGAAGTCAGGTAGCATGATGCCTCCAGTCTTCATTCTTTTAGAGAAGTTTTATCATAGGCACAGGTTTTGCTTTGATTTAAATAAAAAACTCCTCATCAGTATCTTCTATGAAATACATTTTCTCTTTGGGTTTTTATTAGATTTTTGGATGATTTGAACCCAAAAAAACGCCAAAAGCTGAGTCCCCCCTTTTTTAGGAGACAAGCATTCTTTTGTGTGATATGGAGAACTGTCTATGCCTCTTGCTTACTCCACTCTTTCCTCAGGCTTCATATTACAAGACCAGTGAGAAAATGGTTTTCCTTAAACCATAAATCTGCCTCTTGTTTGGGGCAGTTGATGGGCTCCTGCAGAACCAGGATGTCCTGGATAGTGTCTGAGAGGATCTCAGGGTGCTCCATGCCAGTCTCTCATCTGCCCATGTCTAGTCCAGCTGTGGTCCACACAGGCTTTACCCTGGGAGAAGCTGCTCAGGCTGAGACTCATACCTCACACCTCTCCCAGACGGAGGTCAAGGTTTCCCTGAGAAGTTCATATGCCCAGTCCCCATCAACCATTCCAAAACCCAAAAAGCTCTGAAACTCAGAAGTTATTTTCCAAGTTTGTAGTAAACACATTTGAAGGTGAAAACTCACTGGAGATGCCATGTGGCTATTTTTAAAATATTTATTCCATTCAATGTAATTAATAGTCACTGTGTTTTATTTCAAGGCACCACCACAGACCCCAGTGAGGGTGTTAAATAATATACAATATATGTAGTGTATGGCCTTTTTAATATACAAAAAGTTCCTAATTCCAAATTCCAAGAGTAAGAGACTGGTGACCTGAATTGCCCTTTTAGAGCAGCAAATGGGAGAGAGGAAGTAGACATGAAAAGAAATAGCAACCCCTTTATCTGAACTGCAGTGTCAGTTGTGAAACATTCACAGTGATTTTTAAACTTTAATATGCACACAAATCCCTTGAAGACCTTATTAAAATGCAGATTTCAATTCAATAGGTCTGATGTCAACCCTGAGATTCTTCATTTCCAATCAGCAATGAGTGATGCCATTGCTGTTGGGCTGTGGACCACAGTTTAAAGACCTAGAGACCCAGAAATCTTTATTCTTGAGAAAACCCAGTGACACAATAAAAGGCCAGTATTTAATACCAATATATATTAATAGATGGAAAATAGAGGGTCTGAGAGGTAAGGAGTTTTGCCTAGTTTCACATAGCCAGAAAATATCAGAGTCAGGACTCAAACCTTGGTGTCCTGACCATCTGCCCATTCTTCCAGTGTGCCACTTCACCAAGAAGGAGGCACTGGAGAGGAAACACCACGCAGAAGCAGGAACAGTAGGACAGGAGGTAAAATAATATTACAAAAATATTTCCCCTGAAATGCACACTGATTAGTCATCCATGGTATGAGAAATGGGGTATTAGACAAGGAGAGAGGAAGCCCAGATGTTGAGCTCTGGGTGTCTCACCAGAGAGGATGTAGAAGGATGAAAGGGAAACTGCAAGATGTCCCTGGGCCTAAGTGATTTCTAGCACACTTTGCACCTCTGGATTTCTATACTTCTACCGCAGTTGATCTATGAGAAGGTAACAAGACTCAATGAATTCTCACTTATCACTGCCTCTCAGAAACTAAGTACCACTGATGCTTTCTGTTTGTCACAGAGACGGCATCATATGGTGGAGAGGAGCAACTGGAGCCAAACTGCCTGGGTGTGAATCTCACCTCTAACACTTGATTCGTTGTGCAAACATAGTTGGTCTATAAAAGGGTGATAATCATGGTATCAATCTCATGAGGTTTTTATAGAAGTCTAAATTTACATAAGTAAAATATTTGGAACAATACTAAGGTAGCCCATTTTAACTGTGACTCAGAAGACCTCCACTTATTTTCAGTAGCTACAGTAGGGTCAATTTTAAGATCTGGACTTTGTTGCTTTGAAAGGGCTATGAAATATTTGATCATTGTTTGATTATGTTACTCCCAATAAGGAATATTCTGGAGCAACTTTATTAATTATTTGGGGAATCAAGGAGGCCAAGGGTGAATTTTTATCATTTGTGTGCCTTGTATATCCTTACAAAGAGGGTGGGGGATTTGCTATTTGCTATTGATTTTCATGATATTAATGATAAAATGGTTCTCAGGATGGGAGGAGGAAGAGTGACAGTTGCACAGAGATTACAGTGGATCAGGGTATGAACATTGTAGGAGCCCATCTCACCACTAATCCAGTGTGTTTGCATCTGGCTATTCCAGGTGTCGACAGGTTATTATTAACATGCTCACATATCCCTTAGCTTCATCTGATCAGTTACCCTCCCTCTTTCAAATCACTTTTGTAGGAGGATGAAAGGGAAAGCAAAATGATTGAGGTGACAGGTCCTGTGGCTCATTGAAAAACTGTGTCAGATAACTCTGCCAAAAGCAATTTTCAACTGGAACGGAAACACCCTTTTGTGCTTTGTAATTCATGGGTGGACCACAAGAAAGTGAAAATAGCTATGTCTATGGAACATTGCCACTCACACATAGCAACAGCCTTATTTACAGATACAAAAATCTTTACTTCTTTCTCTTCCCTGAAGCATAACTTTAATGCTGGGGAAATTTCCTAGGATCACAAACATACAAGGCCAAATCTTTGAGGTGGCTTTACTCCAACCTCCAAAGTTGGAACAACAGCCCTGTGTACGCGATTTCAATGGCTTCTTTCCACAGCCCACTCTGTTCCTTCTGTTCTCATCCAGAATAGATTTGGGCAAGTACCAGAGAAATGGCTTGAAATTCAGTCATTGGCCTTGATTTGTATCCACATATGCCATCTGGAATTTTTTTAAGCCCATCTCTGTGCCCATTGTATTTTGACCTGGTGGAAATACGGTGTCTTGTAAAACTCTGAGTCTAATTCTTTTTACATGTAGGAGAAACAATTGTCTTTCCTATGTGGTGTCTCTTTCTGCAAGTTGAGAATGTTTATGTAGTACCTATTCATAATCCTGGTAGTAACTTTAATATATAATACTTAACTGAGTTCCTACTATATACCAGGCACTGTTGTAAGTCTTTCACATATATTAACTCCTTAATATTTACAACAGTCTTATACAGTAAATGATAATCACCTTTATTGTGCACAGAGAGTTTAAGTAACTTTCCCTTGGTCACACATCTGGTCAGTGCAGAGCTGGACTTCATAATCCGTTTGGCTCTAGACTTCACATTCTTAATGACCACGCTACTTTATTTCTCTTTGCAGGAGGGGGCACGGGCAGAGAGAGCAAAAGACATACATCCAAGCTTTTCTGCTCCTCCTTTTGTCTTGCACTCTGTTACCACCCCAAAATACTATTTTAAATATAGAAATATTATAATAGAGAAGAAATATTGCATAGTCACTATGTTGCCTATAAGTAAGAGCATGATATTTCTGGAGAGCTAAACGGGATGTTGTTTTATAACCTGGGGAATAATAGAGGGTAGGAGTGTTTCCTGAAGATCTATATTCAAGTTGCATTGCCAATAAGCAGCACTTTGAACCATCTATATGGTGAACTATTAAAAGAATAAGCCTGGTATATGAGCAGCCTGGGTTTGAGTAGTCACCTTTACCTGGGATAAGTTCTGTTACTTTGGTGTAGCTACTTAACTGAAATTTAACTTTCCCATTTGCAAGTTGGATATTCGTTTGTTTCCCCCTTGGCTCTTTTTTGAGGAGGCTTATCTCAATGACGTGCACAAAAGTAAAAAATACAACTAAGAATGAGAAGAAAATATCAAGAAGAGTAGAAAGTGGAAACAAGGACCAAGAGGAACAGGAGTGGGCACAACTATGCAAGTAGCATGAACCCTCAAATGGCTTTTGGCATTCAGAGATGATTCTAGACTTTTCTTCAGAAAAAAAGAAAACATTGTCAGTTTTGTGGTAGAAGGGAAGTCTTTCCTAAAGATTCACTCTGAAAGAATTTTCTCAAATGGATCCTCTTTTAAAACACAGATGCAGTTAAAAATTTCACAAGTTTATTTCTCAAAATCCCTACAGAACTTTGGATTTAAAATTGAAACCTAGTTCAGGTAGGCTTATTCTCAGCCAAGAAGTAGGTAAATGAATAAGAATAGGGAAGGATGAGGCTTAAGATAATACAATTAAGTATATATACTCTGATAGTCTGGCTGGATCCAAGGAGATAATCTAAGGCAGGGTTTATTTTTTCTTTAATACATGAATCCCTTTGAGAAGATTATGAAAGTTATAGATCTTCACCTTAGAAAAATCACACATATTCACATATGCAAATATTTTTGTATAATTTAGGAGAGTTGATAGATTTTTGTTTTAACCCACAGCTGCATTTGAATGATGCATCTTTTAAATCCCATTCATCAGTTGTTGACTGCAGATTTGGGGATTCCAATTGTTTATCTGGAAGGATAGATGGACTATAGGTTTTTCCTGCAATACTCCATAAATATCACTTCTATCATCAGAGTTTCTGATAAGCACTGAGAAACCAGCTGAATATGTTTAATTATAGGAAACACTTGAGCAGTTGATTTCTTACTATAGAAATCAACCAAGAAGTGCAAATGAAACTTACAAATACAACTTTCCTCTTTTCACATAGTGGGTCATAGATGTATCACTTGGCAAAGTGAAATTATTTTCCAGAAACAGTTCTAAGTCTACTCCCACTATGAATAAGTAATGTATTAAATACCCACTATTCATTACTCTGGAGTGTTTCCAAGTTACCTTTGACCCTGACAATATTCAAAGTAGATAGTTCTTCCAAGAAATTTTGTTGACTAATGAACCTGCAAAGGTTAATTAATTGCTAAATGTCCAGGACTTTAAAAAAGACTTCTGTAGTTTTTCCTTGTTTAGGTTTCATACAGCTTCACAGTAAACATTAAATATTATCAATATTCCACCTTAAATATATTATTATGCTGCAAATTGTCTTAATAAATTTTGTATTTTTTCTTTAGTTGTATGAAGAATAAAGAATTCTTTTTTGTTTTAAAGATTATTATATTAACATATAACTAGAAGAGTGGCATTAAATTAGTTAACATAATGTTAGCTTTGGAAGATACATGATTCAACAATTATCCATTATAACTTAGCAGGGAATTATTGTTTATTATTTTTAGGCTAACATATTTTCCTTTCTGAACTCAAACATTTTAGCAAGCCCTTGCAAAGTTCATGGTCCTTAGGCTCTTAGTCCAAAGAAGCCATTGGATAAAATAGTTTTGGTTAAGTGGTCATATGAATCTACCTGAACTATGGCTTTATTAGATACAAAACAATTTGGAAAAATATAGTAATCCTTCTGATTTTAATGTTATTGATATTAACTTGTTTTTCTGATGAAAATTGTATGGCATGACCAATTGTGGGTTGAGGACATTACTCGCTCATGGCAATAAAACTATAACATGAACATATGAAAGGAAAGGACAGAGAAGCATGCATATCGATCTTCCAAAAGGTACTGTAAACTTTTAAGACTTAAATCTTAGGCCACTTGAAATTGCTGATTTTTCCCCAGGGGATTATCGTGAAGCCATTGAGACTTAAAGTCCTGTTAAAATATGGAATTTTTTGTTTGTACAATTATTTGTAGCAGTAATTGAACATCAATATTGAGGTCACACAGCTTATTACATAAACTGATTTCTATATGTAAAACGTTACATGGCAAGAGACATTATAAAGGTACAAGCAACATTATGCTAATTTTGATGTATTTCACTGTGAAATTACAGCATTTAAAAAATCATGCATGAAAGGGGAGAAGAGGAGGTGGTGGCAAGGTGGCCAGATAGGAACAACTCTGGTCTGAAGCTCCCAATGAGATCAACACAGAAGATGGGTGATTTCTGCATTTCCAACTGAGGTATGTGGGCCATCTCATTGGGACTGGTTAGACAGGGGGTGCAGCCCACGGAGGGTGAGCAGAAGGAGGGTGGAGTGTTGCCTCACCAGGGAAACGCAAGGGGTAGGGGAACTCCCTCCCCTAGCTAAGGGAAGCCCTGAGGGACTGTGCTGTGAGGAATGGTGCATTCCAGCCCAGATATTACACTTTTCCTACAGTCTTTGCATCCTGCAGACCAGGAGATTCCCTTGGTTGCCTACACCACCAGTGCTCTGGGTTTCAAGCATAAAACTGGGCAGCTGTTTGGGCAGACACCGAGCTAGCTGCAGGAGTTCTTTTCTTACCCCAGTGGTGCCTGGAACACAAGTGAGACAGAACCATTCACTCCCCTGAAAAGGAGGCTGAAGCCAGGGAGCCAAGTGGTCTAGCTCAGTGGATCCCACCCCCACAGATCCCAGCAAGCTAAGATCCACTGGCTTGAAATTCTTGCTGCCAGCACAGCAGTCTGAAGTGGACCAGGGACACTCAAGTTTGGTGGGGGGAGGGGCGTCTGCCATTGGGGCTTGAGTAGGTGGTTTTCCCCTCACAGTGTAAACAAAGCCCCTGGAAGTTCAGACTGGGTGGAGCCCACTGCAGCTCCTCAAAGCTGCTGTAGCCAGACTGCCTCTCTAGATTCTTCCTCTATGGGCAGGGCATCTCTGAAAGAAAGGCAGCAGCTCCAGTCAGGGTTTATAGATAAAACTCCCATCTCCCTAGGACAGAGAACCTAGGGGAAGGGAACGCTGTGGACACAGCTTCAGCAGATTTAAACATTCCTGCCTGCCAGCTCTGAAGAGAGCAGCAGATCTCCCAGCACAGTGGTCGAGCTCTGCTAAGGGACAGACTACTTCCTCAAGTGGGTCCCTGACCCCCATGCCTCCTGACTGGGAGACACCTTCCAGCAGGCGTCAACAGACACCTCAAACAGCAGAGCTCCAGCTCCAGCTGGCATCTTGTGGGTACCCTCTGGGTAAAAGCTTCCAGAGGAAGTAACAGGCAGCAATCTTTGCTGTTCTGCAGCCTCTGCTGGTGATACCCAGGCAAACAGGCTCTAGAGTGGACCTCCAGCAAACTCCAGCAGACCTGCGGCAGAGGGGCCTGACTGTTAGAAGGAAAACTAACAAACAGAAAGGAATAGCATCAACATCAACAAAAAGAACGTTCACAGAAAAACCCCATCCGAAGGTCACCAACATCAAAGACCAAAGGTAGATAAATCCACGAAGATGAGAAAAAACAGTGCAGAAAGGCTGAAAATTCCAAAAACCAGAATGGCTCCTCTCCTCCAAAGGATCACACACAACTCCTCACCAGCAAGGGGACAAAACTGGACAAAGAATGAATTTAACAAATTGACAGAAGTAGGCTTCAGAAGGCAGGTAATAATAAACTCCTCCGAGCTAAAGGATTATGTTCTAACCCAATGCAAGCAAGCTAAGAACCTTGAAAAAAGGTTAGAGGAATTGCTAACCAGAATAACCAGTTTAGAGAAGAACATAAATGACCTGATGGAGTTGAAAAACACAGCATGAGAACTTCATGAAGCATACACAAGTATCAATAATGGAATCGATCAAGTGGAAGAAAGGATATCAGAGATCAGAGATCAACTTAAGGAAATAAAGCATGAAGACAAGATTAGAGGAAAAAAGAATGAAAAGGAATGGACAAACCTCCAAGAAATATGAGACTATGTGAAAAGACCCTACATACGATTCGTGTACCTGAAAGTGACGGGGAGAATAGAACCAAATTGGAAACACTTCTCTGGATATTATCTAGGAGAACTTCTCCAACCTAGCAAAACAGGCCAAAATTTAAATTCAGGAAATACGAAGAACACCACAAAGATACTTTTCTAGAAGAGCAACCCCAAGACACATAATCGTCAGATTCAGCAAGGTTGAAATGAATGAAAAAAATGTTAAGGGCTGCCAGAGAGAAAGGTCGGCTTACCCACAAAAGGAAGCCTGTCAGACTACCAGCAGATCTCTCTGCAGGAATCCTACAAGCCAGAAGAGATCGGGACAAATATTCAACATTCTTAAATAAAAGAATTTTTAACCCAGAATTTCATATGCAGCCAAACTAAGCTTCATAAGGAAAGAAGAAGAAAAACCTTTACAGACAAGCAAATGCTGAGGGATTTTGTCATCACCAGTCCTGCCTTACAAGAGCTCCTGAAGGAAGCACTAAATATGTAAAGGAACAACCAATGGCAGCACTGCACAAACATACCAAATTGTAAAGATCATTGACACTATGAAGAAACTGCATCAACTAATGAGCAAAATAACCAGCTACCATCATAATGACAGTATCAAATTCACACATAACAATATTAACCTCAAATGTTAAAAGGCTAAATGCCCCAATTAAAAGACACAGACTGGCAAATTGGATAGAGTCAAGACCGATTGGTGTGCTGTATTCAGGAGACCCATCTCACATGCAAAGACACACATAGGCTCAAAATAAAGGGATGGAGAAATATTTACCAAGCAAATGCAAAGCAAAGAAAAGCAGCAGTTGCAATCTTAGTCTCCGATAAAACAGACTTATAACCAACAAAGATCAAAAGAAACAAAAAAGGGCAATACATAATGGTAAAGGGATCAATGCAACAAGAAGAGCTAACTATCCTAAATATACATGCACCCAATACAGGAGCATCCAGATTCAAAAAGCAAGTTCTTAGAGACCTACAAAGAGACTTAGACTCCCACACAATAATAGTGAGATACTTTAATACCCCACTGTCAATATTAGACAGATCAACGAAACAGAAAATTAACAATGATATTCAGGACTTGAACTCAGCTCAGCTCTGGATCAAGCAGACCTAATAGACATCTACAGAACTCTCCACCCCAAATCAACAAAATATACATTCTTCTCAGAACCACATCTCACTTATTCTAAAATGGAACACATAATTGGAAGTAAAACACTACTCAGCAAATGCAAAAAAAAAAAAAAACCAAACCAAACCAAACAAAACAAAAACAAAAAAAAAAAAACCCGGAAATCATAACAAACAGTCTCTCTGATCAGAGTGCAATCAAATTAGAATTTAGGATTAAGAAACTCACTAAAAACCGCACAACTACATGGAAGCTGAACAGCCTGATCCTGAATGTCTAATGAGTAAATAACAAAATTAAGGCAGAAATAAATAAGTTCTTTGAAACCAATGAGAACAAAGACAAAACATACCAGAATCTCTGGGACACAATTAAAGCAGTGTTTCGAGGAAAATTTATAGCACTAAATGCCCACAGGCGAAAGCAGGAAAGATCCAAAATTGACACTCTAACATCAAAATTTAAAGAATTAGAGAAGCAAGAGCAAACAAATTCAAAAGCCAGCAGAAGACAAGAAATAACTAAGATAAGAGCAGAACTGAAGGAGATAGAGACACAAAATCCTTAAAAAAAATCAATGAATCCAGGAGCTGTTTTTTTTGAAAAGATTAACAAAATAGATAGACTGCTAGCCAGATTAATACAGAAGAAAAGAGAAAATAATCAGCTTGACACAATAAAAAATGATAAAGAGGAGATCACCACTGATCCCACATAAATACAAACTACCATCAGAGAATACTGTAAACGCCTATATGCAAATAAACTAGAAAATCTAGAAGAAATGGATACATTCCTGGAAACATAAACCCTCCCAAGACTAAACCAAGGAAGAAGTCGAATCCCTGAATAGACCAATAACAACTTTTGAAATTGAGGCAGGAATTAATAGCCTACCAACAAAAAAAAGCCCAGGGCCAGACAGATTCACAGCCGAATTCTACCAGAGCTACAAAGAGGAGCTAGTACCATTCCTTCTGAAAGTATTTCAAGCAATATAAATAGAGAGAACCCTCCCTAACTCATCTTATGAGGCCAGCATCATCCTATACCAAAACCTGGCAGAGACACAACAACAACAACAAAAATTTCAGACCAATATCCCTGATGAACATCCATGTGAAAATCCTCAATAAAATACTGGCAAACCAAATCCAGCAGCACATTAAAAAGCTTATCCATCACAATCAAGTCAGCTTCTTGGCTTCATCCCTGGGATGCAAGGCTGGTTCAACATATACTAATCAATAAACATAATGCATTACATAAACAGAACCAATGACAAAAACCACATGATTATCTCAATAGATGCAGAAAAGGCCTTTGATAAAATTCAACACCCCTTCATGTTAAAAACTCTCAATAAACTAGGTACTGATGGAACATATCTGAAAATATTAAGAGCTTCTTTTGACAAATCTATAGCCAATTTCATACTGAATGGTCAAAAGCTGGAAACACTCTCTTTGAAAACCAGCACAAGACAAGGATGCCCTCTCTCACCATTCCTATTCAACACAGTATTGGAAGTTCTGGCCAGGGCAATCAGGCATGAGAAAGAAATAAAGGGTGTTCAAATAGGAAGAGAGGAAGTCAAATTGTCTCTGTTTGCAGATGACGTGATTGTATATTTAGAAAACCCTATCGTCTCAGCCCAAAATCTCCTTAAGCTGATAAGCAACTTCAGCAAAGTCTCAGGACACAAAATCAATGTGCAAAAATCATAAGCATTCCTATAGACCAATAACACACAAAGAGACAGCCAAATCATGAATGAACTCCCATTCACAATTGCTACAAAGAGAATAAAATACCTAGGAATACAACTTACAAGAGATGTGAAGGACCTCTTCAAGGAGAACTACAAACCACTGCTGAAAGAATAAGAGAGGACACAAACAAATTTGAAAACATTCCATGCTCACAGATAGGAAGAATCAATATCGTGAAAATGGCCATACTGCCCAAAGTAATTTATAGATTCAATTCTATCCTCATCAAGCTACCACTGACTTTCTTCACAGAATCAGGAAAAACTACTTTAAATTTCATATGGACCAAAGATGAGCCTGTATAGCCAAGACAATCCTAAGCAAAAGGAACAAAGCTGGAAGCATCATGCTACCTGACTTCAAACTATACTACAAGGCTACAATAACCAAAACAGCATGGCACTGGTACCAAAACAGATATATAGACGAATGGAACAGAACAGAGGCCTCAGAAATAACACCACATGTCTACAACCATCTGATCTTTGACAAACCTGACAAAAACAAGCAATGGGGAAAGAATTCCCTATTTAATAAATGGTGTTGAGAAAACTGGCTAGCCATACACAGAAAACTGAAACTGGACCCCTTCATTACACCTTATACAAAAATTAACTCAAGATGGGTTGAAGACTTAAACATAAGACCTAAAACTATAAAAACACTAGAAGAAAACCTAGACAATACCATTCAGGGCATAGGCATGGGCAAAGACTTCATGACTAAACCACCAAAAGCAATGGCAACAAAAGCCAAAATTGACAAATATGATCTAATTAAACTAAAGAGCTTCTGCACAGCAAAAGAAACTATCATCAGAGTAAACATACAACCTACAGAATGGGAGAAAACTTTTGCAATCTATCCATCTGATAGAGGATCTACTAATATCCAGATAGAGGGCTAATATCCAGAATCTACAAAGAACTTAAACAAATGTACAAGAAAAAAAAAACTCCATCAAAAAGTGGGCAAAGGATATGAACAGACACTTTTCAAAAGAAGACATTTATGCAGCCAACAAACATATGAAAAAAAGCTCATCATCACTGGTCTTTAGAGAAATGCAAATCAAAACCACAATGAGATACCATCTCATGCCAGTTAGAATGGTGATCATTAAGAAGTCAGGAAAAGATGCTAGAGAGGATATGGAGAAATAGGAACACTTTTACACTGTTGGTGGGAGTGTAAATAAGTTCAAGCATTGTGGAAGACAGTGTGGTGATCCCTCAAGGATCTACAACCAGAAATACCATTTGATCCAGCAATCCCATTATGGGGTATATACCCTAAGGATTATAAATCATTCTACTATAAAGATGCATATTCATGTATGTTTATTGCAGCACTATTCACAATAGCAAAGACTTGGAACCAACCCAAATATCCATCAATGATAGACTGGATAAAGAAAATGTGGCACATATACACCATGGAATACTATGAAACCATAAAAAACGATGAGTTCATGTCCTTTGGAGGGACATGGATGAAGCTGGAAACCATCATTCTCAGCAAACTAACACAGAAACAGAAAACCAAACATTGCATGTTCTCACTCATAGGTGGGAGCTGAACAATGAGAACACCTGGACACAGGGAGGGGAATATCACACACCTGTCGGGTGTTGGGGGGCTAGGGGAGGGATAGCATTAGGAGAAATACCTAATGTAGATGACAGGTTGATGGGTGCAGCAAACCACCACAGCACGTGTATACCTAAGTAACAAACTTGCACGTTCTGCACATGTATCCTAGAACTTAACGTATAATAAAAAATTATCTATGACAGCAAAGGTATTCTTAAATCTATTTGATCTCTTGATTGTTACATAAAATTTTAGTCAGAGAAACCAAGACTTATTTTTAAAAGAGAAAATATAGTATAGTATAGTATAGTTTAGAAAGACTTCCCACCAACAGAATAAATGTATAATATGGTGAAGAATAGAATTGCTTTTTAAAAAATAAATCTTTAATCGGGCATGGTGGCACCTGCCTGTAGTTCTAGTTACTTAGGAGGCTGAGGCAGGAAGATCACTTGACCCCAGGAAATTGAGGCTGCAGTTAGCTATGATGGCACCACTGCCCTCTAGCCTGGGTAACAGAGCAAGACTTCACCTTTAAAATAAATAAATAAATAAATAAATTTGATTTTTCCAATAGTACTATTTAAAGCCCCCTGACCCTTGGATAGATTTTCTGCACACACCAAAACCAGAAAAACCTAAGCTTTTACTTGTTTTGTATACTGGACTTCCATGTGAATTATCTTTGAAGAAAAAATTCCACTGCTTAAGAAAATCTTTGTTAATGTTTTGAACACCAAAGGGGTAGACTTTCTTAGCATCTACTCAAAAGGTATCATACCAGTGAAGTTAATTAGAGTTACCTGTTGGTAGAGATCAGAGCTCACAAGTCCATATGGGCTCTGAGCAGTTTGGGAAGCAAGGGGTCTTCATTCGGGACCATCTTTACTTTAAGCTTTTTAACAAATAAACTATCTGCAGGAGTTTTACTAAGTCTCAGGCTGAGACAGGATTTAGGGACTTCAAATTTTCAGGCAGTTATCTTAAGAACATATTGCTGAGAAAAGAAAGTCACCCCTAATATAAATATAGAATCTTTCTAATCTAGTTTGCAGATAAAGCATCACCTAAAATGACTGCAAATAGGAGGATGGGAGCAAAGCAAAGATGTAATTTGCAACATTTTGTAAAACATTTTGCTGGACAATGCAAAAGCTTAGGACTATAGAGAGCACCAACCCAGGAAGGGTGTGGAGAGAGGACATGTAACACCTGGTCTTATTTCTGAATATGTCATTGTGACTGAGTTGTGTGGTTGGCTGGCTCCTTTCCTTGTAGGAGAGAATGAGTAGACAAACTGAAATGACCAAAAGTTCACAGGTTGTGTTGAAGCAAGAGGAAAAAGGAAGGAAGAACAAATATTCAAAGTCTTCCTCAGGGAGAAGCTTCTCTGAGGCAGCAGAAATACAGAAGCAAACATGTCTGTGAAAGTCAGATAAGGAAAGGGACAGAAGAATAAAATAATATTGTGAAAAGAATTTAAAAAAGAATTACTGAAAAATTAAGGTTCTAGTTTATTGTGTGAGAAATAAATGCTTAAGATGCTTATTTGTTTGTCTGATAGTGGAAATACTAAAATAAATTTGTAAATGCATCAAACAAGTGGTATGTTGGTAAATGTTTAGCAACTGGCTCTTGGGTTTAGTGTAGGGGTAGGGAGCCCTAATTTGTACTAGTTGCTGACCTTCATGGTATATATATATATATATTCCCACTATGACCACATGTGATGTCAATGAACCTGGAGTTGAAAAGAGATGTCCACAATTGGCTCTCACAAACCAGTTCACTCCCACTCCAGTATACTACCGAATCCAGCTTCCATTTTTTTTCCTGAGAGCTGCTAGGCACAAAGCTCTCTGCTTTTATGTGTATTATTTAATTCTCACCTCCCTAATAGGAAAGTACTGTTATACAAATATAGGGCTCAGAGAGGTCACTTGTATGGTCAGAGATATACATGGTCTAACACTGCACTGTGTAATACAACAGGCAATGGCCACATGTGGCTGTTTAATTTAAATTTAATTAATAAAAATTAAATATCAAACTCCTCAGTCACACTGGCCACATTTAAAGTGCTCAACAGCCACACATGAAGAAGAGGTGCCACATTGGAGAATGCAAATATAGAGTATTTTCATCATTGTAGAAAGTCCTCTTGGATGATGCTAGTTGAATGTAATTCAACCTGAATTCTAGGGCTTGAACTTTATGGTCAGAGGAGACCAGGTGTCTTGAAAAATATAGTACTATAAAAATATATTGTTATATCACATTGTTTCTGAGATGACTTTACCTATTCTCCAGTGATGCAATTTTTTCCCCACTGTTTGACTCAAAGATTTGCATTCTTGCTGTTGTAAAGAGAAATTTTGTGAACAAAAGGGCCAAAGGGAATTTTAGAAGGTTTTTCTTTGAAGAAATTTAAGAAAAAATGGTTTCACTACCCAGTTTTCTCTTTTGCCCTCTACAGTAAGTTCTCACACAGCAACCAGAGTGATCTTGAAATATAAATCTGAACCCTTGCCTTCTCTGCTTGAGGTTGTATAAGGGCTTCCTATTAAATTTCAAATCAAATACAAACCCTTTATTTGGGTCTGCCTACAAGGCAAACCTCATCTGGTATCATTCCCTCTTCCTCATTATGCTCACGTTACATGTAATCTCCTTCAATTCTATGAAATTTCCAAGGAATTAAAGACTTTGGAATTTTATGCATGTTCCAAAAGTGCGAGAGGATTTTTTTTTTTAATTCAGTAGTATGGCACTGGGAACATAGTAGGTGCTCAAGGAGCTGCAACATATGCTAGAAATGTATATATATATATATATATATATATATATATATATATATATATACAAAATTAAGTCTGCTCAGAAAGGGGAAAGCATACATTGCATTTTTTTCTATTTTAGGAGGAAAAATATAGTTGAGCAATCAAGGATGTTAGTCATGATATTTCTTTATTTTATTTTATTTTATTATACTTTAAGTTTTAGGGTACATGTGCACAATGTGCAGGTTAGTTACATATGTATACATGTGCCATGCTGGTGCGCTGCACCCACTAACTCGTCATTTAGCATTAGGTATATCTCCTAAAGCTATCCCTCCCCCCTCCCCCCACCCCACAACAGTCCCCAGAGTGTGATGTTCTCCTTCCTGTGTCCATGTGTTCTCATTGTTCAATTCCCACCTATGAGTGAGAATATGCGGTGTTTGGTTTTTTGTTCTTGCGATAGTTTACTGAGAATGATGATTTCCAATTTCATCCATGTCCCTACAAAGGACATGAACTCATCATTTTTTATGGCTGCATAGTATTCCATGGTGTATATGTGCCACATTTTCTTAATCCAGTCTATCATTGTTGGACATTTGGGTTGGTTCCAAGTCTTTGCTATTGTGAATAGTGCCACAATAAACATACGTGTGCATGTGTCTTTATACCAGCATGATTTATAGTCCTTTGGGTATATAACCAGTAATGGGATGGCTGGGTCAAATAGTATTTCTAGTTCTAGATGCCTGAGGAATCGCCATACTCACTTCCACAAGGGTTGAACTACTTTACAGTCCCACCAACAGTGTAAAAGTGTTCCTATTTCTCCACATCCTATCCAGCACCTGTTGTTTCCTGATTTTTTAATGATTGCCATTGTAACTGGTGTGAAATGGTATCTCATTGTGGTTTTGATTTGCATTTCTCTGATGGCCAGTGATGGTCAGCATTTTTTCATGTGTTTTTTGGCTGCATAAATGTCTTCTTTTGACAAGTGTCTGTTCATGTTCTTCGCCCACTTTTTAATGGGATTCTTTGTTTTTTTCTTGTAAATTTGTTTCAGTTCATTGTAGATTCTGGATATTAGCCCTTTGTCAGATGAGTAGGTTGCGAAAATTTTCTCCCATTTTCTAGGTTGCCTGTTCACTCTGATGGCAGTTTCTTTTGCTGTGCAGAAGCTCTTTAGTTTAATTAGAACCCATTTGTCAATTTTGGCTTTTGTTGCCATTGCTTTTGGTGTTTTAGACATGAAGTCCTTGCCCATGCCTATGTCCTGAATGGTAATGCCTAGGTTTTCTTCTAGGGTTTTTATGGTTATAGGACTAACATTTAAGTCTTTCATCCATCTTGAATTAATTTTTGTATAAGGTGTAAGGAAGGGATCCAGTTTCAGCTTTCTACATATGGCTAGCCAGTTTTCCCAGCACCATTTATTAAATAGGGAATCCTTTCCCCATTGCTTGTTTTTCTCAGGTTTGTCAAAGATCAGATAGTTGTAGATATGCGGCGTTATTTCTGAGGGTTCTGTTCTGTTCCATTGGTCTATTTCTCTGTTTTGGTACCAGTACCATGTTCTCTTGGTTACTGTAGCCTTGTAGTATAGTTTGAAGTCAGGTAGCGTGATGCCTCCAGCTTTGTTCTTTTGGCTTAGGACTGACTTGGCGATGTGGGCTCTTTTTTGGTTCCATATGAACTTTAAAGTAGTTTTTTCCAATTCTGTGAAGAAAGTCATTGGTAGCTTGATGGGGATGGCATTGAATCTATAAATTACCTTGGGCATTATGGCCATTTTCATGATATTGATTCTTCCTACCCATGAGCATGGAATGTTCTTCCATTTCTTTGTATCCTCTTTTATTTCATTGAGCAGTGGTTTGTAGTTCTCCTTGAAGAGGTCCTTCACATCCCTTGTAAGTTGGATTCCTAGGTATTTTATTCTCTTTGAAGCAATTGTGAATGGGAGTTCACTCATGATTTGGCTCTCTGTTTGTCTGTTATTGGTGTATAAGAATGCTTGTGATTTTTGTACATTGATTTTATGTCCTGAGACTTTGCTGAAGTTGCTTGTCAGCTTAAGGAGATTTTGGGCGGAGACAATGGGGTTTTCTAGATATACAATCATGTCGTCTGCAAACAGGGACAATTTGACTTCCTCTTTTCCTAATTGAATACCCTTTATTCCTTTCTCTTGCATGATTGCCCTGGCCAGAACTTCCAACACTATGTTGAATAGGAGTGGTGAGAGAGGGCATCCCTGTCTTGTGCCACTTTCCAAAGGGAATGCTTCCAGTTTTCACCCATTCAGTATGATATTGGCTGTGGGTTTGTCATAGCTCTTATTATTTTGAGATACGTCCCATCAATATCTAATTTATTGAGAGTTTTTAGCATGAAGCGTTGTTGAATTTTGTCAAAGGCCTTTTCTGCATCTATTGAGATAATCATGTGGTTTTTGTCTTTGGTTCTGTTTATATGCTGGATTACATTTATTGATTTGTGTATATTGAAACACCCTTGCATCCCAGGGATGAAGTCCACGTGATCTTGGTGGATAAGCTTTTTGATGTGCTGCTGGATTCGGTTTGCCAGTATTTTACTGAGGATTTTTGCATCAGTGTTCATCAGGTATATTAATCTAAAATTCTCTTTTTTGGTTGTGTCTCTGCCCGGCTTTGGTATCAGGATGATGCTGGCCTCATAAAATGAGTTAGGGAGGATTCCCTCTTTTTCTATTGATTGGAATAGTTTCAGAAGGAATGGTACCAGTTCCTCCTTATACCTCTGGTAGAATTCAGCTGTGAATCCATCTGGTCCTGGACTCTTTTTGGTTGATAAGCTATTGATTATTGCCACAATTTCAGAGCCTGTTATTGGTCTATTCAGAGTTTCAACTTCTTCCTGGTTTAGTCTTGGGAGGGTGTATGTGTCGAGGAATTTATCCATTTCTTCTAGATTTTCTAGTTTATTTGTGTAGAGGTGTTTGTAGTATTCTCTGAAGGTAGTTTGTATTTCTGTGGGATTGGTGGTGATATCCCCTTTATCATTTTTTATTGTATCTATTTGATTCTTCTCTCTTTTCTTCCTTATTAGTCTTGCTAGCGGTCTATCAATTTTGTTGATCCTTTCAAAAAACCAGCTCCTGGATTCATTAATTTTTTGAAGGGTTTTTTGTGTCTCTATTTCCTTCAGTTCTGCTCTGATTTTGGTTATTTGTTGCCTTCTGCTAGCTTTTGAATGTGTTTGCTCTTGCTTTTCTAGTTCTTTTAATTGTGATGTTAGGGTGTCAATTTTAGATCTTTCCGGCTTTCTCTTGTGGGCATTTAGTGCTATAAATTTCCCTCTACACACTGCTTTGACTGTGTCCCAGAGATTCTGGTATGTTGTGTCTTTGTTCTCATTGGTTTCAAAGAACATCTTTATTTCTGCCTTCATTTCGTTATGTACCCAGTAGTCATTCAGGAGCAGGTTGTTCAGTTTCCATGTAGTTGAGCAGTTTTGAGTGAGTTTCTTAATCCTGAGTTCTAGTTTGATTGTACTGTGGTCTGAGAGACAGTTTGTTATAATTTCTGTTCTTTTACATTTGCTGAGGAGAGCTTGACTTCCAACTATGTGGTCAATTTTGGAATAGGTGTGGTGTGGTGCTGAAAAAAATGTATATTCTGTTGATTTGGGGTGGAGAGTTCTATAGATGTCTATTAGGTCCACTTGGTGCAGAGCTGAGTTCAATTCCTGGGTACCCTTGTTAACTTTCTGTCTCGTTGATCTGTCTAATGTTGACAGTGGGGTGTTAAAGTCTCCCATTATTATTGTGTGGGAGTCTAAGTCTCTTTGTAGGTCACTCAGGACTTACTTTATGAATCTGGGTGCTCCTGTATTGGGTGCATATATATTTAGGATAGTTAGCTCTTCTTGTTGAATTGATCCCTTTACCATTATGTAATGGGCTTCTTTGTCTCTTTTGACCTTTTTAGTTTAAAGTCTGTTTTATCAGAAGCTAGGGTTGCAACCATTGCCTTTTTCTGTTTTCCATTTGCTTGGTAGATCTTCCTCCATCGTTTTATTTTGAGCCTATGTGTGTCTCTGCACATGAGATGGGTTTCCTGAATACAGCACACTGATGGGTCTTGACTCTTTATCCAATTTGCCAGTCTGTGTCTTTTAATTGGAGCATTTAGTCCATTTACATTTAAAGTTAATATTGTTACGTGTGAATTTGATCCTGTCATTATGATGTTAGCTGGTTATTTTGCTCATTAGTTGATGCAGTTTCTTCCTAGCCTTGATGGTGTTTACAATTTCGCATGATTTTGCAGTGGCTGGTACCGGTTTTTCCTTTCCATGTTTAGTGCTTCCTTCAGGAGCTCTTTTAGGGCAGGCCTGGTGGTGACAAAATCTCTCAGCATTTGCTTGTCTGTAAAGGATTTTATTTCTCCTTCACTTATGAAGCTTAGTTTGGCTGGATATGAACTTCTGGGCTGAAAATTCTTTCCTTTAAGAATGTCAAATATTGGCCCCTACTCTCTTCTGGCTTGTAGAGTTTCTGCTGAGAGATCCACTGTTAGTCTGATGGGCTTCCCTTTGTGGGTAACCCGACCTTTCTCTCTGGCTGCCCTTAACATTTTTTCCTTCATTTCAACTTTGGTGAATCTGACAATTATGTGTCTTGGAGTTGCTCTTCTTGAGGAGTATCTTTGTGGCTTTCTCTGTATTTCCTGAATCTGAATGTTGGCCTGCCTCACTAGATTGGGGAAGTTCTCCTAGATCATATCCTGCAGAGTGTTTTCCAACTTGATTCCATTCTCCCTGTCACTTTCAGGTACACCAATCAGATGTAGATTTCGTCTTTTCACATATTCCCTCATTTCTTGGAGGCTTTGTTCGTTTCTTTTTATTCTTTTTTCTCTAAACTTCCCTTCTCGCTTCATTTCATTCATTTGATCTTCCATCACTGATACCCTTTCTTCCAGTTGATCGCATCGGCTCCTGAGGCTTCTGCATTCTTCACGTAGTTCTTGAGCCTTGACTTTCAGCTCCATCAGGTCCTTTAGGGACTTCTCTGTATTGGTTATTCTAGTTGTAGATTCACCTAAGTTTTTTTCAAGTTTTTAACTTCTTTGCCTTTGGTTTGAATTTCCTCCTGTAGCTCGGAGTAGTTTGATCATCTGAAGACTTCTCTCAACTCGTCAAAGTCATTCTCTGTCCTGCTTTGTTCCATTGCTGGTGAGGCACTGGATTCCTTTGGAGGAGGAGAGGTGCTCTGCTTTTTAGAGTTTTCAGTTTTTCTGCTCTGTTTTTTCGCCATCTTTGTGGTTTTATCTACTTTTGGTCTTTGATGATGGTGATGTACAGATGGGTTTTTGGTGTGGATGTCCTTTCTGTTTGTTAGTTTTCCTTCTAACAGACAGGACCCTCAGCTGCAGGTCTGTGGGAGTTTGCTAGAGGTTCACTCCAGACCCTGTTTGCCTGGGTAACAGCAGCGGTGGCTGCAGAACAGCGGATTTTCGTGAACCGTGAATGCTGCTGTCTGATCGTTCCTCTGGAAGTTTTGTCTCAGAGGAGTACCCAGCCGTGTGAGGTGTCAGTCTGCCCATACTGGGGGGTGCCTCCCAGTTAGGCTGCTCAGGTGTCAGGGGTCAGGGACCCACTTGAGGAGGCAGTCTGCCCATTCTCAGATCTCCAGCTGCGGGCTGGGAGAACCACTGCTCTCTTCAAAGCTATCAGACAGGAACATTTAAGTCTGCAGAGGTTACTGCTGTCTTTTTGTTTGTCTGTGCCCTGCCCCCAGAGGTGGAGCCTACAGAGGCAGGCAGGCCTCCTTGAGCCGTGGTGGGCTCCACCCAGTTGTAGCTTCCCAGCTGCTTTGTTATCTAAACATGCCTGGGCAATGGCGGGCGCCCCTCCCCCTGCCTCGCTGCCGCCTTGCAGTTTGATCTCAGACTGCTGTGTTAGCAATCAGCGAGACTCCGTGGGTGTAGGACCCTCCGAGCCAGGTGCGGGATATCATCTCCTGGTGCGCCGTTTTTTAAGACCCTCAGAAAAGTGCAGTATTCGGGTGGGAGTGACCCGATTTTCCAGGTGCCGTCTGTCACCCCTTTCTTTGACTAGGAAAGGGAACTCCCTGACCCCTTGTGCTTCCCGAGTGAGGCTATGCCTCGCCCTGCTTCGGCTCTCGCATGGTGTGCTGCACCCACTGTCCTGTGCCCACTGTCTGGCACTCCCTAGTGAGATGAACCTGGTACCTCAGATGGAAATGCAGAAATCACCGGTCTTCTGCGTCACTCACGCTGGGAGCTGTAGACCGGAGCTGTTCCTATTCAGCCATCTTGGCTGCCCTCTCCTAGTCATGATATTTCTACCCAAGTGTTCCACTCAGGACTTATAAGCACTAGATTGAATTATCTGAGAGCTAATTATGAGGTTGGAACTCAATGAAACCACTCAATGGTGTGCGGGCAAATGTTTAATAATCAGCTTTTTTTTTGAGCCAGGGTCTCACTTTGTCACCCACGCTGAAGTGCAGTGGCTCGATCTCGATCTCGGCTCACTGCAACCTCCGCCTCCCAGGTTCAAGCAATTCTCCTGTCTCAGCCTCCCAAGTAGCTGGGATTACAGGCGTGAGCCACTGTGACCAGCAATAACCCGCTGTTTTTTGAGGAGCCCTAATTTGTAGTACTTGCTGATTTCCATTGGGTGAAAACTCAATTGACTGCCATAGTCAATTTCAAGATAAACTTTCACAGAATGTAAAGATGGCAAAAGATGTGCTCAGTATGTTCTTGCAAGCCATTATGCACTGGTCCAGCACACCACTGAATTCACTCTCAACCAACCAACACACACACACCCACATGCACACACACACTCCCATCAGAGTCTCTTAAGTGTTGTAAACTTTGGTCTGTAGTCTATTTTTTACAAGTACCACAGATAAGTTTGATGCACACAAAAGTGTGAGAACCATTTCATAGAGTTAGCAATATTGACTGAAGTTGGTAGGCCTAGAGCCAAGGAAGAATTTTTCATCAGAACTGAAAATCACACGCTAACTGAGAATCCCGGAGGCAGGCAAGAAGGGCTGGAAATCAGGAAACAACAATGTAACATGTAAGAACCACGGAACCACAGAAGTAACCTCATCCAAAGCCCTCATTTTATAAGGAGCTCCCCTCCCAGAGAGAAAAAGAGACCCCTCTTTGACTGATAACCATTCCAGCAGCAAATCTCTCCTCAAGTATCCTTCCTAACTACGTGTTCCAAGCTGTCAATAACTCAATGTGTGCATGGAACCACTTAATCTCTCTAGACATACATTTTCTTCCTAAGGTAAAGGGAGAATGAGTCTTTGCCTTGCTTATATCACAGAATTGTTGTAATACAATATTGTATGTAAAAGATCTTTGAAAAGAATATATTGTGGAAATTTCAGATGGCATCATTACCTGATAAAAAGTACTTAGATCAAAAATCCTATCAAAGTCCAACCTAGGGGCCTCTAGGCTCAGCACAAAAAGTACCGCTCAGTCCTGTTAGCCTTTGGGGCTCAGGCTGACTCACCACAAGCTTGGAATCCTGGCTTTCTGCCTGCGTATATATTTATGCATCAAGAATTATACATACTTGGTACCTGGGTGCTCATCTCCAGAGGATGCCAGTTTGCTTGAATGCCAAAATTAAAGTCTCAGGGTGGTCTTTAGTCTCCTGGGATAAACTGAGCGATCAGAAGATAAACTACAGACAATGTTTTGATTCTTGACCAAATCCAGACATTTCAGCTTTGGAAATGCGCCCATCTACCCAGCATGTGTCAGAACAAAGAAACAGCAAATAGAAATGAGAAGGGCATTTGAAACAGATTCCCACACCTGCAACCTTATGGCACCTAGAGAGATAGTTTATTTTACTGACTAATTAAAATCCACCAATTGAGTATGAATACAGATTTTCTCTCTATTGTCATACCAGAAAGTCTGCAGGCACAGACCAAGGGCTGTGCTAAAGGCTCTGGCCTGCATTTTTATATTTATTCTCTGTAACAGCCCTGTAGGTGGTCCTCCCAGTTGGCAAACATAACAATACTAATTTACCTTTATTCATCATTTACTTGGTACTTTTTTCATTTACTTGGAAGACTGACGTAGGTGCTATATGTGTGATTACTTAATCCTCACAAATGCCCTATTAGATTGTTACACTCATGGCCCCCATTTGAAGTATCAGGCAACTGAAGCTCAGAGAGTGTAAGTAACTTATCCTATTGTATAAGTAAGCAAATTATACAATTAGCAAGTGATGGAATTGGTGCTGAATCTGAAGTCTCAGTGACTCCAAAGCCAGCACTCCTAGCCCCTGCACCAGAAAAATGTGGGCATTTGAAGTGTCCTACATCAACATCATCTTCTCCTCTTGATTCAGGAATGGGAGCACAAATAGGTGAGTCAGAAAGTTGCCTCACCAACTCAGTTCCTGGGTAGAAGCAGCACAGACAGAACCAGACTCTACACAACATCAGGGAGTATGGTTGAACTATTTTCTCAGCTCCTAAATTGAAAGCATCTCCTTTCCTTATGTGTCTGGCAATGGAACCAAAGGGAAGTAGGAGAAGTGGCCTGTGGAACCAACTGTTCCTCTGTATCCACAGGCCATACCCTCACTCCTCCTGGAATGAGTCAACGGCAGGGTCTGCTGAAAGTCTTGGCAAATAGATGCATGCTGAAGTATAGACAAATACATAAGGAAGCCATTTATGGAAACATAACTGACACAGTGATTTAGGTTTTCAAATGAATTTCTGATGTTTATCTTTATGAGGCTGTTAGCACACTGTAAACATTACTTTTGATATAATCTCCCATATATTGCAACTGGGTGATGGCTGAATTCTAAGTTACAATGAAAGTATTGTGCAGAGTGGCATTTGATCCAGGAGATAATAGCAATGCTAACTGCTGCGTTCAGGTGGAGCGTAATTAATAAATTAACTAGGAAATAGAATCACAGCTTTTTTTCTCAAAAAAGACACAACAGAATCTGACTCAAGCAAACCATGAACAGGTGAACTACCTCAGCATATGTTTAAAAAATTCACTCAACATTAACATGCTTGAGTAACAGCTTGAACAAAATAAGCTGGTTTCCTTCCACCATATTTGTTCTGAGCCACAAGCACACTAGGTTGGTTGGTTGGTTTGCTTGTTTTTGTTTGTTTTTTTTTTTTAACTGCTGATTTCACTGTTTAATAATACTTCTTCACCAGGATTATTAAACCTACCAACTAGAATTTGATGTCAGTTTCAGATGCTAGGGAGAATTGAAAGAAAATAAGTTCTTCTGCTTAGAGATACCCTATGCATTTGCAAACACAGGAGCCAAGGGCCCTCCTGGGTGTGGATGCATGATAAAGCTACTCAGCCCTAAGAGATGGTTAAAGGGTTGAGCTCTGAGCACTGAGATGCAAGGACGGAACTGTATCTCATCAGGCTCCAGGGTTTCTTGTCCTAGAGTCACTAAATACACATACTTCAACCTTTCAAAGGTGCAGAGGGGAACTGAGATGAGGAAGAAACGGTTATGATTTTGCTTCCCCTACAACCTATCTGTGAGAAAGGAGGAATCTTAACATTTCCTACAGTGAATAGTTCAACAATTCAGGGCTTTGGAAACTGCATTTGCTAAGTTTTTAATCCCACCTATGGTACGAAATAGCCATGTGATCCTAGGCAAACCACTTAACCACTCCGTGTCTCATGTGATGCCTTTGTTAAGTGGGAATGCCAATGCCTCCACAAACTGCCCCCTTGTGGGATATGTAAATATGAAGTAAGAGGTGGGTAGAAGGAGGTTCTGGAACTGCAAGAGTGCTGAATGCAAACTTCCATGATTTCTGCCCCTAAAACCAATTCTACTTCATTTGTTCGTCATCTCCAAAGTCAGCAACTGTGGGAATTGGGGAGAAATAAGGCAGGGCTCCCCACCTACCATGTTCTTACCCAGCATCCCCAGACACTTTGCAGCCAGACTAATTCCCTTTCGGTGTAAATTGCAGGAAAACTTCACAGACTTGCATTTATATTTTTATTTCACGATATTTTTATAACACCCTTGGGGCTCACTCCTTCCTGAATCTAGAATGATTGAAAGCAAACTAGGTTTAGAATGAGATTACCACTAATTAATTCCACCTCAATCTTAAACTTTATCATCCATAACCTCTCCAGCCACCACCCTCTAGTTCCCTGGATAAAAAAAGAGCTAGCCAGCTTCAACTTGGGTATGGGAAAAAAGTTTCAATAAACTAACTTGCTGAAGTTTGAGTTGGGGAAGGTTTAAAGATCCCCTCCTCATAAGTGGCCTCAACATGATAAAAACCCTCTACTGTTGCTAAAACCTCCTTGCCTTTGCAATTAGATAGCAGTTGCTCCACCACATAGCGTTCTAAGAATGTCTTTGAGGGAAGACCTATCACACAAATAAACTTGCTTTCTGGGATTCTAGGGAGTGCAAAGTGCTGGAATGTGCTGGTGGCTGGCTTAGAAATTAGAAGAAAACATTTGGAGATGAGAAGGAGGGTTGAGCTGAACTTTTTAAGCTGAGGGGGTGAGCAGAAAGGGCCCAGGGTCCATCCTGTCTGGTGAGCAGTCAATGCACAGCAGGCCTGCTTGCAGGCCAAGAGGGGTTGGAAAGCTCTAATTAGATTAGCAATGTTTTGCTAGAAGGCAGAAAGCTTAAAACATTAACTTTTTAAACAAGTACATCAGTTCTGAGTAAACATTATTCTTTTATTTAGTCGTATGGTCTGAGTCAGCCTATTTCCAGGACAGTGGTAATGCATGCGTTTGATTCTTGAATGCAAATATGCTTTCAATTTTACTATGCAAATTCCCTGATTTTGGTATACTTCTCGGGGGCTTGCAGCTGGCTATGTGCTGCTCTCTTCTCTCCTGCTTGATGGGCTGTGTTCCTGCCAGGCACTGTCAGACAGCCAGTGGCAGCCCTTGGTAGTCCTGCTGGAGCTCCCAAGCTGCTTGGCCCTGTGGGTTCAGTGACATTTTACTGTTTGTGGGGTAAAGCCCACATTTTGCACCAAGTTCATAAAATTCATCCGATTTTTATTTTCATATGTAACAGCGTCATGAATCTTTTTTGAAAGTAGCCATCAAAGTAGCCGTCAGAAGCAACAGGACCTAGAAAGGTTACTTAAATCCACACAGATCTGAGTCAAATTCTGAGACCGTCAGGCTTCCACATTGATCAAATATGACAATTTCATAACTCCCTAGTTTGTTGTGAGAATTAACTAAGACCACATATAAAGGGCCCAGTTCAGTGACTGACCTATCGCACACATAGCCCATGCTAGTTAGTTGCCCCAACTCCTCTTACTTCCTGGTCCTCTGAGATTCAGGTGAGAAGCAGGAAATAGAGGCAAGCCAAGTGTATTAATCCACCATCTCTCCTTAATGGGAATGAGAAGCTGTGAGACTACGTGGGGCCTTAAATGTCCCATTCCCAGCATCATCCCCCATTAATCCAAACTAACACACATCCAATAGTCCAGCCACACTCACCTATTCACAGTTACTTCCAGGCCTCCACACATCCTGTTCCTTCTGTCCTCTATTTGCTTCCCATCTTTTTTGTATAACACAAAGTTCTACAGAGCTTTAATCCCCAATTTCAGTGTCACCTTCTTGATGACATCTGCCCTGCTTGCTTACTCCTCTTCCCAGGCAGAGTCACTCACCACATACACAAACCTGTCCATGCACTTAGCAGAGTGTAGGAGTCATGCTTACCCTTTAGCCAAGTGTAGTGTTGTTGAGTATTCACTTCTGTCTGGGTCTTACAAGACTAGGGGTTCCTCAATGGCAGGAGTTTATATTTGAATCCCTAGAATCCAATGCAGTACAGCATACATTCCATACTAAACAAATATATATTGAATGAATACATGAATGAATGTCATAACTGGCAGCTCTCTAAATGAAGGGAGGGAAAGGTCATGAAAGAAATGAAAGAAAATCAGTCCCGCAAAATGTTCCCTAACTTTTCTCTAAAGCATTTCAAGATCTTTCTGAGCACTCAGCCCCAAACTACTGCGGAGGAAGGTAGTATCCCAGGCACTGCTCAGGAGTTCTCTCAACAGCAGAGACAATGGCTGCAGCCATGTGGGCTCCTGAGCTGCCCCTGCCACTCAGTTTTATGCTCCATCCCCCCATAGTATCCTGAAAATAAAGAGGAATGCTGCTTTGCCAGCAGCCACAGAAGTCACTGGTTTCAGGTGAGTGATTCTAAGTAAGCTGCGGCCAATAAAACAGAGAAAACAAAAAGGAGATGAAGACTTTTTACTCCTGCAGCCTCAGAGGTAAGCCTGGTTCACATCCTTGTGAGGAAAACAGAAAGAATAGGGGAAAAATGAATTGTTTTTGCTGGGTCATCCTGTCCCACCTTGAGTATGGCTATCCCAGGTCTCAACTATCACTGAGCCACACATAATGGTGATAAACTAAGGACATTGTGAAAGAGGAAATAAAATGCCTGGACTAGAATTTCAAGCAAGGTTACCTGCAGACATCCAAAAGGTTAAGAAAATGTCTCTCTCTTTTCCCTCCTTGTAACTTTACTCCATTCTTTTTATCTTTTTCTTCTTCTTCTTCAGAACCCAGAGCTGGAGTGGAGAGTGGCTGGGACAGGAGATGGAATATGAAGGAAGAATGTTTACAGAAGCATAAGAGGTGTCCTCCAGGCTCAGAAGACTTGTTGGGCCTATATTCTGACCTTCTGAGGAACTAATGAACAAGCCTGGAAAGTACAGGTGAATTTCATGACATCAACTGCAAAAAGTAAGCTCTATCTTCCCCGTCATCCCTGAAATTTTGCCTGTTTTAAGTATGCACTAGGGATTGTGCCTATAGTAACTTAGTCCTTCTTAAACTTATTTATATATTCAATCTCTACTGTGTTGTTGAAATTAATATGGTTCAATTTATTTAAAGACAGATTTATAAATGTTTAGAATGGTATGACTGGATTTTTGTTCAGTGCTCTTAAATTTTGACAAACGTCATTTGTTTCATTTCAATTGAAGTCTGACACAGGGTTACCAATGTATCACTTTGTAAGGACATTTTAAAAATCATCTGTTGGCATCATCACCTCCTCAAAGAACAGCTATTTTAGCACCAAGAATTAAGATGGATATAACCTCAGAAAGAAGGAAAGAGACTCACTTGCTTACACTGTCAGATAGCACCTTATTTTTTTTGTCAATTACTGTTTTTTTATCAGTTATCTAAGAAATTATTCATAGAGACCAAATCCATTGCATTGTAATTGAGGAAACTGAGTCTTAGAAAGTCTTGAGTAGCACATTCAGTCATTGTGAAATTCACTAAATTCCAACAATGTATAAGGTGCCATTTCTGGATAGTGCAAGAAATGTAAACACTTGTAAGATAGAGGTCCCTGCCACACTGGTGCTTACAATGACCTTAGGGAGATGACATGCAAAAACAACTTCGATGACCCTTTATGATTTCAACTCCACCCTAGCCAACCAGCAGCAAGCATCTGTTACTGGCCATTCCCACCCCTTCCCCCAAATTGCCTTTGAAAAACTCTTAACCTATGAGCTTTCAATGAGATGACTTGAGTACCAGCTTCATCTCCCATGTGGCATGGCTGGCCTTGTGTCTATTAAATTCTTACTCAAAGAAAGAAGAGAAGACATTACACTCATTTGAAACAGTTCTCTAGCAATCTCAGCTATCTGGAACACAGTGAGGAAATAGTATATTGTGGGGGGGTGGGGTGGCGGGGGAAGCCTTCATGAACTTAAACTCATGACCTGTTGCTTATTCACATCATATATATACAGACTTTTCTTGGTGCCTCATTTTTGACAAATTTAGAAGCCTTGGTGGCCTGGCATCCTAGCTCAAAGTAGATGAAAAGAATGAATCAGAAGAGACAGGACTGCTAGGAAGACTTATGGAGTCAGACACAATTGCAGTACTGTTGACAGCAGATAAAATGTTGAGGAAACTGATAGTAGTCAACAAAGAGAATGTAAAAATGACTGCAATGGACACAGGTGTTAGATGAAAAAGCACCATGTCTGGGGTCACTTAGGATAGAGGCAAAAATCTCTGTACAAGCAAATAGACCTTCAAGACACCACCACTGGGTGATAGAGAAGAGAGTAACTGCTGTAGCTTATCAGGAGTCTCAGGAATGATCAACCCTATGTCATGACCAAAGGATCAATTTATTGTTTGGGCACCTTAAAAAACAATAACAACAGCAACAAAAACACACCCATTTTCTGAAATACTCACTGACATGGAACAGTTCCTTTCAGTGCCACCCCTGATAAAAGAGGTGGTTGTAGCTTATGTGTTTCTATTGCAGGTACAATAAAAATTCAAAGGAGCTGTGATCCTTTTTTTTTTTTTTTTTTTTTTGGTGCTCTGGGAATAAAGGAGCAGTTTTCCTTGCAGGTGAAAATATCTCTTAGTTTTTCTGCCCTATTTTTCATTTCTGCTCTATTTTCATTAATCATATAATCCAAAAAACAATGTTAATCGGCCTGCTGTTATTAGAAACAATTACAGGTATGTCCACACTTGTCTTCCATACCTGCATCACAGCAATAAACCTGCATTAGTCACTGAACATTGACAGTCTCATTATGTTTTGTTCATTTTGATGCCTGAGCTTGACGAAGTGGCTTTTGATTCCTCAGGGGTGGGGGAAGTGAGTGGGTATCGGCAGCCTTGTAGATGAAAGCCCTTTCAAGAAAAAGAATGCTGACTGGTGAGGAAGAAATAAAGCAGCCAGCTTGAAATTTTTTTGAACATATTTTGTAGAGGAGCCAGTGTGATGCAAATGGCATGCCAGAGCATAAACGTGTACACTTTTTCCAGAGAAGTTTACTTCAAATACTCCCCACAGATGTTCTCTAATAAAGAACAGCCGGCCAACCTCTACTGGTGAATACACTGCTTCATTTTGGAGCAGAAGCGTTCTTTGTAAGGCAGGCCCCAAATCATAAACATCTGAGAGAACCTGCAGCCTGGGGAGCTGCTGCCACCACCATGGAGATGACCCTCTCTGTGCCCCCAATGCCCTGGCCCTGGGTGTGCTGTCTTTGCAGTGCCAACCACAGCACATGCTCCCAAGACTCAGCCCCAATCATACACCAGGATCTCTTTCACCTGTGCTAATCGTCACCAAACTATTAACATAGACCTGCCCATGACAGGTGAGCTGTGTTTATGGAGGGCCAAGGTGAGGACAAACAACACATTTTCCTCCAAGGTCTAGGTTCTGGAGAATGATCCATAAGTAACTCCGGAATAAGACTGGCTCTTATATATATTATTAGGAAGTATTGACAGAGAGGAAGATGCTCTAAGAAGGAAATAAGTTAGAAAATAAATGAAAATTAAGTGATGTAGGTTTGTTGAACCCTGGGGAAACAGGGTTAACTGAATTTATCTTCCAATGTGCTAAGGGACTTGATTTTTCTCCATCATGGGAAATGAAGTTGTGTGCAAGGCCAAGATCAGGGGGAGGTTGGGGAGACAAGGTTGCACAAGTAGAGGTTTGGCCTGTCTTTATTTAAAATGTTGATATTTTGTTCATCATGGATTTTTTTGGCATACATTTCAATTTCAACAAATAGTACATTCAAATATTATTTATCTTGATTACTCAGTTTTTGGATGACTCCTTCAATTTTGCACCAAGGTACATGTTTCTCTTGTCCCATCTCTTGATGGGACATTTCCCTGAAGAGAAATTACCCATTATTGTACAATCCTACCATGTACTAGTAAAGGGCAGCAAAAAAAAAAAAAAAAAAAGCATTAGGCTTTGAGTGAGGGGCCCAGGTTTGTGACCTTAAGCAAGTCACCATTATCTGAGCCCTCCTCTCCCCATTTGTAAAATGGAAAAGAACATGGCAAAAACAAAACAAGACCAAGTAAGATAATGCACTGGAAATCATTTTGAAAATGTAAAGCAATATGTAATTAAAGCAATATCATGATGCTGTAACTCCTATGATATTTTATTTATGCTGTGTCAACACAGGAATATTCAATAAGAGCAGTCACAAAAATCAGCCAATTTCATCTGTTAAGATAGTAAAGAGATTTGCACATCATTATATAGAGCTTTTCTCACCAATGTTTGGTATAAAGATATTAACAGTTGTCTGTGTCCTTCCCAAGCCCAGGTACCTTTTTCCCAAGAAATCAGATGTTAGGGAAAGAGGCAAGACTACCTGTCCTTTGCAGAGTAAAATTACATGAGAACTAGAGTGACCAACTATTGATTTTGCCTGTCAATCCAAAAATCAGGAAAGTCCCAAGCAACTTGGAAGACAAGTTAGTGACTCCAAGAGCCATGATGTAGACAGTGGACAGAGCACTGGACTGAGAATCAGGTGTCCAACATTCTCCTCCTAGCTGGGGTACCTGCTGATGTAGTGACCTTGAGCAAGTCACTTAACCTCTGTTCCTTAGATCCTTCATTTGCAAAATTGGGAGGTTGGACCTGATATCTAGCTAAATGGCGCAAGTATTATTAAGCATGTACTGTATTTTCAGATCTATGTGAAATGTCCCATTGACATTTCTTCATTGAATCTTCCCAACAACACTATGATGCAAATACTATTATTATTTCCTACTAACAGATGAAGACACAGAGGACCAAAAGAGGCCAAGATTTAAGTCACACCATGTGAGGCACTGCATCCCAGCTGTGAGGAACATAGCCTCTTAGGCCAGAGCTCAATTCCCAGCCCCACCACGTGCTAGCTGTGTTACCTTGGTCAAGTCCCTTAATCCATGTGCCTCAGTAATATGGGGGCTTCTTTTATGGTTGTTTAGGAGTGCTTCAAACAATGCCTGGCACAAGACAAAGTCTATGCAAGAGTTTGTTAAATAAATCAAATACGGGTGTATATCCTCTAAAATACTATACACACTGCTGCCCCTTTCAAAGGTCTCTTCCTGGTCCTAATAGACTATGATTTTATGGATTTTATTTGCCTCTTCTGTACAATATAGGAAAACAGAGACTGCTAAATGCAGAGCATTTTTGCAATAATGAAGGGCTAAATGACTTTCTTCATTCCTAAACCACATTCTCAAAGAAAACACTGCTGATTCTCATAGAGTGTCTGTGTGATTGAGAATCTGTGAATTCACTCCTGGGCATCTTTAAAAAGAAAAGAAATCAGCACAACATTTGTGTAATGCCTTAACATTAAATCTGCGGGCCTTTGCCAGTTTGTAAGTCATTTGGAACCTTTAACATCACTTATGCTCAGAGTTTCTTTGTTGTAATTATCTAAAGAGAACAGAGAAGTTTTAAGCTCTTTAAGCAACAGGGAAAAGTCACCATGTTTCATCTTTCAATGAATTATTTGGAGGTATTATTTTTCATTGTGTTTCTGACAATTGTTTAAATATCATGTCCAAGATAAAGGGTTTGATTCTTATTTCTGTTATTCTAGCAGAAATCCCCAGATATCTTGTGAAATTAGCTGCTGTGGTAGTACACTTGTATTTGCTAGTTATTGTGTATTATATACCAATATGTCACAATTCATTCAATACATTTTTACTGGTTATGTACCATGTGCTAGGCACATTTATTTAATATTAATAATTTTCTTTGGCACACACATAGCAGTTTCCAGGACATGCATACTAAGTCTCCTAACTTGCCACTTAGGGAAAAAGCAGAAAGTCATATAAGCCCAATTTTATAGCAAACAATTTACACAGAGCTCCAGGAAGCTAACACTAGTATTCATTTAAAAAAAAAAAAAAAATGTCAGCTGGGCGTGGTGGCTCACGCCTGTAATCCCAGCACTTTGGGAGGCCAAAGTGGGCAGATCACGAGGTCAGGAGATCAAGACAATCCTGGCTAACACAGTGAAACCTCATCTCTACCAAAAATACAAAAAAAAATTAGCCTGGTGTGGTGGCAGGCGCCTGTATTTCCAGCTACTCAGGAGGCTGAGACAGAATGGCATGAACCTGGGAGGCAGAGCTTTCAGTGAGCCAAGATCGTGCCACTGCACTCCAGCCTGGGAGACAGAGCAAGACTCTGTCTCCAAAAAAAAAAAAAAAAAAAAGTCTAGTTGGCTAAGTCCAGTCCATTGGTATGATCATCTTATAAGGCTTCTTGCCAACCATAGAAGTGAACACGAGGCTGGTTTTCTCATTCTGCTTTGGAGAAGTTTCTGCTTCAGTCTTTAATTGGCAAACCAACCTGAATTGTTGTGGTTTACCCAGTTCTGTGTGCACTTTTAAAGACTTGCTCTTGGAAGATTTTCTTCCTCCGGGTGGCTGGGCCATACCTTTCCCTTGCTAGTAGGAAGAACAGCCGCAAGTCCCCATAATTCCTCCAGCCCCTTTGCCCAGCCTAGTTTCAGCGATAGTAGCTGACAATGTAATACTCATTCAGCAGCTGATTATAATTAAAAATATCAGAATAATTAAAGTCCTCAGCTTGACAAGCAGAGCCATAACTTTGCCTTCAGACATTCCTCTCTAATTAGTTAATTAATCCTAATGCAAATTATAAGCAATAATTAGTCAGCCAAGCTTGACATAAAAGTCTGCTGACTTACAGCTAAAAGGCTTTCTGGTTGCTGGTTTGTAGTTTCTAAAGGTGTCTTTTGTCCACTCATGGTTTCTGTATCCATCCTACTTCGAACTTTCTGCCAACACATAGATACTCAAAGCAATTTGAACTAGAGAAAACCACAGCTATAAAAACTTGTATCACCACAGGCATTTTTCAGTTTGACATAATAAATTACATGCTCAGTATCCGTACTGAATATCAATATTGGGGTGTATCCTATTCAGGCGAAAAAAATAGAGTGAGCAGGTAGAGAGGAGGTGGGGACATTCTGACCCAAAGCAGGGTCTGTGATATGTTCTACATTCATTTGCACTGGATTACTGGGGTGCTTTTTAGCATGTGCCAAGAAATTGAGTCATAATGAAGCATATCCGAAATTTGATATCTCTGTAATAGAAAAGCTAGTATTTGATCCAGATTTTCAGTGAATTTAAACAGATCCAGAATCTGTTAAGTGAGATAATTTGAATTATCTTCTGATAAATCTAAGCTTGAATATTGTATTTTCTACATATCTCTGTTACTAATGAGAAAAATTCCCTCCCCCTAAAATTTAGAGAGATACAGAAAAGGCTGATCTTACAGAACACTGGGTCAATCGGTTCTGGACACCTAAGACAACCAAATACCCTACCACTAGTCACTCTATATCTTGACTATCCAGTGGCCAAAAGAGTATGCCCTGTGGAATAGAAATCAGCTCATGAAAAGCTGATATCAGGGTAACAGCAAAGTTAGGCTAAATCAACATGAAAATATATCCCTCAAATGTTATCATTGACAATAACATTCAGAAAGAATATTTTACTATATTTATTACAAAAATGGCCTGAATTGTCCCATTCCTTTTATCCATGCCCCTTTCAATGTGACTTTGTAGCTCCTCCCATTAAGAGGTTGAATTTATTTCTCCACTGTTTACATTTTGGATTATCTTGATTTTGGGCTTGTCTCATGACTTATGTTGGCCAAAAGGATAAGGTGGAAGTGACAGCATTCCTATTACAAGTTTAGGCCACAAAATGCTTTGTATACATCTGCTTGCTATCTTTAAACCCTGCCTGTACCACGAGATAGTCTAGGACTAGCCTACTGAAGGGTAAAAGAGACCGTGTGATGGAGACAAAACATGTCTGAGGCCATCTTAGACCAATGGACACATTATCTGATTGCAGACAAATGAGAAAGCCCAGCAAAAATCAATCAAGCTGGCCAGGCATGGAGACTTACACTCATAATCCCAGCACTTTGGGAGGCCAAGGAGGAAGGATGGCTTGAGACAAGAAGTTCAAGACCAGTGCAACATAGTGAGAGTCCTGTCTCTACCAAGTTTTTTTTTAATTAACCAGGAGGGGTGGTGCACAACAGCTACTAAAGAGGCTGAGGTGGGAGGATCACTTGAACCTGGGAGGTTGGGGCTGAAGTGAGCCATGGTTATGCCACTGCATTCCAGCCTGGGAGACAGAGTGAAACCCAGTCTCAAAAAACAAACAAACAAAAATCAACCAAGACTAGAAAATCCACCCGACTGATCTATCAATTCATGAGCTAGATATATTATTTTTGTTGTAAGCTGCTAAGTTTGGGCACATGTTTTTACACATAGTAAATAGCCAACTAACACAAATACTAATAGGAAAGCTTAGTCCAGTGCCTCCCACCCTAATAAAGCAGATGAAGGGACTTTCACCTCCTCATATGAGTAAAATCTCCAGGTATTCCTTCACATGCTTATAAATGTTCAGTTCTCCTCTTGCTTAGCAGCAGAAAAGGAAATAATAGACTAGTTCCAGTCTTTTTTATTTTCACATTCTCTTCTATAACTTCTCTAGTTTCTTTCCCTCAGTCTAAAAAAAAAAATTGCTTAAGGCTTTCTCCGTCTAAATAGAACTCTTTCCTTAATGCTACCCCTATGCATCCCACTCCACCCCCAACTCAACCTAACTTTCTTCTTTCCATAACAGATAATATTTTAAATGAGTGTTAATATCAATGCTTTTACTTCCTCAACTTCCTTTTGATTTCCAAGCCACTATAATCTGGCTTCTACCTCCACCACTCTAAACACTGCTTTAAATAGGGTTATAAATAACTTTCTAATTGTCAAATCTGATAATTCTCTTATTCCATTCTTTCCTTGATGTAATTTTTGCTGAAATAGTATACAATGGAATTTCACCAAGTCAACATGCCTATATGTATTAGCTTTCTTTTGCTGCTGTAACAAATTACCACACAATTAGTGACTTAACGTCAATTTATTATCATGCAGTTCTGGAGACGAGAAATCCAAAATGGCTCTTAGGACTAATATCAAGGTGTTGACCGAGCTACATTCTTTCTGGACACTCTAGGATAAGTATGTTTCCTTGCCTTGTCTAGTTTCTAGAGGATGCCTGCTCATGGACTCTTCCTGAAACTTCAAAGTGCATCATTCCAAACTCTCCTTTTATTTACAAATGTCTCTCACTCTGAGCTACTTCCCTTCCCCTTATAAGGACCCTCATCCTGACACCAAGCCCATCCAGATATGCCAGACTAATATTCTCAAAATTCTCAATCATACCTGTGAAGTCCTTTGTGTCATGTAAGATTACATATTCACAGATGGCAGGAATTAGAACACGAATACCTTTAGGAGGCCATTATTCCATTCAGCATACCATGTAACTATTACCTAAATCTCAAACATTACCAGAACCTAAAAAGACCCTTCCTGTTTCCTTGAAGTCTTACCTGCCTCCGTGGGTAACCACTATCCTGATTTCTAATACCAAAGATTAGATTTGAATGTTTGAAATTTTATATAGATGGAATCATGCAGTATGTATTTTTTGTGCCTGACTTCTTTTGGTCAACACTATTTGCAAGATTTATTCACAAAGTTTATTTTTATTACAATATAGCATTTCAATATATGAATATTCCACAACATATTTAGCCATTCTACTGTGGCTGTACATTTGAGTCATTTCTAGTTCTTGGCTATTACAAATTTTGTTGCTATTAATATCCAAATATATCTTTCGGATCACATATAAATACATTTATTTTTCATCTTTAGTAAATACAGTTCTCCAACACACGTGTATAAGTATTCTAGCTGCCCCCACAACTATTTGAACACTTGGTATTATCTGCCCTTTCACCGTCCCATCATTTTGATCACTCTGTGGCATTTGACACTTTAGACTTTTAGATAATACTTTCCTCCTTTGGCTTCTAGGACATCACTCTCTCATAAGCCTTTTCAATGCCTTCCTGAATACTCTTTCTCAGCTTTCACTGTGAGATATTCCTCCCTGGTATATCACCACCCACCCTCTGTTTTCCCTTTCTTTCAGCCACTTCCCTTAAATTGTTTTTTGATGTTGCTGTTCAATTTTCAGAGTAGAGTAATACAAAGCTCTTCATAATTTGTTTCTTATGTAAACCCATCTGGGGCAAACAATGGCTGCCCACCGACACTCTCTACTCTTCATCCTAAATATGTACTAAACTATACTTTCAAACCTCCTTACAGTGAAGCATGTGGCTGAGTCATAAACAATGGAATGTGGGTGGAAGTAATATCTGACATTTTCAGGCTCAGTATCTCCCTTCAAAATCCCCCATGCTCCATCCTCTGTTTTCTTAGAAGCTATATGTTGAAGATGGTGGCACCAAAATAGAGGAGGGTGGATACCTGAATCAGTATTTGGAGAAGAGATACCTAACATACATTGGATGTGATCTTAATGAGAAAGGTATTTTTATAGTGCTAAGTCACTGGGCTATTTGTTACAATGGTGAGACACTATGAAAAATCTAGAAATTGGTAACTTAAAGTAGGATGATGAAGTAACAAATAACTATCTCAAATATATATACTATGTGGTGAAAAAATGAATATAGCAGACTTTTGATACATGTTATACAGTGGAAAAATATTTGATAAACCTGTAACCTGGGCCAGGCGCGGTGGCTCAAACTTGTAATCCCACCACTTTGGGAGGCCGAGGTGGGCAGATCACCTGAGGTCAGGAGTTCGAGAAAAGCTTGGCCAACGTGATGAAACCCCGTCTCGACTAAAAATACAAAAACATTAGCTGGGTGTGGTGGCAGGGGCCTGTAATCCCAGCTATTCGGGAGGCTGAGACAGGAGAATCACTTGAACTGGGTAGCGGAGGTTGCAGTGAGCCAAGATCTTGCCACTGAACTCCAGTCTGGGCAACAAGAGTGAAACTCCATCTCAAAAAACAAACAACAACAACAACAAAAACTGTAATCTGAAATAACTGAAATAACATGAGAAGAGGACCATGTGCCTACTGAGCTGGCAACTGTAAGGGAGGTGACTGGCTCGATGTTAGTATGTGCTGGCCACTGTTGGCTGCATTTGGCAAGGTATTGCAAGAAAGAGATAAGCTTATGAGAAACATGATTGGTTAGTAAGCAGCTACAAAATGGAACAAACAATAAAATTCAAGATTTTTGAGCTTTAGAAAAATGTTCTAGAAAAAATTTTCTAGACCTCAAAAAGTAGAAAAGTAAGATAGACAAAGATTTTGACAAATGAAAGCCCCTTAATACCCAGTCTTGAGCAAAGGGTTGGCCTTCTCATTAGAGACAGATATCTTGAAGTAGCCACTATTACACTGAAATAAAGAGACGCATGAGAGTATAGAAACAAATATAGAGAGCCTATTTGGAGGCAACGTCTAGAAAAAAAGAAATCTGAGTATGATTTCTGCCACATGGAATTGATGGAAACAAATAGATACGAAGTCTATTAAGTTTTTTTTTTATTATTATTATACTGTAAGTTTTAGGGTACATGTGCACAATGTGCAGGTTAGTTACATATGTATACATGTGCCATGCTGGTGTGCTGCACATATTAACTCGTCATTTAGCATTAGGTATATCTCCTAAAGCTATCCCTCCCTCCTCCCCCGACCCCACAACAGTCCCCAGAGTGTGATGTTCCCCTTCCTGTGTCCACGTGTTCTCA
Source organism: Homo sapiens (assembly GCF_000001405.40). Lineage (NCBI taxonomy): Eukaryota > Metazoa > Chordata > Mammalia > Primates > Hominidae > Homo > Homo sapiens. The sequence goes on along the minus strand of NC_000006.12, from coordinate 51,104,114 downwards.
TTGTTCAATTCCCACCTATGGGTGAGAATATGCGGTGTTTGGTTTTTTGTTCTTGCGATAGTTTACTGAGAATGATGATTTCCAATTTCATCCATGTCCCTACAAAGGACATGAACTCATCATTTTTTATGGCTACATAGTATTCCATGCTGTATATGTGCCACATTTTCTTAATCCAGTCTATCATTGTTGGATATTTGGGTTGGTTCCAAGTCTTTGCTATTGTGAATAGTGCCACAATAAACATACGTGTGCATGTTTCTTTATAGCAGCATGATTTATAGTCCTTTGGGTATATACCCAGTAATGGGATGGCTGGGTCAAGTGGTATTTCTAGTTGTAGATGCCTGAGGAATCACCACACTGACTTCCACAAGGGTTGAACTAGTTTACAGTTCCACCAACAGTGTAAAAGTGTTCTTATTTCTCCACATCCTCTCCAGCACCTGTTGTTTCCTGACTTTTTAATGATTGCCATTCTAACTGGTGGGAGATGGTATCTCATTGTGGTTTTGATTTGCATTTGCATTTCTCTGGTGGCCAGTGATGGTCAGCATTTTTTCATGTGTCTTTTGGCTGCATAAATGTCTTCTTTTGACAAGTGTCTGTTCATGTCCTTTGCCCACTTTTTGATGGGGTTGTTTGTTTTTTTCTTGTAAATTTTTTTGAGTTCATTGTAGATTCTGGATATTAGCCCTTTGTCAGATGAGTAGGTTGCAAAAATTTTCTCCCATTTTGTACATTGCCTGTTCACTCTGATGGTAGAGGGAAATTTATAGCACTAAATGCCCACAAGAGAAAGCAGGAAAGATCTAAAATTGACACCCTAACATCACAATTAAAAGAACTAGAAAAGCAAGAGCAAACACATTCAAAAGCTAGTAGAAGGCAGGAAATAACTAAAATCAGAGCAGAACTGAAGGAAATAGAGACACAAAAAACCCTTCAAAAAATTAATGAATCCAAGAGCTGGTTTTTTTAAAGGATCAACAAAATTGATAGACCGCTAGCAAGACTAATAAAGAAGAAAAGAGAGAAGAATCAAATAGATGCAATAAAAAATGATAAAGGGGATATCACCACCAATCCCACAGAAATACGAACTACCATCAGAGAATACTACAAACATCTCTACGCAAATAAACTAGAAAATCTAGAAGAAATGGATAAATTCCTCGACACATACACCCTCCCAAGACTAAACCAGGAAGAAGTTGAATCTCTGAATAGACCAATAACAGGCTCTGAAATTGTGGCAATAATCAATAGCTTATCAACCAAAAAGAGTCCAGGACCAGATGGATTCACAGCCGAATTCTACCGGAGGTACAAGGAGGAACTGGTACCATTCCTTCTGAAACTATTCCAATCAATAGAAAAAGAGGGAATCCTCCCTAACTCATTTTATGAGGCCAGCATCATCCTGATACCAAAGCCAGGCAGAGACACAACCAAAAAAGAGAATTTTAGATTAATATACCTGATGAACACTGATGCAAAAATCCTCAGTAAAATACTGGCAAACCGAATCCAGCAGCACATCAAAAAGCTTATCCACCAAGATCACGTGGACTTCATCCCTGGGATGCAAGGGTGTTTCAATATACACAAATCAATAAATGTAATCCAGCATATAAACAGAACCAAAGACAAAAACCACATGATTAACTCAATAGATGCAGAAAAGGCCTTTGACAAAATTCAACAACGCTTCATGCTAAAAACTCTCAATAAATTAGATATTGATGGGACGTATCTCAAAATAATAAGAGCTATGACAAACCCACAGCCAATATCATACTGAATGGGCAAAAACTGGAAGCATTCCCTTTGGAAAGTGGCACAAGACAGGGATGCCCTCTCTCACCACTCCTATTCAACATAGTGTTGGAAGTTCTGGCCAGGGCAATCATGCAAGAGAAAGGAATAAAGGGTATTCAATTAGGAAAAGACGAAGTCAAATTGTCCCTGTTTGCAGATGACATGATTGTATATCTAGAAAACCCCATTGTCTCCGCCCAAAATCTCCTTAAGCTGACAAGCAACTTCAGCAAAATCTCAGGACATAAAATCAATGTACAAAAATCACAAGCATTCTTATACACCAATAACAGACAAACAGAGAGCCAAATCATGAGTGAACTCCCATTCACAATTGCTTCAAAGAGAATAAAATACCTAGGAATCCAACTTACAAGGGACGTGAAGGACCTCTTCAAGGAGAACTACAAACCACTGCTCAATGAAATAAAAGAGGATACAAAGAAATGGAAGAACATTCCATGCTCATGGGTAGGAAGAATCAATATCATGAAAATGGCCATAATGCCCAAGGTAATTTATAGATTCAATGCCATCCCCATCAAGCTACCAATGACTTTCTTCACAGAATTGGAAAAAACTACTTTAAAGTTCATATGGAACCAAAAAAGAGCCCGCATGGCCAAGTCAGTCCTAAGCCAAAAGAACAAAGCTGGAGGCATCACGCTACCTGACTTCAAACTATACTACAAGGCTACAGTAACCAAAAGAACATGGTACTGGTACCAAAACAGAGAAATAGACCAATGGAACAGAACAGAACCCTCAGAAATAACGCCGCATATCTACAACTATCTGATCTTTGACAAACCTGAGAAAAACAAGCAATGGGGAAAGGATTCCCTATTTAATAAATGGTGCTGGGAAAACTGGCTAGCCATATGTAGAAAGCTGAAACTGGATCCCTTCCTTACACCTTATACAAAAATTAATTCAAGATGGATGAAAGACTTAAATGTTAGTCCTAAAACCATAAAAACCCTAGAATAAAACCTAGGCGTTACCATTCAGGACATAGGCATGGGCAAGGACTTCATGTCTAAAACACCAAAAGCAATGGCAACAAAAGCCAAAATTGACAAATGGGATCTAATTAAGAAGTCTATTAAGTTTTTAAGGAAGGCTTCCTGTCAATAAGCCCTTAACCTAAATTGTAAAATTCTCTCACAGCTCAAGATTTCAAGCAGCCCCTTCAGCGTTCTGACTTTTCAAGGACAGAAATATGTCTTCAAAACACACATAGTCCCAAGGATGAAAGACTTGCCACTGACCACTTCATATGTGCACATGGAGGATAATTAAGGGAACTTCCCCAGTGAGTGGAGCCATGGAGAAAAGTGGAGGAAGTTTCCTCTCAGAGATCTCATCAGAGATCTTCTCCTTCTATAGGGAGAAGAAATTTCCAAAGCCTGTAAGCAGAATTCCCAGTGCTGTTATGGACCAATTAATGTTATTTTGCTGCATTTCCTGAATGGTAGTTTGTAATGGTTGTTATGATGTACCTCCCAGATCCTGATACTGCATTGATGAATTTAATTCCCTAGTTGTTGGGAGAGCTGAATACAGCCCTCACATAGCACGTTTTGATAATTGTCTTAGCTAAAGAGAGTTGCCTCCCACCTTGTCCAAGGTGATTTCCCTTTACAGAGGCATCCAAATTCAAAACCTGGTCAACCTAGGGAATAAAGGTTCATCCTCCTTGCCTGCTTTGAGGCAATTCTGAAAGACCACCCCAGCATCACTGTGGGATTGGCTGAGGACTGTGTTGGGATTGCTTCCTTCCCTTCACTCCTACAGATTTGGTTTTCAAGAGTATTCCTTCATGAAACTCCTTCATGGTGATCTCTGTCTCAGGGTCTGCTTCCTAGGGAGCCAGGCTATAACAGATTTTATATTCCAATTAATCTTTCCCTACTCCTCCATTTTATATTAGGTGGCGGTAGGATGCAGATAATTTTCCTTTATTGTTCTTAGATCACCATATCCTGACCAGATATCTGAGCATCACCTGGAGGAGGTCTTGGACATGAAGATGCATTCAGTGACTAATGGGACTTTGGGTTGGAGGAAGGAAATGGATGCGTAATGACCAGAGGGAAGGAGATGGCAAAGAATGCCAGCATTCACCCATACCTATGCTTCCACTGAGAGGGTAGTAAGTGTCCCCAGAAAAAAAATTCACCAATTCCAAATACTCTTGAGAAATGGCTTTGATGTTACTACAATATTCACTTTAAAAGCTAACTTTTCTTCTGTGACACCATCTATCACTGCCTCCTCACTCTCTGCATATCTTTGCTGCTAGTGCAGAGGAAAATGAAAGGGCTGGCATTCATCAGGGAAAGAATAAGGGACGAAGAAAGGGGACTGCAGGACTTTCCATTTCAGAGAATACATCTGACTATGAAACTGATGACCCCTCCTTCCCAAAACGAAAAATGTGCCCTTTATATCCACATGGCTACAATGACCACCAAAGCCCAAATCTGGAGTGAGAGATGTCGGTCCATAAAGATCTGCCATCTTCAGGTCACATGGTATTTCCACAAGTATAAACTCAGTTTGAAAAGAAAAAGAAAGAAAGATAATAAGCTTCCCTTAAAAGCTTCCTGCTTCCTACTTTTCCCTCCAGCATACATTTATTCTTATCGTCCTCCTCATCCAATAGTATTTATTAAATGAACACATTTGCATGGCACCTTACCTATGATTTTCCATTTCTCTCCAAGGAAGATTTCCTGGTTTAGAAGTTTTAATGGCTTCTCCTTTGAAAATGTCTTAAGAGGGTTTTGACTGTAATTCCTTTTCTCCTAGCTCTTATTTAATAGGCACCAATGCCTATCTTTGCCTGGGGTGTTGGGCTAGGGAGAGGAAGATTCATTAACCATGGTGAGTTATGGATTTCAATACCGTGGCTACTTCATTTCTCATATCCAAGTAGATCATTTCCTCCCTAGTCCCTCTGAGCCCAAGAAGGCATATTTTGTAAGTAGCCTTAATCTGCTTCATTAGAATATTTTTTTTAACTTTACAAGAATGATACCGCCAATATTACCATATTACTTATGGTGATATGCATGGCAGTATAATCATACATTCATATTATGTGGCAGTAAGAGTAGTGATTTTAGTTGTGATAGTAAGAGTAAGAAAACCATAGTTTTAGAGCTTGGAGACATTAAAATTAATCTCATTTTCAGATACAGAAACCTAGATCCAGGGAAGAGAAGTGCTTTGCCTAAGGTTAATACTGGTGACTAATGCCTAACTCCAGTGAGTCTGACTCATAACCTAATATGCTCCCCTATTGCACCCTTTGAGCATTAAAGTAGCATGATACTGACAGAAAGCAAGGCTCTGCTTTTGGTGCCAGAAACAGACAGTGATGCTGCTCAAGGTTATTATATAGCACACTACAAAAGAGCAGATGTGTGGTTAATACACTCTGGATACATTTCAGTTGGACAAGTCTCCATTTTCTCCCTGTCTGTTTCTACTTGTCCTTATGCCCTGGAGTACTAGCAGAATATTTCTCCCTAGGAGACCAGCTGTGTCTTTTCTCAGGGGAAAAGTGTCCCTACCTTCACAATATTCTCTAGCTTCCAGCACCAAGTAGACTCTTCCTAAGAAGCAGGGTAGTAGCTCTATCTGCTAAAAATGGTAACTGCTTTGGTTTAGGGACTGCGACTTCTCCTCAGATCTGGCCGTATGGAAAACTGTAACACTGATGAAGTTTATTCTCTCATCCCTTCTCTAGAGCACTGGTTTCTAACCAGGGGGACTTTGCTCTCCCACCCTGACAACCCAAGGGAAGTCTGGCAACGTCTGGAAATATTTTCTGCTGTCCCAACTGAGGGAGCGGTTTTGGTATCTCACGGGTAAAGGTCAAGAATGCTTGTGAAATATCCTACAGTGCACAGGTCAGCCCCCCAAACAAAAATGCAATCAGTCAAAATGGCAACATGCTAAGATTGAAGAACTTGGCCACAGAGTATTCTCCCCACCTCAGAACCTCAGACCTTGCCTACCATTGCCAACCTAAAGCTGCTTGCCTACCATTATTTGGGGACTTGGCTTTCAGCTACCACAATAAGAAGTTAAATCATCTTCTCTACAGTCTCTCCTATTAGTAGAGGAATTCTAAAGCCCATAGGAGAAACAGGTCTCGACTATACATAAAGTTTTCTTGCATCATAAAATTCAAATTATATGAACATTTACAAAATGGGGATTTTTTCTTCTTACTTCATTGAGTTGATATAAAAATAATAAAATAAGAGAGTAAAACAGGAGTTACAAAGGGCAGAGAGCAGGGTGGGAGTGGGGAGATGTAAGTCAAAGGGCATTAAGTTGCAGTTATGTAGCATGAATAAGTCTAGAGATGTAATGGATAGCATAAGAACTATAATCAATAATATTGTATTGTATAATGAAAATTTGCCAGGAGAGTAATTTTATCACTAAAAAAGAGCTATGTGATGGACATATTAATTTGCTTGATAAAAGTAATCATTTTACTACATATACATATATGTATATCAAAACATCACATTGTCTACCTTAAATACATATAATAAAAACAAAAATAATAAAATAAGATTATGTCTGTTAGAGTGCATCATAAACTGAAAAGTGTAACACAAATGTATGGCACTGCCATGGTAAGTATTAATTACAACAAAGGGATGGATTTCTAATGGAATTTTAGGCAGCGTGACAGCAGGTACTTTGGTTCAGAAGCTTGTCTAGCATTTTATTCCACAACAGAGGTGGCATATTCTTCACCAACATTCAATGCCTGTTCTGTTTTTACCTTATTTCAATCCTTTGGAATACAAAAAACAATGTCCTCTGTGCTAATCACATAGTAGATACTTAACTATGGACACACAAGTTAAACTACATAGTTCCATTCATAGCTACAAGGACAGAATTTTCCACCTTTCCTAGTTCATGGAAAGCTCACATTTACTGGGCCTTTCCATGGTTTTATTGAGCTTCTTTTTCCAGTCATCACAACAGAAGTTGGCTCATGAGCCCAAAAGAGTTAACTTACTGAAATTAAATTGATTTAGCACTTACTATATACCAGACATTGTGTTAGGGACCAAAGATGCAAATAATAACAGAGGTTAACACGTATTATCTTCCAGCCCTGTGTCAGTCACTGTGGTAGGCACCTCATCACTTTATCTATAACATTTCCAGAAACATGTGAAGTAGACATTTATTCCACTGACAAATGAGGCAACAGAGGTACAGCGAGTTTATGTGACTTATCTAAGACATTCAACTAATACATATGAGTACTGGAACTGAGAGTCAAATTTATATCTATCTGGTGTCAGATACCATGTTCTTCCTCATCGCCCCTCACAGTATCTTTTGGTTCTGGGTGTTTGCTGTAAATAAACATCAACAGCATACCCAGTTACCATGATAAGAGTCAGAAAATGTCTGTGCTACAGAATGGGGGGATAATGGCCACAATACCTAACACCAACAGGAGTGTCAGCATCTCTCTAGCAACTCCAGCCAGTGCACACTGTTAGTGTGAATAAATAAGAAAAATGCCTAAGTCCTTATTTTTCAACTGCTTACAATTTGTTCATAAAATAGAAATGATTTGAGCAGCGCATTGGTGGATATTTGTAGTGCAATTTGCCCCAACAGTAAAGGGATGAGGACTAGATTAGTGACACTGAGGATTTGTGTTTCAATCCCAAATAAATGAAGCCTGACTCAAACAAGTTTTTCTTATTTCCTACCCATCTAATTCAATTCAATTACATTCAGTGAGTACTTGCTAAGCCATGACTGTGTGCCTAGTGCTGTGGGAAACAACAATGAACTGACATGACAACTGCCCTCAAGGAGTTTACTTTACTCTGAGGGAGACAAGATTTAATTAGAGTATAATAAAAGCCAGCTGACACCCACAGATGAAACTTCACATGATCTAGTTTATTCATCAATGCACATGCTCCTTCCCTAACAGATTCATGTATTCAGTGAACACGGAGGTGGTGTGGGGTGCCAGGCAACCCATTCTCCACCTCCAAAGCATCCCCACAGAATGGGCATTAGTATACAATACGGACAAGTAATATAGTGGAAGAGACTGCTGCTGATGGGACTAGTAGCAATGGGTGTGATCAGGGAGGCTTCAAGGAGGTGGTGAAGTTGACTTAGGATAGAACTTAAAGTATGGGAAAGATTTATATTGTCTTCTAGGAATGTGTTCTGGGGCAGATTCTGGGAAGTTTCTATTCAAGAATCAATAAAGGGTTACTATACTGCTATGGGACACAGATTTTTATAAAGATATCATTATATGCCTTCTCTGAAATAAAAATCTAAAAATAGTAACCTAATGACACAGGTTTAACAAAAAATGGGGGGCAGTTATTAACATCACAAAAGTAAACTTACATTTTCTTGATGCATGAACACATCTCCCTCTAGAAAAAGTAGAAGCTACTGTCATATTGAGATGAGACCATATCCATTAAGCATATAAAAACACCTCAAGAGAAATAATTAATCCTATGGATATTAGAAAGTCTCATATGTAAAAAGGAGAGGAGGATATTTTCCTCATTCTATATGCATACCAAAATACTTTTAAACTATAAGGAATAATATAAATACTTTTAATATATAAGAAATTCATACAACTCAATAGAAAAAAACAAATAACTCAATTTAAACATTGGTGAAAGGTCTGAATAGACATTTATATAAAGAAGACACAAATGGAAAACAGGTATACAAAAAGGTATTCAACATCACTAGTCATCAGGAAAATACAAATAAAAATCATGAGATATCACTTCACACCTGTTAGGAAGGTTATAATTAAAAAAAAAAAAACCCATAAGTGTTATGAGGATGTGGACAAAAGAGAACCCTCATACTCATTTACTAGTGTTAAGATTGTAAATTGGTATAGCCATTATGGAAAACAGTAAGAACATTCCTCAAAAAATTAAAAGTATAACTATCACATGATCGAGCAATTTGCTTCTGGATATTTACTCAAAGATACTGAAATCAGGATGTTAAAGAGCTATCTGTACTCCTGTGTTCACTGCAGCATTACTCACAATAGCTGAGATATGGAAACAACCTAAATGTCCATCAATGAATGAGTGGATGAAAAAAATGTAGTGTATACACACAATGGAATACTATTTAGCTCTAAAAAAGGATGTCCTGCCATTTATGACAACATGGATGGACATGGAATATATTATACTAAGTGAAATAAGCCAAACACAGAAAGACAAATACTGTATGATTTCACTCATCTGTTGAATCTAAAATAGTCTAATTCACAGAAGCACAGAACAGAATTGTGATTGTCAGGGGATGGGGAAGGAGAAATGGGAAGTTGATGGCCAAAGGGTACAATGTTTCAGTAATGCAAGATAAATAAGTTTTGCAGATCTACTACACAGCATAGTACCTATAGCCAATGCTGTATCATAAACTTAAACTTCTCTAATAGAATAGATCTTAGGTTAAGTGTTTTTACCATAAAAATAGTAATAATAATAATAATAATAATAATAATAAAAGGGGAAGGAGGAAATTTTAGGAAGTGATGAATACTCATATGTCCTTGATGGTGGTGACAGTTTTATGGGTGTATATTCATCCCCAAAGTCAAGTAGTTGTATACATTGAATATTTACAGCTTTTTACATGTCAATCATACCTCAATAAATAAAATGGTTTTATCACATGAGTGCACACACACACACACACACACACACACACACAAGCCTTGTGTTGTAGAGCTGCTACTTGACTCATCTAAGTTACCGTTAATGAGAGGCCTTAATATTTAGATTCTTTTGACTTTAGTCACCAGAAACAAGAAAAAGACTCTTCATAGTGGAGCATAAGACTTTCAAACTTGAAATATTCTAGTCATATGATATTAAAAAGAAACATGCATGTAAATATAGTCTTTAAATGTATAATAAATGCTTGGGTTTGTATTAGCAAATATATACAAAGCTCCAAATCTCTATCTTTCATGGGCTTTTTCCTCTTATGGCTATTCATGGACAATTTAGATCTGCAAGTTTTAACCATTTAACTTCCTGAGAAAGGAAATTTAAACAACAAAAGCAAATATGTCCCCAACTCACGTATGGAAGTAGTTATTTCAGGTTAATTATTATCAAGAACTGTGCAAGACTAAGAATGTGATTAAACATTAGCCTGTGAGAAATTTAACAGTGGGGTTCTACAATAAAAACAGAATATTGTTCTTTCTAGGTTTTTTCTAAATGGTCCCAAACTACATATGCGAATGAAGCTAATGTCTAAATAATTAAATGATAATGTCATTATTATTCAATGTAGGAATACACTTGAGAATCAAATCGAATCAGTTCTTTTCCCCTTGTGGCACAATAACAACTCATGTTCAACCTTACTTAATATATTCCTTGCTTAAAAGAAAAACCAGTCTGTATACTCACTGGTTTCTACAAAAGAGAACTAGGCCTATGTAACTGAGAAAGAGAGCAGTTAAAAAAAAAACACAAAAGCAATAGCCCTGAGCTAAATGTAAATTGAGCTAAGAGCAGCACCCCTGCACCCTTGTCCTAAACTCCTTTCTCATTTCCATCCCTTAGGTATTTCGTGCCCTCCATCCTTGTTGGCCCTTGCTCCCTAAAAAGGACCTGCTAATGGGAACATCGTCAATGTGTTACCTCTCTTGCAGTATTTGTATTTTCACTCAGCCTCCACTGTGCTTTGAAAACGTTCATACAGCACTCATCAACTGTCAGGCTTAGTTCTAAAGACATTCCATACTCATACACACACTTTTGTTGTTGTTGTTTTTTGTTTGTTTGTTTTTGAGACAATGTCTGACTCTTATCACTCAGGCTGGAGTTCAGTGAGTGGCTTGATCTTGGCTCACTGCAACCTGCAACCTCTGCCTCCCAGGCTCAAGCCATCCTCCCACCTCAGCCTCCCAAGTAGCTGGAAATACAGGGGTGTGTCACCACACCCAACTAATTTTTGTATTTTTTGGTAAAAACGGTGTTTTGTCATGTTGCCCAGCCCAGGCTGGTTTTGATGCACCCATCTCAGCCTCCCAAAGTGCTGGGATTATAGGCGTGATCCACCCTGCCTGGCCCACATTCCATATATTTACTAATTTAATCTTCAAACAGCTCTGAGATAAATACTCTTAACATTCCTATTTTTAAAATGAGGAAACTGAGTCGTAGAGTAGATGGGTAAACCCAAGCATTCCATCTTGAGAGCCAGTGTTCTCTCCACTAGAGCTACATAAGAGAGAGATGCTCACACCTTCCAGTCGTTACTTCTAATTCCTTTCCAGTATTATTTGATTGTATAATTTCTAAATGTCATCTTTCAGCATTAAAACCCACAGGAAGATATAATAAAAATTTAAGAAAATTCATGAACACTAACGTGAAACACACGGCCCTGACAAAGGATAAGGTAATGGATTTAGAAAGATGTCTGTACACACCTTCTGTCCCAGGACCCTTGAGTCTTTCTAATCTGTTATATCATGGCTACCACTAGAGAGATTATTTAGACAGGCTCTCCAATACTTTTCTGTTAATTTTGTTTTATTTGCTTTGATATAAAATTTCCATCTATGATTGTGAGTTAAGAAAAATCATAAAAGGACCTGCTACAATCCCTCTCTTTGATGCTTTTCCTATGCTGGTATCAAGACTGCTTGGTAGAAAAGCAACATAGGTATATAGGTTTAAGACAGGATTTTAAAATAAGAAAGTCCATAAAAAATCTGCTGAAAATTTGAAGATTTTTTAATTAATTGAAAAATAAATGTAAGCATGTTAACTAAATAAGATGCACATAAATCAAACAAAACTAAGTTAAACTACCTTATATTAATTTTAGAGTAAGACAGTTCAAATATAAATATAAATATAATATCAATCAGAATAAAGTAGTTTCTATAATATAATAATTAAGTTATTGATAACATCCACTGACCCTTCTCTCCAAAAAAACAACTAAATATAAATGTTATATATATATATATATATATCTCATATATCTTTTATATATGACATATATATGGGATTATATATCATATACTTTTATATATGAGATATATATGGGATATATATATATCATATATCTTTTATATATGAGATATATATGGGATATATATATCATATATCTTTTATATATGAGATATATATGGGATATATATATATATATATATATATATATATATATATCATCTTAAAGGCCTCAAAGCATGAACAAGTTAATATAGAATTAGCAGGCCAAATGATTCCTCAAAGACCTAGCAGCAGAAATACTATTTGACCCAGCAATCCCATTACTGGATATATAACCCCCAAAATATAAATAATTTTATTATAAAGATACATGGATGCGTACGTTCCTTGCAGCCATTATTTTCAATAGCAATGTCATGTGATCAACCTAAATGCCCATCAATGATAGACTGGATAAAGAAAATATGGTACATATATACCATGGAATACTATGCAGCCATAAAAAGGAATGAGATCATGTTCTTTGCAGGGACATGGATGGAGTTGGAAGCCAATATTCTCAGTAAACTAATGCAGGAACAGAAAACCAAACACTGCATGTTCTCATTTATAAGTGCGAGCTGAACAATAAGAACAGATGGACACATAGAGGGGAACAACACATACTGAGCACCTGTGGGGAGGGGGGAGAGACAGCATCAGGAAGAACAGCTAATTGATGCTGGGTTTAATACCTGAGTGATGGGCTGATCTGTGCAATAAACCACCACGGCCTATGTAACAAACCTGCACATCCTGCACTTCTACCCTGGAACTTTAAAGTTGAAAACAGCAAACAAACAAACAACAACAACAACAAAAACAATTTAGCAGGCCAAAATCTACACAAAACCTCTAACCCAGAGACTTAAATAAAGCCACTTTTGCCTTGAGGCATTTGCTGAATTTGACAAACTGGTTTTCTAGTCCGTCTGGGTCCACAGGATGGTCAACAGCCAGGATCTAGCCAAGGAGACTCTTTCTCCTTTAGCGCTGGTACTTCACAGGGCTATATCATCAGTGTAAAAATACACCAGATGTAAAGATCTCAATTCCCCATCTCTCAGTGACTATTTGGGGGAGGGCAGTCTGTGAGTAACTGTATGTTTTCAGTAGGTGTTGTAACACAAAATCTTACTCCACCTCCACAAAAAAGGAAAACCTCAAGCCATGAAATAAAATTAGTTTGAAGTGGCCCTAAACAGGTATGCTATTAGGCACCTGACAGAAGATAATGGAAACCCTCTCTGATAAAATATAACTCTTCATTTTAATGCTGAAAAATATTGTAAATAATATAAGAAAATGAACCATGCAGAGTAAAAGTAAGTAAGCATAGCAATGAGGCAACATGAGCAGGAAACAGCAGCAACAGAAAACAGAAACGAGCTCACCAAAGTATTAGACATTAGAATAGTCAAAATGTGATATTGGAATTATTGGACAAAGATTTAAACAACTGTGTAAAATGATGTCTACTGTGTTTTAAGAAATAATAGATAAATCAACATTTTCTCCTAGGAAACCATAGCTATTTTTAAATAATACTGTAGATGTGTCAAATAATGAATTTGAAAAATGAAAAATAACTAAAATGTAAAACTCAAAAATGAATTTTTGCAAAGATTAGACATAACTGAAGAGAGAATTAGCAAACTGGAAGGTAGATCAGAAGTAATTATCCAGGATGCAAGAAGGAGAGGAAAAAATGAAAAAAAAAAATTAAGAGACATGGATAATGTTTGGAGTGAAAAGGTCTGACATACAATTCATTGGAACCCCAGAAGGGGCTGAGAGAAAACATGTGGCAGAGGCAATATTTGAAGAGAAAATGCTGAAGAACTTACCAGAAATAATCCACAGATTCAGGCACACAGGGTATCCAAAACAAGATAAAGAAAATAAATTTACATCTAGACACATTATAAAACTTCAAAACCAAAAAAAGTGAAGAATAAGTATTAAAAGCAATCTAAAACAACAACAAAAAACACAGATTGTCTTTAAAAGGGGTGACATGAAGTCTTTGCCCATGCCTACATGGCGCATGTATACATATGTAACAAACCTGCACGTTGTGCACATGTACCCTAGAACTTAAAGTATAATTTAAAAAATAATAATAATTAGAATCAAGCAGGATGGGGTGGGGATACTCCAAAATTGATTAACAATATGAAATGAACCAAAATATACTATAAATAAAGAACCAAACTGAAGAGTGTAGCCCTAACTAAAAAAAAAAAAAAAAAAGGGGGGGCGGTGACAGACTGTCCATTGCATTTTAAATAACAAAATGATTGCCAGAAGTCTGTGGAATGACATCCTTAATGTGCTTAAAGAGATAGTTGACAACACAGAATATGTCTACCAAAAATATCTTTTAGGAATGAGAGAGACATGAAGACATTTTCAGATATTCCCTTTCCTCCAAAATGACAAAGGGTTTAGCACCAGCAACCCATACTTGTGAATATTCTAATAAACATATTTCAGGCAGAAGTGATCTTAGGTGGAAGGAATGGGTTGGGGATAACAAACAGACAGTAAAGATTGAAGAATATGTAGGAGGAACCCTAAATAAATACTAAATGAAACAATAAGAAAATTTTAGAGTTTAAATATGCCAACATAGAAGTAAAATACATAACAATAATAAGTCAGGAGAGGCATACATGACATTAAATCTTCTGAAGGAACTTATATTGTAAGGATGGAAGGTGAAGGCAATGACTAACTTTTAACCTTGACAAGTTAAAAATGTGTGTTGTAATTTCCAGAATAAGCACTGAAAGAACCATAACCTATAAACTAGTAAAAGAAATTTTTTTTTTCCCAAATAAAGGTAAGGACAGAAAGAAAAGGAGGTAAGGACAGAAATAAAAATATAGAGTAGGCAAGACAGATAATACAGATAAATTATATATATAAGCCCAGATATATTAGTAATAAATATAGGCTAAATGCTCCAGTTAAATACAAAAATCACAAGGTTCAAACAAAATGAACAAATGTGAGTTATGAACATACATAATGCTTCAGCCAAAACTGCAGAAAACATTTCCTCCAAAAATCAAATGCCACATGTTCTCAGTTATAAGCAAGAGTTAAACATTGAGTACACATGGACACAAAGAAAGGAACAATAGACACTGGGGCCTACTTGAAAGTGGAGGGTGAAAAGAGGGTGAGAAGCAAGAACTACCTATTGGATACTATTCTTATTACCTGGGTGATTAAACAATCTGTACACCAAACCCCCACAACATGCAATTTACCTAGATAACAAACATGCACCTATACCCTTGAACCTAAAAAAATTTTTTTGAATCAATCAATCAACAATATTCTAGTATATATGAAATATTTACAATAGTGAATTTATCCTGGGTCATTAAGCAAAACATAAAAAAATCCAAAAGATTGGAGTCATACAGTGCATGATCTTCAACTGCAGTTCAATTGAATCACAAAAATATTTAAAAAATAAGAATCCCTGAATGTTTGAAAATTAATAAGCACACTTCTAAATAATCCATAGATCAAAGACAAAGATCATGATGTAAATTAGATTTTTTTTTTTTGTTTTGAGACAGAGTCTCGCTCTGTTGCCCAGGCTGGAGTGCAGTGGCGCGTTCTCGGCTCACTGCAAGCTCTGCTTCCGGGGTTCACACCATTCTCCTGCCTCAGCCTCCCGAGTAGCTGGGACTACAAGCGCCTGCCACCACTCCCGGTTAATTTTTTGCATTTTTAGTAGAGACGGGGTTTCACCATGTTAGCCAGGATGGTCTCAATCTCCTGACCTCTTGATCCACCTGCCTCAGCCTCTCAAAATGCTGGGATTACAGGCGTGAGCCACAGCGCCTGGCCTAAAATATATTTTTAAATGAATGATTATGAAATGACTACATATCCAACTTGTGAGACGCATATTAATTATGTGAAATAAATCTTTGTTGTTTGTAAGCTAACCAATTTATGGTATTTTGTTAGAGCAGCCAAAATAGATGAAGGCAAGCATATACACTATTCCCAGATACACAGGATGTTCAAAAGGGTGGCACTCTCTGCAATGCAAATTTGGACACTGAAGTAAAATTGAATCAGCAAAAATCAAGTATGCAATGGCAAAACTGATGAAGGAGCAAAGAGTTAGGAGATAGAAAACTCAGGTACTAGTTGCTCCATATTTTCTTAGAGATTTTTTTAATAGATCAATCAATAAATGTTATTGAGTATGCATTTAGAGCCTGAAACTCTGCCATGTAGACCTTAGTGCTATGCTAAGGAAGTCATCTTTTCTTACCCTTCGGGAGCTTATATACTGGTAGGAGTCAATATTTTGGTCAGACCTAGTTTGGTATCTTAGTCCCTGCATAATTTTATCTACAGCTGGTTCCACATGGTTCCCTATTCATATGCTCCTCCTTGTCCTGCTCTCTGGACTACCTTTCCTTACGGAAGAAAGTTCTTAAACATCCCTAGCTCTACTTTCTATGGTTCAATATCTTAACATAACTAGCTAGTAGACCTAGACCACACCATATCTCATTCTGACACAGATTTCTGTCTTAGTTTCTATTTTTAACTTCCTAAATAAATTTAAGCTGCAGAATACCTCAAAATCCTCCAACAAAAGATATTTTTTCCTTTTCTAGTTCTTCTGGAGAATGGAGACCTGAATCTACTTCTATGACTGGGAAAAAACTACTTGTTGTTTGATCTCCATTTCTTTGGCCAGCCACCCTCACCTTAAAGCTCTGTTTCTGACTATTGGCTATTGAGACTTGTGCTTTCTATCAGCCTTGTGTACAATACTGTCATTTCTAGAATAGGCAGAGCCTTATTCACAAAACATCTTCCTTCTCAGCACCTTCTAGGTAATTATTCTAATTTATTGCTAAAACCCTTTCTGTTTGAAATAATTTGTCTAGGTCGGGTCTGGTTTCAAGTTGTGACATACTCCAATAATTATAGGATAATATGTAATTGAACATTAGATCGTGTATTGCAGTCTTATTTGAGTATAAAATGTTTTTAGCAGATAACTTGAATCAAAATTTTTTATGCACTCATTCATCATTTACCAAATAATACTTTGGAATTATATATAATACAAACTAGCAGAGTATAGTAGACAGAAATTAGATTTTAAGGTTAAATGTACTTGGGCTAAATCCTAGCATTGTCACTTAATTAGCTACTTGCTAAACTTCTTTGTGCATTTTTGTGCCTCAGTTTTCTTGAGATATTATGATAATAGAGCACCTATCTCTCAAAGTTGTTCTGAGAATTAAATGAATTAATGAATGTAAGTCATTTAGTATTGCGCCTGGCACAAGCAAGTGTGCAGCTAATTATAGTTCAAGGTATTAGTATAAATCAGGAGTTGGCAAACCACGAGGCAAATTCTGCTATCTGCCTCTTTTGTTAATAAAAAGTTTTATTGGAGCATGGCCACACCCATTTGTTTAAAATTACAGTCATACTAAAATAATAGAGTTGAATAGTTGTAACAGAGACTGTATGACCTGTAAAGTTTAAAATATTTACAGTCTGCTCCCTTCTTGA
Source organism: Homo sapiens (assembly GCF_000001405.40). NCBI lineage: Eukaryota > Metazoa > Chordata > Mammalia > Primates > Hominidae > Homo > Homo sapiens. The sequence goes on along the minus strand of NC_000006.12, from coordinate 51,086,628 downwards.
AAAAACAATGATACATGTTAGCGAGAATATTTGCAGTTATTGTTCAACTAGTACCCACTCTCCTAGAAACAGAAGCAAACAGCCCATTATGAGCTAAAATAGTTCATGAGCCACTAAAATAATGATTCTGGAGATATCCTTGAGATCAGGAAAAGATCAACTACCTGCCTGAGACTTTAAATGTGGAAGTGGGATATGACAGCCTGCAGATTAAATAACTAAAACAACTGGCAGAACTGGAGAAAATCATATGCTTTCATCTGCAGTCAGGGTGATGCCTTAGAAATTATTCTTTCTCTAAAACCAAAAAAGCTCAAAATGGCAAAATAGCGTCTTTATAGCAGCCCTCAGGTTACTGCTCTGATAGGGGAACATGGAGCTTAAGGTGTAATTTTTGGTTGTTCAAGGACTCAGACACCTGGCCAGTGCCAAGATGAGGCTGAAAATATGTGTATAAATATATCCAAATAGGGTCTAGGTAAAGTGGGTGTAAAGAGTGGAAAGAGTGACTGTGGTAGCTATTAAGAGTCTTCACATAACACCAGCCTGATTGGCTAGTCTTCATTTAAGAAAACATATAATCTAATGGAAATTGAAAAAAATACAATGAAAAATCCCACAAGTACCTGACGGCTTGGAGTTATGCTCTGGTTCTCCCATCTTCATAATCTGAAGTATCTCAGGACTCAAATTAACTCATCACACATGTATACATATTGAGCTTATTAACATACCATTCTGGAATATCATTAAGAATAACAATGCCATTGCTATACATTGCCTAGAAGATTATTGCCAGTGTTGAGGTCTAGCTAGGGAATGAGATGGCAATGGGCACAATGAATGACATGTGAATAAAGAGATAATTGAACAGGAATACACCAGACACAACTCTTAGAAGATGAGTTGCAAAAGGGTTCTAAGAAAGACTGAAGGATTAAAAGGGGAAGAAAATAAAATAAGAAAAAAAGGAACAATAATAAGAGCAGAGTGAAGTTAAAAATATTTACATTGACATTCAGCTTAATAATAATAACTAGCATTACTATCATTACTTATTCTGCCCAGTCACTGGGCATTTCACATTTCAGAGGGAAATCTTATTTTATCATCTAGGACTAGCTCTTTAGGAACATACAGTATGGAACTGTGTGCCAGATATACTTCTAAGATCCTATTTATTTATTGTATAATTTAATGAAGTTAATACTATTATTCTAATTCCCATTTTATACAGATGAGACTAAGGAACAAACCAGGTATTTATCCCTAGAATGGCTGGCTCTTAACCCATCTTCTTGAGGCACTAGAGGCGAGGGTTGAAAGCAAGTAAAGAAGAGCTGAAGAGCCTTTCATGGATGGCACAAAGGTGCTCAGATTGCAACCCAAACAGCGGAATGCAGATACATTGAGTAATTAGGCTGCTTGCAAGAGCATCTTGAGCTATTTCTAGCAAGTGACAGAACAACATGGGTAATATCACTCACCACCTGATTTAATAGAATAGATATGTTCAAGTAAAACACAAAATAAACCTAAAGAGATGATAGTCATAAAATTCCTAATCCAGGTCTTTTGGGCCATTTTCAAAAAGAGTAGATGTTCCATTAACCTGATTTGGTGCTCAACAGTGGGCTAGATAGAGAGTGGGATGGGGAGGGGAGCAAGCTCAGTGATTACATATGTCCATTGATAAAAATATAGAAAGGGAAGGCTAAACGTCTTGAACCTATCCTTCACAAGCAACTTAGAATCCCATTGCACTCTTCGGGAGTCACAAGGCCCCTGTCTGGGTCTTTCACTTTTAGTTCTCATTAAAACAGGAAGCTTTGCTACTTTAATCCTAACTAAACTTTTTCCTTGGTAAATACAACTAGGTATTCTAACTCTTACAAAATAATCTATACAAGCAGTTTCATATCCTCTCCGAATTTGTCATCTGCCTAGAGCAGTATTGCTAAATCTCCTCAAAACGCAATGAAATGAAAACAGCTGAGCATTTGAATGCATTTAACTTATACTATTATTTTTGTTTTTGTTTCACAGAATTAAATTTCCATCAGCTTTGTTCTAAAAAGCAGCGGAGGGGGGATGGCAACACAAATTCATCTGCATAAAGGGGTCCAAATTATCTAGGAATTAAGCTGCCATTCTGCGGGAAATAACTTACCAAATACCATGGTGCCCTGGGAGAGAGAGTTCACTGACTACTTGCAAGAGCCATGTCTATTTAATTTGTATTCAATATGGGTGCCTCTTCATAAGTCGAGAAAAAAAAGTACCTATTCTATGAGTACAAAAGCAGCATACTCACCAGAGGGTGGCTTGTCCACACTTTAGAAGGAAAAAATATCTCCCTTTTACTTCCTCATGCCAGAGGTCCTCTTAACCCAACTTTCCTCACTTCACACCTGACAGTATTGTGTGCAGACAAGTGGGCCTATGAGCACTCTGTGCTTCCTCCCACAGGTTAATGGTGACCCACAGTCCCATATGAAACAGATGGTTAGAACTCTCCTTTTATAAAATATGTGATTCTTGGGGAAACAAATAGACCCATTTTATGTGCAAAGACACACATAGACTTAAAATAAAGGGATGGAGGAATATTTACCAAGCAAGTGGAAAGAAGAAAAAAAGCAGGGGTTGCAATCCTAGTCTCTGATAAAACAGCCTTTAAACCAACAAACATCAAAAAGACAATTTAGGGCATTATATAATGGTAAAGGGATCAATGCAACAAGAAGAGCTACTATACTAAATATATATGCACCCAATACAGGAGAACCCAGATTCATAAAGCAAGTTCTTGGAGACCTACAAAGAGACTTAGACTCCCACACAATAATAGTGGGAGATTTTAACACCCCATCATCAATATTAGACAGATCGATGAGATAGAAAATTAATAAGGATATTTAGGACTTGAACTCAGCTCTGGATCAAGTGGACCTAATAGACATCTACAGAACTCTCCACCCCAAATCAACAGAACATACATTCTTCTCAGCACCACATTGTACGTATTCAAAATTGACCACATAATTGGAAGTAAGACACTCCTCAGCAAATGCAAAAGAACAGAAATCATAACAAACAGTCTCTCAGACCACACGGCAATCAAATTAGAACTCAAGATTAAGAAACTTACTCAGAACTGCACAACTACATGGAAACTGAACAACCTGATCCTGAATGACTACTGGGTAAATAATGAAATTAAGGCAGAAATAAATAAGTTCTTTGAAACCAATGAGAACAAAGACAAAACGTACCAGAATCTCTGGGACACAGCCAAAGCAGTGTTTAGAGAGAAATTTATAGCACTAAATGCCCACAGGAGAAAGCAGGAAAGATCTAAAATCGACATCCTAACATTACAATTAAAAGAACTAGACAAGCAAGAGAAAACAAATTCAAAAGCTAGCAGAAGACAAGAAATAACTAAGCTCAGAGCAGAACTGAAGGAGATAGAGACACGAAAAACCCTTCAAAAAATTAATGAATCCAGGAGCTGGTTTTTTGAAAAGATTAACAAAATAGACCACTGGCAAGACTAATAAAGAAAAGAAAGAAGAATCAAATAGATACAATAAACAATGATAAACGGGAGATCACCACTGATCCCACAGAAATACAAACTACCACCAGTGAATACTATAAACACCTCTATGCAAACAAACTAGAAAATCTAGAAGAAATGGGTAAATTCCTGGACACATACACCCTTCCAAGACTAAACCAGGAAGAAGTTGAATCCCTGAGTAGACCAATAACAAGTTCTGAAATTGAGGCAGTAATTAATAGCCTACCAACCAAAAAAAGCCCAGGGCCAGACAGATTCAAAGCCAAATTCTACCAGAGGTACAAAGAGGAGCTGGTACCATTCCTTCTGAAACGATTCTAAACAATAGAAAAAGAGGGACTCCTCCTTAACTCATTTTATGATGCCAGCATCCTTTTGATACCAAAACCTGGCAGAGAAACAAAAAAAGAAAATTTCAGGCCAATATCCCTGATGAACATTGATGCAAAAATCCTCAATAAAATACTGGCAAACCAAATCCAGCAGCACATCAAAAAGCTTACCACCACTATCAAGTCGGCTTCATCCCTAGGATACAAGGCTAGTTCAACATACAAAAGCCAAGAGCACAGACTCTGAAGCCCAGGGTGCTTCATATCCTTGCAGACAAGCAACTAATAGTTTCATTTTGGAAATAAGGCAAGTTAGTTTATATTGCAACTAAGTGATGAGTCCAAAGCTCAGACAATTCCTAAAAGTGGCATTAGAGAGGTCACCACTGTTAATAAAACCCCACAGCATAGGCTCTGTTATTTATGAATTCAAAACTCAAATGATTTGAATTTGGTTTGGAAACCACACATAAAATAAAATTTCATTATAATACAAGTGTCAAGAGGCAAGTATGACATTCACATTATAAAAAACTCTAAAATAAAAGCAGTGTATTATAGAAACAGAAATCCTGTTTTTGAAACAAAAGTCAGAATGCATATTTTGTCAAGAAGGCACAAATGAAGTTTAGATACCGAAACTGGAATTCCTAGGACACTTAAATAATTTATGGAAACAAGAGAAAGTTTGAAATGAAAATTAACTCAGAACATTTAAGATACATTTCAAAGTAAGACACTACAACTGTATTATATACATACTTGACTCAAATATGGGGTTAGTGAGGTAAGGGCATACTTAAGGGCCTTTTTTCTTAAAGGGCCAGGTAAATATTTTAGGCTTTGCAGACCATAAGGTCCCTGGCACAACTACTGAACTCTGTCATTGTACACCTAAAAGCAGCCACAGACAATATGCAAGTGAATAGTTGTGGCTTTGTTTCAGTAAAACTGTATTCACAAAAATGGGAAACTGGCCAGGTTTGGCCCATGGACTATAATTTATTAGTCTGTGCCCTAATATAAAATGTGCTTTTGATATAGCTAGGCAGTATTATTCCTATGATTGTTGGAATACTGAAATGAGTGACTGCTCAAGACAACTTGGTTGTACTGACTGATGTGCTGAATGCATCACAGGGATGAGAACTTAGATAAGAATTTTCTAATCTTACCATGTTAGTACTACTTAGACCCTTATACCATTTAATGTCACACTTTACATGTTTCATTAGCATATAAAAAACCATCACGTGGAAAAAAAATCCATTAAATGATTCAATGTGGAAAAATAAACCATTGTAGTTTATCTCCAGAAGGACAATACTAAACCTCTCTATTTACATTTAGCCAGGGACATATAGTTTTATTGCTTATAGAACAAAGGCAAAGAGTCCAACTGACAATGAGGCTGCTTAAGTTTTCCTTTGGATGGGTTTATAGTCGGACTACATGAAGTTCACAGCAATAGAGGGACATAACAACCCAGAGGAGAGGAGAAGAGATGCAGATAAAAACTGACAGCAGCTTTCTCCATAAATTAAGCATCCAATTGTGATAAAAGAAGATGGGCAATCATAGGTAATACTGTAAGTAACAAGGAAAATGTCATATAAATACAATGCATGTGCATACTCTTATGAATCTAACATGAACACTATAATAGTATGACCCTATAGCTAAATATGTGTCTTGGTATAGATAGACATTTTGGGTGAGATAACTAATATGTAAATCTAACTAAACTACCTTTTTGAATCGTTTCCAAATAACATTAGCTTCCTGCTATGTGGGTATAAAATAATAAAATATATCATATTTGCTAATAGTATTATGAAATGGACTTTGATGTGTTTCAGTTCCTAAACTTGCTATGACCCGTCTACCAGTTAATTACATACTTGACTATTTATGCATGTGTGCATCTGTAAGTGTAGATTTCTTGCGATATTTTTTGGACTTGAGCAGATATGTTACCAGATTTTTATTATTCTATTTGTTTCTATCGAAATGTAAATTATCAGCTTTCCTAGCTGGACTTTTTATTTTATCTCAATCCCAATACAGATTGGGCTGCTGTATTCCAAAAATTTTACCAAAGCATGTACTTTTAATACTTTGTTAACAACTGTATCAACCCATATTTGGTGATTTTAGGGATCAAATCAAATCATGGCTCACTATATGCTAAACCTCCCAGGCTTAAGCGATTCTCTCACCTCAGCCTCCTGACTAGCTGTGACTACAAGCATGCACCATCACATCCAGTTAATTTATTTATTTTTTGTAGAGATGGCATCTCACTATGTTGCCCACACTGGTCTCGAACTCCTGGCCTCAAGTCACCCTCCCACCTCAGCTTCTCAAAGTGCTGGAATTACAGGCATGAGCCACAGCGCCCAGCTGGTATGTTTTTAAAACCAGGTAAATTTATATAATTTATAAGTTATTCACCCAGCTACTGCAATTGAAATAGAAATCTTCCGGTCCTGTACTGGGCTTTCCAACCACTTGAGCCTTCTACTTTCTTCCTATCAGTCCCTGTCTATCTCCACTTCTACCCTAATAAACTGAGTACTTAAACTATCATTTTAACTATTCTGTTCCAATTATTCTCTACTCTCATGCCTTTTTTCCATCTCCCCATCTCTCTGCTAAAACCCCTACCCTAAATTAAGCCTGCATTATTTTCCTGTTAATGCCATAAGAAATTACCACAAACTTAGTCACTTAAAACAATGCAAATATACCCTTATTGTTCTGGAGGTCAGAAGTCTAAAATCAGTTACACCAGGCTAAAATCAAGGTGTTAGCAAGGCTAGTTTCTTCTGGAAATTATGAGTGGAGAAACAATTCCTTGCCTTTTTACCTTCTAGTGGCTGCCAATGTTCCCTGGTTCATGACCCCTTCCTCCATCTTTAAAGGATATCACTCCAACCTGTTTCCAGTCATCATATCTCCTTATCCTTTTCTGCCAAATATCTCTCTGCCTCCCTCTTATAAGGACATTTGTGATTACTTTTAGGGCCCACCAGAATAATCAGCATAATCTCCCCATCTCAAGATTCTTAATCTCACCTGTAAAGTCCCCTTTTCCATATGAAGAAACAGTCAAAGGTTTTGGGAATTAGAACCTGGAGGCCTTAAGGAGGCATTATTCTGCCTACTGTAGTATGACATGTGGACCCCAAAGATTCATGTTCCTCCCACTTGCAAAATATATTCACCCCATCTCAACATCCATAAAAATGTTAACCCATTACAAAGTCAAACGCCCACTTCTCTTCACTTATACAGGGGCTGCTAGAGGTATCACATTTGTACAGAATGGGTCCACTAGAGAATCAGAGTTTTTCAAGTGGATCTCAGGCTGTCTAAGAAATCTCATGCATTTCTCTGGTCAGTTCAATTTCCAGTTTTTCACAACTGTTTCATACATTCTCTGTTTTCTTCCATTGTTCCCCTGCCTCACTTCCCTCATCCTCCATCCCCAAAGTCATTACCCTAGTTAAGGCAGACTTCATCATGAGCCTAAATTGCTGCAAAAGGTTTTCATTGATTTCCTTGCTTCCAATAGTGTAATAACCATATCAGTCAGGAGGTTGTTGAAGTGGTCCAGCCAACAGTGAAGAAAGCCTGAACTGAAGTAATAAGACTGAACAGATAATAAGACAAAAACAAGTATATATATTTATACTTACTAAGCAAGCAGATGTTAAGCATTCTCATCACATACACACAAAAGGTTAGGTCATGCATATATTGATTAGCTTGACTGAGGTAGTCATTTCAAAATGTAGAGGTATATCAAAATATCATGTTGTATATACCTTGAATATATATAATTTTGTCAATTATACCTCAATAAAGCTAAAAATATTAAAAATACAAAGGAAATATTTAGAGGGAATTGATAACAAATTGCATGTGGCAAGGAGGGTGAGAGTTGGAAGAATATGAGAAGATTCTCCCATTTCTGGCTTGGGAATATAGCTGAATGGCTATGTTCTTAAGGAGGATCAGGAGTAAGATTCAGGATGAGTATTAATGTGGTGGATAGGAGGCAGGACTAGCTTGCAGCTCCTGTTTGGACAGACACAGCAGCATGTGGAGACTCACATTGTGAACTTTTGCTCCAAGAACTACCATAGGAACAAACCAGGAAAGCGGAGAGAATCCACAGACCCTTTGAAGGAACTGTATAGCTGCTGCAGGCTCCCTGAGATGTGGAAAAACTGTGAAATCTGCTTGCTTTCTCAGCGGGGAAGCTGGCAGTCTAGAGCAAGTTCTCAGCCCTGGTCACTAGCAGCCTGGAAATAGAATCAGTGCTGTTGCAGGGGCATGGTGAGAGTGAGATTGGCCTTTAGGACTGCTGTTTGCATGGGAATGGGGTGAGGTCTGTGACTGCTGGCTTTCCCTCAATTCCCTGGCAACCTGTATGACTCAGCAGAGGCAGCCATAATCCCCCTGGGAATATAAATCCTCTGGACTGGGAACCAGACACCTATCCCCCACAGCAGCCATAGCAAGCCCTCCCCAAGGAGAGGCTGAGCCTATCCCTGTCCCCACCAGGTGGTCTTTCTCTAGCCAAAGGTCATAATTTCTTAGAAGCTCTATGGCCCTGCCCACCGCCTGAGAAAGCTAAATGCTTAACCAGGTGTCCCTAGGGCAAGTTTGCATCCTCCTTATAGGACCACAGCTAAGGTGCTCTTGAAAGCACCATCTCCTGGCCAGAGGCCAGCCAACACAAAACCAGCGCACTAAACAAAAACACCACCAAGGACCTCACAAAGTCCACTTCACTCCCCTGCTACCTCCATGGGGGCAGGTGCTGGTATTTATGGCTGTGAGACCTGAAGACAGATCACATCACAGGACTCTTTGCAGACACTCCCCACTACCAGTCTCAGTACTCAGAAGAACAAAAACAATCACTACAGTTCAGCTCTCAGGAAGAACACCACATCAAGGGAGCACACTGTGGGGCAAAAGAATCTGAACAGCAGCACCTGAATCCCAGATCTTCCCTCTGACATAGGCTGCCCAAATGAGAGGGAACCAGAAAAATAATTCTGGTAATATGACAAAACAAATTTCTTTATCACCCCCAGAAGATCATACCAGCTCACCAGCAATGGATCCAAATCAAAATAAAACCTCTGAGTTGCCAGGAAAATAATTCAGAAGGTTGATTATTAAACTAATCAAGGAGGCACCAGACAAAGGTGAAATCCAACTTAAAGAAATAAAAAACGTGATACAGGATATGAAAGGAAAATTCATCAGTGAAATAAATAGCACAAATAAAAAACAATCACAAATTCTGGAGATCAAGGACACACTTAGAGAAATGCCTGTAAAGTCTCAGCAATAGAATCAAAAAGAAGAAGAAAGAACTTCAGAACTCGAATACAAGGCTTTTGAATTTACCCAATCTGTTAAAGACAAGAAAAAATAATTTAAAAAATGAACAAAGACTCCAAGAAATTTGGGACTATGTTAAATTTCCAAACCTAAGAATAATGGATGTTCCTGAGGAAGAAGAGAAATCTAAAAGTTCAGAAAACATATCTGAGGGAATAATCAAGGAAACTTCCCCAGCCTTGCTAGATACCTAGACATCCAAATACAAGAAGCTCAAAGAAGACCCAGGAAATTCATCACAAAAAGATCATCACTTAGGCACATACTCATCAGGTTATCTAATGTCAAGATGAAGGAAAGAATCATAAGATCTGTGAGGCAAAAGAATCAGGTAACCTACAAAGGGAAACCTCTCACATTAACAGCAGATTTCTCAGCAGAAACCCTACACAATAGAAGGGATTGGGGTCCTACTTTTCTCCTCATTAAACAAAATAATTATGAGCCAAGAATTTTGTAGCCTGTGAAACTAAGCTTGATAAATGCAGGAATGATACAGTCTTTTCCAGATAGACAAATGCTGAGAGAATTCACCACCAACAAGTCAGCACTACAAGATCTGCTAAAAGGAGCTGTAAATCCTGAAACAAATCCTTGAGATATACCAAAATAGAACCTCCTTAAAGCATAAATCTCACAGGACCTATATAATGGTAACACAATTAAAAAAAAAAACAGGTATTTAGGCAACAAATAGCATGATGAATAAAATAGTATCTCACATCTCAATACTAACATTGAATATAAATGGCCTAAATGCTCCACTTAAAAGATACAGAATGGCAGAATGGATAAGAATTCACTAACCAAGTTTCTGCTGTAGACTCACATAAAATTAAGGTGTGGGGTGAGAAAAGATAATCCATGCAAATGGACATCAAAAGTGAGCAGGAGTAGCTATTCTTATAGCAGACAAAACAAATGTTAAAGCAACAGCAGTTAAAAAAGACAAAGAGGGACATTATATAATGATAAAAGGACTAGTCCAACAGGAAAATATCACAATTCTAAATATATATGCACCTAACACTGGAGCTCCCAAATTTATAAAACAATTACTATTAGACCTAAGAAATGAGATAGATGGCAACACAGTCATAGTGGAGGACTTTAATATTCCACTGACAGCACTAGACAGGCCATCAAGACAGAAAGTCAACAACGAACAGTGGACTTAAAGTATACTTTAAGTGGACTTAACAGATATTTACAGAACATTCTACCCAACAACTGCATAATATACATTCTGTTAATCAACACATGGAACATTCTCCAAGATAGACCATATAATAGTCCTCAAAACAAGTGTCAGTACATTTAAGAAAATCAAAATTATATCAAGTACTCTCTCAGACCATAGTGGAATGAAATTGGAAATCAATTCCAAAAGGAGCCTTCAAAATCATGCAAATACATGGAAATGAAATAACCTGCTCCTGAATTATCATTGGGTCAATAATAAAATCAAGACAGAAATTTAAAAATTCTCTGAACTGAATGATAGTAGTGACACAACCTATCAAAACCTCTGGGATATAGCAAAAGCAGTGCTAAAAGGAAAGTTCATAGTATTAAATGCCTACATCAAAAAGTCTGAAAGAGCACAAATAAAAAAATCTAAGGTCACACCTCACGGAACTGGAGAAACAAGAACAATCCAAACTTGAGCCCAGCAGAAGAAAAGAAATAACAAAGATCAGAGCAGAGTTAAATGAAATTGAAACAAACAAAAATATAAAAGATGAGTGAAGCAAAAATCTGGTTCTCTGAAACAATAAATAAAATTGATAGACCATTAGCAAGATTAACCAGGAAAAGAAGAGAGAAGATCCAAATAAGCTCAACTGGAAATGAAATGGGAGATATTACAACTGATTCCACAGAAATACAAAATATTATTTAACCACCTTTATGCACATAAACTAGAAAATCTAGAAGAGATGAATAAATTCCTAGAAATATACAACCCTCCTTGATTAAACCAGAAAGATATAGAATCTCTGAACAGACCAATAACAAGCAGTGAGATTGAAATGGCAATAAAAAAACTGCCAACAACAACAACAAAAAATCCAGGACCACAGAGCTTCACAGCTCAATTCTATCAGACATTCAAAGAAGAATTGGTACCAATCCTACTGACATTATTCCAAAAGATAGAGAAAGAGGGAATCCTCCCTAAATCATTCTATAAAGCCAGTATCACCCTAATGACAAAACCAGGAAAGGATATAACAAAAAAAAAAGAAAACTATACATCAATATCCTGATGAATATAGATGCAAAAATCCTAAACAAAATACTAGCAAACTGAATCCAACAGCATATCAAAAAGATAATCCACCATGATCAAGTGGGTTTCATTACCAGGGATGGTTTAACATCCACAAGTCAATAAATGTGATACTCCACATAAAGATAATTAAAAACAAAAATCACATGATCATATTGATAGATGCAGAAAAAGCATTTGATAAAATCTAGCATCCCTTTATGATTAAAACTCTCAGCAAAATTGGCATGAGACGGACATACCTTAAGGTAACACAAGCCATCTATGACAAACCCACAGCTAACATTATACTGAACAAGGAAAAGTTGAAAGCATTTCCCCTGAGAACTGGAATAAGACAATGATGCCCACTTTCATCACTTCTGTTCAACATACTATTAGAAGTACTAGCCAGACAAGAGAAAGAAAAATGGAGCATCCAAATCAGTAAAGAGGACGTCAAACTGTTACTGCTTGCTGATGATAAAATTGTATACGTAGAAAACCCTAAAGACTCATTCAAAAAGCTCCTAGTACTGGTAAACGAATTCAGCAAAGTTGCAGATACAAAATTAATGCACACAAATCAGTAGTTCTGCCATACACCAACAAAGTGACAAAGCTGAGAATCAAATCAATAACTCAACCTCTTTCACATCTGCAAATAAAATAAAATACTTAAGAATGTACCCAACCAAGGATATGAAAAAACTCTACAAGGAAAACTACAAAACACTGCTGAAAGAAATAATAGACAACACAAACAAATGGAAACACATCCCATGCTCATGGATGGGTAGAATCAATATTGTGAAAATGACCATACTGCCAAAAGCAATCTACAAAAGTCAGTGAAATTCCCATCAAAAGACCACCAACATTCTTCATAGAACAAGAAAAAACTATCCTAACATTCATATGGAACCAAACAAGAGCCCACATAGACATAGCAAGACTAAGCAAAAAGAACAAATCTGGAGGCATCACATAAACCAGCTTCAAACTATACTATAAGGCCATAGTCACCAAAACAGCATGGTACTGGTATAAAAATAGGCACATAGACCAATGGAACAGAATAGAGCACCCAGAAATAAAGCCAAATACTTACAGCCAACTGACCTCTAATAAAGCAAAACAAAACAAACAAACAAACAAAAACCCATAAAGTGAGGAAAGGATATCCTATTCAACAAATGTTGCTGGGATAATTGGCAAGACAAGTGTATAAGAATGAAACTGTATCCTCTTCTCTCACCTTATACAAAAATTAACTCAAGATGGATCAAAGACTTAAATCTAAGACCTGAAACCATAAAGATTCTAGAAGATAACATCAGAAAAACCCTTCTAGACATTGGCTTAGGCAAAGACTTCATGACCAAGAACCCAAAAGCAAATGCAACAAAAATAAAGATAAATAGATAAGACTTAATTAAACTAAAAATCCTCCACACACAAAAGAAATAATCAGCAGCGTTAACAGACAACACACAGAGTGGGAGAAAAACCTTCACAATCTATACATCTGATGAAGGACTAATATCAAGAATCTACAAATAACTTAAACAAATCAGCAAGAAAAAAAACAAACAATTCCATCAAAAAGTGGGCTAAGGTCATGAATAGATAGTTCTCCAAAGGAGATAAACAAATGGCCAAAAAACATATGGAAAAATGCCCAACATCACTAATTATCAGGGAAGTGCAAATCCAAACCACAATGTGATACCACTTCACTCCTGCAAGAATGGCCATAATCAATAAATTCAAAAATAACCTGTGTTGGTATGAATGCAGTAAAAAAGGAACACTTCTACACTGCTGGTTGGAATATAAACTAGTACAACCACTATGGAAACCAGTGTGGAGATTTTTAAAGAACTAAAAGTAGATCTACCATTTGATCCAGCAATCCCACTACTGGGTATCTACCCAGAGGAAAAGAAGTCATTATATGAAAAAGATACTTGCACACACATGTTTATAGCAGCACAATTTGCAATTGCAAAAATATGGAACAAGCCCAAATGCCCATCAATCAACAAGTGGATAAAGAAAATATTATATACATGTATGTGTGTGTATATACATATCTTTATCTCTATCTATATATATGGAATATGACTCAGCCATAAAAAGGAATGAAATAATGGCATTCACAGCAACCTGATGGAGTTGGAGACTATTATTCTAAGTGAAGTAAATCAGGAATGGAAAACCAAACGTTGTATATTCTCACTCATACGTGGGAGCTAAGCTTTGAGGACACAAATGTATAAGAGTGATACACTGGGCTTTGCAGACTCAGGAGAAAGGGTAAGGGATGGCGAAGGGTAAAAGACTACACATGGGGTACAGTGAACACTGCTTGCGTGATGGGTGCACCAAAGTCTCACAGATCACCACTAAATAACTTATTCCTGTAACCAAACACCACCTGTTCCCAAAAAACCTATAGAAACATATATATATACATATATATATATATATATATATATTTTTTTTTTTTTTTTTTTTTGAGACAGAGTCTTGCTCTGTCACCCAGGCTGGAGTACAGTGGTGCGATCTCGGCTCACTGCAAGCTCCGCCTTCTGGGTTCACGCCATTCTCCTGCCTCAGCCTCCCGAGTAGCTGGGACTACAGGGACCCGCCACCACGCCCAGCTAATTTTTTGTTTTTGTATTTTTAGTAGAGACGGGGTTTCACCATGTTAGCCAGGATTGTCTCGATCTCCTGACCTCGTGATCTGCCTGCCTCGGCCTCCCAAAGTGCTGGGATTATAGATGTGAGCCACTGTGCCTGGCCGAAATACATTTTTTTAAAAGAAAAGGTTAAAGAAAAGATTTGTGATGAGGTGTGTAGGGGGAGATGATGAATGAATGCATGATGAATCTGGGGATCCCACAGTACAGCCAAGTGATAACATCAACAAATGGTTTGTTATGTTGTTGGAGAAATCAGAATAGAGATCTGAGATAGAGATACAGAATTGCACATCATCAGAGTGTAGGGAAAGTCACAGGCCTAGATAAGGTCACCTAAGGACAGAGTGTAAAGCGGGAAAAGACAACTGAGGAAAGAACCTATCCCATATTTATAGATTAAGTGGAGGAAGAAATGTCTATAATGTTGACTGGAAAGACTGCAACAATCAAAAGGAAAGACAGAAGAAAAATGTCAAGGAAGATAAGACAAGAGTATTCAATTACACAGACATGCTCAATGAAACCAGGACTGAGTTGTTGATGGGGCTGCGTGGTTCAGAAGTCATAAGCTTCATGCAGTGGAGGAGATAGAAGGCCGGTTGCAAGGGAGTGAAGAGTTATTAGGCAGTGGGGAAGTGAACCAAAGGCTGGGAAAAAAATATCAATAAACCTGTAAGAAAAATAAGGATAAAACAATAGATGGAGGAGACATAAGATCAAAAGAAGTTTGATCATTTTTAAGAATTATTATTTTGATTTTGTAAGACAAGAGAAACTAGAGCATGTTTATAAGTAAAAGGAAGGAATCAGTAGAAAAGAAAATACAAAAGTTGCAGAAGAGAGAAAGAAGAAATGATAGAGCAAGGTAGAGCTGTTAAGAAGATCCAGAACACAAAGGTGAAATGATTATCTCCGAGGAAAAGAACAGACATATCTTTTTCTAAAAAGAGAGAAATGAGAAAGTGAATGGTTTTTATATCCATTGGAATCCCAAGGAAAATATGGAATTCTTATTTGAGAGCTTTGTCTCTGTCAATTCAGATTGCAGTCATCACCTGACAGGTGGTTAAATCCTGAAGAACGTGATAAAGGTGTGGAATAGCTATTGTTAGAAATGAAAGACATGGAACATAGGAAAGAATTACTGAACAGAACTGAAGGCACATTTGTCTCTAGAAACATAAAATTGTAGCCTTGCATCCCCAAAACCACACTAATGATATTTTCCTCAGGGATTCTTGCTTGTTCTACAAATACAGAGTTAAATATTTTCCTAGGAAAGTGAAGAAAAGGGGAAAAAGGGGAAAATGGGAGAATTCTCCCCAAATTAATCACCTTAAGTGACAAAATTAAGAAAATCTGGAGAATTGCCTCAATACCCCATATATATGAATGGATTTCCCAATTTCTCCCTACCTTTTTGATAATGTCCAAGATTTTCCTTGCCAGGCATTTCAATGCAGTGCTAGAAATTAAAAGCTTAAAATAAAGTACCTAATCTAGAGAACACATTTTCTAAAGAGTAATTACTGAAACAATCACCAAGCATAAATTACAGATAAAGATGCTCTCCTTGATTGGAAAGTTCACAGATTTGGTGTCACACAGATTGTAGGTTTAATGGCCAACCATGACACATAAGTACGATAGGACCCAATAAACTTGCCTTAATCTCTCTCAGCATAACTTATGTCAGCTGTAACATAGGGGTTAAAAAATGTGCTTTATTCAGTGTGCGTGGACAATACAGACAAGATTAGATAGATACTCAATAAAGAGTATCCATTAGCTATTACTATTTCTTGTTTTGACAGAGGGAACAATGTAAACAGAAAAGAGACACAACACCCAAAATGTGAGGTTATTACCAAGAAAGAGAAGTGATACAAGTTGAAGACAGACTCCACTTAAGCCACAAATTTATCCTAGAGCCAAACCTATTTTCTGGCTGCTGTTCAAGATGAAAGAAAAAGGCTCAATGCAGCAGTATGGAAGTGTATTGCAACTGTGAATGACAATGGAGAAGGGCCCTTTTGCTGAGCTTTTGACACACTGCAACATTAGTTTACCTAATTTATACCTATTTCTCATATTAATAGCACAGCCAACTTCATTAAAAACATGCTACATTCTTAGACATTCTCTTCACTGAATCAGTGACATTAAAAACACAATTAAAAAACAAAAAACAAAAAAAACAGCACCCTCAGGCCAGGTGCAGGGCTCAGGCTTGTAATCCCAGCATTTTGGGAGGCCGAGGTGGGCGGACCATCTGAGGTCAGGAGTTCGAGACCAGCCTGGCCAACATAGTCAAACCTCGTTTCTACTAAAAATTAGCCGGGTGTTGTGGTGTGTGCCTGTAATCCCAGCTACTCGGGAGGCTGAGGCCGAAGAATTGCTTGAACCCAGGAGGCAGAGGTTGCAGTGAGCTAAGATCATGCCATTGCACCCCAGCTTGGGCAACAAGAGTGAAACTCCATCTCAAAAAAAAAAAAAAAATAGCGCTGTCATGCATGTCACAGTTTTCCCTGTTGGACAGTGCATTTTAATTACCACTGCTTTTGAGAAAACAGGAATGCTTCCTGAATTTACAAAATATTTTCTTCCCTAAGTGTCTTTGAAAGGCCCTGAAATCCACATTTCAATAACAGTTTTTCATGGGGTAGAAAGAAGTTGTTGGGCTGTTTTTTTGTTTGTTTTTTTTTTCCAGGAGAACCAAAGAATAACCGTGAGACCTCCCTCCCAAGTAAGAGATAGAAAATGTTAAGGACTGTTGAGCACCCAGCAAATTTCCACAGTGGATCAGTAAGAAGTTACTTAGCACAGGTGTTTAATTATGATGCATTAGGGAAATGGGTAGTGTTCAATGGCCCTCAAGCACGAACCTCCACCTGTGCAGAGGTCTAACATTGGTTCATGGAGTGATAATATTGAGGGGAGTGATTATGCGCCAATCCTGCTCAAGGGTCTTTCTTTTCTTGGTTGCTGCAACCAAGTTCACTGCCAGGAAGCCACGGGTTTCCCCACATGAGTAGGTCCATCACACAAGTTTATAATCTGCATCTGGTTTATCTCTCCAGGAATTAGCCATTTCTGAACGCAACTAAAAAATCAGAATAATTCAAGATGCCCTGCAAAGAAAGTCTCTCCAGGTAGAGAGACTTCCCTAAACTCTGGCTTTATAATAAGCAAAGGAAACCAATGTACTGGCCAAATGGCCAGGCTAGGTCATTGTAATTAATTCCCAAACAATAGCCAGTCACCTTCAGTTATTCTGGATAGCATTCTATGGTCAGGACTGCCCTGAGGCCCATTAAATTGAGCACTGTCCGAAGACATTCATAAGCATTACCTCAATTGTTTCATTTCTATTATTATTTACACTATTGTAATTACATTTTAGAGATGAGAAAATTGATATTAAGGATTATGACATTGTGATATAGCTTTGGATATGTGTCCCTACCCAAATCTCATGTTGAAATGTAATCACCAGTGTTGGAGGTGGGGCCCAATGGGAGGTGATTGGATCCTGGGGGCAGATTTCTCCTGAATAGTTTAGCACCATTCCCTTGGTACTGTCCTCATTATAATGAGTGAGTTCTTGAGAGATATAGTGGTTGAAAAGTGTGTGGCAGCTCCCCCATCTCTCTCCTGTTCCTGCTCTCACTATGTGATGTGCCTCCTCCCCCTTTGCCTTCAGCCATAATTGTAAGTTTCCTGAGGTCTACTCAGAAGCCAAACAGATGCCGATATGCTTCCTGTACAGCCTGAAGAACCATAAGCCAATTAAACTTCTTTGTTTTATAAATTACCCAGTCTCAGGTATTCCTTTATAGCAATGCAAGAGCAGCCTAATACGTATCATCACCTGCCAAAGTCAATGCTTATATTTTTACTTGAGCTATCCTTCTGCTCAAGACCCTGTAATACCATGCACGAGACTCTAGAGCCTAGGAAGAGTGTGGGTAAATAATAACATAGGCAAAGTTTGTCTCCTGCATTCCCAAGCCTACCACCCACCCATGCCACTTCAGGATTCGTTTATCTTTCAGACAGTCTCCTTCTCCTTCTCCCTTTTTCCCCTACCCAAAGTACACAATTCTCTGTGGCTACCCTTTTAAGGACAGGGAAGCAAATCTAATAAGTGAGTCTTGAGCAAAGCTACTCATACTTAGTATGAAATGATTGGCAGATGAGAGACAGTGTGTATGAACTGGTAAAATTAAACAATCAGCAATGAGATAAGGCAGAAACATTAATAGACTTATCATCACGAAACTTGTGTTCTCTCATAGACTGTGAGCTGGTAGAGAACCAGGATTATGCATATTAACTTGTTTAACTAACTCAAGGTCACTTGCATAACAGAAACTGTATATATGTTTGTCAAACTGGGTCAAACTAATTCTGGCTTTCCCACTCAGTTTGGAGTAACCGAATACAAACAACTTTGTAGACCTCAGTTTTATTTACCTATATTATGGGAGAGTTAGACCAGATCAGTGGCTTTCAGACTTATTTTTCATGGAAGGCTGCATTCAAATAAAATATTAATCATGATCATAAACAAATTAAATGGATACAAGTAAAGCCATTTTTGTTTAATTAATAGGCTAGCCCATTCCTCCCTTCTCTAAACAGTAACAAAAACCGTTAGAATGTGTTATACCTAACTTTTATGGTGCTTAATGTTTATTAACTGTATGTGTTAAACATCCCAAATTAAAATTTGTTTTAATACAGTTATCTCATTGAATTAATTTAATTTTAACTTTCTGGGCAATAGTGTCAACACAGTCCATTTAGAAGGCGTACCACTTACTAGCTGGATGACTTTGAAAATTTTCTTAATTTTTCTAAGCTTCATAGGCTTTAGCTCTAAAATGGGAATAGTTTGAAGAAGAGGATACAAGGAAATAAGGAATGTAGTATACTTATCCAATACCTTCCACAGAATAGGTGCATATTTAATGGTTCTGTTGGAGGGAGGAGGTTTTGGACCCAGCATAGGATTCCAGCACTGCACACTCAGACAGACCAACAGAGTTTCTGGTCCTACAACAAACCTGAGGGTGGCTCCTTAGGGGCAGAGGTACTCAGGCAATACTGAGAGGAGGGACTCCATGGGCATTGGTTACTGGCTGCTATGATAGCAGTCAGCTTCTCTCTGGGGCAAACAGTACCCTTGTATTTAGGAGCTGTAAAAACAAACCCCAATTTACTATCTTATTTGGAATTTATTTTTCTCCAGTCATAATAAAATTTGTGTGTGTGTTTTGTTGTTATTGTTGTTTTTGAAATTAATTATATTGGTCAAAACTCCCAGGTTTTGTCAAGATTTTAAAGCCTATACAACACAAACATTTACAGTCATCTAGTAAGATTTCTCTGCTCCCTCCTTCCAGGAAACATATCAAATTGAACTTGAAGAAGGTTCATTATCATACACAATTTCAAGTATGGTCATGAACTATTTAGATTACCACTTAGAGCAATACTTACTATTAATTTCATATAACTGCTAATTAGCAATGAGACACTTGAAATTATTTGAAATTTTTGACCCAATTTAAGAATGTCACAAGTATTTTAGGAGAGCAGTTACATTGCCAAAAAAAAATCCAACTGAATATTTAAAATCCATGCCTTTTATGACATGCTAATTATATTTCAAGTTTAAAAGAGGTATTACAGATATTCAAAATGGCTACACACCAGAAGTTCTTATGGCTTGATATTGTTATGTGGGATGAATACTACATATAATTAATATGTGAGATATGAACACTTTTTATTAGGCCTTAATGGAGGTACCTAACCATTTTTTTAATCTTTAGGGATTCAAAGAATGTGAGATTCAGTACGAAGGTCAGTGACATGCTGAAATATTTGAATTCTCCCATTTCATGAAGCATCAGTTCTTTTCCCCTCTTCAATTCTTTTATGTGACTGACAGTTCCATCCATTTTTTCCTGAGGCTACTATTGAAATTCCTTTGTACCTGTAGAAGCAAGTTTGCTGGTTGAAGAATTTTGTTTTACCTCTGCCTCTAAGACTTGTCAACGGCAAATTAGGACAAGGAATTCTAATTTATGTTTCAAAGGCTTCAATAGTAGTGAGAAGTATTTTTGTTTACATTCCCCCCCAAAAGTGTCAAGTCAAGATGATGAACCACAACACACTACTGTACAATTATTAGAAAATTCCAGGAGGAGTTGTGAAATATGAGAAGTAAGGGCAAGTGGGGAGAATGTGGCTAATTCTATTAAGACTCCTAAAATGTGCAGCACAGCAGCCGAAATTGGACTGGAGGGAAGCAGAATGTGTATCTGACCTTTGTTTGTTCACATTCATTACATATAAACATATACATAACCTTCCCATAAACATATGTATATTTAAAGAGGTTAAAACCATTTCTAATGTTTCTACTACTACATAATAAGCCTAAACTAAATACAAGCTGGTCTTAGCACAAACAGTGGCTTTATCATGCTTGTTTTGTTGACATGCTGTGAATATTTTCAAATATACAGAAAAGTTGAAGCAACTTTGCAGTGAATGTTTATATATCCACTACTTAGAATCCATAATTAACATTTTCTGTATTTGCTTTATCACATATATATCCACTTCTCTCACCTGCTATCCAATCATCTTATTTTTTGAAGCACTCAAAGTAAGCTACAGACCTCAGTAACTCTAAATTTCAGTGTGGTTTTTATTTTCTCTTATCCTGATGCTAATCTAGTCACTGAATGATAACATTGGTGCTTTTAGCTAAGGACTTTTGGTTTTTTAGTAGTTTGTCTTTTTGCTTGTATGAAGGTATTTTACTTGTTAGATCATTCTAATGGCAATATTATGGGGAACATGCAAAGTGGGGACGAAGAGGAATAGATTTCCATCTCAAGCTCCATTCAGCACAGTGCAGAAAATATGATACAATTACATGGTGGTAAATTCAGCTGCCTTCCTGATTATGATTTCCCTCAGACATTTCAGATTTAAGCTCCATGACATTCAAGATTCACCTATCACTCTTCAATTCTAGGGCTGACACTAAGGAACTGAGGCATTGGTGATGGACGTATGTTCTTCACAATCTTGATCAGTATCTCTCCTGTTATGGAATCATATCAGATGTGTTAGGTCCTCTCTGGTCCACGGACACGTCCTCTTCTATGCCAGCACTGGTTGAAGTGTAACTAGAGTATCATTCACTCCTTAGAGGGTTGTTCCACTCTGTAGTCTTCAATGTGGCATTCCCTGCAAGGACAAAACTTCTACATGCCCATTGACATGTTTCATAGCTCATTTTCCTTCACACAGAGCAAGGGGCAGGGAATGAGGCACAAGAAATTTTGCATGTTCTCCAGTCCCTCTTTGTGGCTGCAGGAAACATGACAGTTTTTCTTTGGTCTTCTTACACCTAGACAGACCGCAACGGCATTTCCATTCTCTGGTGCCCATCCCAGGGTTGCTTGGGAGTTCTCTGCTTTTTATGGCTTCGCCCACAGGGAGAGGAAGACTGCTTTCTAATCTCAGATCCTCAAGCCTAAAAAAAATTCTATTCTGCCCCTCTCATCATACACACAGAACTTTCACACCTCATCTAATACTCTTACCTCCTTTCTAAAATCTCTAGCCTGTCTCTTCTAGCCTAGAAGGTTTTATATTCACTCACTGTGCCAGGTAAAACAGGATAGCTATGTATTCTTCCAAGTTTATTGTTTAATCTAGGCTCTAGATCTTGGGAGATCAGAAGCTGAGCATTACCTTATTTTGTTTTTCTTTGCATTTCAGCTGTGACTTCAATTTCCTTGGCACATAGAGTCCAAACATAGTTTGAACAGAGGAAAGGTGGTGGAATAACAGATTTTTTTAGAAAAGCAAAAAGCATCACAATACTACTTAGCTCATCTCTTCATATCTGCACTGTATGGGTTCATATGTTGCCTAGAATAGTAGTTCTCAACTGGGGGCAATTTTGACCCCCCCACCCACACACAGGGGACATTCAGCAGTATCTGGAGACGTTTTTGTTTTTTCACAATTAGAAGAGGTGGGTGCTACTGACATTTTTGTTTTTCACAATTAGAAGAGGCGAGTGCTACTTGCATTAGAGAGACATGTGATGTTGCTAATCAAACTACAATGCACAGGATAGTCCCCACAACAAAGAACTTTCCAGCTTTCCAGCCAAAAACAGCAAGAGTGTCAAAGTTGAGAAACTGTCATCCAAACCAATCCTTCTAAAACTATGTTTGAGGGAGCCCAAGGATTCTATGAAAGGGTTATCTCAGGAGCTGTGGGGAAGATCAGTAGCCTCCCTCATCTTGCTCCAACCAGAGAAATTTTACTTTGCACATAAGTTTCCATATAAAATTTCATTTTGTGGGAAAAATGGAGGGGTTATTCATTACATTTTTTAAATCACTATAATAGATTATCCCTAGTGAAATGTTTTCCTAATTTGTTTACAGATCATAATTTTTTAATATAGGGGGACTAAAATGATATTTTGCCAATTAATGACATTAATAACATTTTAAAAGACTCTCATTCATTTTTACTATTATTTACCATTGTCTCATAAAAGAAATAATCCTCTCCCAGCAAAAAGACAAGAAATTTATAATTTCAGAACAAAGAACAGCAATTCGAATTGAAATATTTTAGCCTCATGGAAAACTTACAGTTGTTATTTGTGCTTTTCTCATTTGCAGCAAGCCAGTACAAATTTTGTTACAGCCCAGCCTCTGTTGAGAGACTGATAAGAACCTCTGCTACAGAATCCTTCAACTCAGGGATTCAATAAAATCTTTCTGATTTTTCCCCAAAGTTCTATCTCATTAATTCAGTGGCTCTTGCAAAGGTTTCTGCCCAAAACTGTAATAGTAAAGAGGCCTACATTGACAAATACTTCTCAAATAAGCCACAGCAGTTAGAGTTCTGAATGTGGAAGCTTGTCCAATTAAGCCTAGGTTTTACAGATTCTAATACAGGGTAAGAGAAAAATACATTATAAGAAATCACAGTAATGTTTTTATTCATAATGAATAGTTGCCTCTATTTAGTTCTCCCTCCCTTCATCTCCAGTCCAAATTCCCAGGAATCAGCACCATAACAATTACCAGCAGGACTAGACTCACTAACACAGGGTACAAGATTGACAATCAAGAGTCAGTTAAAGAATGAACAAGAGTGAAGGTAGATGACATTATATCTGAATTTGTGACTGCTGACCAAATGATTTGAGTGAAAACTTACCATGTTTATATTCATAAGCCATGAAAACAAAGACAAAGATATTCTCAAGCATTGTTCTAAGCCATGAAAACATACACATTGACATTTTCAAGCATTTTTTTTTCTATCATGAGGAATACAACAAATTCCTGTCAGTAATGGTTGCCCAGGGCTCACAACCTGTGCAGGTAGTGGGATCTCCAATTGATTCTGTTCCATGTACACCCAGAATGAGAAGACAGGAAGGAAGCGTTAGATTTTATTTATTTTTTTTAGATGTATTAACTGGTAAAATCTACTTCTCTAGAGAGATCTCATTTGTAAATACTTAGACCATTTTATTCTCCCCCATTAGCCCTCAGCTCCATCCTCCCCCTCCCACCAGCTAACATTCACATAATGAAAATAATTTGTCAATGAATAGCTCTTAGAAGAGATAAAGTCATAAAACAAAAACAATTTCTTCTACATAAATTTCAGTGATGTCATTGTATTTTACACTGCTAAGAGAACTGACATCATTATTAGTCAATATTAATGAAACTTCAAACAAATGACAATGTAGACTACAAAAATATCACAAAATAGAAGATATGCTTTTAATTCCTAAGGGTTCAAAGTCTAAGAAAAATTCAATATAATCATGCATAACATAACCAGATCTTATCTGGCCCCTAGAACTCACAGGGTGAATCACACATAAGGCACACACACAGCGTTTTCCAATTCTATTGTGGGCTTTGATATATTATTGTTACTTTTCTTCATCTCGTTTTGTTTTGCATGGACATAATAATAGAGAAAAGGTGACTAAAAATGGAAGTGAAGCAATAAAAGAAAACAACTAAAATATATTGAACTTATATTCTGGGTCAGATGTTACGTGTAACTGTTTTATTTATTCTAAAGTAGTTCTAACAGTCCTTTGAGATTAGAAAAATAATCTATGTGTGATGAAATTGGAGTTTAGAGAGGTTAAGGACCCTTTGCAAGTCCATACCTTTAACCCCAAATAAGACCACCTTCAAAGTCCCTTATCTTACCACTCCATCATGCTGAAAGAGGGTGCATTGAGCAGGCTTTTATAGTGTGCCTATCATATGGTAGATGCTTAATTATGGAGTCATGGAACAGGAACTTGGAAAAAGAGGAACTTTTAAAAAAATTCATTCATTTCACAAATATTTATTGAGTACTTACCCTGTGCCAGACAGAAGAGAGGCTCCTACCTGGAAATGTTGACAAGGAATAAAAGATAAATATTAGTCAATTGCTGATAATTACTGAATCTCACCCAATCCCATTGGTCAGCTTTCCAAATAGCTTCTGCACTCCGGTTGGTAACATCACATTATTGGGGGCATGTGATTCCCAGCAGATCTGCCTCTCCCCAGAAGCCTGCTTTCTAGGCTCACTCTGATTTCCCTGACTTTTTTCAATCACATTTTGCATACAATCTGCAAATTACTAATTTTTGCAAGCTCAAATAATTTAGTCATTAAAAAATAAGCCTTTTTCTTTATCTTTTGTAACAGTTATATAGTGCCTAGTTCACAGAAGGTAGCCACAGAGGCCTTTTGTTTTTCTTCCTAGAAAGAAACAGAGAGCCTTAGCCCAGCCTCCTGATTTTACTGATAAAGAAACTAAAGCACAAGGAAAGGACTTGAATTTTTATACTTACAGGACTACTTCCTAACAAAACTAAGACAAAAACTCAAGTCTCCTAACTCCTGGGCTAGTACTATTTGCAATTCTATGACCATTCCCCCTGCCATTTGGAATTGAGTCAATTCCCCAAATAGAGAAATCTTTCCAATTTATAGCTTTAATTATGGGTATGAGAGTCACCAAATTTTCTGCCTATTCCCATGCCCATTTTCTAATTAAACAAGTGATAAAAGATGTGACTGACGTAATGAACATCAAAAAAGAAGAAATAATGAAATAAACATTATGAGGTTATGAGTTGGCCTGAGATCAATTCACTGGTCTTCATTATACTTATTCATACAAGCTTGGGTTTTATCCAGATGAGCTCCAACTCTGTATTCTAATTCAGCACTGTGGTAGCTTCACATATTTTATGTATTTAAAAAATAGTAAGACATCAAATCCAATCAAGAATATTTAAGATCCTATATGCATAAAACATTATCATAGGCAATACAGAAAAATAAACCTGTTTCAAAGATAGAGTCCCTGATATAAACAAGTTTTACAATTTTTTTTGCAAAAAAAATCAGCAGAATTTCTTTCAGGAGAGACGTGTCATTCATTCATTCATTCTCTAGTGAAATTGAGCATCTGTTATATACAAGCACTTTATTAGGGAGACCGTCAGTGAAAAGGATCCAACAAAAGAAGCACAGGTATAGATGTATTCATTATTCATTATACATTGTTGCATAACTAACTACCCCAAAACCTAGTGGTTTAAAACAACAAAATTGTATTATTCCATAGTTTCAATTGGTTTGGAATTGAGTCATGACTCAGCAGGTGCCTCTGGCTCAAATCCCTCATGAGTGGAAGTTATGCTGCAGGCCAGAGCTGCTATTTTATCTGAAAGCTCAACTGCACAGGAAGGGGGCTAGAAAAGGATCTGCTTC
The DNA here is from genome assembly GCF_000001405.40 of Homo sapiens. Taxonomy (NCBI): domain Eukaryota; kingdom Metazoa; phylum Chordata; class Mammalia; order Primates; family Hominidae; genus Homo; species Homo sapiens. The sequence goes on along the minus strand of NC_000006.12, from coordinate 51,060,442 downwards.
CTATTTCACTCACACGGTTATCGGCATACTTTAGTCCCTTACCATGTAGGCTTCTCCACAGGGCTGCCTTGGGACACAACTGACTTCCCAGTGTTCTCAGGGAGAACACTTCAAGAGAGAACACCCAAAACAGAAGCCATTGTCTTTTTATAGCCTAACCTCAGAAGTGACATCCCACCATCCCATCACATCTGCACTATTCTGTTCAGTAGAAGTCGGTCAATAGGTCTAGCCCACATTAAAAGGGAGAGAATTATAACATGGAAGGAGTCATCACTGGGGCCATGTGAGGGACTGTGTATCACCACAGACCTTGCCCTTAGGAAGCTTAAAGCCTTTTATATTATAATTTTTTTTACTATGTTGTTCCATGGGTATAAAATATAACTGGCCAATGGTAGGTTCTCAATAGACATTTGTAGAATACTAGGTGATAAATAAAAAAGGCAGACTGGGGCTAAATTGAGAAAGTCCTAGAATGCCTAGGTGAGTATTTTATAATTAATTTAGTGGACAAGGTAGAACCACTCATAGTTGGACCACTAAGGAGCATAATAGTTGGGGAGAACTTTTCTTCAATCTAATAATGTCATTTGCCACCAATTCTTCTGTTCTTTCACAAGTGATGAGAAGATGGCTTCCATCCTTGTTTCTACTTTAAGGTTATCACCTATCCCAGTTTGCCAAGACTATGGGAGTTTGCAGGACATGGCACTTCAGTGCTAAAACAAGGAAAGTTCTGGGAAACCTGGGATGAGCTGGTCGTCCTACTCTACCCCCATAACTCATTTTTCCCTTCAGGAGGAACAATGGCCAAACTGATTGGTTCACATGTCCATGGGTTACCTCAAAAACTAATAGTCTCTCTCTCACCATCCTGGGCCAGCTATGCTTAGCCATGGTGGGGGTCTCATCTCATACTTCCACTGCCTACTCAAGAAGGCTCAACCAATTTCTCTTATCTGGGTTTGCCAACAATGAAACAGATGGTGTACACTGTTTCATTGTTTCTATTTCTCAACTCAACGGAAATCAGAGGGAAAAGAACCAATTAAGATCTTCCATATATGTAACAATGATTGAAGCTGTATTTTCAGAGTATTTAGTGAGTAGTTATAAAGTGCTAACTATGTGCCACACAAAGTATTAGAGAAAGAGAAATAAGGCAATCCTTACCCTTATGACACTCACAGCTGAATGGGAGGACAGACGTATAAACCAATTTTTAAATACAGCACATTAAGTCATAGTCAATGTCTGTCAGAAGGGTAATAAAAGTTTTGAGTGTTTCTTCAGGAGGTGATGTTTGAATCGAATCATAAGAAATGAATACAAGTTTGTGAGGCAAATACGTTAGAAAGGGCATTCTAATAAATTGAACAGCATACAAAGACATCGAAGTATAGAAACATGAGGGTAATAACAGAAAATAATTTAAAATGTCTCCATCAGTAGGAGAATGCAGAGGCATTGCAAAAAAAATAAAGGTAAAGTTTATCTGGGTACTGGACATTCTGGAATACCAGATTACGACTAAAGACTAAGAAACTTAAGTTACAGATTGGAAGGTGGGAAGAACAGCTATTAACTCTGAAAATGGTTGGGGGCCATGTAAAAACTGGAAATAAAATGTGTATTCATTAGGGTTCTCTAGAGGAACAGAACTAATAGGATATATATATATATATGATATTATATTTTATATATATATATGATATTATATTTTATATATATAATATGATATTATATTTTACATATATAGGAGTTTATTAGTATTAACTCACAGGATCACAAGGTCCCACAATAGGCCATCTGCAAGCTGAGGAGCAAGGACAGCCAGTCTGAGTCCCAAAAGTGAAGAACTTGGAGTCTGATGTCTGAAGGCAGGAAGCATCTAGCACAGGAGAAAGATGTAGACTGGGAGGCTAGGCCAGTCTAGTGGTTTCACATTTTTCTGCCTGCTTTATATTCACTGGCAGCTGATTAACTGGTGCCCATCCAGATTAAGGGTGGGTCTGCCTTTCTCAGCCCACTGACCCAAATGTTAATCTCCTTTGGCAACATCCTCACAGACATACCCAGGATCAATACTTTGCATCCTTCAATCCAATCAAGTTGATATTCAATGTTAACCATCACAAGTCCACCTCTTGTCAACTTGAACCCATACACATCTCCTGAGATCATAAGTAATCTTCAAACAGAGACAATAATAAGGTCATAATTACACTAACATAATACAACTATCTTTTTTTTACAACCGGAACACACCAATCCTCAACCCAAATACTATTACATAAAGTTAACTATCGCAAGGACAAAAAACCAAACACCACATGTTCTCACTCATAGGTGGGAATTGAACAAGGAGAACACATGGACACAGGAAGGGGAACATCACACTCTGGGGACTGTTGTGTGGTGGGGGGAGGGGGAAGGGATAGCTTTAGGAGATACACCTAATGCTAAATGACGAGTTAATGGGTGCAGCACACCAGCATGGCACATGTATACATATATAACTAACCTGCACATTGTGCACATGTACCCTAAAACTTAAAGTATAAAAAAAAAAAAATCGTATGTGCTAGGAAAAAAAAAAAAGAGTCCTAATAGTATTTTGTATTTGTTCATTTCTTTTAGCAATTTTTTTCTATATTTAATATATATTTTGAAGCAATATTAGGTACTTGAAAGTCATTAGTATCATTTTCATTTTCAATGGATTTTTAAAAATTTTGTCAATATGAAATATCTTTATCTTTAACATTTTTGTCCTTAAAATTTTTAACTACATAAATATTTTTTGCATTTAAAAAAATACTTAAATGCTGATATCAAGTCAATAAATCTTATGTTACATGATAAAGGAAAAGGAAATAAATGAAGATACTTTGTTAGTACAAGTGTATACATGTACAAACGCGTTTTTAACACAAGAAGGAGGAAATACTCATGACCGTTACAGTACTCGTTTCTGCAGCTGGTCATGTGGTTGCAGTTGGTATTGATGACTACCTTCTTCTACTACCCATTCTATATTCCCTTTGCCTTCAGCAAGCACCTCAGCAGGTAGTGGTTTTTTTTTATAGTGGAGTGACCAAACCTTCATTTATGAAGGGTCTGGGCCATTTGTACTCCTGCCTGAATTGGGCTGTTGTAGTTTCCCATTACCTTAATCACAAGGCATGGTAATACTAAGAGATGCCCTAATGAATCTCTTGTCTTCCATGCATTCTCTTCCTTACCTCTCCTGTGGAGCAGTAGACTGATTTTGTCTTGATAGTCTGGGTCAATCACCCCAGCAAACACTGTAACTTCCTTCTTAGCCTGTTGACTTAAAAGTAGGAGGAATCCAAAGTGTCCAGGTGGCAATCTTAACTTTTAGTTTAATGGAATCATTGTTGTCTCCTGGTGGCAGAATTTCTCCCTCTGGATCTAAGACCTCTAGGCCAGCAGAACATAATGTCGTGGGAACCGGAAGCAAACACTTTGCTAGTGGATCACTAGGGGTGATGGTGAGTAGTTCCACTTCCACTTTCCCCACCTTGATTCCTGGACCATGAATCCTGGCTATGGGAGAAACAGTATCATATATTGGATGCTGATTCAGAGCATACACGGCCTTCTGGCCAGCCCTGCAAAGTACTGTCATTGTAATTGTGACTTCAAATGACCATTCCACAGTTCTACCAATCCAGCTGCTTCAGGATGAGGAACATGGTAAGACCAGTGAATTCTATGAGCATGAGCCCACTGTGACACATATTTAGCTGAAAAAGTGAGTGCCTTGGTCAGAGGCAATGTAGAATACCATGACAGTGCATAAAGCATTAGTCCACGGATGGTAGTCTTGGCAGAAGCATTGCACATAGGATAGGCAAACCCATATCTGGAGTAAGTGTCTATTCCAGTGAGGACAAAACTCTGCCCTTTCCATGTTGGAAGAGGTACAATATAATCAACCTACCATCACGTAGCTGGCTGATGACCCTGAGGAATGGTGCCATATAGAGGGCTCAGTGTTGGTTTCTGCTGCTGACAAATTGAGCACTTAGCAGTGGCCATAGCCAGGTCAGCCTTGGTGAGTGGAAGTCCATGTTGCTGAGCCCATGTGTAACCTCCATCCCTGCCACCATGGCCACTTTGTTCATAGGCCCATCAGATGATGACAGGGGTGACTGGGGAAAGAGGCTGAGTGGTGTCCACAGAACAGGTCATCCTATCCACTTGATTATTAAAATCCTCCTTTGCTGAGGTGACCCGTTGGTGGGTGCTCACATAGGATACAAACATCTTCACAGTTTTTGACCACTCAGAGAGGTCCATCCACATACTTCTTCCCCAAATTTCTTCATCACTGATTTTCCAATCATGCTTCTTCCAAGTACCTGACCATCCAGCCAAACAATTGATGACAGTCCATAAATCAGTATATAATTGCACATCTGGCCATTTCTCCTTCAAGGCAAATACACAACTAGGCACACTGCTCAAAGTTCTGCCCACTGGGAAGATTTCCTGACACTGCTGTCCTTCAGGGATGTCCTAGAAAGGGGCTGTAGTGCTGCAGCCGTCCACTTTCGGGTGGTGCCTGCATATTGTGCAGAACAATCTGTAAACCAGGCCCTAGTCTTCTCTTCCTCTGTCAGCTGTTCATAGGAAATTCCCCCTGAGGCCATCAGTGAAGGCTAGGGGAGAGAAGGCAGGGTGGCAGGAGTGGAGACCATGGGCATTTGAGACACTTCATCATGTAACTTACTTATGCCTTCAGGACCTGCTAGAGCCCAATCACGTATATACCACTTCCATTTGATGATGGAATGCTGCTGTGCATGACCCACTTTATGACTACATGGGTCAGAAAGCACCCAGTTCATGATAGGCAGTTCAGGTCACATGGTGACTTGATGACTCATAGTCTAACATTCACCAAAACTCAGTAAAAGGCCAAGAACTGTTTCTCAAAAGGAGAGTAGTTATCTGCAGAAGATGGCAGGGTCTTGCTCAAAAACCCTAGAGGCCTTCACTGTGATTCACCTATGGGGGCCCGCCAAAGGCTCCAAACAGAATCCCTGTCTGCCACTGACAACTCAACCACCATTGGATCTCTTGGGTCATATGGCCCAAGTGGCACAGTAGCTTGCACAGCAGCCTGGATCTGTTGCAGAGCATTCTCCTGTTCTGGACCCCACTCAAAACTGGCAGCCTTTCAGGTCACTCAATAAATGGGCTGGAGTAACACACCCAAATGAGGAATATGTTGCCTCCAAAATCCAAATAGGTCCAGTAGGCACTGTGCCCCTTTCTTGGTTGTAGGAGGGGCCAAGTGCAACAACTTATCCTTCACCTTAGAAGGAATATCTCGACAGGTCCCACACCACTAGACCTTTAGAAATTTTACTGAGGTAGAAGGTCCCTGAATTTTAATCAGGTTTATTTCCCAAACTCTGGCAAGCAAATGTATCACCAATAGTCCAGTGTGTTTGCTGACTGGATCCAATCAGCATAATGTCATCAATGTAATGGACCAACGTGATATCTTGTGGAAGCAAAAAGCAATCAAGTTATCTCCCAATAAGATTATGACACAAAGCCAGAGAGTCGACATGCCCCTGAGGTAGGACAGTAAATGTATATTGCTGGCCTTGCCAGCTGAAAGTAAATTGCTTCTGGTGGGCCTTATGGACAGGAATGTAGAAAAAGGCATGTGCCAAGTCAATGGGTGCATACCAGGTACCAGGAGATGTGTTAATTTGCTCAAGCAATAAAACCACATCTTGTACAGCAGCTGCAATTGGAGTCACCACTTTGTTAAGCTTACAGTATCATTCTCCAAGATCCATCTGTCTTCTGCACAGGCCAATTAAGAGAGTTGAATGGGAATGTGGTGGGAATCACCACCCCTGCATCTTTCAAGTCCTTGATGGTGGCACTAATCTTCACGATCTCTCCAGGGATGCAACATTGTTTCTGATTTACTATTTTTCTAGGTAGAGGCAGCTCTAATGGCTTCCATTTGGCCTTTTCCACCCTAATATCCCTCACCCTACCAGTCAGGGAGCCAATGTGGGGGTTTTGCCAGCTGCTAAGTATGTCTATGCCAATTATGCATTCTGGCACTGGGGAAATGACCACAGGATGAGTGCGAGGACCCACTGTAAGTCGTACCTGAGCTAAAACTCTACTAATTACCTGACCTTCATAAAACCCTACTTTAACTAGAGGACCACAATGACATTTTGGGTCCCCTGGAATCCATGTCAGCTCAGAGCCAGTGTCCAGTAGTCCCCGAAATGTCTGATCATTTCCCTTTCCCCAGTGAACAGTTACCCTGGTAAAAGGCTGGAGATCTTCTTGGGGGAGGATGGGAGAAAGATTAACAGCATAAATTGTCGATAGTGTAGTAGGATCCCCTTCACAAGGGGACCCAGCCTCCCCTTCATTCAAGGGGTTCTGGGTCTGTAAACTGGCTTAAGTCTAGAAATTGATTGAGGGGCCTTGATTCTGTTTTCATAATTCAAATTAGTCTTTTGTCCATAAAACCTAGAAATTTTTCTGTGTATATAAATTAAGTAGGAATGCAGTAAGCTTCCTCTCAATTTCATGGTGTTCTAGAAACACCCTGATTAATTAGCCAATGCTAGAGCACTATAGGAGTCAGACTATTATAAATGCTGCTTTGCCTCTGCTGTTCATTACAGTAGGTATGCCCACCTTGCCTTTGATGGTTGAGTGCTGCCACTTGGCCCCTGCCACCTCAGGATCCAATTATTCCCATTGTATTTAAATTTTGTAGTTGAGTGACTGCAGTTCCCACTGTTAGATCTGACGTACAGAGAAGAGCAATTACAGTGCTCTTCAAAGACGCAGGTGCTGCCCTCACAAATCTATTTCACAAGGCATTGGTCAAGGGTATATTTTCTGGACCCTCCCAGCTGGGATGAGTAGGTCTAAAGTGACTAATCCACTCCACCCATCCCAATCTCCCTAAGCCTTTGGATCCCTTCCTCTGCATTAAACCAAGGGAGATCAGGCATTTCCAACTCACTCACAGTGGGCCATCTTTTAATGCATATTTCAGCCAACCAGGCAAATAAACTATCAGAATCTTTTTTAATTCCCCAAGCTGCAATATTAAATGCAGAGTTTCTACTTAGTGGGCCCAAATCAATAAATTCAGCCTGATCCAACTTTTATGTTCCTTCCACCGTTATTCCACACCCTTAATATCCATTTCCATGCCTGTTCTCCAAATTTCTGCTTGTATAAATTAGAAAACTCAAGCAATTCTTTTCTAATGTAGCTCACCTACTCATGGGTCACACTCTCAACTTCACCTCTAGGGGCCTTCTGGGAATTTAGTCTAGTTATAGGTCTAGAAGCAAACAGGGGTGTTGGGGGGTGGCTCCTGAAGAGAATCAACATTATCTTGCCTGGCAACTGCCTCAGGGGAGGCCATCACTGTTGCCTCAGGCAGCACAGGGTTTATCTCCTCAGACAAAGGTGGAAAGGCTGATGGCAGCATGGGTCTGGGAGGGGATGTTGCCACTACTGGGGATGGGGAAACTGTTTCTTTGGGCAATAAAGTTTCATCAGAGCTTACAAACCCAGTGTCCCCAGCTTCATCAGGGTCCTCCCACATATCCCATTCTCTTCCAATCAATGTCCTCACTTTAACAGTAGACACCGGGCGAGGCTGTGGATGCATCTTTTGTTGCAGGTCAGCCACTCGCATGATAAGAATTTGTGTCTGTTTTTCCACAATTTCAGCTCTTTCTCTTTAGGAGATAAGACTCTCACTCAGGGTAATCTTAGTAGATTTGAGGCTCTGTATCTGCTTCTGAAGCCATGAATTAGAATCCCTGAGCTTATTTTCTTTTATCACTTTGTCCATTGAACTTAGGAGCAACCAACCAGCTTCATTATGTTCCTTGGTTCTCCACATATGGTCAAAGCCATTATGTATAGAATCACTAAACTCCTTGTCTCTCATGAGCAGTGAATCAGGAGTGTTAAATGCATTTATTTTGCATAACTCTCTAAACAGTTCATGCCAAGGAGCATCAGTCTTCTCCATACTATTAGAATTAGAATCCTTAGCATTTTGGGGTCTAATCATATTAAGCAGCCAACTCCAGAAACCCCAAAACCAAGAAAAGAACTCTGTCCTTAATATACTGTTCCTCTAGAACCACCCCTGGTCCCAAGATCTGTATTAGTCAGGGTTCTGTAGAGGTACAGAACTAATCAGATAGATATATATTTAAAGGGGAGTTTATTAAGTATTAATTCACACTATCACAAGGTCCCACAATAGGCCATCTGCAAGCTGAGGAGGAAGGAAAGCCAGTCCAAGTCTCAAAACTGAAGAACTTGGAGTTTGATGTTCAAGGGCAGGAAGCATCCAGCACAGAAGAAAGATACAGGTTTGGAGGCTAGGCCAGTCTAGTCCTTTCACATTTTTCTGCCTGCTTTATATTCTAGCTGTACTGGCAGCTGATTAAATGGTGCCCATCCAGATTAAGGGTGGGTCTGCCTTTCCTGGTCCACTGACTCAAGTTAATCTCCTTTGGCAACACCCTCACAGATACACCCAGGATCAATATTTTGCATCCTTCAATCCAATCCAGTTGACACTCAGTGTTAACCATCACAAAGTGGTTGTCACTGTATGAAATGAGGAGAACAAATTGGACAGATACAGGTCCCTACCTGTATCTTCAGGTACAGAATCTTCAGGACTCTCCCACCAGAGATGGAGAAATAAAAGCACAAGAATCAAAGGTGACACCAAGGCATTTATCCTGGGATACCAAGAAAGGAGAAGTGCTCTCAACAGAATTAAGAAAATGAGAAAAAGCCAGCCTTCTGAAAACTCATTCAGTAAAATAAATGTTTATGTTGGTCGGGGGTTGGTAGAGCACCTAAGTTGGGATGTGGAACAAGCAATTGAAAATGTAGGCATAGGTCACAGAAGAGACAGCAGGGCAACAGATACAGGTGTGCCTAGAGATGATAGGTGATCAATGATCCCCAAACAAGAGAGATGATATTTTTTAAAAAGGCAGACACTGAATATTTAGAAAAGCCAACATTTTCTAAACAGAAAAAAACACAGCCCTTTGAAATAAGCAGTGAAGAGAAGCAGTTCAGCGGTGTAATTTACAAGAAGGAAGGGAGACTTTCAAGAAAGCAGAGATGGTCAGTAGGACTGAGATATTGAAGATGTTGGGGATTACATGGTGGCTATGAGAGTGTGGCCATTCATGAACAGTCTTGGCAGAGAGGCAAATAAAGGTAGCACATGTGTGATAAATGAGGAGAAACTGGTGGAGTTGCAGGATAGCTAAAACTTATCACAAGTACATTTTTTTTTTTAGCTTAGCAAGATTTATGAAGAAAACTCCTTCAGATTATTTGGCTATCTATGCAAAACATCATTTGTGAACAACATCAAATATTAAACCTAAATTTCATCTAATTATTTGTCTATCTATCCAAATAAGCACAATGCCAGGTATTAGGAATACAAAAACAAGAGTTGATTGGTGATGTTTACCTTCAGGAGGGCCTTCCTCCTGCTAGTCACAGACTGAAATACAAATAAAGATGCCCAAAGTATGGCAGTTACTATAGCAAATCATAGAGGACAAAAGAAGTTCAAAGAACAAACTGGAGTTTCCTTCAGGGCTTAGGGCTTACCAACATTTCCCCCTCAAAAAAAGAAAAAAAAAAAAAAGACCGCAAATGTTGATTCACCCACAGTAGAGTGAAAACCAGAATAGGTTCCAGTGACACAAAGTTGTTAGACCCCCATAAATATGCCAAATAGCAATGAACAATCTCAGACAATAGAAGATAAAGAACTTGAATTTTAAAAGCTGCAGCAACAAGTGACTCAAAAAACTGAGGGACTAAACAAGCAATCTTTTGTTCTTTTCATCAAAAACACTCTTTTTGCTTTTAACTGCAATTGGTGACTACTGACTAATAGAAAATGTGTAGGAATACAGTTTAAGGGTTGTATGTTACTGTAGATAACACTCATAGGATCTTGCTACTTAGAGGTCTTACAAAGGTGTTGTCAAATAGATAAGGTCTGATACAGTTCAAGCATGAAAACCATATGATTTATCTGTATAGCCACAGCACAAGCTAAGAATAGAAGCTGCGATTCTTCCTTCTGCAAAGCAGAAACAAGGCAAGATTGCTAATGTCATCCTGACTCACCAAGTGCAGCCAAGACTGTTCCTTTCAGCAAAATTGCTGAACTGTGTGGTTGAGGCTGGATGATTTTCACACAAAGGGACTCTTCCACACACAGGGCTCTCCAACAGCAGAAGAATCTGTGAGGCTACAACAGATGTGCCCTATTGAAGAATCCCCTCCACATGGGCAGGTGCCAGAGGAACAAGTGGAAGAACAGATCAGCCCAGCAGGGGCCACTTGTGGTGGAAGAAAATGGCAAATGAACTTACAGGCCTCAGCTTAAATCTGCCAGATCTGGTGTTCACAAAGCTGTGAAACAGAAAGGAGAAATATTCAATTATCCATTATCATGTAGACAGTACACCTTTCTCAGCACTCCTCAGGCTTCACGTCATCTGCAATTATTACTGTCATGGCCAATTAGCACTAAAGACAAGTCACAACACACCTGCACTATACTACCCAATAGAGCTTACAGGCACCCAAACCCTGCTAGGCAGTAACTACTGTAGTTTAGAGACAGTTAGGCTGCCCAGGTACCTCCTCTTCCTAGGGTGGGGAGAAGGAAGATAAAAACAAATGAATCACACCTGGGAAGGCCTTCCTCCTTAGGAGAGGGTCTGGGCTTCCCACGTCATCAGCTGAAGAGGGTTTACAGAGGAGACTAGGCAGAAAAATTACCCCATCCCCCCACACCCTTCAAACATGGAGTATGAGCAGGTAAACATATATAGCTAAATGTTTTGTGAGGCTTCAGGTAAAGAACTCTAAGACATTGTCTATGTCCAAGATAAGAAGCACCATTTCGGCAACTACATGAGGCTATGATTCCCATCATGCCCTGGAATCTACAGAATTTTACAGTTGAAAGGGCTTTGTAGGACTTATCTGCTTGAACTTCTTAATTCTATGGGTTAAAAAACTGAGACCCAGAGAAATAATATATTTAATATGACACAGAGATGACTCAAATATCTAAGATGATGTTTACCTAGTTTTATTTACTCTGGACAACAAAAATCTTGGCACTGCTAATTACTAAGCTTATAAAGTCAAGTGGAGGATTTGTGGGAAATGGCTGGCCCCATATTCTTTAATAAGGAGAATATAAACTTCCTAAAGAAATTTAATATAATGGTGTAACAATAAATTCTAATGTCAGTCTCCAGACCCTTCACACCAGGAAGAAGTGATACCTGGATCTAGTTCTTCGGGTCTCCCTCATGTTCCTCATAACCACACCCCATGCGATGGGGCATGAACTGGGATGTCCATTACTTGCTGCAGGGTCTCCAGTACCAGATTCAGGTAATGAGTCATCTTTATATTTTAGCTTCAAAATGGCATTCTAACTTAAGCATAATTTGAGGATTGAAGCTTCTCTGGAGACATATCTTTTGGTGCTGTGGTTATAGGAAGGCTCCTTTGTTAAGCAGAGTAGGCGTAGGTAGTACAGTGACACTTGTCTCTTTTTCTGTAAGAGAGTTTGATGATAACAGTAGCATCTTGTAGAGATGCAAATATTAAATAAAATAATACAGAGAAGAGTGTTTCAAAAACAGTTTGAGCTCTCTAAATGTTAGCTATTTATTTTGTCTTAAAGTGAAAATAACCTGTCTTTATACATATACCTTAAGATAAAATTTCCTGTATCAACATCTCCCAGAAAATGGTACCTTGGGTACTACTTCTTAGTCATTACATGATTGATATAATAGGTGCTCCAAATAATTACTTGGCAAATTGGGAAGAGTCCATACTATCTTCCTTTAATCTAGGTGTTTTTAGGGAGTCATCCTTTCTACAACCGACTCCCAGTTTTGTAAGATGTCAGTTCCAGTGTTCTCTTGCCAAGGGATACAAATCTACATCCACAATCATAACTCCAGGTTTCTCTTTCCTGTTGCCCACAAATATAATGAATTTGGAAGAGCCTAGATTGTAGTTTTCTATGACTGAGTGGGCCTGTATTCCACTTCCACTTTGAGGCCAACTGCCACTTAACTGTGATACAAATCTGTGATTCTGATATTGTTATAAGTGAGGCCCACAGCTTTTGGACAGTAAGTATGTTTTAAATTTTTTTTTTTTTTTTTTTGAGGCAGAGTTTCACTCTGTTGCCCAGGCTGGAGTGCAGTGGTGCAATCTCGGCTTACTGCAACCTCAGCCTCCCAGGTTCCAGCAATTCTCCCGCCTCAACCTCCCGAGTAGCTGGGACTACAGGCACACACTGCCACACCCGGCTAAATTTTTTGTATTTCAGTAGAGACGGGGTTTCACCGTGTTGCACAGGCTGGTGGCAAACTCCTGAGTTCAGGCAATCTGCCCGCCTCGGCCTCCCAGAGTGCTGGGATTACAGGCATGAGCCACGGCAACTGGCCTGTTTTAAATTTTTTAAGTAAGCAAGACAGAGAGGAAGAGAGAGAACCTTACTATATTATCCAAGGGCAGTGATGAGCATGTGGTTATGAAGTGAGCTCAGTGTGCTTGTCCTTGCATCTAGCAAATACTATACATGCTCTATTTCTCCACTAAACTCATGACTAAATGGGGACTGTCAAATAAGTGAGGATATTGGGACAGTACCTGTCACCTACCACAGGACACACTCAGGTCAAAAACTGCATTCAAAGAAACATGTCCAGCCTCTAGCCATTTATTTCAGTCTTTTTGTTCTAACAGATACTTTCTTATATACCATATAAGAAACCAATTTAAAAAGGAAGAGATCAATAAGAAATATGTACTCTCAAAAGCTTACCTAAATTTTCATTTACTAGCTGATTTACACCAGAACACTTCAAGTATTCCACCAACTTGAACACCAAGTTCTATCAAGTTTTTAGTTCAAGTATTTGAAGGATTATTTTTGAAGGCTATTTATTTAGTTGCACTATTCACTAAAGAAACAAACATAATTATTACAACAAGCAACTTTTATATATTCCAAACCAGCTTAGTTTGGTTTACTATAAGCCAACATCTTTGACTTGTTATTGCTTTTATATTTCATTCCAATAGTTTAAAAAATACATAAAATAATCTTTTACATTTTAACATGCCAAAAGTTTATATTCTGAACGTACTTGGCCAGGCACAGTGGCTCATGCCTGTAATCCCAGCTGTTTAGAAGGCTAGTGTGGAAGGCCAGACTCCTGGTGCTTGAGCCCAGGAGTTCAAGACCAGCCTGGGTAATGTGGCAAAACTCCGTCTCTACCCCCACAAAAAAAACAAACAAAAAAAAAACCAGAAGTTGGCCAGGTGTGGTGGTGCTTGCCTGTAGTTCCAGCTACTTGGGAGGCTGAAGTGGGAGGACCACTTGAGCCTGGGAGGTTGAGGTTGCAGTGAACAAACATGGCACCACTGCACCTGGGCAACAGAGTAGACCTTATCTCAAAAAAAAAAAAAAAAAAAAAAACTAAAGAAATTTGAAAAATGCATTTGAATATTAATCTATTGTTTTGTGCATAGTTATATGAATTACAATCACTTATGTAAATTAAGTATATAGATTCATTGCCTTAAATCACACACAGGAAAATATTAACATGTATAGAGTAGCTTTTACAGAACAGTGGAAGTATGACAGATTAATCATATCAGAAAAATTATTCACTGGAGAAATTAAAGACTTTTTTTTCTCTTTTCCTTCCTCTTCTGGACCTAAAGAATATCCATTTCTATATCTCCTTTGTTCTGCCCCCATCCTGTGGCCACAGTTCTCTTATAAATCCAGAACTTCTTGGCATCTTCCTCCCCATGTGAAAAAGGATTCTATGGGCTGGAAGTGATCCCAAAGTGATTTTGCAAAAATGAAGTTGGGCTCAGTAGTGGTAGATCCTGGATCAGCACCTCTCACATTCCTCTCAGTAGTGTATGCCCTGACTTAGATAGGGTAATACTACAATTAATAAAACCTTTGGTCCTTTTGCATTTTCTATCTCTTTGTTTCAAATCGGATTAAAAAAAAGAAATATATAATACAATCAAGAACACTTAAGAAGAAACACTTTCAAGCTATACATATGACAGATCTTAATGGCCCCATTGGTTAGTGATCAGTCACTTTGATGTGAGCAAAGGAAAAGAAGGAAAAGAGAAAACAATCTATAATTGTGAACGTATAGATAAAAATAAGCCTGAGTTTCACTTTTACCATTTTCTCTCCCCTTTAATGACTCCATCATTTTTGCATTAAAATATATATAACATAAAATTTAATATTTTAAATAATTTTAAATGTACAGTTCAGTGGCATTAAGTACATTCACATTGTTGTGCAACCATCCTACCATTCATCTCTAGAACTTTTTTATCTTGCAAAACATAAACTCTGTGCCCTTTAAACAATAACTCCATCTTTTTGTTTTAATTTTCTTAATGGCCAACATGTGTCAGTCAGCCAAACTTTTTAGCATTTGCTGTCTACTTATCTAGTAAGGAAGGAAATTGGAGATGATGTGTCTGCCCCCAGGGAGTTGACATGTTACAACAGAAAGTTGGACAAAAACACCATCTCATAAAGCCAGTCATTGAGCACACACCTGACACTTAGGCAGGTGCTACATTAAGTGAGTTTCAAAGTAGAATAGCTGATAGTTTAGTTTCAAATTTCCCACTCGCAATTCAAAATACATAGCTCTAATTCACAGGAATATGCTGTTTTTAAAAACGATGACTCCTTTCAATAAGAAGGAATGGTGCTGCTATTTTAACCACACTTCTCAGTATGTTATTTTTGAGGGTTAATTGGTCTTTATTTTACAAATCCTGTGGGGTGGTTTTAGGTCAACTGAGACAGGCATTGACAATTCCTGAAAATCCCAAAGCATCTCCACATGTTTCTTAAACTATTGTTGGCTGCTGTGAGCAGAAGTGAGGCTAAGCGGGAATCCCTGTATTCTTGGGCCTATATGTAGGCCACAAGTCATTCTGATTTCTAAATCTGTCATATCAGAATGTGACAAATAGCACTTCAAAATTTCCAGGCCCAGCCTAAGAGGTTAAAATACAATTTGCCCTCATTAATAAACATTGCGTTTGTCTGAAAATTGGCTGTACCACTCAAAAACAAACAAACACCTCTTATTCACCTTTCTGTCTCAGGAGGTCAGCATTGAAAAGCTATAGTTTAATTTCTCTTTTTTAAATGGGAACCAGGTGTTGTATGCGTGTGTGTGTGTTTTTTTTAAAATTATTGTTATTACATGACACCAAACAGAAATGGACATGCTGATATATTCCAAGTTGACTATTTGTGTTCTCTTTGCTAGTGATCATTAATTTCATTTGGACAGTTATTCATGCAAGCAATTTGCCACTATGATGACTGAGAAAAAATACTGAAGCAATAGGTTTTTAAAATGTTAATACATGGAAAGAGATATAAATCTCTTGCAAAACATATTTCTTCAAGTTTTATATTTAGTCTCTGGTGATATAAACCATAAAATTGTGCTAGCTAGTCCAAACTGTTTTTATTGTAATCTTGGTTTGGGAAAACAAGGATTGAATCTCTTAAAAGCTCATTTGGAGTACAAATATTTGAGCTCTAGCTATAGTACATCTATAAAGATATCTAGAATTCAGGAAGATAACACCAATGGAAAAGCAAATTTCTTTGGTTCAATTTTCTCATGGAAAATAACATACATGCTGCTTTAAATAGCCGCTGCTGCTTCTTGAAATTCTTCAAGAAAGGATCTATTTGAAAGGTTTTTGTTCAGCATGCTATACTTCTGCTGGTGCCTCGAGACTGTTACTGAATTTATATGGAAATGAAAGATGGAGACAGCAATGCAAACCTAGTGTTTTACAAACTCACCTTTGTCTGGCCTCACATAAAGCTGTGCAATTGACCTCATTAGATCTGTCACTTGCTGGTTTATTTCTGGGCCTCTCTCTAGTTTAAAATAACATCAGAACTACCCCCAGACACCTTTCTAATAGAAAATATATCACTGGAACAGGATAATCTGGACCCCATGGCATAAAGCAATAGTGCAAAGGAGTTATGGTCACCTAACAGGACCAAAGGGACATCTTCTGATTGGGTTGAACTTACTTAGACATTGCTACCTTTCAACTTCTTCATCTAGTCTAGCTCTCAGGATTTTTGTTAACTGCAATTATCCTGCCTTTGAAAAAATTATGTGTCTCTGCTGGACAAAACATACTGTATTCTTAATGTTGAGAAATGGCTTGGAAAAGAGATCCAGTCCAACATCTTATATTATAAATGAAGAAACTGAGACCTAACATGTTTAATGACATAATGAGCCAAAAACTAGCCCTAGTATGCTGATTATCTGTCTATTATCTTTTCTTATAAGTCATTTACAGAATTGTAGCATTTATTTGGTATGTCTCCATGGAATAGTAATTCTTTAAAATATAGTAGGGACTAGAAAATCTTTCTATACATAAGGGTATAAATTATATCCCTGAAAGGGTTCTTGTTTTCTTTAATTCTTTAAAACTATCTTTTACTATCTGTAAACATTAACTTCTCCTCAACAAGCAAATCTAGAAAAATAAATTTTTCTATCACATTTTGTCAAATTGAATCATACATTAATTGAAAGCTTAAAGAATTATTGTAATCACTTACTATTTTCCTTTAATGAGTTTCAAATTTTGAGATGGAGCCAAATACCTTTCTGAGTAAAAAAAAATAGAGCAATTTACAGAAGTGATAGGTATTTGGCAAGATTTGCAGGTAAAATCGGTTTTCAAAATGTACGTGTTTGAGTAGATTCTCTTATGGGATATATTTAAAGACATCACGTTTAAAAGGAAGCTTGAAGCAATATCATGTTCATAAAAATTAACTGCTCTCTTACCTAATGTACAGGACCTGAATTCATGTTTAAAATGCTTCTCTCATAGCTGCTTTCAGAGTTGGCTAAAATTTTACAATAAATTTTTGTAATGATACAATCATAAGATTTAAAGAATCATCAAAGGGCCTAATTTTTACTTCTTTATATAATTTCTGTACTCCAAAGGTGGTTTTTCACTTAAGAGATAGCACTATCTATAAAAGCAAGCTATGGCCCTGGTATGATTTATTCTTTTCATTTATCCAGTCATTTTAGAGTCAGGGATTCAGTAGGGAGGAGATGACACACTCAGCAGGTGTAATTAAGAAGAATGCAATAAAGGGACTATTCACTAAGATGCAGGCAGAGTTAAGGGTAACTAGCAAGGAATGGTGCTTTCCATTGGCCAAACTCAAGCAGAAGCAACGGAGAGCAAGAGAAGCCTGCTGTAAAGTCCATAGAAGTCTGCTTCGGTTTACAAGTGCACAAAGCAAGGCAGAGGGGTGGAGAAGGGGAGGATGAAGAGTGGATCTGAAAGGGGCAAAGTGTGAATATCCAGCACATTGTTCCATTTGGGGTCATTAATTTCTGTGCATTCTCTTAGCACTTTATACATCTGCATAGCATTTATCACATCTTACAATATTTCGTTATTTACATACTTACGTCTCTCAGTCATCTATGAGCATCTCACCCTGAAACTAAGGAGAAAGTTACATGCAATTTTAACAATTTCAAGGCTGTCATTTGGGCAAAGAAGGCAAAACACAGCCTACCCAAACCTGACTGCTGGCATCAAAGGAGAAAAACAAAGAGAGGGAGATGGAGTTGCTTTTCTTCCTTTCTTGGGATCAGGGTATGGTTTGCTTGGTATAATTCCCACAACAAGAACAGTAAGATAAGAGAAGACAAGGTATAGGGCGTGGAGAGACAAGCTCACCTCCTTGCATCAGAGCTTAGATAAAGGTTTCCCACCTCATGGCCACTTCCCTGGGAGGCTCATTTGAGAGAGATTGTGTGGTCACAACCACAGTAGCACAAATCCATTCTCTTGCATCTGTTGGCTCAGGTCTATGTTTAACAGATTGTTCTTTTTTTCACAGGTTTATTTATTCACAAACTTATTCCACAGAATTTTCTTTTGCCATTGAGTCTCTCATAGTATGCGTGTCCCATAGAGCAGACGAAACAGTGATAAAAGAAATGAGTCTAAATGCTTTCTTGAAAACTTCAAAGTATTTTAAAATCACTTCAGGCTCCTTAACTGCTAAGTAGATGCAAAGATCTGTTACACATTGGAGAAATTACAGTCTCAACTTCCTCTTGAAAAAGCATCATTTGTCTTGTACAGCAGAACTCCAGGGACACAGTGATATGGTATTTGTTCGTTAACTACTGTCCAAGTCCTCCTAACTAGGTTGTAGCAGATGACCTTCTCATCACGTAAGCTGACCAGACCTTCTACATGAATGAAATCTGATTGCTGAATAGTAAGCAAAGCTTTCTAAAGGAATTAAACACATTTAATTTTATCAAACATGTAACATTTGCTATCACAATATATTGCTTGATTGGAAAGTTAAAGGTAAGCATTAATATACATTAGTTTGCACAATTTTTCCTCCTCCCTCTCACACATTTAACACAACTCTGGCTTTAATGTTTATTTAGATTTCATATTGGAATTTTCTTGGATCTTTCTTTGTCCCTTCTAGGGTAATTTTATGGAGCTATATTCTTTTTCTCATTGTACTCAGGACCCTAAAGTCAATAAACAGGAATGTTGATTCAATGTTTTTTTATTCTTTGTTTTATAATTATAGTTATAAAACATCATGGTTATCTGGAAGTTTAACACTTGAAACCCAAGTCAAATGTAAGCTAAAATACACAACACCATGATCAACAATAACAAAAAGTTTTCTGTGTGTCTCTGCAATAGCCTGATATAAAACAAATAAACAAAAAACTTACATGCTTAACTCCATAAGTCTTCAAAGGGAGCTACAAATAGTATTTTTGAATTTCTCTAACAAATAGGCTATATGATTTCTTAGCACACAATGTATTTATGATAACAGTATAGTATAGCCATCAAGAATTGAGACTCTAGAGTCAGACCCACCTTTTGTGTAATTCAGCTAAAAGTTACTTCTCTCTGTGTGTTTCAGTTTTCTCATGGTAGTAGACAGCCCAGAAGATGAGCTACAATAATTCGTGGTTCATTAGTATTCATGTCCTTGTGGAGTCCCCATCCCCTTGAATGTGAGGTGGATTTAATTACTCACTTTCAACAAATAGAATACATCAGAAGCAGTGAGATGTCACCTCTGAAATTAGGTTATAATGTCCATTCTTTCTCTATCAGAAACCTTATTCTGGGGGAAGCAAGCTGCACATGTTGTGAGCAGCCTCATGGAGAGGCCAATGTGGCAAGGAACTGATGTCTCTAGCCAACAAGCAACAAGGACATAAGGCCTGACAACAACCAAGTAAGAGAACTTAGAAGTGGATCTTTGGAGTCCTAACAACAATTGTGTGAGTGACCTTGAAAGTGGACCCTCCCATCACTTGAGGTCAAGAGTTTGAGACTAGCCTAGCCAATATGGTGAAACCCTGGCTCTACTAAAAAATACAAAAATTAGCCAGTCGTGGTGGTGCATGCCTGTAGTCCCAGCTACTTGGGAGGTTGAGGCAGGAGAATGGCTAGAACCCTGGAGGTGGAGGTTGCAGTGAGCCGAGATCATGCCACTGGGCTCCAGCCTGGGTGACAGAGTGAGAGTTCATCTCAAAAAAAAAAAAAAAAAGAGAGAGAGAGAGAAAGTGGATCCTCCCAATTGAGACGAGATGACTGCATTTTGGCCAACATGTTAATTGAGGCTTTGTGAGAGACCCTGAGTTAAAATGACCCAGCTAAGCTACTCCCAGATTCCTGATAATAAGAAACTCTGAGACAAATGTGTGCTATTTTTCAACCACTAAGCCATGGGGTAATTTTTTATACAGCAATAGATCACTAATACAGATTTTGGTAATGAAAGTGTGGTGCTGTTTTAACAGACACCTAAAATGTAAAAGTGGCTTTGGAACCAGACAGTGAGTGGGCTTTGGGTAAAATATTAGCTAACACTTAACATGCTTTGAACATATTGTGGAGAATTTTGTACTTTGAGGATACAGCAGGTGTGGGCTTGTAGGAAAGCAAGAAAAGTCTTACTGGAAACTGATTACAAAGCAATAAATGACAAATACAGCCATCTATGACACAGAGATTCTCTGAAGATTAAATGACTTCATGCATGAAAACGTTCAGCATAATGCCTAGTACATAGTGATCCACTCAATAAATAATATAAAATATGGTGCCTCCCGCATGTTCTCATTCATAGGCGGGAATTGAACAATGAGAACACTTGGACACAGGGTGGGGAACATCACACACCAGGGCCTGTCATGGGGTGGGGGGATGGGGGAAGGATAGCATTAGGAGGAATACCTAATGTAAATGACAAGTTAATGGGTGCAGCAAACCAACTTGGCACATGTATACATATGTAACAAACCTGCACATTGTGCACATGTACCCTAGAGCTTAAAGTATTAAAAAAAAATGGTGCTTCATGCCTGTAGTCTCAGCACTTTGGGAGGCCGAAGCAGGGGGACTGCTTGAGCCCAGGAGTTTGAGACCAGCCTGGGCAACATAGTGAGAGTTTTTTTCTACAAAAAACCAAAAACGTTACCCAGGCATGGTGATGTGCCCCTGTAATCCCAGCTACTCAGGAGGCTAAGATGGGAGGACTGCTTGAGCCTGGGAGTTTGAGGTTGCAGTGGGCCATGATCACAACATTGTACTCTACCCTGGGCAACACAGCAAGACCCTGTCTCAAAAATAAATAAATAAAATTTTTAAAAATATTGAATATAAAAAAATAATTCATTGATAGAATCTGGCAATAGAAAAAGTAACTGACAATATTGAATAGTTGCACTAAGATTATAAAACTAGACATGAAAACAAAAAACAAGGTATTTGAGGTGCATTTAGTTAGAAGAAAACATCTCAGCAGCCCATACATGAATACCGTCCTCTCTAGGGATCAGTAGGGGATTGGTTCCAGGAACCTCATAGATATCAAATCCTCATATGTTCAAGTCCTGCAGTCAGCCCTGTGGAACCTGTGGATACAAAATGTCAGCCCTCCTTATCTGTGGGTTCCATATCCTATGGATACTATATTTTCAATCTGTAGTTAAATTTGAGAATGCAGAATCCGCCGATATAGAGGGCTGACTGTAATTGTATTTCTGCTCTGTACAATAATGACTTTTTATAATTACTCTTGTAATCTAACACATAAAAAACAGAATTTCATCAACATTTTCTGAAAATTAGTAACTTACGATTTTTCTGTTTCTCTTAACATACCTCTACTTCTCTGGTTACCTTACCTAAAAACTTCATTCTTCTCTTTTCCTTGCCTTCCAACCTCTAATACCATATCTTGTTGGTTCTTCCAAATGTCTGCTCTACCTACCACTTCATTCATATATATATATATACACACACACACACACACACACATTTTAAGCACCTCTGTCCAGGCTCTGTTCACACTGTGCATAGCCTACTTTAATAGTCACACAACTCACACCCTGCATATAACTGAAATCCCTCTGTCTGTGATTGCCAGTACCAGCCCCTGTACACCCAGACAACAGGACTGGAAGCTGAGAACCCTTCTTGAGTTCTCATCTTCACTTCTCACATTTAACTGGCAATATAGTTCTGCTCAAGGCTGCAAGTTAGGATGAAAAAAGATGAGAGTCAAAGATACACTTCATGAGAGTACAAAGACTTAGAAAATGGACAATTAACACAAAGCATTATAGAAGTTCTAAAGTAAACATGCTGCCCCAAAAGGCAAGAAAACAGAGTTTCAAGGAGGCAATGCTAAACAATAGTGAGTGCAAAAATAAAAAGTTTAGGTGGACAAACACTAGCAGAAATTAAGCATCTTATTTTTTATTATTTATTTATTTATTTTGAGATGGAGTCTTGCCCTGTCACCCAGGCTGGAGTGCATTGGCATGATCTCGGCTCACTGCAACCTCTGCCTCCTGGATTTAAGCAATTATCCTGCCTCAGCCTCCTGAGTAGCTGGGATTACAGGCACACACCACCATGCCTGGCTAACTTTTTCTATCTTTAGTAGAGACAGGGTTTCACCATGTTGGCAAGGCTGGTCTCGAACTCCTGACCTTGTGATCTGCCCACCTTGGCTTCCCAAATTGCTGAGATTATGGGAGTGAGCCACTGAGCCCTGCCTGAAACTGAGCATCTTCTATATGTAAGGTGTTATGTAAGCTAATTCATTTATTCAACAGATGGTTACTGAGGACTATGTTCACAGTACTGTGTGAGGTACTGGCTACGTCACAGGACATATGACAGTGAAAAATAAATATGCTGCCCCACTCATAGATTTACAATCTAAAATGATCTTATTTGATTTTCATAAAAGCCCTAGGGTTGGTATTATATCCTTATGTTTCAGATGAAAACACGGAGGTTCCACCATATAATGTAGTTTATCAAAGATGACACAGCTATAAAATTATGGGGTGGGTATTAGAGCCCAGGTTAGACTGACTCTAAAGTCATGTTCTTTCTACAATATGATCCTACCTTCGTAAGATGAACATTAAAAAATGGTCATTGGAATTGGCATCCAGACATAAAAACCTTCCATTTCTATAGGGTGGTAGAAGCAGACTACTATATTTCATTACGCTAAAGTCCTGATAATTCAGACATTTGAAAGAGTCTCATATCCACGGGCCAAAAACTTTCCCCAGGCTTAAAAAAAAAAAGGTAATACCATCATCTGTTGTAATAAAGAATTTAAGAGCCAAGATGGCCAAATAGGAACAGCTCCAGTCTACAGCTCCCAGCAAGAGCGATGCAGAAGACAAATGATTTCTGCATTTCCAACTGAAGTACCAGGTGTATCTCACTGGGGATTGTCGGACACTGGGTGCAGGACAGTGGGTGCAGTGCATCAAGCCTGAGCCAAAGCAGGGTGAGGCATCCCTTTCCTAGCCAAGGAAAGGGGTGATGGACGGCACCTGGAAAATCAGGTCACTCCCACCCTAATACTGTGCTTTTCCAACAGTCTTAGCAAACGGCACACCAGGAGATTATATCCCGCACATGGCTTGGAGGGTCCTACGTCCACAGAGCCTCACTCATCGCTAGCACAGTAGTCTGAGATCTAACTGCAAGGCTGCAGCGAGGCTGGGGGAGGGGCGCCTGCCATTGCTGAGGCTTGAGTAGGTAAACAAAGCGGCCCAGAAGCTCGAACTGGGTGGAGCCCACTGCAGCTCAAGGAGGCCTGCCTGCCTGTGTAGACTCCACCTCTGGGGGCAGGGCATAGCCAAACAAAAGGCAGCAGAAACCTCTGCAGACTTAAATGTCCCTGTCTGACAGCTTTGAAGAGAGTAGTGGTTCTCCCAGCATGCAGCTTGAGATCTGAGAATGGACAGACTGCCTCCTCAAGTGGGTCCCTGACCCCCGAGTAGCCTAACTCGGAGGCATCCCCCAGTAGGGGCAGACTGACACCTCACATGGCCGGGTACTCCTCTGAGACAAAACTTCCAGAGGAATGATCAGGCAGCAACATTTGCTGTTCACCAATATCCGCTGTTCTGCAGCCTCTGCTGCAGATACCCAGGCAAACAGGGTCTGGAGTGGACCTCAGGCAAACTCCAACAGACCTGCAGCTGAGGGTCCTGACTGTTAGAAGGAAAACTAACAAACAGAAAGGACATCCACACCAAAACCCCATCTGTACGTCACCATCATCAAAGACCAAAGGTAGATAAAATCAAAAAGATGGGGAAAAAACAGAGCAGAAAATCTGAAAATTCTAAAAATCAGAGTGCCTCTCCTCCTCCAAAGGAATGCAGCTCCTCACCAGCCACGGAACAAAGCTGGACAGAGAATGACTTTGATGAGTTGAGAGAAGAAGGCTTCAGATGATCAAACTACTCCAAGCTAAAGGAGGAAGTTCAAATCCATGGCAAAGAAGTTAAAAACCTTGAAAAAAGATTAGATGAATGGCTAACTAGAATAGCCAATGCAGAGAAGTCCTTAAAGGACCTGATGGAGCTGAAAACCATGGCATGAGAACTATGTGATGAATGCAAAAGCCTCAGTAGCCAATTTGATCAACTGGAAGAAAGGGTATCAGCGAAGGAAGATCAAATGAATGAAATGAAGTGAGAAGAGAAGTTTAGAGAAAAATGAATAAAAAGAAATGAACAAAGCCTCCAAGAAATATGGGACTATGTGAAAAGACCAAATCTATGTCTGATTGGTGTACCTGAAAGTGATGGGGAGATTGGAACTAAGTTGGAAAACACTCTGCAGGATATTATCCAGGAGAACTTCCCCAATCTAGCAAGGCAGGCCAACATTCAAATTCAGGAAATACAGAGAACGCCGCAAAGATACTCCTCGAGAAGAGCAACTCCAAGACACATAATTGTCAGATTCACCAAAGTTGAAATGAAGGAAAAAATGTTAAGGGCAGCCAGAGAGAAAGGTCAGGTTACCCACAAAGGGAAGCCCATCAGACTAACAGTGGATCTCTTGGCAGAAACTCTACAAGCCAGAAGAGAGTGGGGGCCAATATTCAACATTCTTAAAGAAAAGAATTTTCAACCCAGAATTTCATATCCAGCCAAATTAAGCTTCATAAGTGAAGGAGAAATAAAATCCTTTACAGACAAGCAAATGCTGAGAGATTTTGTCACCACCAGGCCTGCCCTACAAGAGCTCTTGAAGGAAGCACTAAACATGGAAAGAAAAAACCGGTACCAGCCACTGCAAAAACATGCCAAATTGTAAAGACCTTCGAGGCTAGGAAGAAACTGCATCGACTAATGAGCAAAATAACCAGCTAACATCATAATGACAGGATCAAATTCACACATAACAATATTAACCTTAAATGTAAATGGGCTAAATGCTCCAATTAAAAGACACAGACTGGCAAATTGGATAAAGAGTCAAGACCCATCAGTGTGCTGTATTCAGGAAAACCATCTCACATGCAGAGACACACATAGGCTCAAAATAAAGGGATGGAGGAAGATCTACCAAGCAAATGGAAAACAAAAAAAGGCAGGGGTTGCAATTCTAGTCTCTGATAAAACAGACTTTAAACCAACAAAGATCAAAAGAGACAAAGAAGGCCATTACATAATGGTAAAGGGATCAATTCAACAAGAAGAGCTTATTATCCTGAATATATATGTACCCAATACTGGAGCACCCAGATTAATAAAGCAAGTCCTTAGAGACCTACAAAAAGACTTAGACTCCCACACAATAATAATGGGAGACTTTAACACCCCACTGTCAACATTAGACAGGTCAACGAGACAGAAAGTTAACAAGGATATCCAAGAATTGAACTCAGCTCTGCACCAAGTGGACCTAATAGACATCTACAGAACTCTCCACCCCAAATCAACAGAATATACGTTCTTTTCAGCACCACACCACACCTATTCCAAAATTGACCACATAGTTGGAAGTAAGGCACTCCTCAGCAAATGTAAAAGAACAGAAATTATAACAAACTGTCTCTCAGACCACAGTGCAATCAAACTAGAACTCAGGATTAAGAAACTCACTCAAAACCACTCAACTACATGGAAACTAAACAAACCTACATGGAATGACTACTGGTTACATAACAAAATGAATGCAGAAATAAAGATGTTCTTCAAAACCAATGAGAACAAAGACACAACATACCAGAATCTCTGGGACACATTCAAAGCACTGTGTAGAGGGAAATTTATAGCACTAAATGCCCACAAAAGAAAGCAGTAAAGATCTAAAATTGACACCCTAACATCACAATTAAAAGAACTAGAGAAGCAAGAGCAAACACATTCAAAAGCTAGCAGAAGGCAAGAAATAAGTAAGATCAGAACAGAACTGAAGGAAATAGAGACAAAAAATTAAACCCTTCAAAAAATCAATGAATCCAGGCACTGGTTTTTTTGAAAAGATCAACAAAATTGATAGACCGCTAGCAAGACTAATAAAGAAGAAAAGTGAGAAGAATCAAATAGATGCAATAAAAAAATGATAAGTGGGATATCACCACTGATCCCACAGAAATACAAACTACCATCAGAATACTATAAACACCTCTACACAAATAAACTAGAAAATCTGGAAGCAACGGATAAATTACTCGACACATACACTCTCCCAAGGCTAAACCAGGAAGAAGTTGAATCTCTGAGTAGACCAAGAACAGGCTCTGAAATTTAGGCAATAATCAATAGCTTACCAACCAAAAAAAGTCCCGGACCAGATGGATTCACAGCCAAATTCTACCAGACGTACAAGGAGGAGCTGGTACCATTCCTTCTGAAATTATTCCATCAATAGAAAAAGAAGGAATCCTTCATAACTCATTTTATGAGGCCAGCATCATCCTGATACCAAAGCCTGGCAGAGACACAACAAAAAAAGAGAATTTTAGACCAATATCCCTGATGAACATCGATGCAAAAATCCTCAATAAAATATTGGCAAACTGAATCCAGAAGCACATCAAAAAGCTTATCCACCATGATCAAGTGGGCTTCATCCCTGGGATGCAAGGCTGGTTCAATGTATGCAAATCAATAAACATAATCCAGCATATAAACAGAACCAACAACAAAAAGCACATGATTATCTCAATAGATGCAGAAAAGGCCATTGACAAAATTCAGCAACGCTTCATGCTAAGAACTCTCAATAAATTAGGTATTGATGGGACTTATCTCAAAATAATAAGAGCTATCTATGACAAACCCACAGCCAATACTGAAAGGGCAAAAACTGGAAGGATTCCCTTTGAAAAGTGGCACAAGACAGGGATGCCTTCTCTCACCACTCCTATTCAATATAGTGTTGGAAGTTCTGGCCAGGGCAATCAGGCAGGAGAAGGAAATAAAGGGCATTCAATTAGGAAAAGAGGAAGCCAAATTGTCCCTGTTTGCAGAAGACATGATTGTATATCTAGAAAACCTAATTGTCTCAGCCCAAAACCTCCTTAAGCTGATAGGCAACTTCAGCAAAGTCTCAGGATACAAAATCAGTGTGCAAAAATCACAAGCATTCTTATACACCAATAACAGACAAACAGAGAGTCAAATCATGAGTGAACTCCCATTCACAATTGCTTCAAAGAGAATAAAATTCCTAGGAATCCAACTTACAAAGGATGTGAAGGACCTCTTCAAGAAGAACTACAAACCACTGCTCAATGAAATAAAAGAGGATACAAAAAAATGGAAGAACATTCCATGCTCATGGGTAGGAAGAATCGATATCATGAAAATGGCCATACTGCCCAAGGTAATTTATAAATTCAATGCCATCCCCATCAAGCTACCAATAACTTTCTTCACAGAATTGGAAAAAACTACTTTAAAGTTCATATGGAACCAAAAAAGAGCCCGCATTGCTAAGTCAATCCTAAGCCAAAAGAACAAAGCTGGAGGCATCACGCTACCTGACTTCAAACTATACTACAAGGCTACAGTAACCAAAACAGCATGGTACTGGTACCAAAACGGAGATATAGACCAATGGAACAGAACACAGCCCTCAGAAATAATGCCACATATCTATAACTGTCTGGTGTTTGAGAAACCTGAGAAAAACAAGAAATGGGGAAAGGATTTCCTATTTAATAAATGGTGCTGGGAAAACTGGCTAGCCATATGTAGAAAGCTGAAACTGGATCCCTTCCTTACACCTTATACTAAAATTAATTCAAGATGGATTAAAGATTTAAATGTTAGACCTAAAACCATAAAATCCCTAGAAGAAAACCTAGGCAATACCATTCAGGACATAGGCATGGGCAAGGGCTTCATGTCTAAAACAACAAAAGCAATGGCAACAAAAGCCAAAATTGACAAATGGGATCTAATTAAACTAAAGAGCTTCTGCACAGCAAAATAAACTACCATCAGAGTGAACAGGCAACCTAAAAAATGGGAGAAAATTTTTGCAACCTACTCATCTGACAAAGGGCTAGTATCCAGAATCTACAAAGAACTTAAACAAATTTACAAGAAAAAAACAAACAACCCCATCAACAAGTGGGCGAAGGATATGAACAGACACTTCTCAAAAGAAGACATTTATGCAGCCAAAAAACACATGAAAAAATGCTCATCATTACTGGCCATCAGAGAAATGCAAATCAAAACCACAATGAGATACCATCTCACACCAGTTAGAATGGCAATCACTAAAAAGTCACGAAACAACAGGTGCTGGAGAGGATGTGGAGAAATAGGAACACTTTTACACTGTTGGTGGGACTGTAAACTAGTTCAACCATTGTGGAAGTCAGTGTGGCAATTCCTCAGGGATCTAGAACTAGAAATACCATTTGACCCAGCCATCCCATTACTGGGTATATACCCAAAGGATTATAAATCATGCTGCTATAAGGACACTTGCACACGTATGTTTATTGCAGCAGTATTCACAATAGCAAAGACTTGGAACCAACCCAAATGTCCAACAATGATAGACTGGGTTAAGAAAATGTGACACATATACACCATGGAATACTACACAGCCATAAAAAATGATGAGTTCATGTCCTTTGTAGGGACATGGATGAAGCTGGAAACCATCATTCTCAGCAAACTATCGCAAGGACAAAAAACCAAACACCGCATATTCTCACTCATAGGTGGGAATTGAACAATGAGAACACATGGACACAGGAAAGGGAACATCACACCCAGGGGCCTGTTGTGGGGTGGGGGGAGGGGGGAGGGATAGCATTAGGAGATATACCTAATGTTAAAAGACAAGTTAATGGGTGCAGCACACCAACATGGCACATGTATACATATGTAACAAACCTGCACATTGTGCATATGTACCCTAAAACTTAAAGTATAATAAAAAAAAAAAAAGAAAAAAAAATAAGAAATCCTGAAAGTGCCAAGAAGACAGTGGAAAGTGTCCGGCTCATGTTAATTAAAGAATCAACAGAGAAAAAAAATTAAAAAATACAAAGAATTTAAGCTCGGAGTCAGACAGATCCGATTTGAATTCCAGCTCTGCCGCAAAATAACTGTGCATCCCTGGGCAGGTTACTTAACCTCCTCAAGTCTTAACTTCCTCATCAGTAAACTGGAGAGAATAGTAACTATTTAATGGAGTTGTTGTATGGATTAAATGATGTAAAGCATGTGAAATGGTACTCCTGCCATTTGTGATGCATCCTCTGAATGTTAGTTTATTAGAAGTTTCGTGGAATGAAATATTAACTGAGGCTTTCCTACTAAGAGCTTTCATTCTAAAAGGGAGAATGAGGAATACAAAAATTAAACAATACGTACAATGAGGTAGCATGAAATAAATAAAGTTTATGCAAAATGCTTTTGGAGAATAGAGGAAGGAGCAATAAATTCTCTCATGAGGAAACATTTCAGTGATTATATGATTTTGGGAAGACTTATTTCAGTTAGTTTGTTAAAACAATGTCTTAATAATAAACAATAAAACAATAAGTCTTAATAGTTTGTTAAAAAATAAGTTTTAGAAAGTTTAATAAGTTTAGAAAGTTTGTTAAAAAATAAGTTTTAGAAAACTTATTTTAGAAGTAGTTCTAGCTGTGGGATTAATTTTATTTTTTAAAAAAAAAGAAATTCCAGGAAAATCCCTGATAGAATTTTCAAAAAGAACAATCCAAAACTTTCCCTTCCTTAATTCTTCTCCAGTGCTTTTTCACTCTCAAGAGAAAAGGTGAAAATTACCTTCCAGGTGCCAGAACAAATGAGCCAACATCTCTCTGAAAGAAGGCAGCATGTGTCTCAGTGAATGAGGCTCAGATGCCCACTTGGAATTCTCAGTCTTGCCTGCCCTTACTTCAAAGGGAGCTAACCTGCTGACATGTTCTTATTTGGTCCCAGAATTGTAAATATGCATGGAGGAGAATGAGATTCCATTATATAACCTCTACGTGACCTTCTGATTTCTGTTATTGTTTTCCTAGGGTAAAAAGATGATAAACAAATAATGCTAAATAAAGTTATCTACAATGTTCATGCATTCTACCTGCTGTTACAGAATGAACCTGTTGCTTTGTCATGGTGTTATGAAATTAAAAAGGAATAGCTACTTGACTTTGAGGAGACAAATTACTTCTTTAAAACCTCAAAGTAAATATTCCTACAATGAAAGGGAAAAAATATGTATTCCTAGTTGATTAACAATTGAGTCAATACACTGATATTGATTTTGATTTAATTAGATGTATGTTTTTCTTCTTACTTTAGAACATATATCAATGGAAAATATCCATCTTTGTTAACAATTAATTACAAGCTAAAGAAACCTTACAGTATTTTAAAAAAATGTAACAGATGAGAAAACCTTATATAATGCCCAACATTCAGTGCTGGTGAGGTTAAGCTGAATTTGGAATTCTCATTTTCTTTTGGTGGCATGGTGCCACAGTTTTGGAAAAGAAAATAGCCAAATACAGGACGTGAGATAAAGATTATTATCTCCCTTAGCTCTGTAAACTCTTTCTCAAGAATTTACACTCTGGAAAAGTTTCAACATAACCAAAATGTTTTAAGAGTGAGCATAGCAGAATATTTATAATAGCACAAAGGAATTGGAAACAATATGAAAGTTCATGATAGGAAAATAATATGACAAAATTTTGAACTATTGTGATATCAAAAAGTCATTAAAAAGATATTCAAACTATGTGGACATGTGGAAAATCAAACAATAAAGTGGTATGCACACATTAGTTACAATTACATAAAATACACATATATGTACTCAAGGGCTAATAAGTTATATGGAAAAATGAAAATAAATGTTATGATTATGAGATCATAGACATTTTTTCTTTTTTTGAATTTTTTAGTGCTACAACATAATTTTTCAAAAGTAAGTGATCCATGTACGAACCAAGAGAAAACTTTACTCTTAAATATCTTCTAACATATTCTTATGGGAACTTTATTCTAATCAACTTACCCATTTCTTATTTTTATTTATTGTGTTTATTTTTATTCTCCCCATTTTAGTTGTTTGAGAAAATGAGTCATTGATTAAACATGCAAGAATTTTATTAAGGAAAATACATGTGCAAAAGGAAATGGGGAAAGAGTTGGAAAGGGTCAGGGAAATCATCAGAACTTGAGGGGAGGAACAGCAGAGATGGCTGGTGGAAGCAATGTAGACCCTCCTGCCCATGGTCTCAGAAAGATTGGCCAAAACCCTAGGCAAGTGATTCAGGCAGTTATTTGACAAAGAAATCCCAGTGTCTTCCTGAAACCTTAGCATCCTGCAGCATGCAGTCTTTGGCAGGGAGCAGCCTGTGCAAGGTGAGGCCTCACAGCACACATGGCACAGAAATTTAAAATTCAGCTTCAGCAGCCATTGGTCAATTACCACCTTCTATTAGGAGGTCTGACAGGTATATTCTCCAAGCTGCCATGGTACCCAAATATGATAGAAAGAAAGTCACCCATACAACAATACTTGAATATCAGTCTGTCTGTCCTGAATGTTTCATAATAACTAGAGTGACAATAAACTGCTAGAAGAAAAAATTTAAAAGCATTTAATGTCAAGAGATGATAGTGCAAATTAAAAACAATTTGGGACCATTTAAAGGGCCATCCTTCTTTTCCTTGACCTTAATGAGCCACAGCTACATTAATACTGGCAAGCAGATGCTATGTGGCCCATACTAAGTTATTAGTTAAATCAAATATCTGCCTGTATGTTCTAACTGAAATGTTGTACAAATTAGTGAGCCATAATATTTAAACTATGAGTCACACATTCCTTCCATAAGGTTTACCCAAAGACCTTGGACACTGGTCCCAAGTAGTCCATTATTCAGCTTCTGGTTCTAAAACTTACTTGTTGAATGGTTTTAGAGGAGGAATATGAGTCTTTCAGCCTCAACATTTACATAAAAACTGGAATGATTATACTTCCTTCATATTCATCATTACGATAATTAATAAGATAACATATGTGAAACACTTATGTATTCATCTATTTTGCATTGTTATAAAGGAACACTTGAGACTGGGTAATTTATAAAGAAAAAAATATTTATTTTGGCTCACAGTTCTGCAGACTGTATAAGAGGTATAGTGCTGGTATCTGCTTCTGGTGAGGGCCCCAGGAAGCTTACAATCTGGGTGGAGGGTGAAGGGGGAGCAAGTGTGTCACATGAGGAGAAAGGGAGCAATAGAGAGGAAAGGATGTGCCAGGCTCTTTTAAACAACCAGCTCTCTAAATAATGAGAACACATGGACAGAAAGAGGGGAACACTTGACACTAGGGCCTACTTGAAGGAGAGTGGGAAGAAGGAGAGGTTCAGAAAAAGAAAACTCAGATACTATGCTTAGTACCTGGATGATGAAATAATTTATATACCACTCCGCTGAGTCACGAGTTCACCCATATAACAAACTGCGCATGTGCCCCTGACCCTAAAATAAAAGTTAAACTATTCTTTTAAACAAAAAAATGAATAAACAACCAGCTCTTGTGTGAATTAATGGAGCCAGAACTCACTCATTACCCCCTGGGAAGGCACCAAGGCATTCATGAGGGATCTGCCCCCAGTATTCAAACACCTCCCACCAGGCCCCATCTCCAACACTGGGGATCACATTTCAACATGAGAATTGGAGGGGACAAACATGAAAAAATATCAACTTAGAACCATACTTAACATATATTGGTAATCAACAAATTTTAATTCTCTTCCCCTACACAGACACACATACACACACACACACACACGCACACACACACATACACACACACACACACAGAGAGAGAGAGAGAGAGAGAGAGAGAGAGAGGCTTTTATCAGGGCAAGTGGCTCTTGGGTTTATCATGTTTTCCAGGACAAATCCAGCCTCCTCAGATTTTTTTCTATGGTCATACATCTTCAAAAACCACTTTTCTCCCATTTTACCCAGCCCAACTTTCCTATCCAATCAAACTCGTCCCCCCAGGGTCTCCCAAACATACCATGTTTAGTCTCAACAGCAAATATTGCATCTTCTGACCCTCTTCTCCCTTCCTCTCTATTTTTTAAACTTGTATTCACATCTTACCTTTTCACAGACCCACTCATCTCCCATTTCAGTGAGCTTCTACAGTACTTATTAACATACTGTTCATCTTGGGAGTAAAAAATATATGCTTATCTTACCACCTTCTGCCATTCTTTATCCTCCCAGGTAACTAGGAAGATATACATTAAACCCATAGTAAATTATGAATTAATTTTTGCTTAATAAATAGATAATCCCTATATGTCAGCTGACTATTGACATAGCGCTTTATGTTGTGATATATTTGTAAATCTATACACATTACAACGATTTAAATGTAAGAAAAAAATTAATTTGTACTTTATATAATCAGCTTACCTGGTTCAGAGGCACATGTATGAACAGTGACAATCAGAAGTGATCTCCAAAATAATAGTATTATTAGCTACAGTATGACTACAATGTCATCGTAAATTTAGAAATTAATACAACACTTATAAATGCACAAATGAATAAATTTGCTTCCACATGTGTTCAGTGGGACATAAGAAATACAGATCTGATGACCACTGATCTAAGGCATCTCATACTAGAGCTTTATCCCAGAACCCAGTAAGGGTCCGTTTAACCTTTAGACACTTTAAAAATAATATCTGAAAATCATCAAACGTTACTTTAGCACACACTCATATCCAATTAGGACCCATCAAGATCCCACATAAAAACACATAGTCTAGACCCAGCACCAGTTTATATGCTTCTAAGTTCAAATGGGCACTATCTAAAAGTCCTGTACATTTAGAATAACATAATTCCCAGGATAATCTATATTAATGTACAGAGAATAAATAATACAGCAGGAGAAAAAGTCCACTGGCAAAATTTCTATCAATCAATAAATATGTGTTGAAATGGAGACATGATGAGATACGATGTGGCATGACATGGCAGGACATTTTGTTTCAGGTGTCCATTGCAAGGGTCCTATAGCTGAGGGAGAATGTGGAACACGAGGCAAACCCCAGAGAGAAGAGACTTTACCTTTTTAACTTAGGATTTACACTATGTGTCTTACATAACCTGGTATGATAAAGGAAAATGTGTTTCCATCAATCAGAGAAGGCAGCAATGAAGAAGAAAGAGGAGGTGAATAATTGGCAAGCTGGGGTGTAATGATGGCACTGGAAAGCTATGAAGTCAAGAATGGAGTACGTCTGCCTAAGACAAGTACCTCTGGGGGAAGGGGGAATCATGGTCCTAGGAAAAGAGCTGGACACGAGAGCTTGGGGCTACATTTTGGAAAATCTTCAAACTGCTAGTAAAAAGAATATTACATTTACCAGTGGGGCCTTTATAAACATGAAAAGTAGTGTTTGTATAATGCTTTAAATTCCTTAGGGAAAGGTGTTATGTAGACACAAATAGGCAAACTATGAAATCAAAATCCAACATTTCTGAGGGAGTTGTCTTTGTGGAAGCAGAAATACTTTCCCTGCCCCGCTAGTTTTCTTTCAGAATCAATTTCACTTGCCCTAAAATTTCAAAAAGAGAACAGCCCACGATATTGAACGCCCCTGCAGGTCAGCCGTCTTTTCTCCAACAGTCATATCTGGCAAAGTGAAGGAGAAGTGGGAAACGCAGGAGCTGTTTTATAAGGATGAGTTTTTAGCAGTACAGCGTGGAGGATCAGTACAGGAAAGTCTCTCCTTTGGCCATTCTGTTTCACTTTCCGCAGGGGAACTATTTTCTTCATCATTTATCCCAACTGACAAGTACAAGCATTTTGGGCCCTAACTGAATGTGAACATTGTCAAAAGGAATTGGGCTAACAGGAGGCATCTGCAGCTCCATCCCCATTGCATTCTGGTGGGGGCCAGGTCTGCCGACGTGGCATAGAGGCTGGTGGGCAGACACCCCCGCAGATGGATCCTCACATACTGTATGCGTCATGACCAGCCATAAAAACAGTCACAATGAATCAGCTGTGCTGCGGAGAGGCTCCTTGGAACCTTCACATTCAATTTCCATCCGGCTGACATCCGCAGGTTGTAGTCAGAGGCTCGATTAAACAGGTTCGAAACTAACCCACAAGTCCCTGACTGGTGGTGACTCACTCGCTGACTGGGCCACTGGTTTGAAAGCTTTTGCTGGTTTGAGAGAACTCACGGTAGACTTGACTGTGTTTGCAAATGGCTAAGGGTTTCATTTTTTGAAAATATACATCTATCAGTGAAAGCTTCCTGACCTCTTGAATGAATAGTTGCTAGAAGGGGCCTAAGAGCTTCGAGAGGAGAAAAATTCATTCAATCAGGAATTCCAATACAAATACCAATTTAGAAAATGAGCTAATCCACCTTGACAACATGTTGTCACTGCAAAGTTGCAAAAAGGAATTACACACAAATACGACTTTAAAAATTAGAGGCCCCATAATTTAACAGCTTAAGTTTGCTTCAAAGGACTGCAGGGAAGCAGCAGTAGGTTTCAGGTGACAGCTTGGAATTCACTGGTTCCCTACTCAGCTCAGGTACAGGTCTGACAGTAACACGAGCTTTCCAACTTGTTTCAAACTGAAGTATTATGAAAAGGTAAATTATGTTTTGTATTCATGACTGAAAGCATTTTACTTTAAAGCCAGCGCGGCTGACTCTGTCAAGGTAGAGATTCAAGTTTTATGTACAGTGCCTCCAGCCCAGCCGATGTGAGTGAGGCAACATGACAGCTTGTAATAAGTAATTTTTATACAGTTACATTTATCACTCAAGTAGGCTTGGCAATATTAAACACAGACTTTAAAATACTACTGAAGGGGAGGACAGGGGCTGGAGGCCATGGAGGCATTTCTCCCGTCTCAGTGCAAATGTGGGTTTGTGCATTTTTTTTTCCACCATGTATTCCTGTTAATAAGGCACTTTTTAAGATATGCGTCCAAATGCTTTCCGACTGTTAATATATCACTAAGAGGTTAAGAATGGAATGACCCCATTTGGCCCAAAGGATGTTATTTCAGGATTTAATGAATTAGATATTGCTACCACTTTCAGGTGAAAATCAATTGCTTCAATTAACAAATTTCTACCAATCCAAATATTTACAAAATGGAAGGCCTCTAGTCTTCAATTTCTGCTGCATTATACCTTTGTTTCCCCTACAGCTGTTCCCTTTGCATCCTTCATTAGCATCTCATTTTTGCTAAAGCCACAAGGCCAGCTATGTCTCTGCAATGACATGAGGCTTTCCTGCCTTCAAAAGCTGACAATTTGGATATTCTTTTCCTAAGAATTTCAATGGAGTGGAGTTTTGCTTTTTTATCATTTATTCAAATATGTTTAAAGTTGGGGAAGTATGAGAATTAATCTAGGCTGGGTGCAGCGGCTCAAGCCTGTAATCCCAGCGCTTTGGGAGGCCGAGGCGGGTGAATCACTTGAGGTCAGGAGTTTAAGAGCAGCCTGGCCAACATGGTGAAACCCCGTCTCTACTAAAAATACAAAAAATGTTAGCCGCCTAA
The DNA here is from genome assembly GCF_000001405.40 of Homo sapiens. Taxonomy (NCBI): domain Eukaryota; kingdom Metazoa; phylum Chordata; class Mammalia; order Primates; family Hominidae; genus Homo; species Homo sapiens. Next base: position 51,023,749 of record NC_000006.12, on the reverse strand, counting down.
AAATTAGCATGGTGGTGCATGCCTGTAATCCCAGCTACTAGGGATGCTGAGGCAGGAGAATCGATTGAACCCAGGAGGTGAGGTTGCAGTGAGCTGAGATTGCGCCACTGAACTCCAGCCTGGATGACAGAACAAGACTCCGACTCAAAAAAAAAAAAAAAAAAGAATTAATCTAATTTTTTAACTGAAATGAATATAGACAGAGAAATATAGATATATAGAGATCCCCATCTAAAAAATAAAGTCCTATCTGACATGGCATACCCTTTAAGAGTTTTAAGCAACTTACTCATTCATCCATGTAATCCCATTAATATCTTTATGAGGTGGGTACCATTTTTAAACTTGTGTATCTATTAGATAAGAAAATTAAAGTACAGCAAGGTTAAGCAATTTTTGAAAGGTCACACATCCAATAAATAGTGTAATATGAACTTGATCAGTCTGACTATAGAATCTGCTCTCTTAACCCACTATGCTAACCTGCCTTTTAAAGCAAACTGTAGGGGAAAAGAGACTCTAATGAAAGAAAGTGTTCATTTCTTTCAGCTGGAGTAGATATAGGAACCTGGGTTCATGAGAAGAAAGCTGTGGTCACACCAATTTGCACTTATTCATTAGATGTCAAGTGCTTTTGTGAGCATTTAGTTGGACTTCCCACATCTTTCTTTTGGGTTGCCTATAAATAAAGCAAATCAAAAAAAGGAGGCAGAGTACTTTTCCCCCAAACTCTAGCTGAAACAAGTAAAATTGAGTTAACTTGGATTCATTTGAACTATGAAGTCAAAATCCATTTAAGCTGTGCACCCAGAATTTAATTCCGGTTTTCCAATGTAGCTCCCAATCATTTATTTATTCCATAAACATGCATTGAGTGCCCATTATCTGCCAGGCAAATGCTAAGTCCTGTGGAAACAATGGTGAACTAGATATAGTTCCTTTCTCATGGAATATATAGTTTAGTGATTTTGGCCCCATATGTTCCAACTGCTGTACTAGATAATGAAGACAAACATAAAACAGACATTGTTCCTACTGTTAAGAAATTGATATCTATAAGTGAGAGGTAGCTATATAAATAAATAAGCACCATTAGGGTTAAAATTACTGTCAGGTATATATATGGTGGGCTGTGTGATTAAAGAAGCTTACAAATAGATTATTAGGACCAAGTGTCCTTTGTCCCCCAACTATAAAATAATCTATCATTCAAAATAGCAAACATATGTTTAAGAGATAGATATAAATGATTATATTTTTCTTTGAACCCATTCAGGCATGATGATGGAAGCCACTATAGTTGGAATATTTGTGTACCCCTAAAATTCATATGTTGAAATGCTAACCCCCAAGGTGATGGTATTAGAAGGTGGTGCCTTTGAGGAGGTGATTAGGTAATAAGGTTAGTGCCCTCATGAATGGGATTAATGCCCTTATAAAGGGCTTCAGAGAGCTTACTTGTCTCTTCCACTATGTGAGGACACAGTGAAAAGGCCCTATACTATGAAGCAGAAAGTGGGTCCTATGAAGCAGAAAGTGGATACCAAATCTGCTGGTATCTTGATCTTGGACTTCCCAGACTTTAGAACTATGAGAAACGAATTTCTGTTGTTTATAAGCTTTCAATCTATGATATTTTGTCATAGCAACCAAACAGACCAAGACAGCCAAGACAGAAGCTAAAGAATAGGTTACTTCTAATTCTTATCAATATCAAAATGAATTTCACTGTCATTCCAGGAAATTACACTTACTGTCCTGAGGTCACCAACCTCATTTTTTGGAAAGAAACTAGACCTGGACTCTGGAGACTGCTAAATAAAAGCTAGAACTACTGCTGTTAAAAACAATGGATCAGAGAAGTCAAACCTCTGTTCTGATTCCACCAAACCAGAGAGAAATTTGGGGAAAGAAGCTAATGTGTGAACCAGTTTCCTTCTGACATTTGTGTAGAGACAGGGAAGAAATTCATCCAAATGATTGCATTTTAACATTGCCAGTGAGCTCACCCACATTTGGATACTTAATATAATTTCAATTTCTCTACATCAGTAGTTCTCAAACAGGAGTGATTTTTGTCCCCGAGGGGATCTTCAGCAATGTCTGGAGACATTTATGGTTGTCAAAACATTACTGGCATCTAGTGGGTAGAGGCCAAGGAGGCTGCTAGACATCCTACACTGCATGGGACAGTCCCACAGCAAAGAATTTTCTGGTCCAAAATATCAATATTGCCAAGGCTGAGAAACCCTGCTCTACAGACAGCACAAATCTGGAAATAATTTGGATTCCTACCATCTCCAAACACCGCACATAGACAAGTTCTACTGACCACCAAGGACTTCAGCTCGAATGAAATCACGTGACATCTCTTGGACCTCCAGGGAGTGCTGCTAGTAAGTGGTCAGAGAGCAGGAAATGGCTTCTAATTAGTAGTGTCCTCACAGGATACAACTGCAGAAGATAATTTCCTGTCCCCTTATTTGATGGGAAGATTAATCTGTTACTAAATTCCAGATGAGGAAGATTTTCAAAAGTTTCAAATAGCAAGATTGTAGCCATACAGAAGGCAATTATGTGCAATTTGTACAGTGTTCGACAATCAAAATGTAAATACGATGAGTTGGTTGCAGTAAATGCATATGGCATGTTTACCTTAAAGAACATCAAGCTGCAGAAATTCTAGTGGGGTCTGACAGTTGGGAAGAATTATCTTTTCAAATTGCAATTTTTATCTGTGAGATAAAAAAGGAAAAATAAGACAAGATATTTACTCCTGGGGAACTATTATCTCTGTGTGTGTGTATATGTGTGTGTGTGTGTGTGTGTGTGTGTCCCCTGATAAGGAGCAACATAGGTATGGGGCTTTGAAGAGATGGAGATTTGATAACTTCAGTGTTCTGGCAGGATTTATCTGCACAGAGACAATTAATTTTGTTGCATTCACAGTTTTCTACACAACATCTAAAACACGATCAGCTTCTCAATAATATTCTCTTCCTGTCATATAATAATCTATACACCTAGTGTAGTGTTCAATTTTGGTCCTCATTTCCTGATTCTGAAAGCCTACTATGAACTTTGGCAGCAAAAAGAGTTTGCTAATTCCAGGGGGAAACAAAACCTAGCTTCCAATTTTGCTTACATGTAAAGCAGCCAGTTCAGTTTGGCAGAAAGTAGACATTCAACAAACAGCATTCTCTCTGCATCCCTTCCCTTTTTCTATTTGCCACAAAAGATTTTTATTCTCTATTGCTAAAACTTACAGAGGCAGGAAAAAAAAAGACTGGGATATTTACACACATAATGGGATAGCCCACAACAAATATATTTTTATTCAGATATCAACCTACTGAAAATGTTAGGTGGTTGAAGTTTTGCAATAAGATGGCAAAATATAAAATTTAGAGTACCAAAAAATACTGGACTTTTTGCTGCCTTCTCTCCAAAACCATAATGCATACCCACGCAGACTTCAAACCAGAACACGCAGCAAGATCCAGCCTACTCCTAATATTATGAAGCCTCCTCCTGCATTTGCCAACTAGATGTCTTTTAGCATCCTTACTGGAGACCCCACCACAATGCATGTGCAACAGACGGGCTCTTCATGGCTGGCTGACAGTGCCTGCCTGTCGAAACACTGGGCTGGGAGCACCTGACATGGATCGCATCACAGTCATGTAGCTATTTATCTGACGAAGCTTAGTCCAGCTGCTAACCATGCCATAAGCCTCTAGCACACACTGCAGCTGCAGTGAAATGTGATGCTTGAGAGCTGTTCAAACCAACGAGCAGCCAAAGTCTACTCTAGGTAGCACCTAAGTTTCATTTCATTTCAGCAAAGTAACTAACAGTAGTTATCATTCTTAGACAACTTGTTCTGGGTGAAACAGCTATTGAAAGGTTTTGCTTTACTTTTGAATATTGGAAAAGATCACAGAATTGGGGTAATGTTAAACATGAAGTACACAGTATTGATAACTATAGGAAATATAAAAGCTTATTATTTTTGTTTTGCTTTGTTTTGTTTTTTTGACATGGAGTCTCGCTCTGTCACCCAGGCTGGAGTGCAGTGGCACAATCTCAGCTCACTGCAACCTCTACCCTCTAAGTTCAAATGATTCTCCTGCCTCAGATTCCTGAGTAGCTGGGATTACTGGCGCTTGCCACCACGCCCTGCTAATTTTTGTATTTTTCGTAGAGACGAGGTTTCACCACGTTGGTCAGGCTGGTCTCAAACTCCTGACCTCGTGATCTGCCTGCGTTGGCCTCCCAAAAAAGCTTATTATTTTAAAAAGCTTTTGGAGGAAGAAACCCTATAAACGATTACACTCTACTCTTTCTCATTATGGATTGGGTTAATGAGGCCCAGAGTGCTACAGTAACCCAGCACAATTCCCTGATTTGAAATCCCTTGTGCTTGCCAACATGCCATCTCCTCTCATAAGAATTAGTCAACATTTATAAACAGAAAATCAAAGTTTATCCATAGAATTTATTATATTGATACAAGTGCTGTGCAGTACAATTTGGCAATATCTATCAATTACAAATATAAATACTGTTTCTTACAGCAACTTAATTTTTAGTCATGTATCTTATGGCAACTCTTGCTCACATACAAAATGACATTTGTACAGGGTTATTTGTTTGCAGAATTGGAAACAACCCCGGTGCCCATAAATAGGGAAGTGATGGATTAAACTATAGTATATCACACAATGTAATTGAATACTATGCAGCTGTATAAAAGGAAAGACCACTTTCTGTGTTGATATGAAAAGATCTCCAAACATCCAGGATATATTGTTAGGAGAAAAAAGCAAGGTATTAAAGAAATATCTCTTGTATGCTACCTTTGTGTAAAAAGCGGACTCATAAGAATAGATATTCATGTTTGCTTTTATATATTAGAAGTATATAGGAGAATTTAAGCAAGTAATTATCTAGAGGAAGCAGTGGGGACAAGAACTGTTCTGTGAACAAACCTTTTCCATGCATAATTGATTATAACACTTTTTCTGCTTAGACCACATAAGTGTATTACTCACTTAGAAATAATACAACATTTTGAAGAATTACAGATACAAAACTAAACTCCATGAATAGACTTACCATTTGCTTTTGAAAAGTCCTCTGTTACCCATAAAAATGATTCATACTGATGTCCAGAGATTGCTTAAGTGCATACTATTCTCAGATTGTATTTATGATTTAAAAGGAAACTTCTGCCTTAATCTCTGCTTCACAATTGCTCAGCCATGTGCATGCACACATGCATATGATCCTTCCTACTAATATAATTTCAGCCATGTTGGTAAATTGGCTCTGGGTTTGTCAGATGGCTTACCCACTCCATCTCTTTACAAGCTTAGCTCTCATAGGCAGCCATGGAAAATAATGGAGAAATCATTTGGAAAACATGTAACTTCCAGAGAGTCAGATTATATATAAATATTGGTTTTGGGTCTGTACCCTATAAACTCACTTTCTATTTTCCTCTCTTGTGCGCTCTCTCTCTCTCTTTTTTTTTTTTCTTTACTTTACTTTAACATACAGGAAAGCTATTGGCCGGGCGCGGTGGCTCACGCCTGTAATCCCAGCACTTTCGGAGGCCGAGGTGGGCGGATCACAAAGTCAGGAGATCGAGACCATCCTGGCTAACACGGTGAAACCCCGTCTCTACTAAAAATACAAAAAAATTAGCCGGGCGTGGTGGCGGGTGCCTGTAGTCCCAGCTACTCGGGAGGCTGAGGCAGGAGAATGGTGTGAACCCAGGAGGCAGAGCTTGCAGTGAGCGGAGATTGCGCCACTGCACTCCAGCCTGGGCGACAGAGCGAGACTCCGTCTCAAAAAAAAAAAAAAGAAAAAAAAGAAAACTATTAGGCATAAAATATAGCTAGGTTTGCAATCCAGTGTGTGACTTTCACATTGGATATAAACCTGATCCTTTCTATGGTTTGAGAACAGTCTCCTAGTCTGTAAAATGGGAATAATAACAGTGTCTCCTTCACAGGAAGGTATGAGGACTAAATGAGATAATGCAGGCTAAGGTTAGTGCAGTACTTTACACATCATAAGCACTGGATCAATGTTAAATTGACCAGCTCTCTCCTCCTTTTCATTTCTTCTCCCATGAATGCTTAGTTAAGAAGAAGATACCAAAATTAGGACCTATTAAAATATATTGCTGTTTTTTCGATTTCTAAACAATCACTGTATATAAACTCCCATGTTTCCTGTGATCTACCTGATGCCTTTCAAATCAGATCACATTGGTTCCCAGTCTTTCACTGTCCACCACTGTTAGGTATATTCATCGCTTCTCCCCCTTAAAGCTCTGGACTTCTAGCATATCCCCATTAAATCCACTTGGGATCAAACATGAAACGCAGCTTAGGGTTACCTAAGAGTCTTAATTTAACCCCCCCCCCCCCACACACACACACAGAGTACATGTGTTAAAGGCTTCCATAGAGGTAGGGATTAATAGTTAAGGCCAGAGGCTCTAAAACTCTACCACTGTAGCTCATGATCATCTATTGAAAGGAAGGCTTAAAAGTTAGTTTTACCAGGTCTACATGGAGGAGGCAGAATCATGCAATCTTTTATGTTTCCTACACCATCCCAAGCAATTTTGAACCCTCGCCTTAGCGTCTAAGGCAAATCATTTTCAAGACTGCCTCAGTCCTTTTCCCACATTCCTATCGTCTGTCCCAGCTCTTATGAATGTCCTGGGATCTCTCAGAGTCACTGTAGCCCTCAAGAAGCAGATAAGGTTATGTAATTATAAAACAGCCACTAAGTGCTCGAACCAGAATAAGAAATAACTTGAGGACATTTTCTGTTGTCAGACAGAAAGTGGCACTAAGTTTCTCCTAAGCTAAAACAATTCAGTCAGAGATATACCCAAAGTAACTGCAGCTACCATCTTAATTCATTTACTTCAATCAAAGAATCAAATTATCTCCGTTGTGGTAAAATCTAATTGATGTTATGACAATTAAGCCTTAAACACCCTTCTCAATCAGTCATAGAAACTGGGACTTGGTATTCCCCTTGGTGGTTAAACTTTTAAAACCTGATTGTTTGCTTTAAACCACACCAGAATAAGAGACTGGTGATAAACTGTATCTCATTTCTGGTTTAGCACCAACTACATGCCTAACCAGGTAAATTGCTTGACACCAGTCTTCCTAACTCAAAAAAAAAAAAAAAAGTTGTTAAAACATTAAGGACAGAGTAATTATGATAATTGAGATAATAGCAATGAACCTGACTCCCCCTTTGCTTTGAGGAATAGCTATACATCAATCCCTACTTTCCTACCCCTGGAGGCAATGGGTAACTTGTAAACTTGGCCACACCGGCTTCAGTTATCAGACCTCAATGTCTGCTTTAAGAATAGACAAAAATCAGGTCCAATAATAAGTACAAGTGTTATGGAAGAAATCAATGTTTGCTAATGCTTTCAGATCTTGATTGAAAACTGCCTGGGGGAGAACATTTTTTAATAATTATGTTTGCATTCTGTTCACATAAATACACTCAATTTTCAGTGTGGTCGAGGTGCAGCTCGCCCTAGAGTTTTTCTATTAAGTTCTACCTTGAGAAAATCTTGTGGAAGCTTCTGTAAGATGTTGTTATTATTACTTTTTTTTTTTTGCAAAGTAGATTGTGAGAGATTTCTTTTTCCTAGAAGATAAAAATGTGCAACTGAACAGTAGTTGACAGCATCTTGTTCAGGCTAAATTCCTTGTCTCCAGACAAGGTAGATTTAGGCAACTGCAATTGACATCCCTGAAAACAGGAATAGACTAAATAATGGAAGCACAGATAGATGTGGGGAAGGACTGTTATAATAAACTCAGCCAACTGTTCAATTAATAATTTTTTTAAAGAACTAAGTCTTACTAAATGCCATGAAGCTTTCATTCCAAATCATTTGTTTAATTTCATGTGTAAATTATGGAAACGCACCAGTTTTCCAACTATTGAAACAGATTTTGGAGCTATGTTGTTTGAAGTGATTGTAGTTCAGAAACATCTCTTTTCAATTAGCTCTGAAACCTCTTTCAACAGCCTTTCATAAATAGGCCAACATCAATGGCATGCTCAGATCCAGTGTGGGTCTCTAATGGAAATGCACAATGGGCCTCGCGCCATGCCTGCAGGGGCAAACATCTTCCATTTCAGACAGATCCAATGAGAAATGGTGCCAGCTACTCTGGGTCTCCCACTTTTTGGTCTCAGGTTTAGCTCATCGCTAATCAATGCTTGTGTTGTTTAATTACATTGTACAGTCAGTAATGATTTGTCACTCGTTGAACCTGGGCGGTCTTCTGAGCCATCACCAATGTAAACTGCAAAGGCAAGGTAACCTTAACTGCCAGGACTCCACATTGGAAAACAGAAACATCTTCCTGATAAAAGGAAATGCTGAGTTTGGGGGGAAAAGGAAAAGGAAGATAATGTTCTTATATTTAAATTGTACAAAATACTAGAGGCCTGTCCCTTCCCTATCCAGAATTCTGGACCAGAAACGTCTGCCCACCAAAGGGTTTATACAACTCTTATCTATTCGATAGCACTTAATGACCTGAATGATACTGGAAACTCAGTAGATATTGATTGATATATTGACTAAGAACAAGTTTTAGCATATATATCTATATCTATATCTATATATATCATATATATCATATATATCTATATATATCATATATCTATATATATAGCATATATATATATCACACACACACACACACACAGAGATAGAGACAGACAGAGAAAGAGAGAGATATATCCCTCTAGTATATCAAAATTCTGAAATTGATTTCATGTTCCATTAACTAGGAATGCGATGTTGCATGGCACTAGAGAATGAAAATATTTTTTTAAATAAAGGATTAATTATCTTACAATAGCCAAAATGTTTATGGTCATATAAATATATTTATTACTGGTATAGTATAGTCAACAATCAATAAGAAGAAATATTTAACCAATCAGAATGGACACAGACTTGTGTGCCATTATATCTTAAACTTAATCATAAAGTGTTAAGTTTAAGAAATTAAGTTTATGTAAATTAACAAAAGCTTAAATTCCAATATATTCATAGCCAAAATGGTACGTTTTGTCAGCATAGGTAGACAAACAGACTTCTGTCAAAATGTACTGCAACATGGATGGTGGAGTACAGCTAGAAAAGTAAGTAACTGGGAAATTAAAGTGCTGTGTTCAGTTTCAATGCTGTACCTCAAATAGATTTAATCCCAGTGCTCCTGTTGTTAGCAATAAGAAGATATTCTAGTTATATATTGATAGAACTGGTTTTAAAAAAAGCAGATACTGGTATGTTTTTCCTAAAGTAAACAATAAGTACAGGGATGATTTGTTTTATAAGAGATAAATTAATTGATAATTATTCCATTTGCAAAATCAAATCAAGTATGCTCTTAGAATCTCTTTGAATAAGAAAAATCTGTGTTGCCTTTAAAATATGTTCTTTCAATTAAACATTACAGGCATTTTTATTAAAAGTAGGAAGAAAGACAAAATAATCTACTAGTTCCACTCATCTGAAAGTTCCAACCAACAGAATAAGTAAAAGAAAGGAATATACAATTAAGAAAGGAGCTATCAATGCATCATTATTTGAATATGATATAATTGTCTATGAAAGACAACTTAAAATCTAATAAAAGGTCATACTATGTGTTAGAATGTAACTATTAATTGCTCCCCCACATATAAGAAATTAACTTTTTAGAAAATGTAATTGAAAATGTACAGCATACATCAAAAATTCACAATGCCGAAAAATATGCAAGTATCTAGAAATAAATAAACTTAATAAAATATATGCAAGTTTCAAATGAAGAAAACTGAACAATTAAAAAACTTCATTCAAATTCATGAAGAGGTATATCATGATTAGGTAAAGAAAGACACAATATTGTAAAGATATGAATTCTTCCTTAATTTAGCTTGTAAACTTAGTTCTGTTCTGAATTGCAATGTGGTTTTCATAATAAAGAAAACAAATCTAAAACTGATTCAAAAGAAAGACTTGAGGAAAAATATAAAGAATTTTAATGAAGAAGAATAAAGAGGTCATTATATAATTTAATATTTTAGTTTAATATTTAAATATATAATATAATATTAAATTATATAATAAAACTACAATATTTTAAATACTTTGGGAGTGGCATAAGAATTAAATAACAGAAAAATTGAGCCTTAGAAAGCTGAGAAACAGACCATCCCATGCACATCAACTTAGTTATGTTAGGGTATTTCAACTCAAATTCAATGAAAAGAATCCTTCCAATAAATATACAAAATTTGTTAACTATTTGGAGGGAAAGTTAGATCTCTATTCCAAACCATACACCAAAATAAATACCAAATTGACTAAAGAGTTAATTGTAAAAACTGAAATCATAAAAGAATTAGGTAAAATAAAGGATAAATCCAAAAGAACAATTAGTAACTCTACACAACAACATTGATGCATCCATCTTAAGTGCATGTTGCTAAGTGAAAGAAGACAGTCCGAGAAGCCTGCATACTGTATTATTCCACTTATGTGACATTCTGGAAAAGGTAAAACTATAGAGATGGCAAAGCTTGTGGTTGCCAGGGGTTTGGAGATGAAGGAGGGTTAAAAAGGTGAAGCACTGGGGATTTTTGATGGCTATAAAATTATTCCATGTATATTCCTGGGGAACCTGGTGCTAAACCATTCTTGGACAACCTGCTTCTGGGTCAGGGTTTTGTACATAGCAGAGTGGCTCTCTTGCCGTGATTATTGAGTCAGCCCTTGACATAAGGGTGTGTAAGATATAATAAAGAGAAAACACCAACAATAATTTTAACAAGCAAAAAATATAAAAATAAATAAAATTATTTTACATGGTACTACAGTGGTGGATACATGACACTGCATTTGTCAAAATCCATATAGCACCTTAAAAATACCAACCAGGAGGGGAGGGGATGCCAGAATAAGATGGAACTGTGAGAAAACAATCTAGCTGTGTTACAAATGTTTGATATAACTTGTGTAAAGTACAACAATGTAGGGGCAAGGAAAAAGACTTACTGACCTAAGTAACTCTGGAAATGACTGGAACCATAAAACTAAAAACAAATAAAACTGTATATAGCACTGAACTCTACCTGGAAAGTTGTTTTCTATGGGGTCTTGGGTGACCAACTCTGAAACCAGTACATATGTAGGCTGAGATTGGAAAAATAAGTAAAAGGATGATAGTTGCTGGAGCCAGGATTGTTACTAGAGGAGTGAAAATTTACAGATAAGAAAAGGCTAAGGCTAAAATGAAGCATGTGGTTGTAGATTAGAGTGAGAGACATGAGTAGGACCTCAAGTTTAGCTTAATAAAGATGTTAATGGATATATATAATCATTGGTGTTAAAATCAACATATATAATCATTGATATGCATATATACACAGATTATACATATACTTTCTTGCTCTGTCAGCTGAGAGGATCTAGAAACAAGGATTCTCCAGTAGCAATGTGCAAACCCAGGACTCAAATTTTCATTTCTAATAACACCCTACAATAAAAGGAACTAAGGCTCCTTGGAGAAATTACTGATTGTAGAGTTGGAAAAGGAATATATAAGATTAGCCTGGAGCTCCTTGTAGTGTCAGGAAGTAAGGAGGTGCCCCAAAACCAAATGATTGGGGAATGTCAACCCTTTGACAAAAGCCAACTGAAAGAGCTCCCACCTGAGCAACAGGACGAAACCCCATCTCTACTAAAAATACAACAATTATCCAGGAATGGTGGCATGCGCCTGTAGTCCCAGCTACTAAGGAGGCTGAGGCACAAGAATCACTTGAACCCAGGAGGCGGAGGCTGCAGAGCCGAGATCATGACACTGCACTCCAGCCTGGGTGACAGAGCGAGACACTTTCTCACAAAAAAAAAAAAAAAAAAAAAAAAAAAAAAAAAGAAAGCTCCCAATGGCCAAAACTGGAACAATTTGAGCAATGAAATTTATAACATTGTATTGGACTATAACTTAAAAAAAATCTCCATGAGTTTATACAGATATAAATAAATCATTGAAAAAGTAAATAGGAGAGAAGAGACAAATCTCCTGTAATGAATTCCAAACAACTTGTATAGATACTCCACTGTCAAGGAGTTTCAAGCATTAACTCCCTATGATTTAAATTTGAGCCATGCATATGGGAAAGTAGGTGAGAGGATGAGTAACTTTACAGTGGAAACCTGATGAGCACTATCTTTCTCAGATGATCAAGGTTAATATAAATGTGGCTTATCATTGATGGTGTGTATTTTTGATATGATATAATGACGTAGAACTTTACCTCTATGTTCTGTCTCCCAAAAACCCATAATCCCAATCCAATAATGAGAACAATATTAGACAAATCCTACCTGAGAGACTTTCTACAAATATTTGGCCAGTACACCTCAAAATGCAAAGGTTATCAAGAACAAGAACGGTCTGAAAAACTGTCACACCCACAGGAGCCTGCAGAGGCATAATGATTGAATGCAATGTGGTGGTATCCTGGATGAGATCTCAGAACAGAAAAAGGACATTAGGTAAAAACAAAGGAAATCTCAATAAAATATGGCCTTCAGTTGATAATAATATATCAATAGTGGTGTATTAGCTGTGACAATGCATTGTACCATTGTGACACATGCACTGTACTAATGTAAGGTGTTTATAATGAGTGAAATTGAGTGCAGAGTATATGAGAAATCTCTGTACTATCTTTGCAACTTTTCTGTAAAACTATTCTAAAATAAAAAATTAATTTTTTTAAATAGAAGAATTTTTTTTGATCTCTGTATTGAGAATACCTTTCTAAGCATAATGCCAAAAGGTGAAATCACTATAAACTAAAAGATTAACAGATTTGACCTCATAAAAATTAATGATTCCTGAATGGTATTGCCTAGGTTTTCTTCTAGAGTTTTATGGTTTTATGTCTTACATTTAAGTCTTTAATCCATCTTGAAGTAATTTTTGTATAAGGTGTAAGGAAGGGGTCTAGTTTTAGTTTTCTGCACATGACTAGCCAGTTTTTCCCAACACCATTTAGTAAATAGGGAATCCCTTCCCCATTGCTTGTTTTTGTCAGGTTTATCAAAGATCAGATGGTTGTAGATGTGTGATGTGATTTCTGAGGTCTCTGTTCTGTTCCATCGGTCTATGTATCTGTTTTGGTACCAGTAGCATGCTGTTTTGGTTACTGTAGCCTTCTAGTATACTTTGAAGTCAGGCAGCATAATGCCTCCAGCTTTGTTCTTTTTGCTTAAGATTGTCTTGGCTATGCAGGCTCTTTTTTGGTTCCACATGAAATTTAAAGTAGTTTTTTTTTTTAATTCTGTGAAGAAAGTCAGTGGTAGCTTGATGGGGATAGCATTGAATCTATAAATTACTTTGGGCAGTATGGCCATTTTCATGATATTGATTCTTCTTACTCATGAGCATGGAATGTTTTTCCATTTGTTTGTGTCCTCTCTTATTTCCTTGAGCAGTGGTTTCTACTCCTTGAAAAGGTCCTTCACATCCCTTGTAATTTGTATTCCTAGGTATTTTATTCTCTTTGTAGCAATTGTGAATGGGAGTTCACTCATGATTTGGCTCTCTGTCTATTAATGGTGTATAGGAATACTTGTGATTTTTGCACATTGATTTTGTATCTGAGACTTTGCTGAAGTTGCTTATCAGCTTAAGGAGATTTGGGGCTGAGACAATGGAGGTTTCTAAATATATAATCATGTTATCTGCAAACAGAAACAATTTGACTTCCTCTTTTCCTAATTGAATACCCTTTATTTCTTTCTGTTGCCTGATTGCCCTGGCCAGAACTTCCAATACTATGTTGAATAGGAGTGGTGAGAGAGGGCATCCTTGTCTTGTCAAAGGGAATGCTTGTCAAAGGGAATGCTTGTCAAAGGGAATGCTTCCAGCTTTTGCCCATTCAGTATGACATTGGCTGTGGGTTTGTCATAAATAGTTGTTATTATTGTGAGATATGTTCCATCAATACCTAGTTTATTGAGAGTTTTTATGGGCAAAGGCTTCATGACTAAAACACCAAAAGCAATGGAAACAAAATCCAAAATTGACAAATGGGATCTAATTAAACTAAAGAGCTTCTGCATAGCAAAAGAAACTATCATCAGAGTGAACAGGCAACCTACAGAATGGGAGAAAACTTTTGCAATCTATCCATCTGACAAAGGGCTAATATGCAGAATCTAAAAGGAACTTAAACAAATTTACAAGAAAAAAAAACAACCCTATCAAAATGTGGGCAAAGGATATGAACAGACTCTTCTCAAAAGAAGACATTTATATGGCCAACAAACATATGGAAAAAAGCTCATCATCACTGGTCTTTAGAGAAATGCAAATCAAAACCACAATGAGATACCATCTCAAGCTAGTTAGAATGGTGATCATTAAAAAGCAAGGAAACAACAGATGCTGGAGAAGATGTGGAGAAACAGGAATACTTTTACACTGTTGGTGGGAGTGTAAATTAGTTCAACCATTGTGGAAGACAGTGTGGTGATTCCTCAAGTATTTAGAACCAGAAATGCCATTTGACCCAGCAATCCCATTACTGGGTATATACCCAAAGGATTATAAATCATTCTACTATAAAGACACATGCACATGTATGTTTATTGCATCTCTATTCACAATAACAAAGACTTGGAACTGACCCAAATGCCCATCAATGATAGACTGGATAAAGAAAATGTGGCACATATACCCCATGGAATATTATGCAGCCATAAAAAAGGATGAGTTCATGTCCTTTGCAGGGATGACATGGATGAAGCTGGAAACTATCATTCTCAGCAAACTAACACAGGAATAGAAAATGAAACACTGCATGTTCTCACTAATAAGTGGGAGTTGGACAATGAGAACACATGGACACAGGGAGGGGGAGATCACACACTGAGGCCTGTCAGGGGTCGGAGATAGGGGAGGGATAGCATTAGGAGAAATATCTAATGTAGATGACGGGTTGATAGGTGCAACAAACCACCATGGCACATCTATACCTATACCTATATAACGAACCTGAACGTTCTGCACATGTATCCCAGAACTTAAAGTATAATTTTAAAAAGTAATAACTCATAACATAATGTAAAGGTGTATTAATTGAGGAGAAATTTTTTGCAACATATACTTTAGCAAAAAAAGATATATTTAACCTGTAAATAATGCTTTTTATAAACCAATAGTATCAAATTTTAAAGCCAACCTCATGAACTAGCAATTCTCTAAAGAAATGCATAAGTTCAATAAATATAGGAAAAGTATTCAACCTTGCTAAGTAAAGATATGAAAATACAATCAAATAAGCTAGTACTGAGCAAAATTATTTTAAATTATGATGTCCCTTATAGAGTGAAAAGAAACAGGAACAGTGGAAGGTACAATTCTACTTGAGAGTGAAATTTTACTGTGTTTCCAGAAACAAAGTTTATCCAAACATATGCACACAAAACACACACACACACACACACACACACACACACACACACACACGTACACATAAAGGCATTAATGTAGAAAGTCCACTTCTAAGGATTCATCATAAGGGAGCAATGGACATACAAAAACATGCTTCAATAAAGATCTCCAATGGTAGGAATTTAGTAAAAATCAGTTATAATAATATATGAAACATAAAACCTGGCAACTAATGAAAATCACTTATTGATGATTCTTTAAAGTAATGTGGTAATATTTATAATGTATGAGAAATAAAAACAGTTAACTTTTATTTTTTAAAATATGCATACGAAGCAAAAGACTGAAAACAGACACACAAAATAGTGGTTTCCCTGTGAGAGGTAGGATTGGACATAGGAGAGGATAGAAAAACTTCTATTTTTTGTAATTTAAAACATATATTATTTGTGTTTTTATAACATCCATGTGTTATTTTATAAGTTAAAAACTAATGAAGATGTTATTTTTACAGTCTTCCTCCAAAAAATTACTGCCTAAAAATTTCAGTTTATATTTTAGTTGTATAGATATGCAGAAAAATCTGGGAAAATATATACCAAAATGTTAATAATATTTGCTACTGGTCATAAGATTACTGGGTGTTTTTGTTTGTTTTCTGCTTTTCTGATTTTTTTTTAAATTCAAGGTTTATTCTTTTTTATTTTCCTTCCAGCTTTTAACTTAGGTTCAGGGAGTACCTGTGCAGACTTGTTACATGAGTAAATTGTGTGTCACTGGGGTTTGATGTACAAACTATTTTGTCACCCAGGTAGTGAGCATAGTACCCAATAGGTAGTTTAATTCTCACCCTCCTCCCATCCTTCACCCTCATGTAGGCCCTAGTGTCCATTCTTCCCCTCTTTGTGTCCAAGTGTACTCAGTGTTTAGCTCCCACTTATAAGTGAGAACACTTGGTGTTTGGTTTTCTGTTCCTGTGCTAATTTGCTTTGTATAATGGCCTTCAGCTGCATTCATGTTGCTGCAAAGGACATGATTTAATTCTTTTTTATAGCTGCATAGTATTCTATGGTGTATACGTACCACATTTTCTTTATCCAATCCACTGTTGATGGGCATCTAGGTTGATTCCTTGTCCTTGCTATTGTGAAAAGTAATGCGCGATGAACATGTTTGTGCATGGGTCTGTATGCTGAAATTATTTATATTCCCTTATATGTCCAGTAACGGGATGCTGGGTCAAATGGTTTAAATTATGTTTTAAGTTATTTGAGAAATCTCCAAATTGCTTTCCACAGTAGCCGAACAAATTTACATTCCTACCAGGTGTGTATAAGCATTTTCTTTTCTCCACAATGAATTTTCTAATTTAACAAAATTACTGCAATAAAAATAGTCATTTGTAAGAAAAAAAACAGAAAATATAAGATAATTTTAAAAGATTTTTTAAAATTCAGAAACAATGCATACACACAGTTATGTTTTTACCTTTATTTCAATTTTTATTTTAGATATTGAGAGAACTCCAGAAAAGTGCATTTATATATAGTTATTCACCTAGCTCCCAATGTCTTTCTTTTAGTCACTAAATACTAATTTTTTGAATGGTTACTTACTTTGTACCACAAACTAAGATGACTATTTTTCCATAACTCACCATCTTTCAAAAAAACTGTAGGATATAATCAATTTGCCTTCTTTAGAAAAGAAATTAGACATATTGTCAACATATTGTGTAACTGGATTTGAATTGCTACAGTTAAAAAACTTACAGAAATTCTAAGACAATTAAATATGACATTTGGGCAAAATGGCCATCAGGCTAAAATAGCTGGGGGAAGGAGGTATGGGCAGAGAGGCACTTGCTGATACAGATGCCTCTGTAGGTTACAACCCTAATATATCTTGATATAAAGGTATAAAATTTTTAAAGTGTCTCCAAATTTATAGTGTAAAGGGATTTCTGAGGACAGTGGCTTCTCCTAAATTAGGAAACCCAGAAGTATATAAGGATCCTTAACTAAGTTAAATAATGCCTAAAGAGTGTCTAATGTGATTGTTTTCAAAGGAAAATGCCTATGTGTTTATAAAACAGGTATCAGTGAAAGTGATTTGGAGTTAACTGCTATACCCAAGTTTAACTTGAAGAAATTTTCTAATTAAATGTCACCTATTCCTTTAATCACATCAAAATTTAGGTCCTGTAGGTCAGCTGAGATCAAAACCTAAGGTTTGTCTAATCAGCATATCAGTGTTAGCTAAAATTATGCTTCTGAATGATGGCAGTTAATAGGTTTACATGGCAGTTTCCTCCCAAAGGATATTTAAAAATATGTTCTGCCATTGTTGGCTTTTATTGAGCTTCTTGCTCTCTGCATCTTTCAAAGAAAGTTATAAAATGAACTGATTTCCACACACAATTTGGTTTCCTTATCATCACATTCTCCCATTAGGGCCTTGGAGGCATTGCTTCAGGAGCTCTGGACTTCAGTCCTCACTCGAGAATGAATTAGTTATACAAGCTTGAGCACACCTGGACATCAATTTCCTTATCTGCAAAATGAAAGCCGCAAACTGAATGATCTCTAATATTCCATCCAGTTTTATAATTTTAAATCTCTTAAGTCACAAAATGAGTTAGTGCTCAGTACATTTAACTGATGGAAATCAGTTTCTTAAATAATCTCATTAAACAAGGTGTATAACTTCCTAGATGTGTAGGAGTGTTACTGCTTTAGAAATGTGTACTAGTCCACTATTGCCTTTCAAATGCTGCATAACACACCAAACCAAAAAATCACTGGCTTACACAATTATTTAACCTCTTGCTCACAGGCCTGCAGTTGTCTTGGACTGCTCTGTCACAGCCTTTAAAATGTAGGATGGCTAGAGCAACTCTGCTCCATGTGTCTCACTCAGTGGTCCAAGGTAGAGGGGCAGCAGATACCTAGAGGCTGTTTTATTAATGAAGGAGTTTGGAAGCTCCAAAAGGGGCCAGTGGAAAAACCAATGCTTCCTAATACCTTGGTTCAAACTGGCAGATTATCACTTCCACCTACTCCCATTGGCCAAAGCCAGTCTTATCACCAAGCCTAACATGAATGAGCGAGGGAAACAGACCCTTCCACTGAGGTAGGCAGTGGACAAGGGAGTAAGTACTTCTGAAAAAATTCCAGTCTATCACATTGACAGACAGCCCAAAGAGCAGAGCTCATGAATGCAATTTTCTTTTTTTCTTTTTCTTTTCTAAGATAGGATTTTGCTCTTGTTGCCCAGGCTGGGGTGCAACGGTGTGAAGACTCACTGCAACCTCTGCCTCCTGGGTTCAAGCAATTCTCCTGCCTCAGCCTCCTGAATAGCTGGAATTACATGTGCCTGCCACCACACCTGGCTAATTTTTGTATTTTTAGTAGAGACGGGATTTCACTATGTTGGCCAGGCTGGTCTCAAACTCCTGACCTCAAGTGATCCACCCACCTCGGCCTCTCAAAGTGCTAGGATTACAGGCATGAGCCACCGTGCCTGGCAAATGGATGCAATTTTCTAAATGACTTAATTCAGTGGATAATTAGCTATCATTCATTGAATCAACACGTTTTGAAGAACCTTCTAAGTGTCAGGCAGTGTTCTAGGAGCTGACAGGGCTTGCTGGCAGAATAAGATATGCAGGGTGAGAGTAAAAAAGATAAAGATGATGACTCCTGGGTTTTAGGCTTGTAGAAGCTGGATGATGGTACCATTTACTGAAACAGGGAAGAGCGGGAGAAGTAGGTTTGGGTGGGAAGTTAAGGAATTTGCTTTAGACTTTCACCATGTGCACTGGTCTTTATATTTTATAAAGTGCTTTCACTCACATTATGTCCTGTTACTTTTCATCTGACAAGAAAATGTGGTGAATAGCCTGTTTTTGTTTTCCGTTGCTGCCTTTTTTTTTTTTTAAAAAAAGGCACAGATTTGGCAACTCGAACAATACACATTTATTATCTCATAATTGCCTTGGGAAAGGACTTCAGGTCGGAATTGACTGGGTCTTCAGCTCAGGTCTCAGGCTGAAATCAAGCCAACTGTACTTTCTCACCTGGGGTTCTAGGTGAGCTGTTCTAAGCTCACTGGTTGTTGGCAAAATTCTCTTCTTTGCAAGTGCGGGACTGAGATCTTTATTTTCTCTCTCCCATTGGTCAGGGTTGGTCTCAGCTTTTAGAGGCTCCTTGCCCCCATAGGAAGACCACAACATAGGTGTTTTCTTACTATAGGTCAGCAGGAACTTCTCTGACTTATTCTGAGACCAGCTGAAGAAAACTTTCTTTTTTTAATGGACTGGTAATTAGATTAGGATCGCCCAGATATTTTGAGATCAACTGAGTTGGGACTTTTAATTCCATCTGCAAAATCCTTTCACAGAAGTACCTATATTAGTGTTTGACTGAATAAGTAAGGGCTAGGAAAGTTAGGAGGGGACCATCTTTGGAATTCTACCTACCACATAAGCCCAATTTGCAGATGACTCAACTGAACCATGGTTGAATTGACTACCATCAGAAAGCACATCTAGTGGTGAGGCTTATACCTGACCTTCATCTTTTGATTCAGTCTAGAGCTCCTTCCACCATGCCATGCCTCCTCTCTTTCTCCAGGAACACTTCCTACAATACAGTGACCACTTTCTCACTTCCTTCTTATGAGCCCTGAACTGTAAACAATACAGCACCCTACAAAATTATAATTGCATTATTATTTACATATTCATGTGTCAAATCTCACATAGCACTTAATAAGCACCGTAGGAATTAACCAAAGTGGGGAGTTTCTAGCTGTACATTTAGAGAATCATGGCTATGCACATTTGATGTTAGCATTTCCTATGAAACATTTTCACAGCCATAAAAGTGACCAGCATGCTATTAACCAACATGTTAAAGTGGTGCTAATACTATTAACAATACCTTTTTTTTTTTTTTTTGTGATGGAGTCTCACTCTGTCACCCAGGCTGGAGTGCATTGGCATGATCTCAGCTCACTGCAACCTCCGCCTCCTGAGTACAAGTGATTCTCCTGCCTCAGCCTCCCGAGTAGCTGGGATTACAGGTGCCCGCCACCACACCTGGTTACTTTTCTTGCATTTTAGTAAAGACAGGGTTTCACCATATTGGCCAGGCTGGTTTCGAACTCCTGACCTCAAGTGATCTGCCCACCTTGGCCTCCCAATGTGCTAGGATTACAGATGTAAGCCACAGCACCCAGCCCAATGTCATTTTTAAAAGTACCATTATCAAGTATTTATCAGAAACAATAAGTTAAACAAAATTAATCTGGCAATATAGGGCCTTTTAAAGCTTGTAATATGCTAATATGTGTTATAGAGCAACAAGAGGGAGATATAATATATGAAACTTGATGTAAAGCCTTTTTTCTATCAAGCATTTCAAAGTGCTAGCATGCCACAAAACACTTACTTTAGTTTTATGTAAGACCAAGTCCCTTTCACTCATCACAGTCAAGGAGTATCCCTTACATCTGTAGCTTTCAAGGCCATGGGTAGTGGTAGGATGGATAAGCCCATTCAACCTTAAGAAACTCTGTGTCCTCAAAGCTACCAGTGGAAAGGTGTTGTGGTCAGTCTGTTGCTATTCAGTGACAAGTGTATCTTAAAGAATGGAAATAAAAACACATCAAAACTGGAACTTTTTTTTTAGGCCTTGTAAAATATATTCCAGAAATGAACCTGGAGAAAACAGAAGGTCTAAGGAAATACTATATTGGGGAAAAGAGAGGGGGAAAAAGGCCTCTAGCACAGACATAAATTTTTATGTCAGGGGACCTAAGATGGATATCAAAGTGAATATTAAATTTACCTAGGATAACTAATCTAAATGACCTAAAAACCAAATCTGCCATTAATCCCATTGTTGGTGATAAATCTATGGCTGGACATTAAAAAAAAAGATGACATGCATAACTTATACTATGTACATCAGTTTCCAAAGCACATGAAGAAAACTTGGGAATGTATTACATGTGACCTCAACTGTACACTAAATTCTGAGCAGTTCTTGCTTTGGATTTTTTAGTTAAGAGAAATATTCATAGCATCATTTTTTCTTGATCAGCATAGATGAACTGTACATAAAAATGACATTTTATTCTTTCAATGAGCACTATTTCTTCAAGTATGTTCATCTTTTTCCAGTGCTCTTTCAGCTTCTCTTTCGCATCATCGGGAGACATTATGGGTGGCCTATTGCTAAGCTTTGCAGAGAAGAAACCCAGCAAACCTACATGAGGCTTGTTGGAGCTCATAGCAAGAGCTCAACTAAGAAATCATTGGAAAATGATCGCTAAATGACGAAGTCACTGCTGCTGCCAGTGGACAGAGCAGCATATCCTGTTTACATGCCCATCCTGAGAGCTTCAATAAGACCAGCTCAGAGATTGTAAACCTCTTAATTACTGACACCTAACATCTGAGGACTTCATAGTTGGGTGGAGTAGGGTTCTAAGTTTTCTTGGACCAGCCCACTTCTTTTTTCACATGCTTTCTCCACTCTTCAGTGCCTGCTCCAAGGGATCATCAAGTTTTTCCTGGAAACTAAGCTGTTTCATTGCTCAGGGGAGACTTTGACACCAACAGCTTAAACAAACACCTTTTGTGTTCTCGCCACTCTTTTTACCAAACACTCTGCTATCAACCTAGAAACAGTGGCTTGAAAATATCAGCTGTAGTAATAGGCAAAGAAAAATTGTCTCCTCATATTTTCTAAGAGTGTGGTCAAGGAAACAGCATATTAATATTCAGAAAGATAACCATATTCTCATACAAGCTTAATAGTAGAGCTTTTCTCATAAGAAGCTCTGTATTCTTTAGTTTGTGCAATTATTTATCTATTTATTCAATTAACAATTTATCAAGTTTTCAACATGTGCAAACACTGTCTTAGAAGCTGGAAATGCAGTGATAAAGACCGGCATCCCCAGTGAAAAAAAAAAAGTACAGTTTAGTGGAAAAATAGCCAAATATTTGCAATGCAGTGTGATTGAAGTTACAATAGCCATTATCTTGAGGCGAGATAGGATCATAGAGGCCAGAGAGTTAGCCAAACCTGGAAGAAGGAAGCATGATACAAGAGAGCAAAGGAGGACATATTTAGGCTGGATTTGAAAAGATAAGTAGTAGATTATTTATTTATTTACTTACTTTCTTATAGTTAGGTAGTTGATTAGTACTACCCGTATTGTTCCAGAAAAGTGTACGGAAACTTTCAAAAATGCCTATAATATCAAAAGGTAACAGAAATGCAAAATAAGGTTTTTGTTTAAAGTGGAGAAGGAGGGACAAAGGAAAAATAGTGGGGAAAACCAGTTGACCTAAGAGTGAAATTCAATGCATGCTAGTAAATGTCTATGTGTTTGTAAGATGAGAACCAAAAATTTGGTTTCAAGCCTTGCAGCAGCCATCATAAAAAAAGGAATTATGAATTAGTCCTCAAACAGAGAGATGAATTCAAAATAAGAGCTGGTATTCATCCAGTTAAGCATTTGCAAAACAGAGATAAAGAGAAAAATCAGTAACCTACAGAAGTTTTCATGTCGTAACGTAGTCCACGAGTGAGAAATGAGGATGGGTGAAGCTACAGAGGTAAGAGGTCACATTAAACGGAGCTATCAGAGGATTTTAAGAGTGAGTTGACATGGTCAAACTTTTTATTTTAGGAGGCTGAGTGGGGCAGTGACCCAGTTAAGAGCTTATGAGGACTTGCAGGTTATGGCAGTAGAACTGTGGAAAATAGAATGAATTCAAAGGATATTAAGGAGTTGGAATTGACAGGACTATAGATAGAGAGAGGAGCAGGTGCCATACAGGTGAATTGTACTTCAAAGCCTTTGGGTTTTGTGTTTTTAATCTTTATGATAGAAATTCAGTCTAGCCAGACCGTCTACAAAAGATACAAAAGGAAAGTCTAATGTGAACTAATTTATCTGATTACTTTTCTCCAATAAAACAAGAAGGGAGAAAAAATTTTAGAACAATTGCATTTCTTGGGGTAAAACATTGTCCTGGTTTGGGGAGGATTCACAGCTATGGGCAGCTGGAAAGGCAAGCTGAGCAGCCCTACAATAGAGTTGGGTGAAAAGATTGGGGAGGGGATGCAGAAAAAGAGAGAAGGATGGATCACAAGATGTATTTTACATGGTTCAGAATTTTGCCTAACACTTGCTCAATGGAGGTGAGATGACAGTGACATGCACCAGATTTAAGAATTCAGTAGCATACACTTTGACCAAAAGTAATTTTGTTAATATGGTTATTTGCTTTGAGAATAATATACCTGGTTACTGGTTTCTTCATTTTGTTTGTTTTTTTGACTCACTAATTTTGGTTCATTTTTCAGCCCTTTCTTTTTACCATTTTTATATCTTTTTAGGGCTATTTCTCTGTTTATTTGAATTAATTTTTAATAAATGATTCCATAACCTCAAACTCAAAGAATAAATAAGTTAAAGAAATTAGAGGTAATTGGGTATAACAATAATGATGATGATGGCTGATATTTATTGAGTACTTATTATGTGCCAGAGATTCTATACATTACTAATTTAACATTTACAATAACTCTGTGATGTAGTTACTATTAATATCACCATTTTACAATAACATATAGCAAAATAAAATGGCTTCTCCTAGGAACAACCCTCTTCACTTTTTAACCCAAATCATATCTATACTGGAGGAATTTCACCAGAAGAATCAGTGTGCTGGTACTCTAAATATTAATGTTGACTGAATGAATGTCACTAATATTTGACCCTCTAGAATAAAATCTTACCCTTATTAATAACAAATGATCATCTTAATAATATATTCCATTTGCTTTCTTATTCTGCCCTCACAGGAACCCTGTGAGGTAAACGGGCAGAGGACATTGAAGAACCACAGAAGAGACAAAAAGAGAACAAAACAGCCTGCTTACTTCTGTTCTGTATTCTTCTTAATGTGTAAATCATTTTTCCTAAAAGTATAAACTTCTACTTCTGGTGTCTTACTAATTTATTCTAATACCTTAGTAGCTACAAGTGGCCCCTATCAACATAACTGCTTGTTATTTCCTGTTGATGATACAGAATGTTCAACAAGGTTCTCAAACTTCCAGTAGTAATATTAACTTCCTGGACTGTTCGCAAAACCTCAGTGAAAAGTCTCCAGGGAAAGTAACCATGAAAATAAACAAAGATCAGGCACTTTATTGAAGTCCAAGCCACTAGAGAAGATCTTAGTGATATTATGTCTATTCTATATTTTTATGTTGGGAAATGGTGTTGCCGTTATACTTGATGCTATTGCTGCCATACATGCCTTGAAGTAGAAATTGGTGCATTCTCTAAGGAGGGAAATTTAACAATATGTATTAAAATCACAACACTCATACCAATTGATCCAACAATGCTACATCTGGGGTTTGTTCATAAAGATATACTCTCACATGGGTGTAAAAATATTTAGTTATGGATCAGCCCTGCTTTGAGTAGAAAATGTTGGAAATAAACTGATAATAGAGAATTGGTTAGATTAATTATAATACACTAAACAATTTAATACTATACAGTACCCCCCATCCATATTTGCACTTTTAGTGGTTTCAGTTACCCTCAGTCAACCACAGTCTGAAAATATTACATACAATAAGATATTTTAAGGGCAGGGGTGGGGACGGGGGGAGAGATCACATTTATACAACTTGTATTACAATGTGTTGCTATAATTGTTCTATTTTATTATTGGTTATTGTTGTTAGCCTCTTTCTGTGCCTGACTTATAAGTCAAACTTCATCGTATATATATTTATATATGAAAAATATTGTGTATATATAGGATTTTGTGCTATTTGTGGTTTCAAGCACCTACTGAGGGTCTTGGAACATCTTCCTTATGGATAAGGTGGGTGGGGGAGACTACAGTAAAGACAAAATTAAAAATAGAAATAAGGTAATTCTACATATACTACTGATAAAGTAAGACTGCCCCCAAGATATATTAAATAAAAAAGCAACATGCAGGACAATTTGCATTGTATGCTACCATTCTTGTTAAGAAAGAGAAGAAAGAAGAGAAGATGAAGAAATATTAAGAGGAAAGGAAACAGAAGGAGAAATATATGAAATGCTTCCATATGAATGAAGACTCTGGAAGGATATATAAAGCAATAGTGGGAACTGCCTTTGAGGAAGGGTATTGAGAGGCTAAGAAGCAGGAGTGGGAGGGAGACTTATACACGTGTATCTATTTGGATCCTCCAGGGAGATGCTGCCAAAATGAAATTATAAGTACAAGAGATCTATTGGGGAAAACATTTGTAAGATAAAAGGGAGAGGAATTAGGAGTAGGAAAGGAGAGTCTTCCAGCTGCAATGTGGGTTTGACACCTGAGAAAGGAGAGAAGAAAGGAAGAAAGATAGGACAGGAGGAGCCTCAGAGTGCAGTGCAGTTCTGAGGGAAGTTCCAGCCAGGCCAATGGAGAACCAAACATCCAGCAAGTGCCCAATAGAGGAGTCCCGCATCAGGCAGAAGTGCCCTGGTGCCAAAACCCTCTTCATGTTCAGTGCCAATACATTGCAGCCTCAGCACAAACACTCTGGCAGATCCTGAAGTGTGGCAGCTGGAGGCTGTCAGCTAACAGATACTGCTGTATGTCGAATAATTTTATAGGGATGGTTTTGAATAATGCTTAATGACTTAATGAATAATAATTAATGATGAATTATACATGTAATATTGTTAAGCTGAAGAAAGATTTAAAACATAATTTAGATAGCATAATCCCAGTCTTTTTAAAAAGAATACATGACAGGTAGAGAGAGAGAGAGAGAGATGATAGTTAGATTGATCGATCTATCTCATGGTACATATCAATGCATAGTCCCAAAAAGATTGGGAGTACATGCAAAAAATATTAACAATGATATAGCTAAATATTGAGAATAAAAGTTATAGTTATCTTTCTCGTTGTGCTTTCCAACTGTTTAAAATTTACATTGAAGCTGTAGCACTTTTTTTTTCAAGGAAACTCCATCAAATAGGAGTTGAACAATAAGAACACATGGACACACATCTAGGCCTGTAGGAGGCTGGGGGGCTAGGGGAGGGAGAGCATTAGGACAAATACCTAATGCATGTGGGGCTTAAAACCTAGATGACAGGTTGATGGGTGCAACAAACCACCATGGCACATGTATACCTATGTAACAAACCTGCACATTCTGCACATGTATTCCAGAACTTAAAGTACATTAAAAAAAAAAAAAAATTTGTCTAAGATCTGAAAGCTGGTAAGTGACCAAGCTGAGAATGCAAACCTCAGACTATCTATTTATATCTATCTGTATAAAAAAATCATCTGATTAAATTTTAAAAGCTTTTTTTCCACTCTCATTTTTTAGTGATTTATGGAACTCTGAAAATATGAGCCAATTGTATTCTAAGGACATGCTCTGTGTTCACTCCCTTGATAGTTGACAATGATTAGACATGTGAATCAATCAGATGAGACTATGTTGTCCAGAGCTACAGATCCTATTGAAGTTGTTCAGTGTCTAGCAGATCTCTTAAAACTGATATGCTTCATAATACAAGATCAACATGCATGTGTTTCCAAAGGAAGGGTGGAAACATGGGAATGCAAAACAGGATTGCAGACCTGCCTCCCTAAAACCAAATAAGAAGAGCCCTCAACACCCTTGTCAATGTCTACAGACATAGTTTTTGTGTAATATTAGCCCCAGTGGAATTTATATTCTATAATAAAATAACTGTTTGCATACAAGTCTTATCCTGCTGGTTAGTGTGTAACTTCTTTTAAGGCTAAGGAATTGGCTTTATCCATATTTTCAATCTCTGGAGTTTGCAGTTCTTTGTAATAATATAAATGTTGACACTTACTGAGTACTTGAAACTACGAGGCACTATACTATGCTAGAAACCTACATGTAAAATTTTATTTAATCTTTACAACAACCCAGGAAATATGAACCAGATTATCCCATTTACAGATACCAGAGGCCCAGAGAGGTTAATTAATTTGCCCAAGATCAGAGGAGTGTGAGGCGGTGAAGCTGGGATTCCAGCCCATATTCTATCTAAGCTATATTGGTCAGAATTTAGTTGATGTTTGCAGTTAAGTACCCAAGTACATATTATAGATCAAGGTCTGGCAGACTATAGCCTGTGGGCCAAATACAATGCACTGCCTATACTTGTCTGGCCCACAAGCTAAGAATAGTTTTAACAAGTTTAAATAGTTAAGGGAAAAAAATAATATCTTGTGACACATAAGAATTTTATGTAATTCAAATTTCAGTGTATTTTATGAGAACCCAGCTCACTCAGTCATTTACACATTGTCTATGACAGTTTTCCCATCATAGTGGCAAAGTAGTTGCAGTAGGGACTGTATGGCATACGAGGCCTGAAATATTTACTGAAGGAAACAAAACAAAAAAATCTTGCAGACTGCTGCTACAGATGAAAGCTTTATTCTTGTATTTCCTTGGAATCAGCCAGAGTGCTTTCTATAAAACAGGCTCTAGATCTGCTAAGTTAGACTTCCCAAAAGGGAGGTCCAATAATCTATGTTTTTAAAAACTCCCCCAGGTAATTCAGATAATAAACCAAATTTGAGAGCCACAGCCAAGAAGCACTTTGGCCTTGGGCAGTTACTCCTTGGGGACCCTTTTATTTCTAAATAAACAAGAGGTAGTTGGGACAGCTAAAACCCCTCCATGCTCCAGAACAAACCACCTACCAATCCCTGACATGACAGAAGCTGGGAAAAAATGAAAGCATTCAAAACTGAAGAGGATTAAGGAGAGACAGGCTCTTTTCACTGTTTGCACATAGTTCATTAGAAATGACACTTCCGAAGAGCGGGAAATGACTCTGTGGAAGGATCTACTTATCAAATTCAAGAGTCATGTTTGCAACCAGCTTGTCTCTTTCTGCAGAAGAGCTGCTTCCGCTTAGGACAGGGCAGCTGACAGACAGCCCTGGTACTCAATCGTCTCCTACCATTAAAAGCACAAGTTTGAGAAGGCACATGAGCCTGCTTCAAGCCCAGCGTCTTGAATGAATATTCAGTCCTAGGCTCTAATGCCCATTCCTCAGACCTTGCTAACTAGCTTTTACTTCTATTCCCACTCTGAATTTAAACCCACAAAGCTCACCAATTGGGATCCCAATGCCATGTCTCACTTTACAAGAAGGGGAATGTTTAAACACAGAACTCCAAGAATGGAATGAATAACCTGAGTTCAACATGCCCTCATGGGAGTTGGAACCTTTCCCAAAAAGGAACAGCAGCAGCCCAAAATGATAAATTATGCTCATATTGCAATTTTACCTAGGGCCTTTGTGGCAGAAACCATCCATGTGCCTCTGAGGATGGGGCTAGTCCAGGAAGCAAGGAGTTAAGAGACTAGAACCCAGTCTCATGGGTAACCCAGTGTATCTCCAACCCTATATCTGGGAACTATGCTAAAGATGCTATTTCTATTTCTTCGTTCCCATAGCCATCTTCTGTACAAGATTTGCTGTGACTTGTTTTTTCAACAGAGATGATGATTAGTTTTGCTAATTGGTTACCTATCTTCTCTTGCCTAGGCCTCACTCAGCTAAAGAACGCAAGGGAGAATTTTGTTTCAGGTACTGTGCCTTGTGCTTACTCCTCTTCTGGACTTATTAACTCCATCTGTGACTTCCCAGTAAAACAGATACCTTGTCTGCACACAGAGATGAAACCTACAATCAACTTCAGCTAACACTTATCAAACAGAAACTAATCAAACTCACTCATCTTGGAAAATTGCCCTGGGTATCACTCCCACCCACCCTTCCTCCTTCCCTACCCCTAGGTTTTTCTTTTTCTGTGGCCCCACAAATAAATAACTTAAGACTTATACTTAAGCACCTGTGGTGACTGGGTGAACTGTTAATTATAAAATTTGGATATACCATCTGGGTTAACATTTGGCTGAAGACAGCTGAAGCTCTCAGTGCTTCTGAGAAAAACTATGAATAATCTTTTCTATTAATTATTATACTATTTTCCCCAGCTGGTGTTTCCTTGTTTCTCCTCTCTGTCTATCCAAATCCTAGCACTCCTCCAAGGTTCCGCCAAGTCCCTCCTTCTCCAGTATGCTTGCTCTGAATTCCCAGCCCACATGATAAATCCTAGTTGTATTTATAGTCAGTAACCAAAAGTTGATTCCTTAATTATCTTCTAATTGTTTCACATGTATTAACTGAAACTCCTGAATGTAGGGGCCTTACACTCTTTTGCATCTCTCATCGTGCACAGCACCCCTTATAAATATTTAGTTAGCACTGAATTGCATGTACATTTCAGGACATGAATAACATTGAATTATCAATCTGAAGGGCAGGAATCCAGGGCTTGTTACTCTTTGCAAGTGTCCCACAACCAACCACATTATTGGACGCTCTAGAAGCACTCAACCATCTGAAGAGTTAGAAAACCATACATAAAAATACTCTGGAGGCCCAGAATACATAACCTTATAACTGGAAGAATCTTTGAAATAATCTAATCGAAGCTTTTCTTTTTACAGAAAACTGAGGTCTAAGGAGGCCAGGTGATTCTCCAAGAACAAGCAGCCTGTGAGTGGTAAAAACAAGGTCTTGCTTTTCTCTCTTCTGTACTTTCGTGGGAACAAGTACCCAAGGTTTAGTTCTATTGGTACACTTGGACATGTCATTCTTGGCTTCCTGATCCTCAAGTGCTCTCGCCTGACCGGCTAATCACAATTACACACACAGGCCTAACCACAGGTCATCAGATCCTTTTGAGTGCCCTCTCATGATTATGATTTTCCTCTAGAATCTATAGCCAGAATGTCTCCCCAAGACCCAAGGGCATCCTTTCAAAAATTATCCAAGATGAGCTTGGTTGTATATTTGTTTCCTCCAAACTGTAATTGTTCCTTTGGTCTTTGATTTTCTCAGACATCATTATGCAGTTACCATTACACTGCTAGCCTGAAGAGCTGGCCACACAACTCTCCTCAGAACAGCTGCCAAATTTGCCAGTGGTGCTATTTCCTAGGCTGAGGCAAGCAGGGTAGCATTTCTCGCTTTTAGGAACCAGAATTGCTCCTTTGTTTTTTAAGCTTGAGGTAAAAGGCTTTCCTCACATTTATATGAGCACTAAAACCAAATCCCTCCAGCCAGAATGCTATCACATTTGCAAGACCTGCCATTTCCCTGGCAGTTCCATTTATCAGAATCAGGGAGGTAAACCGGAAGCTGTCTGTGTGGGTGCCCAGTGAGGTCACTGACACGCCAAACATTGGATGAGGTCACAATTTAATCTCTTGCTTTTTGATGCTCCGTTTTCAGGTGCCAGGCACTTGGGAGCTTTGGCCTACAAATTGTGCCTTAACCGTTCTTAAAGAGTATTGTTTGTTTTACTTTGAGTCTTTCATCAACTCTGAATGAACTACAGATAGTAATGATTGGAGGAGTTCCCAAGAAACAGGCAACAATGGTAAAGGCCTTCCCAAACATTTCTAATGATCTGTGCCCTCTGACAATACTGGTACTGGGCAAAATTGCAATGTTCACCTCCCTGTGATAGGCATTCCCCTACTATTGGGGCTGCCTCCACCCAGGCATCCAGACCAGTGACCCCACGGATAGCCGTGATTTCTCACTGTGCTATTTGTCTTCATGCTTTCCGCTAAGAAACATGTACCTGAAAATGAAACTTGTCTGTCTCTTTCTCACTCCATAAATCAAGTCTCATCTGTGTTAGCCCATGGGGGCCCTGATGTCTGATAAAACTAACTACACAAGCTATGTAAATTTGAGGAGTTTCTTTAACTTCTCTCCATCAAGTTTTATCATTTTTAAAAAGAAGAGGTGGGCTAAATGCTCCAAGCCCCTTTGTGGTTTAACATTGAGTCTACCAGTAAACTCCAGTAGGAGTTGGCAGGGAGATTAATATGACTTCCTCGCTGTACTTACTCTGTGTTGCACATTACATTTTAATAGACAACCTCTAAAAATTACGTCTTTCAGTGACTTCAGTAAAGGCAATTTCAGGGCCTGTGGCAGATCAGTGACAGAAATATTTCTGACCAGGAAGACTTTTCTGCATCATTTTCACAGACACTGTGGGATGATAGAAAAAGTTCTGATTTGATATCACAAAAGCCTATATTTGAATGTAACTCAACCACTTATAGGCTAAGAGACCTTGGGCAAATTACTGCAGTTCATTCCAAGTCAATTTTGTCAACTATAAAATATCTTAATAATACTTTTTGCAAAGTGGTATTGTTTTTGTAATGAAAAATAAAATAGGAAAATATATTAAAGCACCTAAACAATACCTGGCACATAAAACATGTTCAGTAAGTCTTAAGCCCTTTTCAATTTCTATCTAAATTCATCCTGCATATGCAAAAATTCCAAATTACTTATTTTGAGTAATCCATAAGGTGAATCTTTTCATTTTCTATGTGTAAGATATGAATTACTAATGTAGTTTAAAAAAAACCTGACAGATGAGAGAAAGCAAACTAAAGTGACTTGTAAGAGACATATAACTCAATCATGTCATAGCTATTTGTTGTATATTATTTCAGGGGTCTGGCTGCACATTTCCACGGCTTCAGGAGGCCAAATTAGCTAGCCTGACCCAGGAATGAGCTCAATTTGCAGCTATCTAAACACATGAAACTCAAAAATGTCCTCTTCTTTAATTCTAATAGAAAAATTAAAAAAAAGAAACTAAAGCTAGGTTTTTTTGAACAGGGATACAGAGTCTGCCTCCCCCAGCTCCCCCAGCTAGCATCAAACTGAGGCCTAGAAGATAAATATTGCCTCA
Source organism: Homo sapiens (assembly GCF_000001405.40). Classification (NCBI taxonomy): domain Eukaryota; kingdom Metazoa; phylum Chordata; class Mammalia; order Primates; family Hominidae; genus Homo; species Homo sapiens. The sequence goes on along the minus strand of NC_000006.12, from coordinate 50,991,328 downwards.
TATTTTCAGGAAAAAGTCCAAAAACCACCCCTAAAGTCCTTCCCCTGTAGGCGTTTCCTTTTCTTATTACCTTTCTTACAGAGAAATTGGAATACACAGTCCAGTGAGTCATCGCTTGTTCAAATATGGTTCCAGCTGTGAGGAAGCTGTGGAGAGAATTCTCAGCATGGACATAGTTGGACCACATTGGGCTAAGAGGCTGAGATACCTCAGGAATTAGGGTTACAGACCCTCAAACCAGAGGGTTAACTTTGGGGGAAATGAGTATTTTGCTCTTTTATCACCAAAAGATAGAGACGTCCCAAACTAGTGATGTGGACAGCAGCATTCTACAGCTCTCAGAGGTCCGTGGCTTGCATAATGGGATGCTGCCTTGGGAGGAGGCCACACTGTCTTTTGTACCCTCTCCGTCAGTCCTAACCGCCTCCTGCCTGTCCCTGCTTGCCCCAGAGCTTCCTTTCTCACCTCCCCCTCCATTCACCTCCAAACCTCATTTCCTCAACCGGCCTAAAGTAGATGGAAGGAAAAAATCTTGGACATTTAAACCAATTTAAGTATGAATAACTAATCCTATTAATCCAACCAGTGGCATTTAAGACAGTGGGCAAAGTAAAGATTTAGTGACAGGTGAGGTCTCCTGAGAAAGTGGTCTCTTCCCTTCATGGTCTTGGGTAACCCATGTCAGTAGCCAGGTTCACCTGCATATTCTCAAATCCAAAATTTCCTGAAAAAAGAGGATGAGGGATGGATGAGTTTTAGCTAGAGGAACTCTGGTATCAAATGGTAGTATGGTCAGCCTGAACAACTACATCAGGAATGTCCAATCTTTTGACTTCCCTGGGCCACATTGGAAGAAGAATTATCTTGGGTCACACATAAAATACGCTAACACTAACAATAGCTGATGAGCTAAAAAAAAAAAAATTGCAAAAAAAATCCCATAATGTTTTAAGGACGTTTATGAAATTGTGCTGGATCACTTTCAAAACCATCCTGGGCCACATGTGGCCCACAGGCTGTGGGTTGGACAAGCTTGAACAGTATGATAAAATCAATTTTAGAAGGGTTATTTTTTCCTCAGGGCACCATGAAGTCTGTTAAAACAAACGAACAAAAACTGAGTGGTCACAACTTTGTCAGAAAAGAAGTTTAAACATTTCTTTTTTTATTGGGTTTTTGTTTGCTTGTTTGTTTGTTTGTTTGTTTTTGAGGCAGGGCCTCATTCTATCACCCAGGCTGCATAGCTCACTGCAGCCTTGAACTCCAGGGCTCAAAGTGATCCTCCTTCTTCAGCCTCCCCAGTACCTAAGACAACAAGTACACTCCACCCCACACCCAGCTAATATCTTCTTTTTTTTCTAGAGACAGGGTCTCCTTATGTTGCCCAGGCTAGCTTCGAATTCCTGGCCCCAAGTGATCCTCCCACCTCGGCCTTCCAAGTCACTAGGATTACAGGCGTGAGCCACCGCACCTGACCCAGGAGGAGTCTGAACATTTCTAAGAGTTAAAGATTCAGAAAGACGGGTTGCCTCAAAAGTCACATGGGCATGCACCCTAAATTCTACCCATGAGTAGCAACCCCAAGACTTACAGTAACCAAGTACCCAGACATCCTATTATAAGATTTAGGAGAAAAGGAAGTATGTCTGAAATACAACTAGTTGAGGCTCAAACTTTAATATATAGGTTTATATATGTATATATGTGCTTATATATGTTTAATATATCAGTAAATATGTGTGTAAATATATGTGTTTATATGTGTGTAATATGTGTATATATATGGCATATATATCTATGTATATCTATCTATTTAGACACACACACACACACATATATATGACACTGCTACCAAAAAAAAAATCAAAAGCAACTTGTACACAGGATTTCCAACACTGACATAATTCTCCCTGGGTTAGGATTAAACACCAGTTATAACCACTGTCAGCTTTCCAGTTCCAAAGAAACTGTTGTCCATTTCCTAGTTCACATAAAGAGGTATTATTAAAGCCTTGTTTATATGCCCTTGAAAAGCTCTGATTTACTGTTCTCTCAAGCTGTTCAGAATAAGTTGGTTATTGGAATGCATGGGATAAGGTTAGCTTCCTCTTTCACTCTCAGCCCAAAGGTATTTGTACTTTTAACAGGTGAAGGCCAAGTTTCTTTTAATTGATTCATAGTGGTTGTACATATATATGGGGTACATGTGATATTTTGATACATGCATACAATGTGTAAGGATAAAATCAGGGTAATTGGGATATCCATCACCTCAAACAATTATTTCTTTGTGTTGGGAATATTGCAAGGCTTCTCTTCTAGCTATTTTGAAATACATAATAAACTATTGTTAGCTATAGTCTCTCTACTGTGCTATCATACACTACAACTTATTTCCTCTTTTTTTTTTTTTGAGATGGAGTTTCGTTCTTGTTGCCCAGGTTGGAGTGCAATGGCGCAGTCTCAACTCAATGCAATCTCTGGCTCCCAGGCTCAAGCAATTCTCCTGCATTAGCCTCCCAAGTAGCTGGGATTAAATTACAGGCACCCACCACCATGCCTGGCTAATTTTTTTGTATTCTTAGTAGAGATGGAGTTTCATCATGTTGGCCAGGCTGGTCTTGAACTCCTGACCTTAGGTGATCCACCCACCTCAGCCTCCCAAAGTGCTGGGTTTACAGGCATGAGCCACCAGAACTTATTTCTTCTATCTAATTGTATTTTAGTACCCATTAACCAACTTCTCTTCATCTTCTACTCCAAGCCTTTCCCGCCTCTAGCAACTGCTATTCTACTCTTTCACCTGAATGGGATACATTTTTTTTTAGCTTCTACATATGGATAAGTTCTGTGCCTGGCTTTTTTCGCTTAACATAATATCCTCCAGTTCCATCCATGTTGCTGCAAATGACAGAATTTCATTCTTTTTTGTGGCTAAGTATTCGTGTGTGTGTGTGTGTTTGTAACATTTTCTTTATTCATTCATCCATTGATAAACATTTAGGTTGATTCCATACCTTGGCTATTGTAAACAGTATCAATGAACATGGGAGTACAGGTATCTCTTTGACATACTGATTTTCTTTCTTTTGGATATGTAGTCCACGGTGGGATTGCTGGATCGTATGGTAGTTCTAGTTTTAGTTTTGTGAGACACCTCTTTTTTCTTTTATTTTTTTCATAGTAGCTATACTAATTTACATCCCCCCCAGCAACATATGAGCATTCCCCTTTCTCCACATCCTGGTCAGCGTTTGCATTTCCCTGATGATTAGCGATGTTGAACATTTTTTATATACGTGTGGGCCATTAGTATATCTTCTTTGAGAAATGTCTATTCAGATATTTTGTTCATTTTAAAACTTAATTATTTGGGGGTTTTGCTATTTTTTTATCAAGAAAGTGGATTGAGCACAAATAGAATGTAGAAGTGTGTCTTCTCTCCCTTCATAAATACAACTAAATTGATAATAAAATTTTCTCTTAAATGGACTAAACCCCTAACTGTGAAGAAAGGAAGATCATTTGGTTTTTAAAAAAGAGAGAGAGAGAGAGAACTCTACAAATTCCTTGAAGATGGACAGTATATGGAAACATTTTTGCAGAAAAACAAATAAGAGGAAGCCTAAAATAAATGCAGAAAGGTACAGTGGGTTGGTATCTTAAACGTTTTAGGGAAAAGTTATTTTGAACCTATTATTCTACATTTTAAATATGGTGAGGAAATAAAAACATCATTTATACAAAAGTGCTTAGAAAGTTTACCTCCTGCATAGCCTTTTTAAGTAAGTAACTTAAAGATATGCTCTAACAAAGTAAGTGTCAAATTCAAGAAAGAAAGAGCCTTGAGCTATTAATAATCTCTGGGAATAACTCAAAAGCTCAATAAAAATAAATCAGAGGTTGACAGAGGTGTAGACAACCCATAAAGCAATTGCTCCAAACAAGAACAGAAACTTAGTGGGCTCCATGACTAACTTTTCAGGCAGGAGAAAGGAATTGATCCCATTCAACAGATGGGATGAGCCAGAGGCTACAAGGTCATAATAATATGGTGCAGAAGGCTCTATTTCTTCTCCTCGTAATTAGAAACCCCAGGAAAACAAAAGCTGTTCAAACAAGTTATAAAGTAGGAAACAAACTAAACTGTAACATGATTAGAGTACTTGAAATACTTTAAATAAATGAAATTCTGTTGAGCTAACACTGGAACCCTGATTGCTCAGGGGTCATAAGGGGTTTGAGGATGTAACATTTATTTTATAAATAGTGAGCAATATTTACATAAGCATAATAATGTAAATGCTTTTCACTGGACTTCAGCTATGAAAATGTACGCATAGACAAAGTAGAGGTCTCTGGAAAAATCTCTCTTTGTGTAGAATGAGCCTTCAAAGCAACTTGTCATTCAATAAACACCTATTTTTTCCTTCATCAGTAGACTTTCCCTGAAATTAGTTGCTACCTTTAGACCTTAAGTAATAAGCAAGAAGAAGCAACTTAAGTATAGTTTGAATTCAGGCATAAATTATGACTTAGGCATACATTTATGCTTGTCTTTTGTGTTATTACTTGAAAAAATGAGAAAGTTACTAGTGAATAGGCACCTTCAATGGTGAAAGACTGGTAACTCCTGTAAAACCCCCAAATGTTCATACAGAACCTGATGTCTTTTATTCTCCTTTTAGGAGGCCATGATGACATTGCAGGCCATTGCAGGTATACCTCCTGAATCCTGCTAACAGAATTGCAGTCACATTCTTTGTGGTCCCAATAGCTACTGGAACATGACTCAAGCAGTCCCTCTCCATCCCTAGAATGTGTCATGCTCTTCCAGGAGTAACAATGAATGAAACCTCTTCCCTCTCCCTGGCTCTGAGTATGACAGTGGTGGCATATTGAATGAGTCTGATATATTTCTGCCTTATCAGTCTATTTATTTTTTAAAAAGGAGAACCTAGTTTCCCTTCTGGGATTTAAAGTGAACTTGTACTTGACTAACAAAGCTCAGAAGAATTAAGTAAAATTACTCAAGAGAATGTAAATGCTATCACTCTCAGTAATGCATATTTAAACAAGAGTTAACAGAGGTTTGCAGAGGTGAAGACATGAGTGAGCGAGCAATCAGGTGGACGATAGAGTAGAACCACTAATACTCTTGTGATTGATGGAGAGTCCAGAGCTGCTACCTGACCTGTAAGTGGAGGGACTGTTTGCCAATACACACTTGGAGGACAGCACCTACAAATATGAGCACCATAGGGTTCCATAGTTGGAGGGAGGTCAGGAGGAAGAGCAGCCTGGGTGTAGTGGAAACAGAACCCGAGTTACCCTCAGAGGTGACTCAGTTCAATTCTGACTCTATCATTTACTGGATGAGTGACTCCAGCAGTCACTTATGCTTTTTGAGCCTCATTTTCCTTTTTGATAAAATAGGAATAATGATATCCACACCTCAAGAGATAATGCAAAGTTCCTGGCATTTGAAGTTCTCTCATATATAGTTGCTTTCCTTCTCTACAAAGGCTTTATGTGTTACACCTTTTCCTCAAAACCCACTCTGAAGATGTCAATTCTTTATAAATCCTCTTACTAGTACTGAGGAATAGCTTATGGAATATTAGGCCAGTTATTTCTTCTTTTCTTTCATCAATTATCTCGTATTTTCTTCCTCATTAAAAGAAAGTGTTTCTTGACTTCCAAGGGTTTTATGTAAATGCTCAAGGCAAAGTGGGTATATTATGCTGAATATTGTGTGGACAAGCAAGGCATCAGTGAGGTGAATTTTATTTTATTTTTTTTGACATGGAGTCTCTCTTGGAATGCAGTGGCAGGATCTCGGCTCAGTGCAACCTCTGCCTCCTGGGTTCCAGCGATTCTCCTGCCTCAGCCTCCTGAGTAGCTGGGATTACAGGCACCCGCCACCACACCTAGCTGTTTGTATTTTTGGTAGAGACGGAGTTTCACCATGTTGGCCAGGCTGGTCTTGAACTCCTGACCTCAGATGATTCGCCCACCTCGGCCTCCCAAAGTGCTGGGATTACAGGCATGAGCCACCGCGCCCAGCCCAGGTGATATTTGGCCTGAGTCCGCTTTGCCTTTCTGCCAATTGGCTCATTGCCCCCCCTCCTCTGGAGCTGATTGCAGCAGTGGTGAATTTCTATAAAGTGCTGGAACCACAGGTCCTTTAAGATACTGCCTTCTCTGTGGACTTAGAAATTCCACTGTTAAAACTACTCCGTATAGTTTCCCATCATGTTTATTTTGTTATGATTAGGTTGAAAGGAAAAGACTTTTTACTAGGTAGTCTTATCCTCTTTGTGTGTGCTTTCTGTTAAAAAAAAAAATCTGAATTGTTTCCCTTTCCTGAAGATCTCTTAAAAATCATTATTTTATTATTTTTTTCCTTTTTCTTTAAATGTCATGGCCAAGAATTATTTCCTTGTGATTTATCATGGAGCACTCAGATCACCAGTCCATTTAATGTCATTTCACTTTACTATTTGTGCCAGTAAACAAGATTCAGGAAAAACTTACTATGGCAGCGACTATTAGGCCACGTGGCTACATGCTTTTTCACAGCCAGATAGTAAAGATTTACAGCAGCCATGCTCTTCCCATTAACAAAGAAGGGATTTTTAATCAAACCTCCAAAAAGAACAAACAGATCTCAACCATAAATCTAAGGTCTGAAAATAAACTAAGCATATTTGTCTACGTGGATAATCCAAGACTCCAGGGTCCTATGAAAATGGGCCCCACTAACACATCAAGTTTCTCAATTTTCACAAACATAGCCAGTTCCTCCACCACCTTTTAATATCCTCTCCTATCCTAGTATCTCAGGAAGCTCCCAGGGCTTGCCCGTTATACTCAGAGTTTTCTCAGGCCAGCACTCTAATTTAAGCTATTGAGCTTTTCCAAGTCACTGTCCACAGCTGACCATCACTTGGGGCCAGCCCACTGCCATGCACCATCATGGCTACTCCGTCTCAGACTACTGATGTTGCCTTGAGATGCTGCTCTCCCTACTGCCCCAGCTGATGTTTACTCTTGGCAGGGGAACGAAGTACAGCCATAAAGTACATGCACACTGTAGTCTATGTGAAAGACAACCTCTGAAATTGTGCAGTGTACAACTTGCACAACCATACATAGCCCTGGCACTGATCAAAACTCTCAGTGCTTACCTGTCACTACTTGGAAAGAAAACAGCTTTCCGCTCACCAAACCCTACTTTGAAACTACAGTCAGAAATAGTTTGTAGACCCCCAGTTGTGATAGTTATTGTAATTTTTATACACAGAGCATGTAAACAAAGGGGACATTCATGATGTCAGAGTGGCTGAGCCAAGGTACATTAAGATCACAATAATACACTATACTCAGATCGCCTTCTCTCTCTCATCTTACTCTCCTTCATGTTCTGTACTGAATCTAGCTTGACATGTTGTGTTTTGCCTTCCACTGCATCCTCCCAAGGCTTTCTGGGATATCTGTATATTTCTAGACTGCCATCATTGATCCTGTTCATGATCTTTTCTCAGGATATTTCTCAACCCCATTAGTCTGACAAAACAAATGAATCCTAGTTGAAGATAAGGTCACCAACCTCCCAGAGCCTATCTTCCACTGGGACTCAGCTGGGTCTTCCTGTTGTATGCATGTAGAGACTCTTACCAGAGTTATGTAAGTTTTCTTTTATATCAAGTCAAGCCACTTAGATACCTCAGTCCCAAAACAGAACTTTGATCTTAAGCAACATAAAGCAAGAACATAGGAAGACAGTCCATGTTCATCTCTCCCGCTTTAGTTCCCAGACAAGACTGCCCAGTGCTTCCTGCCAGAACTGCCCCGATTTTTGTCTTTTTTCCAGGCTTACTTCTCCAACCTTTTAGCAACTTTCTGAGCTGACAGTTTTCTCTGAATTAAAATTCCTTTTTTGTTTAAATTAGCTAATCTCAGTTTCTGTTGCTAACACTTGACAAATCCTGATACAATATCAGTGAATAAAACAAAACATTGCTGGGAAATACACACACACCAAAACAAAACAAAGAAAACCTTGAAATATTGGAAAGCCATACTTTGTCTGTTGGTTCAGTAGAATCAGTAACATAAAAATGTCATTTATCCTTAAATTTATTTTTAAATTCAAAGTGATCCATATTAGAAATCTAAAAGAGGATTATTTTTGAGCCTGGACAAAATAATTCAAAATTTCACTTGGAAAAATAAACATGTTATGACATATAATAAAATTTTGGAAAAGAAAAGTAGCGAAGAGGTACTTGTCCTGGCAGATGTTCAATTATAAAATCTATTATAATTAAAACCATGTGCTGATGGTACAGGAATAGAAGAAAGACAATGGAATGAAGAGAAATTCAGAAACAAAGACAAGCATGTTTAGAATTTGATATATTTAAAAGATTAGCATTTCAAATTTGTGAATGAGAGAGAACTAGGGATTATTCAATAAGTAGTGTTTACAAAATTGATTAGCATTTAGCATTTATATTTAATAAAATATAAAATTGGAGCCCTACCTCACTTCTTATTCCAAAATCAACTCCAAATGGTCCACATAAAATATGGGTGAATATTTTATAATAAGCCATAAGATTATTGAATATCATTTAAATACTTAAAATTTAACATGTAAAGTTTAAAAAGTAAAACATAAAAGTACTAGAATAAAACACAAGTGAATAAAAATGTAACAAATAAAGAAAAATTAGAGTAGTATTAGAGTAAAATGTAAATATTTTTATAATTTAAAGTGGGAATGATCTATCTAGAAAATACTATACTATATTATTATAAAATACTAGACATAATATACCATTTAAGTAATGTGTATCCCTATAACAGGGGAGAAAAAAGCTAGAAACAAACTCAGTACCTTCTACCAAATATTTAGTTAACTACGTTAAGGTATCTCCATTCAATGGAATACCATATAGCCATTAAAATAGATAACACAGAGCTACATAGTGCTCATGTTCATGCTCTATTTTAAGTTTGGGGCTTCTCCTAGTCACTCACTACCAGGTGAGAAGAGCTCTGGAAGGGTCAAGGTCTAAATTGTGTTCTCAGAAGCACTTTTACATGGAGAGAAGTGGGGGATAGATGGATCTGGATCAGGACAAATGATCAGTTTCACTCTATGTTCCATGACTCCATTCACAGTATGAGTGTAAGAAGCAGAGAGCCAGGACAGGTGTGGGTTTGGGACAGAGGGCCAAGGAGCCCACTCCTCCAGTAAATGGTGGGCCTCAGGCTACAGTGATATAAGGAGTTAGTCCTCAAGGCCACCTTTCCTTACAGGGTCAGAGAACAGATAGGCAATGGGGCCAAAGCTCTGACCAGTAATAGAGTATTAACTAGAGTGTCCTCTGGGTAGCATACACCTTTGTAATCAAGTATAATGGTTAGCAGGATAAGGAAACTCAGCTTCTCAATCCTAGTTTTGATTCCTTTCATAGAGCCGTAACAAAAATGTCAGAGGGCCTGATTCATCTCTTCTCCTATAGGCTAGGCTAATGGTAGTCAGCAAAGGTACAATCACCAACAATTAAATCTTTAAATTATATCAGATTTCTCATAGTCTTGAGGCAATGCTTCTTCATACATCTATCTCTAATCTTTGTGTTTTTTTTTGAGATGGAGTCTCACTCTGTTGCCCAGGCTGGAGTGCAGTGGTAGGATCTCGGCTCACTGCAACTTCTGCCTCCTGGGTTCAAGTGATTCTCCTGCCTCAGCCTCCCAAGTAGCTGAGACTACAGGCACCTGCCACCACACCTGGCTATTTTTTTATATTTTTGGTAGAGACAGGGTTTCACCATGTTGGCTAGGCTGGTTTTGAATTCCTGACCTCAAATGGTCTGCCTGCCTTGGCCTCCCAAAATTTTGGGATTACAGGCATGAGCCACCACGCCCAGCCAAGATTCTAATCATTTTAATGAGAGGATACCTCTGTCTTCTCTCTTTCCTCCCACCAACTTTCCCTTCTCTTTCTCCTCTACCCACTCTGCTGTTTCGCTCATAGATTTCTTAAGGCATTTAACATATTTATCTTGCAATGTAAATGAAGCCTGTTTAATTCTTCTACTGTAACTCTTTGATGGGAATACTCATTTTATCCATCAATTAACAATTAAGTGGAAAAAGTAGATTTCTCAAGTCTGTGCTCAAATGGTAATTACTCAGAGAGGTTTTCCTGAATCCTCAATTCAAAATCACAACTCCTCATCATACATTCTCCCATTCCTTGCTTTCTTGCTTTATTGTTTCTATAGCACTTAGAACCTTAAACAATATAGTATTTTAGTAATTTGTGTATCTTGTTTATTGCTTGTCTGTCTCTTTCTCTCTCTCTCTCTCTCTCTCTCTCTCTCACACACACACACACACACACACACGCAAATACGAGCATGATGAGGACAGGAGGTTTACTCTGCTTTATTCACTATTGTTTCCCTAGAACCTAAAATAGTATCTGCCACACAGTAGGTGCTCAATATAGTAGTTGGGATATATACTGTCACCTTAAATCTGAATTTGAGATAGAATAAAAAATCCCTGCCCCTAACTAGCCAGCCTAACTTACCTGAAGAAATGTCCGGCAGCTATTACCAGGTCTTTCCTTCATGCATAATTCAAGTTGCTTCTCACCTCTCTGGTTCTCTAGCAGGCTCAGAAAAATAGAAGATGAGTGGGTCATGGGCAACCTTATCATGATCAGGAGGTATGTATGGTAAGAAGGTACTTTTCAGTAGAATCCTATCAAATGCTGGACTGGGGCAAAAGGATATGCTTATGAACATGGGAGGAATAGGAACACCTCACCAGAGGCAACAGCCAGTGGGAATGGTCCTTCCATCCTTTGAGGAAACTATAATGTGAGCAAGAAGGGATTGTTACATAGGCATTCATTGGTGTGATATTTACCTTTAAATATATAGAAAGGTCACTGGCTTGTCAGCTCGGCAAAGACATATATAAGTGAAATTTAGATATACTTTTTATTTGTGATAATGCTTTAAAGTTTATTTTTTAAAATGTTTTTACATTCGTTTCTATCATAGACCCTAACATGTAATTTATGAAAATAAACCACTATTAATCTAGTGTTCAATGTAAGTTTTAGCAACATCAGTAGCTCCCCTGGAAAGTATGTAATGAGTTTATTTTAAAAAGTCTTTGAAATTTGAAAACATGAAAAAAAGTGAAGCTCCAGAATTGTTCATCAGTTGCCAATTTCAATGTGATATATTATTGAAGAATCACAGCAGAGCTTCATCAGAAGGCCAAAAAGGCCTACCTATGAATAATATTCATTCTAAAGAGTAAGAATAGGTAAGGAATAAGACCACCTTGATGCTGTGATGATGCTTTTCTATAATACAAATATTTGGTCAATGCTCTTTCTCCAAAAGCTTGCTTTCTAGATTTTACCTGGAAATTTCTAGGACCCTGCAAATCCTTGCGAAAGTCAAAAGAGGGAAACGGCCTAATTCTCTCTCATTTACCATGCACCACCTAGGTGAAACAAGAAGTTCTGCAAATTACTCACTGTTTTTATTTACCCCTGCTGGGCTCCTTGTAAGCCTTCCTGGGTTTGTTATACTCTGAAATATGGAGCATTAATGACCTTTTAGGAAGTGCCAGCACATGTCAGGAGGTGGCTACTTGCTCTGCTCGCCATAAAAAAGGGTGTTAATAGGCTCCAAAGGGGGCCCTCAGTTAGGAAAATAGTACTTCAAGCCTTTATTAACGGACTGCTATCTTGTAGGGGGATCCAAAGTGATAAGCCCTCAATTTGAAGAAAGGCTACATTCTAGAACAAGGGAAAGAAGACACTAATGGGGTCCTTTTACAATTTGAATTAGATGTGTGACCTTGTAAAGCCTGATTAACTATTGTGTTTTCATCTCCCCCTGTTGACAATTGGTTTGTTAAGTGGCTTCTCTTAATAGCAAAATGAGCGTCACAGAGAGGGTGCTGCTGGAAGCCAGCCTTTGCAATTTCCAGTATGTGTCAGATCCTTTCCAGCTGATGTTAGTTCACAGATAAAAATGATTTGAAAATTGAAACCAAAAACCGAGGCATTTTTGGTTCTTATAATAGCTCTGTCTCTGTCATTCCTTTGACTATTTATTGTCAAAGAATTTTTAGAGCATTTTCATAACAAGGATAAAAAGATATTGGATTTTTTGTCTCTCTACCTCTCAGAATAGGATTGCAGTAATGTCTGGCCTGATTAACAATTAACTCCAAATGACTGAGCTACCACATTAGTATAGCAACAATACAGCTGAGCTGGCCCTACCTCTGCACAGAACTATTTGGGAAATGGCATGTAAAATATCCAATAGATCCATCTAGGACTCCAATGGGTGTCTTAACTCATGACTAATTTGGAGGAAAAAAATAAAATGCCTATACTCCTTCCACTCATTCTCATCACCCCACTCCCCCAGCTTCACCTATTGATACACTTAATATTGAACTAAGCGTTTTCACTAACATTCTGAATGTTTACTTGGAAGTTGTTTCACAGCTTGATTCCAGTTGGGACCAGAACCCAAAGCACTAAAATACCCTGGGAAAAGCTAGTCTCCTGCTATGTCTAGTTGAGACTGGAAGTAGTAGCATTAGATATCTTGCCAGAGAGTTTGTTCTCATGACATTCATAACCCAACTTTGTAACGCCAAAAGTCTAGAAGAGTTCTGGATCCAATTATGCAAAGGCAACTTGATACTCTCCCAATTGTCCCTTGCGTAAATTATGACAAGTTTGAGTTACATAGGCATGAGGCACCTCTCCCAGACATACAGCTTCACACACAGGTAAAATGAGGTTAAAATGGACATTAATAAGGCACCCTTGACCGGAAGAAGGAGTCAGAAAGGGCCTCATAAAGGTCAGAAGGGAGAGTCAGGTAGTGCCACTTAAGTTGACTTGGTAATGACAGCAGGGAAGGGGACATTCTGTCCTGCTGTCCTAGGTTGATTGTGCATCTATTGATTGCACATTTACTTGAGTACTGGTTTAGGAAAGCAATGTGGGTAAAAGCAGCTAGAGCAGTCTGGGTGATCAAAAGCAGGTTACTCGGCCCCTCTGAACCTTAGTTTCCTCAAAAATAAAATAAAGTTAATGTAAGGCAAAAATTAAGTTAATAAATTCTATGAAGTACCTAGCACAATGTTCAGCACACAGTGTAACTTCAATAAATAGCTATTGTTTTCAACAACAATAATATTACTATGGTGAGCAGAATAATAATTTGCCCAGAAGATATCTGTGCTCTAATTCCTGGAATCTGTGAATGTTACCTTATATGGCAAAAAAGGGACTTTGCAGATGTGATAAAGTTATGTCTTGAGATGGGGAGATTATCCTGGATTATTCAGGGGGTCCTAAATGCAACCATAAAAGGCCTTATGGGAAGGATACAAAGGGGAATTTGACACAGAAAAGAAGGTGGCAATGTAATGACAGAAACAGAGACTGTAGTGACACGACCACAAGTCAAGGAGTGCCAGCAGCCACCAGAAGCTGAAAAAGGCAAGGAACAGATTCTCCCCTGGAGCCTTCCGAGGGAGTGCAACCCTGCAGACACCTTGATCTGGGCCCAGTGATACTGACTTCAGACTTCTGGCTTCCAAGTCTGTGAGTGAATACATTTCTGTTGTTCTAAGCCCCAAAGTTTAAGGTAATTTGTTACAACAGCCATAAAAACAGAAATAATTAACCTGTAATGTTTTCAATGTTCTCACGAATGAAATCCCCCAAGTATCAGAAGATGAGTGGCTATGTGAAATGGTTGTGTCAACCACATACTTAAGAAGAGGAGGGGTGGTGTTATCTCCAAAGAGTAATGTGATGTATTCCTGTTCAATGGCCCCTGTCCGCAATTATCAACTCCAAGGCCTAATATACTTGACTATTTTAGCTCCCCGAAAATTTCAAGTTTCAAAATTTACGTAATGATTTACAATTAATTCAGAGAAGAGTCTTAAGACTTATCCAGTTAACACTTTTATTTAATGTATTAAAATATTCATCCACCAAACATCTACTATTCATACTAAATATTGCGGATGAAAAGCAAAAAAAAAAAAAAAAAAAAAAAAAAAAGACTAAGTACCTGTAACAAGAATACTCAATCCAGTTAGAAAACACCGCTTAAACACTAAAGAATACATTTATGCTTAGCTGGCAGATATCACAAATTGCTCCCCAATATTTGTTGTCTTGTTTTTATATGGCATTGAACCTGGCCATCCAGATAAAAAACTACATTTCTCACTCCCTTGCAGTTCAGTGGCTAAATAATAAATTCTGGCCAGTAATCTGTGAGCAGAAGCAATACATGCAAGCTTCACTTCATGCACAAAAGAGGAAGGGGAACACAATCCCCTTCTCTTTCCTCTGCCCATCTGAATTTAATATGAACATATTAGTGAGTATGCTTGATAAAGCAGACAAGACTAACAACCACGTATTAGATTTTAAAGTCTACTTTTCCAACACTTTGGAGCCACTATAGCATCCCTGGACTATTTATGTTCAGATGTACATGAAAGAGGGGAAAATACAAACAATCTTTATCTTGTTAAAAAGATTATGTTCTTTTTGCAGTGATCAAATCTAGATCCAAATGAAAGGAACTACCAATTCTCCATGATTCAAAATGATGTCTGTACATACAAGTAGATAGCTGAAATCAGCATTTTTGTGAATTAATAACACCAATTAGAAACAACTTTATTTTAATTCCAATTCTAATGCTGCATTGCACACTTACTTGTTTGAACTAGATTGCCTGGAAGATGGGGAGAAGAAACAGTGAGAAAGTGCTGGACAGTCCTAACAATAGAAATTCAAGTGGGTGAAGTAACAACAAGTAAATGGTTTGTGATTTACCTTCTACTGCCAAAGGACGTGAGGAAAAATAATCAGAATGGTGCCCGGGAATGCACACAGGATTTGAGGTCAGAAAACAAATCCTAGTCCCAGTTTCATTACATACCAGTGTTGTGACCTTAAACAAGGCAATTAAATTCTCAGAACTTCAATGATTTCATCCATAAAATGGGCACAATACTATTTATACTATACAGCACATATGAAAAAAAAAGTGTAATAACAAAAGTGATCCTACAGGGCAAATGGGAAAATATTACATAAGCTATTACGAAGAGCAGAGGTTTCTAATTGGAGCTTAGGAGTGGAATTTTCCCCTTAGATATGTTTTTGTTTGACCTGCCCAGTGTCTTTACATTTTTCCTTTGTTGTCAACTTTTGAAAGCAAGACAATTCACATAAAAGTACAAACTCTCTTAGATTTCTTAAGAAATCTAAGAGTTGGACAGCATTTGGTCCTCATCCTTGCCATGCAACAGTTAATTTTGAGTATTTATTTATTCATTCATTCATTCAACCAGTATTTATTTATGATGGACTATGTAGATGGCACTGTTCTAGTTGCTGAGTAAAGACACAATTGAAACACAGGTGAGGCTGCTGCTCTCCTGATATTGCTTTCTGGGAGGACTCATCCACCATCCCCTGGACCATTCCACTCACTCGTACTCCCTGTGTGGATCTTGTGGGCTCTAGAGTTTGTGGCTCCAGACTGCTTCCAGGTAAATGCTTTCTAGAGTGAGAAGAGGTAGAGAGGTTGCACAGTTGTGTACCTGGTGGGATAGGGTGGGTGGGCAAAGTGAGAAGAAAAATAAAGAAATTGCAATTTGCATCAAAATGCTATGGTCTTAACCAAATGACCTTTAGAATTAGACAAGACAGGTAGCTTTTCTATTTGCTCATCCACTCATTCAATAAGCATTCGCTAAATACTGAGTCTGTGCCAAATACTGTACCAAGAGGTAAGATATAGAGATAAATGCCTCAAGGAGCTAATGGGATTCTATTTAGACATTCTCAAAATCTCAAGAAATACCACAATCAGACTTGCAGTATTTCAAACGAAAGAGACTTCCCCATAATCACTGGCATGCCACCAAGACTAAAAGTCAAGTCTTTTATTCAATGATGTCAATATCTAATTTGGGTTTTTTTTCCCTACATCTTTTAAGTGCTTTATATGGATTAAACCATTCTGTTCTCATAACAACACAATGCAGCAGGCATTACTTTTATTCCCACTTATGCATATGACCTAGAAACATACTGTTAAATCCTGTGTTTACTTTTTACATTTGTAAGATCTGGCATTTCTTCTCCATGACCTAGTTACTTGTCCTGAGTATAAGTAAGTTTGCTGTCTGTTTGCTTAAATTTCAGACATTTTACAAGCAAAATTTGGTGAAAAGTCATTTTAATTTCTTCTCCACTTACCATTCTCTGCCTTGAGGTGCTTTATTACCAGGAGTACAAAAGCTAGTTCAGGGAAACAGTAACAGTATTATAAGAATTGCTATTGTTTATTGCAGGTATTACTATATTATGCTAGATACTTCACAGATTTTTTTTCTTTTATCACTCCCTTCTTATTCAGATAAACAAGGAATTGAAGCTCAGAGAGATGTGCAATTTCCTGTACTTATACAGCTAATAAGTGCCAGGGCTCAAATATAAACCCAGACTTCCAGCTCAGTGCTCTTCATATGTTCCACACGACATATTCTGAAGGGACTGTAAAGGCAAAATTATGTATAAAATATAATTGAAGCAGACGTCTCCAAATTTTTGGTGAGCCCAAAGATTTCCAGTCAGAGGATAAGGCCTGGTCCCAGGCTGGGGATTGGCATAATGAGTGGTGGGGGCGGGGAGGTCTAGAAGGGAAGTGAGCTTTCTGGGAGGTGCCACACTACTTGTAACAGTCAGAGAATTCCCAAACAGGGGCAGGGCACATGTACTATCTGGTAGTCTGCCTGATAAGGCTTCAAGTTCTACTGGTAGATACTGATGCAGTCAATCTAAAGATGATAATTTTTAAATGCCTTTGGTTTTAGGGTTGGTTTATTTCATGTGGTCATTTTCACCTAATTAAATGATATTCAGTTCAAAATTACATAGAAACAACTAAAAAGACCTTAGGGGAAACAGGTTCTTCTGGATGAAAAATCAAATTTAGACACCAATAAATTCAATTCAATGAAAAATGGAAACCACAAACCAGACTGCCTGGTTGCATTGCATGTATGCTAATGTGCCATGCATTTCTGATGCATTAGTACAAAATGTTCTGTATATTTCATATGTGAAACCATGTCTTAGAAATAAAGAAATAGAATGAAATAATAAATGGCAAATGGTCACTGTTAATCTTTGACTTATTTTTAAAGCATGGTACTACTTGGTAGATCAAGTAATACCCATAATGTTAGAAAAACAAAGTTATTGTTTTATGGATGTCCTTTGTTTAGAGAAGTCCAGCTATTTCAATATATGTCTCTTTGGCCATAATACTCTATAAAAGAGAAGACGGAAAGAAATACAAAGAGAGAACAAGAAGGGATCTGAAGAGAGAGACTGGGAAAGGGAACAGTACATGGGAATATTTTTGCTTCCAGCTATGGACAAGTGCCACACTTTCTCCTAATAACCTTGACCTGCTTTTCCTGGCTCAGCAGTAGCAGCTGTGCCACATCGGCTTAGCATCTGCTTATCAATCTAACTGTGCAAACCTGACTCCCGCTTCCAGTGTCCTTAGCACTGAGGATATCACAGTGACCAGGTTGACTGAGCAGCCTGCAGAATGTAGGAAACAATCAGTTCTTAGGAGGAGGAGGGCAGGACAAGGTGTGGAGAAATTACCAGAACATGGTCTCTTTATTGTCCAATGATCATAAGGAGAAAGAATATTTGTTGGGCAGCACATGGGACAGGTTGTCCTAAAGTTGCAGAATTAATGGGTTGTTGAATCTTAAAAAGAAAAATGCCATTCCATCACACACCTCAGTAAATATGTAACGGTGTGTGAAAGCTCTGGGAGCATTGCTGCACTGATGCTTCGCCATGATATTCATATCTTCTCAGCCAAAAACGGAGACACCAGGAGCAGTATGAGAATACAAAGCAGAGCGATGGTGGTTAAGAGTTTGGCCTTCTTGTCAGGCTTCCATGTTTAAAATTCTGACTTCACCACTGACCAGCTTTGGGCAAAATACTTAAGCTCAATAGGACCCTTATGTTCTTGTGAGGATTAAAATAGGTAAAGAATAGAGAAGTATAGAGCCTGACACAAATGATACAATGGACTTTGGGAACTTAGGGGAAAAGGTGGGAGTGGAGTGAGGAATAAGAATACACATTAGATACAGTGTACACTGCTCGGGTGATGGTGATGGGTGCACCAAAATCTCAGAAATCACCACGAGTGAACTTATCCATGTAACCCAAAACCACCTGCTCCCCAAAAACCTATTAAAATAAAAAAAATTATATAGAGACTGGTTTCTGGTATGCAACCAATAAATATGTAGTATGAGAAATATGAGTGTATTTATAGAAACAAAATAATATTAAAAGCTAAGATAAGTCAGACTGTAGAAACGAGGCCTGTCCTCAAAACAAGTGTGTTTGTATAGTGCAGATAGATAGCATGAATTTGACCACAATAAGGCTCAGTGTGTGATGGCTCCTTGTCAGAGGATTTCTTCTGATCTGGGCCCATCTCAATAGCCCAGCCTGAAGTATCCTCCAGTAGTCATCGAGTCAACAAATGTTTAGTGAGTCCATCTGAATCTGTTCTTATAACTTAGGAGCAGTTCTAGACACTGGGGACACAGCAGTGAAGAAGAGTGTTAAAGTCCCTCCCTCACAGAGCTAATATTCTAGAAGGAGAAATAGAAAAAGATAAATATATTAAGAGATATATAAAGTCAGGGTGTGGTAACTGCTGTGAAGAGAAAGCAGGAAAGGAGATAGTGAGGGATAGGGCTATGGTTTGTAGTTAGTGTGGTTGATTGTCCTTGAGGAGGTGATACTTGCAGATATCTGAAAGAAGTGAAGATGGGAGTAGGGCAATTATCCTGGGATATTTCCAGGCAAAAGATCAGCAATAGGAAAGACTGAAGCCAAGTGTGTTTGGCAACCCAAGGGAAAGCAGGTCAGTGTGCCTGGAGCAGACTGAGTGAGGGAGAGAAATCAGGAGATATAATTAGAGAATTGGCCAGTGGCCCATCATGTAGGTCATCAGATGCCATAGTAAGGAGTTTGGAATACCTAAAAATATGCTGAGAAGACATTAGAAAATTTTGAGCAAAGGAATGTCATGATCTGAGTTATGTTTTACAAGGACCCTGACAGCTGCATGGAAAATAGATTATAGCAAGTAAAACCAGTTAGTAATCTTCCCAGATCAGATGATATATGAGTAGCTTTAATAGGATGGCAATGGTGAGATGTGGTCAGATTTGGGATATATTTTGAAAGTGGGGCACACATGATCAGCTGATGGTTTGAATAATGGTATGAAAGAAAAATAAGAATCAATATTGACTCCAAGTTGTTTTTTAACAAAAGCCAGCTGTGTGAATAATATTGTCACATTGAGAAAGCTCAGGAAGTAGTTGGTTTGAGGGTGGAGGGGAATCAAGTTTGGACAAGCTAGGTTTGAGATGCCTATTAAATATCCTGACGGATGTCAAATAAGTAAGATAAATGAAACTGGAGTTCAGGGGAGAGGTCATATCAAAAGATATATTTAGGAGTCAATAGTATATAGTTGGCATTTTAAATGGAGCTGAATGAGATTAACAAGAAAGTGAGTACAGCTGGGGAAAACATCCTAGCATTTAGAGTTGAATGAAGTAGAATCCAACAAAGACTGCAAAGATTTCTTACTTAGGACAAAAAGTGAAGAAAAAAGAGGCTGAAGCTAGGCAACCAGAGGCCCAAGCCATAATCACAGCTGTATCACAGGCTAGTATCAAGGTCTCTTCATTTCCACTTCATAACCTATAAAATGAGGATTATCACCTGTGCCTGTCACACTTTTACCATTGTTGAAAGGCAAAAAAGCTTTCATCTGTGACAAGTCACCAGAGAAATGTTGCAGCACCACTAGCAGGCAAGGAGAAAAAAGTTGTGAACCCAAGAAATATCATACCCTACTGGGAAAATGAAAGACTAGGAGTGATATTGTGCTAATTCCAAAATATGTGCAGTCCATATCTCCATCCCCCAGCTCCCAACTTCTCCTTCCCATCTGCTAAATAATGTCAACTCTAAGCTACAAAATGAATGCCCACAGAAGAGCATTAAAGGAACAAGTCAGAGCAGTGCCAAAGAAGAGAGAAAAGAAAGAAAATACTGGGAAGATTTAAAGAGCAAGGGAAATAGTAGATACTTTCCTTCCTTCCTTCCTTCCTTCCTTCCTTCCTTCCTTCCTTCTCTCCTTCCCTCCTTCCTTCCTTCCTTCCTCCCACGTTCCAATTTTTCTTTCAAGGTGGGGATGTTGCCCAGGCTGCACTTCAACTCCTGAGCTCAGGTGATCCTCCCGCCTCAACCTCCTGAGTAGCTAGGACTACAGGTGCACACCTCTGCAGCTGGCTTTTTAGATATTATTGTGTCCTTCCAGGTTAGGAATTGAAGAAGAAAGAGGAGGAAAAACAAGTAATCTTGGATACTTGCCATTTCCATGAAGGGAGGGAAGCAGCAGGACCCTTTGAGAGAAGATCAATGCTCAGCATCCTGGTAGATAGCAGAGGAATCCCTAATTAGTAATTCAACTGACATTGATTCAAAAGGTTGATTTGCAGGCATCCAAGCCTGGAAAGGAGGAAGTTTGATGTGTTTTCCAAATTGGCAGTGAAAGAATAATTTATGTTGGAGATTTGTTGCTGAGCAGAGAAAAGAGATGAGATAGTTGAAAAAATAAATGATGATACCACCCAGAGTTCTAGCTTTCCTTCACTTTTTATAGGAATAAAATAATGAGTAGAAGAGAAGGTATAAACTAGATTAAATATATTCCATATATAAACCATGCCAGAAAAGCAACCATCATTTCTCTTCCCCTTGAACTTTTCATTTAAGCACAGACACACTTTCAGGGACTAATGAGAAGATATAAATGTTGATGAAGAAATCACTTAATAAAATGCCATGAACACAGTTAAATAGTATTTAAAGATTTGGGAGAAGAGGGGTAACTTAAAAACAAATAGAAAGTACATGATAACATAACCAGTACAATTATTGTTAGCATTTGACTTAATTGCTTCTTTAAAAAGAAAAAAAAAAAGGTTTACATATCATCCTCAAGTCCATTGTGTCCTAATGCCCACTGCTAATCCTCTAGCAATAATAGGTATTATTCAGTATTTGTTTTAAATTATTACAAATGTTGTCACACTGTATCTACCATTCTACAACTTGCCTTTTTTATGAAACATTATTTTTTGAGATGCATAAATCTTGATATACAGAGATTTCTTTCACACATTTAATTTTTTCTGACAGTCATGCATTCTTACACTATTTCATGTGATCCTTCCAACTCTAAGTGAGTTAATGAGTTATAACATCTCCACTTTACAGATGAGAGTATTCAAGTTTGCCCAGGGGGTAGATGTAGAACCTTCTGGCTTCCTGGCCAATTCTTCTTCACTGTACCAACTGTTTTCAAGCTTATATTTTCATCTGTAAAATTTTTTTTCAAATATGAAACTTATATAGAATGCTAACATGTAGGAGGCATTCACATTAGAGCTAGAGGCAGAGGTTCTGGGCTGTGCCCTCAGCCTTTCCTACATCCTGCAGTGGCCCTTGAAGCAGCTTCATGAACCTCTAGTTCTCTGTGGCACCTGTTATGGAAGCTGGTGTACTAAAGCAGTGGCCTTTTTGCAAGCACTATGCAGCCAGACGAAAGTTTTAAATACAGAGAACAAAATGCCCATAGCGATTTGGTCAATGAGAGAACTGAACACACTTTTTGTGATGCCATCTATGCAATGCAGTGTAATGGCAAAAGGCGGCTAGCAAATCTTGGCTGGTATCCAGTATGCAGAGGAAAAGCTGTTTAAAAGTCTCCTCAGCTTAGAGTTTGGCCAAAGTAGATTTAAAGAACCTACTTTGTGTAGAAACCCCGTATTGTGAGGAACACAGAAATGCTTGAGATAGATGACAAAAGCAGTGAGCAGACACCAAGGAAAGGGTGGTTCTTGCAGAAGAAAGAAAGGAGAGAACAAACCCTTCAAAAGAAGTGGTTTAGTTCTTGACAGGAAAGAAATAAAGCATTCAGAGAAATTAATAGACAAAAATGAAAGCAAAGACAAATTAAAACAGGTTCTGTATATATGGAGCCAAAGTTTTAGAAGGGGAAAAAGATAAGAAAGGTGGTTTTTTTAAGGTTTTGTTTTGCTTTAGGTAGAATGATCAGGGTCTGAGAAGAAGGAAGGCCTCAAGATAAAATAAATACATTTTCAAAAACATGGGGATATCACTAGGTAAAGAGTAGACATAATGAAAGTAGCAAGCTGGGCATGGTGGCTCACACCTGTAATCCCAGCAATTTGGGAGGCCAATGCAGGTGGATCACAAGGTCAGGGGTTCGAGACCAGCCTGGCCAACATGGGTGAAACCCTGTCTCCGCTAAAAAAATTACAAAAACTAGCCGGGCATGGTGGTGTGTGCCTGTAATCCCAGCTACTTGGGAGGGTGAGGCGGGAGAACTGCTTGAACCCGAGAGGCGGAGGTTGCAGTGAGCCAAGATCACGCCACTGCACTCTAGCCTGGGTGACAGAGCAAGACTCCATCTCAAAAATAAATAAATAAATAATAAAAATTTAAAAATTAAAAAAATAAAGTAGCATAAGCTGGAGAAGCCTGAAAGACAGGATATGGCACTGTGAGGTGAAAAAATCAATTTAATTTGAGATTAAAAAATAAGACTATAAATCAAAAGTGACACATTGCATACAAATCTATATGGCATAAGTACTGCAGACAAGAAGGATGATGTTGAAAGTCCATCTTAACTAAATATTAGTGTTGTAAGGTTCAGGATAAGAAGAATAAGAAAACAGGCAGGCGTGGTGGCTCACGCCTGTAATCTCAGCACTTTGGGAGGCAGAGGCGGGCGGATCACCTGAGGTCAGGTGTTCAACACCAGCCTGACCAACATGGAGAAACCCCGTCTCTACTAAAAATACAAAATTAGCTGGGTGTGGTGGCGCATGCCTGCAATCCCAGCTACTTGGGAGGCTGAGGCAGGAGAATCCCTTTAACCCGGGAGGTGGAGTTTGCAGTGAGCCAAGATCATGCCATTGCACTCCAGCCTGGGCAAAAAGAGTGAAACTCCATCTCAAAAAAAAAAAAAAAAAAAAAAAAGAATAAGAAGAATAAGAAAAGTAATCTTATTGATGTATAACGAAATATGGATGAAACATACTTTTAGACATAAGGTAAGATCTGGCCTACCCAAACTACCCAATAAGGGAAATAATAGTAAATGTTCAATCAGTTCCTGTTCTGCTGCTAATCTTAAAGCCATATTTAAGGAAGAAGCCATTAAGGAAAACTGAACATATACTATAAAAAGAATTACATACTAGATGATATAATTAAATGTAACTCTACTCAACAGTACTTGTGAGTAATATACAACTGTAAGCACATACCCCTCAGCAAGAAAATATCTACAAGAAATGTTTGGCCAGAATTGTCAGCTGTTGTTAAAATATGACTTCAGTCTTGGTCCTTCCTATTTCATACAACACTCATTAATTCCAGATATCAATGCTGATATGCTTATAGTAATGAGCTCTATAACTTCAATTATACAGTTTTTGTGGCTGTAGCCACATAAGTTTATCTCTTGTGTTTCTACTGTTCTGTTTCTGTTTACAAAATTCTATTTGTTATTTTGAAAGTTGATGTTATACATCAAGTATAGAAGGCATGAATACTTTGTTGGGTTTGTTAATTTCCTTTGTTAATTTCTTCCATATTGTACTGGTTTAGAAGAGTATTACTGACTCTCATGACTTAGGTAGGAAAAATAATCTTCAAAATTGAGCACAAATTACTCAAATGCTTTTCTCTATGGTTATTTATTTCTAACTCTAAATGCCACCATTATAAAAAGCTTTGTTATCCCAGATGTGAGTTCAGTCTGGGCAACCACATTGAGATAATAAGTAAATCTGTTATGACTGTTTTGTGGGCATTACACTAAGTCTGAAAAAATTAAATGACAAAAAGAGAGAAGTGGGCCAGTTATAAGTGATATGATTTATGTGTAAGAGAATTTGTGTAATACAAAATTTGTATAATACAAAATGAAAGATAGCATCTTTGCTAATCATGCTATGGTGATAACTGATATTAATGTCTCAAAATCCCTGAAATATTAAATAAATAAAAGATGAATAAGCCAAGTCCTGTTAGAAAAAGAAAAAATGAAAACTATGATAAAAAGAATAATCAAAGCTTTACTCTCAAGATATCAGAGAGGTATTCATATGTTAAAATATGATATAAAAAATATTCATTGGTAGGAGATAAGATGAAGGCTATACCAAACAAAACAAACATTCTCAGCTACTGAGTGTTTAATGAAATAAAGTAGATAGGAAAGTATAAGCAAACAAGGCATAAACCGAAAAGAGGAACTGAGAAAAGTGTATGCAAACAAAGTACAGGAGGTAGTAAAGAAAAGTGAAAGGTAAGGACTCCTTATCAAAAAAAAATTCACAGTAATAAAACAAAAAGACAATTTAAAGTGGCTTGAAAAGAGAAACACTAGAAATAATGGTAGAATAATGGTAATCCTCATAAACCTACCTCAAAAAGCAAGAAAAAAATTTTAGTTCAAGAGGACACATGTTAGTTAATGCCAAGAAACTTAACAAATGATGAAGAATAAAAGTCTTTAATAGTAGATCTTATAACTCAAAGAGGAATTAAAAAGTTTTAAAATAAATACATACTTAAGTCACATGACCTCACTGACATGGAATTGTAGCTCCACAAATGTTAAGGTGGGGACAGGTATGGAAATTATGAGGTGACAGAATAATAATAAATAAGAAACAGCAATAAAAATTGACTGTTTTAGGGATTGGTAAAACAGTAGTGTTTTTAGCAGAAATATCATTGGCTACTCGGGATGGGACCAGAATGATAAGTTGTGTTCATGATATTATACGTTAGGTGTCTTTGGAAAATTCAAGAATAAATACCCCCTTTCATATATTCTCAACAACAAATCTACTGACCCAGCTATATCAGCACCCATTATCTATGCCTTCCCTCCTGTTAAATGGATTATTATCATTATATTTATTCTATGCTGTTTTCTAGCATCAATCCCTGTACAGTACACTAGATCTGGTCCCTTCTCACCTACATTGCTCTGGCAATGTCTCCTATCTCTCCTGTGTGATCAGTTTTTCTCTCTGTTTTAGATTATCCCCCTCAACAGACAGTATTCTTTAATATGTTTTATCTTTAAAACAATCTCCCTGTACTTCACAACCATGTCATTAATCTCTTATTTACAGCAAGAATCCTTGACAATTTTGTTTAGACATTCTCTCCTTCTGTTCTCTCTCAACCTACTCCATTAGAATTTCCTTTCCCATACTCCATTAGAATTTCCTTTCCCATTGCTCTACTGAAATAATTCTTGCTAATGACATCAATGGCTTTTATGTTGCCAAATCCAATGGTCATTTCTCAGCCCTTATCTAATTTAATTTATCAGCATGATTTGATACACTTAATCATCCCTGCATCTTGAGACACTTTCTTCACTTGGCTTCTGGGACAATATTTTTTCTTGCTTCTATTTTTACTTAATTGATTATTATTCTCTGTTCCCTTAACTAGTTTTTCCTTATCTTTCCAACCTCTAAATGAAATATTTGGGGGCCCAAGAGCTCATTCCTTTGACCTTTTCTTTATCTATGTCTAGATGATCAACCCAGTTGCATGGCTTTAATGATCAATTTCATATTGAGTATCCATAAATTTTTATGTCCATGCTTGACTTCTACTGTACTCGAGATTCATATATTGAACTTTAAATTGAATATCTTGTAGGTATCTCAAAATTAACTTCTAAAAACCCAAACTTTTAAGAGACAATAGGATAAAAACCTAGATGACCTTGGGTATTGGAATGACATTTTAGATATATCACCAAAGTCATGATCCATGAAAGAAATAATTTTAAAGCTGCACTTCATTAAAATGAACAACTTCTGCTCTACAAAAAGAAATGTCAAGAGAATGTGAAGACAAGACACAGATGGGAAAAAATATTTTCATAAAACATGTCTGATAAAGGACTATTATCCAAAATACAGTCTTAAGTGTTGGGTCTTAAGTGAACAACCTAACTGAAAAATTGGCTAAAGACCTGAACAGACACCTCACCAAATAAGTTATGGTAAATAAGCATATTAAAAGATGTTCAACATCGTATGTCATTAGGGAATTGCAAACTAATGACGAGATATCGCTACATGCCCATTAATTCAAACAGGTAAAATGCAAAACACTGACAACATCACAAGCTGAAAACGATGTTGAGAAACAGGAATTCTCTACTGTTGCTGGTGGGAAGGCAAAAATAGTATAGCCACTTTGGAAGACAGTTGGGTAGTGTCTTACAAAATTAAACAGACTCTTACCATATGATCCAGAAATTGAAATTTCTCTCTTTGGTATTTACCCAAGTGAGTTGAAAACTTATATCCACATAAAAACCTGCACTCAGATATTTATGACAGCTTTATTCCAAACTGCCAAAACTTGGAAGTAACCAAGATGTCCTTCAGTGAATGGATAAACTATGGTATATCCAAACAATGGGATATTATTTGATGGTTAAAAAAAAATAAGTTATCAAGCCATGAAAACACATGGATGACATTTAAATGCATACTAGTAAATGAAAGAAGTCAATCTGAAAAGGCTACACACTCATTATTTCAACTATATGACATTCTGGAAAAGGCAAACCTATGGAGACGGTAAAAGAATCAGTGGTTGCACGGGGTTTGGGGGAAAAAAGTAGAGCATTGAGGATGTTTTAGGTAGTGAAACTATTCTGGATGAAATTGTTACCAACAAAGCTGCCCCCACCAAAAAAATGGGGTCCTTGCCTGTTTGGTGCCATGGAGCCAATATGCAAAACCAAAAGTGTCAAGCAGTGCAGGCTTTATTTCATGGCCATGGAATGGAGAAGTGGGAGCTTAGCTCACAAATCATCTTCTCTGCTAGTGAAGGGTGAGGAAGTTAAAATATAGTTTCTCTAATGAAGAAGTGGGGCATTAAAAGCAAGGGAATGCCGGGCACAGTGGCTCATGCCTGTAATCCCAGCATTTTGGGAGACCGAGACGGGCGGATCACTTGAGGTCAGGAGTTCGAGAGCAGTCTGGCCAATGTGGTAAAACCCTGTCTCTACTAAAAATACAAAAATTAGCCAGGTGTGGTGGCACACGCCTGTAGTCCCAGCTACTCAGGAGGCTGAGGTGGGAGAATTGCTTCAACCCTGGAGGCGGAGGTTGCAGTGAGCCGAGATCACGCCATTGCACTCCAGCCTGGGCAACAAGCAAGACTCCGTCTCAAAAAAAAAAAAAAAAAAGCAAGGGAAGAATATTCATGATGTATTCTCTGGAAATGCGCAGGAAACTTTCTGGAACTGGAGTGTTGCCATCCTTTCTGTCCTTTTATTACTTTTTCCAATTATTGTCACGGAGATTGTCAACTGTCATGGCAGTGGTGGTAGTGTCATTTAGCATGGAAAGGAGATTATAATGAGGCCTGAAGTCTTTTTGAAGCTGTTCAGTCAGCTATCTTGACTCTAAGCAGTCTCAGTTGGTCTGGTTACAGGGGAACTTTTTATTGCAGGTTTCCTGTTTCTTAAAGACAAACAGAGTTACAGCAGGGTAGAAATTTAGTTATGTTACACAAGCATTGCACCAGGTAACAATATGACAATTATGAATACATGTCATTATATATTGTTCAAAGCCACAGAATGTACAACACCAAGGATGAACCCTAGCATAAACAATGAACTTTGGGTGATAATGATATGTTAATGTAGGTTCATCAATTGTAACAACTGTACCACTTTGCTATGAGATGTCCATAGTGAGAGGTTTTTTGTATGTAGAGACAGGCGGTATATGCAAACTTTCTGGACTTTCTGCTCAATTTTGCTATGAACCCAAAACTTCTCTAAAAACTAAAGTTAATTTAAAAAAAAAAAAACTGAACCACCCCCAAATATTGTCAATCTCACTTCTCTGTGTTAAACATTTGCAGCATCCTAGATAACTCTCCTATAGCAAATTCTGTTGGCTTCACTTTCAACATATATTTTAAATCTGGCTCCCTCTCACTGCTATTGCAACTACCATTCCAGCCCAAGACATAATCGTCTCTCATCTGAACTAATACTGTGTCTTCCTAATGGGTTGTCCTGCTTCCGTTATTCTCAATAGTCTGTAATTCACACATCAATGATACTTTTTGAACAAGTCAGATTATGTCCCTTGTTTGCTTAAAATGTTCCAGTCTCACTCACTATAAAATCCAAAGTCTTCATCGTTGTTCACAGACCTAAGATTTCGTCTCTCTGCTTCCTCTCCAACTCTCCTCCCACCTTTCCTTCCCTTGTTCAATTCCTTCCTGACATACCAGTTTCTCTGCTCTTCTTAGGACCTCCTCAGTCCTCTCCTGCCTTGGGGCTTTGGCACCTGCTCTTCCTTCTGCCTGGAACATCATACCACCCATAGCCACATGGCCTGCTTTCCTCCTTATGTTCTTCAGGTCTCTGCTCTAGTGTTATCAGAGAAGGCTTCCTTCACCACCTCATAAAAAGAAAGCACCACTGTCACTTCCTATCAACTTACCCCACTTTACATTCTCCATTGCATTCATCATTACTTCCCCTTTCTTTGTCTGTTAATCTCTTTCACCTAAAAATGTAAGCTTCATGAGAACTGGAGTTTCATATTTGTTTCATTGCTATATCTATAGCTTCATTACAGTGCCTGGAACATGGCTGGTATTCAGTACTAAAATTTGTTGAATCACCCTCTTTCTGGGTTGGAGATACTGACTGCAGCCTCAGATACATGGACTTACCAAGGGAGAAGAAGTTTACATTGAAGAAGGCTGAGGACAGATTATTAAAACCTTTGAGAGGTTGCAGAAAATGGAATAATCAGAATGTAGCAAAGTTTTCTTTAGGTGTGTCTTTCATACCATACTTACATGCCAAACTACATATCCAAACAAACATTCTTGAAAGAAAGGAGATAACATCTATTAATTCTTTGAATAACTGTTTGGGGAGAAAGAGTAATAGGAACACTAGTCTCTCTATATATACTATATCCAATTTGAGCCAGCTCTCCAAAACTAGGAGAGAGAAAGAAGAGGAGTGGGGTAAGGCTAGTTGCAAAAAAAGCATTTATGTGACTTTGTTGAAAGAAAGTCTCTAGGATTTAAAAATTTGCATGATCATGGGGATAAAGACAGTATAAATGCAGAAGTCTGTCAAAGTCTGGAGAAGAGGTAGCCAGAAGATGAAGTGCATTTAGAGGTAAAAGGAGAAGGAAGCAGATGTAAGAAGGAATCATGAATACTTGAGCAATCCAAGCTTATAAGAAATTGTGTTGGCTTTGGTGGTAGAAGAGGAAGAGTAAACATGTATTTATATTATAAAAATAAACCTTATCTTTTAAAAACTGCAGATCCAGTGAAAAGTACTTCAAAGGGTCTCTACTAATGTGTGAGATTAAGTCTTCTGATTACCATTTTGTACCTCCAATAATGTTAGTACAATGCATTTTCAAATGCTTTATGCTGCTAAGCCCAACAGAGAAACATTCTTAAAGAAAATTTTGTTCCAACCTCCAAACTTTCCTTACGTATATTTATTGACTATTAAAATGTGGCATCTAGGATCTGCTGAGTGAAAAGTAAGAAAGGAAGGCATCATACATTTAAAGCAACAGTATCCAGAGGTTTATAGTAAGAGGAATTTGGTGTAGTGATTAATACTATTTGGAAGCTAATTGTTAACAAAACCACTGCCAACTCCTGAGAGTTAGTTAGAAAATGAATTAGAAAAGTCTTCCTGAGCAGTGAAAATTAGGAAGCTGATAA
The DNA here is from genome assembly GCF_000001405.40 of Homo sapiens. Lineage (NCBI taxonomy): Eukaryota > Metazoa > Chordata > Mammalia > Primates > Hominidae > Homo > Homo sapiens. The sequence goes on along the minus strand of NC_000006.12, from coordinate 50,961,216 downwards.
AAATTTATTTTTAAAGAATAGTGAGACAAACTGGAGAAAAAATATCATTTTGACTGTGGCTTTAGGAGCGAAGCAAAATATACAATAAAATAAAAATTCACTCAGAGTTGAGCTCACCCCATTATTACTCTGCGTTCTTTCCCTAATTCATGTGGTGAGACAGGGCAGAGGCTAAACCCATTTTATTGTCACCACAACCTAAGCATAGAACTAGCCACTGAAGGGAGGCATCCAGCTCTGGGAATCTCTGTGCTGATTAGAAATAGTGAGCAACTTCTAAACACACACAGGACCTTCCATAAGACATACACAGGCAAATAACTAACATTCTATCTCAGGTATTTAGCTTTAAACTTTTTGCAAAATCTTACACACATGTCTACGTATATGCACAGCAAAACTGAATTAACCATGTATTTGAACTTCTCTTCACCTAAAAATATTATTGCAGTTTTATATGCACCTAGCAATGTTAATCTTTCAGAAAGCTCCTGGGATGATCAAATATGTCAATATGTCCATGTGGATCTTGGAATCATCTGTAAAGATTACTGCATAAGTATAATCAAATTTTTCCCCATTTCCAAGTGGACAATAAAATTCTATCCCACCCTCTTCCCCTTTCAAATAAATACATTTTTAAATGGAGTACCTTCTCAGGAAGGTAGACAGGGGAAGAAAAAGAGAAGAATTTAAATCAGTTTATTTGATTTTCTATTCACTAGACTGGGCTCTCATGAATTTGAAGGAAAAATGATAAGAGTAGCAACTATGTGTGGGTTTCAGTTACCCACACTATTCCTATTCCTTGTTGTGGCTAATGTTTGATTGGTGATTTATTAAATTAACTGGGGAATATCAGAAAAGGAGTTCATTCAGCTTCATTTCTGATAATTCTTATCCTTTTATGTAGTTTATTTACTGAAATAAAATTTGGCAATTTCCTCCCGACCTGATCTAACACTAGAGTGGGAGCAAGACGCCATCGCCAATGTGACTTCATGCAAAACCTGACAACTGTGTGCTGTTTCCACAGAACTCCCTGAAAACAGAATAGACCAAATCCCTATGTGACTGAGACATTCCGTAGCCAAAGGATACCCCTCGTGAGATGAATTTGGCTTACCTTTCACACTGAAGTCTCCCAGAAACTTCAAAACCTCATGGAACATAACCCAGGGAGCATACACAGCAAACAAAATAGCGTGGCATTTCTATGACCATAATATATATACATTTGGTGGATGAAAGCCTCATGTTGTATTCCTCTGATCACACATTGGCAGGGCCTGTGTTAGCTGTTTAGAACTGGCTTGACCTTACCTCAGAAAAGTTGTTCTTTCAAGAGATATCCTTTGCTTAAGACCCAGTAGAATCTCATACAACAGGGCAAATAATACCTGTCTGACTATAGTTTCAATCAGTGCCAAATATAAACTTTTTTCCCCTATCCCATGTCAGTTATGGAAAAATAAGGAAAGTCGTGCAGTTTAGTGCATAGCCAATCTTTAGAATCATGTGGGAAGCTTATTAAAAATATGGATTACTGGTACCCAGACTTACTTAATCAGAATCTCTGAGGGATAGATGAGCCTTGGAATCCATGTGTTTAACCCTTGCCCATGGGTGATGCTGAAAATTACCCAAGTTTAGGGAAGCCCAGTCAAGTAGAAAGCATGTGACATGTCAGTGGAGAGAGCCTTCACATTATCTTTCCCTCCGGAGGTGTGGCCTTCACTCGGTCTCAACTCTCTAGCCTGTGAAATGGTGATAAGGCTGACTGCCTCCTTTCCCCCTCATCTCACTGAGATATTGTTTAGACTAAAGAGACGCTGACCTTAATTTTCTGATCTGTGGATCAGAGAAAGCAGATGCATGCCCTTCTCATATCTATGCAGGGCTGAGGATATGCCTCATTTGCCCGCATGCAGTGCCCAGCTTGTATGCTGCCACTCTGTTCCCATGTTTCTGGAGTGGCATAGCCTGGGGCAGACAGAGCACAGGGATGAATGAATCTGGCAAGTCTGTGGACAAGCTGATGATACAGTCTTGCTGGGCCTGAATGGTCTGACCCCCATCCTTCCTCCTAAGTCATCCCTCCTGGGAAAATAATAATCTCTATGTTATCAGGAGTATGGTGTTGTCAGCCACCTGGAGTGGTTGGGGACGAGCTTGGCCCCGTCAGAAAATATTATAAAAGAGATAGCCAGGAAAGTCTTTTTCTGTCTGCATTTTGGAGTTGTAGTTGAGTATTCTAGAAGGCAAGAACTGGTCAGGTGGAAATAAATAATAATTAATTTTTCTTTCAGAAATCTTTGTGGAAGGTAAATGTGCTGTCTTCAGATGAAAGAGACCCCCCCACCTAGTTCAAATCCAGTTAACACTTTAGAGAGCTCATATGAGAATGCTTGAATATTCAGTGATAATGAGCTGTGGTTTTTAATGCTTACCTATTTCTATTATAGTGCCTGCACAGGTTCGACACATAGTAAGCACTTAATAAATACAAGTTGCCTAACTGATTTTTACATCTGTCCACAGAGGTGTTGGGATTTCTTTTAGGGATGTAATAAGCCAAATGGACTGTGTTAATAATGCCCCTGTACTTTGGAAACTAGAGAAGGCCTTTTAAATACAAAGAAACCAGATGTCACCAGACCCTGGCATTTTCTTGGTCTCCTAGGCAAGACCCAGAGGGCCATGCTATTGCCATGGATATAGTCTCTAATGAAGTATTTATACTCAGAGACTCCAGCCAGCTAGAAGAATATTTATACGGCAGTAAAAAACTTTAACAGAAAGCTGTTTGGCTCTAATAGTTTCAGGTATTTCTACACATCTCTGCTCACCATGTGTCATGTTGAATTATACTGTATCCAGCATGTGACAGCAGCAGCCCATAATGGAACTTATATAATGGAATGGCCTGAGAGATGAAGTGATAGGGTGGCAAGAGAATAGGGGAGGGGAGAGAAGAGAGGTAAGAAAAGAACTTTAAAGAGAAATATTTCTTTTACATTTGCTTGTTTGATTTCCAGATTCAGAAGAAAATGAAGATTGTAAAGAGAAATATATGTAGACTATATATATATATTTATACTCACACATACATAATAGTGAGATAATGGGAACATATATGGATAAATTGAAGGCAGCATAGTGTAGTGGATCAAAGCACAAATTCTTGAGCCATACTTTCTGAGTGCAAATCCCAGTTTTGTCATGTACTTAGCTCTGTGACCCCAAAGCTACTTAGCCTGTGTCTCCATTTTCTTATCTGTAAAATGACAATGACAATAGTAATACTTCATGGAAGTTAATGTGAAAATTAAATGATTCAATATTTTAAGTATTTAGAATACCTGACCCATAGTGAATGCTACATAAGTGAGATATATGTATGTATATGTGTATATATAGTTTTATATTTATACATTTACATATACATTTATATGTATTTATAAGTATATATATAGTTTTTAAGTCAAGCACCCATTGTATACCCTGAATTGAATGCTGCAGCAGGGGGCACCAGTGTAGAATCTGACTTTGGTAGGTGTCATTCAAACCATAAATGAATATTCTCCAGATAAAAAAATGTAGTTCTGAGCTTGGACATGTAATTTCCCTGGTCATTTCCCTTGGGGAAAAATGGCAAGCCTGTGCAACTCTTACTAATAGATACTTAATACCGAATATGCTGATCACTATAACGAACACTTTTCAAGGATTATCTAATTTCAGCCTCACAACTCTATGAGTTGGAACATAGTATCCCCAATCCATAACAGACAATAATAATGGACAATAGGCTGCAAAAGGAAAAACTGAGACACAAAGCTACACAGAAATATGCCCAAATAATGGTGAAGCCAGTGTTCGAATCTAGCAGTACAACCCCAGAGCCCATGCTGTGAACCACTGTGCAGCCAGTACTCCAGAAGGAAAATATCACAGGAGTCATAAGTTTAAATATTCAGAGAACTGGTCAAAAAGTGAGCAGAAAATATAAGAAGGAAGAACCCTTCGGTAATTCATAAAGAGAATCATCAGTTCATTGCAGCCATATTCGTACTTCTGGCTTAGGTGGCAGGGAGGACAATATAAAGCTTTCACAGAATAGAAGAGAAAAGTCTGAGTACATCTTGCTAGGGTTCATAAACTTTGAACCTGTCATTTTGTGTGAGTCTGAGAAGCAGCCAGAAAAAGAAGGAAAGCAGTATTGCTGGCTGTTATTATGACAGTGCTTCCAGATTGATTAAGCACTTAACATTGCAGCTGATCTAAAGTGAAAATGGAGCTACATTTTGAAAGCTTCTCTTGCAGAAGCTTTCTGGGTGAATCTCTGGTTGATTCTTTGACCTGGGCAGCCTCCTCTGCCTTCTTCTTTTCTCTGTCCCACAGAAAGTCATCTTGATTTTTTAAAAATGATTTGCATTTCACCAGATATAAAAGTTTAAATTTCACGTGTCCAAGCGCAGTTTGCAAAGGAACTTTCCCCTCCACCCAACTAATCCAAAACATCACCATCTTGATTCCTGAAGCAATTTATTTTTTCCCTTTGTGGGCCTGAACAAACGCAGGGGCTGGTTAGGCAGTAACATAAGGGCATTTAGGAAAACAACTCTACTAACTAGGGAACATCTTGTTTAGTACTTAACGCTACATGATGAAGAAAAACTTCATCCTGGAGTTTGCTAGGTCTACTTTCTCCCACCATTTCCATCTGTTATTTGGCTGTAATACTGCCAGCAACTCAGGTGGCTAAATGCCCATCCAGGGCTTCTAGATTAGGGTCCGTCTGTTAACCCATGAGTTTTGATCAGTCACTCATAGACTCCATTTCTTGGATGCCTACAAAAAAGTTTCTTAGGTTGGACATAGTTAACAAAACAAAGCGTTCGTTTTTCTAAGAAAAAGGAAGAAAATTACCATATCTCTCCTTTTCCAGTGACATCTGGGGTTCTTGTTTACCACCACTAAGTCACTATGACCGTTTCCAAAAGTATTCTATCTAAAGTAAGTGTCTTTAACCAGGCACACTGGCTCATGCCTGTAATCCTAGCATTTGGGGACACCTGAGTGGGAGGATTGCTTGAGGCCAGGAGTTCGAGATCAGCCTGGACAAAAAAGCTAGACCCTGTGTCTACGAATAATTTTAAAAAATAGCCAGGTGTGGTGATGCATGCGTGTAGTCCTTGCTACTCAGGAGGCTAAGGTGGGAGGATCGCTTGAGCCCAGGAGGTCAAGGCTGCAGTGAGCTCTGATTGTGCCACTGCACTCCATCCCAGGTGACAGAGCGAGACTCTGTCTAAAAAAAAAAAAAAAAAAAAAAAAGCCAGGTGCGGTGGCTCATGCCTGTAATCCTACCACTTTGGGAGGCCAAGGCGGGTGGATCAACTGAGGTCAGGAGCTTGAGACCAGCTGGGCCAACATGGTGAAACCTCATCTCTACTAAAAGTACAAAAAATTAGCTGGCTGTGGTGGCGGGCACCTGTAATCCCAGCTACTCGGAAGGCTGAGGCAGGAGAATTGCTTGAACCCAGGAGGCAAAGGTTGCAGTGAGCCGAGATTGTGCCATTGCACTCCAGCCTGGGCAACAAGAACGAAACTCATCTCAAAATAATAGTAATAATAATAATTGTTTTCATGTAATATGTATAGATTTATAGATATATGGGCTTATTTATAGATCATTATGATACACACACACAGATAATTGAAAGGCTATTCACCAAAATGTTCACTCTGGTTATTTTTAGATGGTGGGATTCTCAATGTTTTTCTTCATTTTATGTAGAAATATAATAAATTTCTAAGTCTTCTATAATGATTACGTATTTCTTATGAAGTAAACGGAAAGGTATTTAAAAGTAAAAATTAAATACCTACTCTTTCTCATATTTCTAAGAAAGATACAAAAATGAACAGAGTAACTAAGACATTTTCCCAGGGTACTCCATGACCTTGATAAATTAGAAAGCCAGGTCAAAAGTAGTCTAGTTTTGGTTGGATCCAATCATTTCCTGCTGCTTTCTTGTGAGTGCATGTATCTTTGAGAATTTCATCTTGCTGTGCTGTCCAATATGGTAACCACTAGCCAGTGGTAATATTTAAGTTTTATTTAATTACATTTAAACATAATAAAAATTCGAAATTTAGTTCTTCAGTCTCACAAGCTATATCTTAAGTTCTCAATAGCCACATGTGACTAATGGCTACCAAATGAACAGCACAGAAACACAAAATCACATCATTGCAGTAAGATTTATTGGACACTGCTGGTATAGGTGCTAAACTGCTAGCTAGGCACAGTGTTACAATTAGCCATGAGCAACTCCTGAAAGGGAAGGCCTCTACACATTTATATGAAATAGAAAGCATGACTCTACTTATACCTGTTTCTTTCTCACACTGCATCGAGAGAGTGACTAGAAGTGTACTCAAGGGACCATGTGCTTAGTACACAGGGTTAGGCCATAGACCTTAATTTGAAGAGTCTCTGGGCAACTATAAAACCTAAATAGAAAATACAGGAGTCACAGAGGTTCCAGTGGAAATCTAGACCATCTGCCAATGTCAAATTATAAGTGGCTTTCCAAACAGCTTAGATACGTCTTAGCAGTGCACAACAGTGGAAGCCCATTCCCATCTCCGTGTAGCAAAATGCAGGCAAGTTTTCATGCACAAAGAAAAACATGCAGTACCAGCAATGGGCAAAAGCACAAGGCACGTAAACATCCTCAGTGATTGCTATACCACAGAGGTGAGAAGAGAATAACTTTTTGAGCATACAGGAGACATACTTTGAACTTGGTAATTAGAGCTCAGCTTATTTTTATCATGTATCCTAGGACTGTCATTTCCATTCTTGCCACACAATATGTGATCCTTGGACCAGCAACATCAGCATCACCTGGAAACTTAGAAATGCAGAATCTTATGCTCTACCCTAGACCTGCTGAGTCAGAAACTCATTTAAAAGAGATCTCAGGTGAGTTGTGGGCACATTAAAGGTCCAGGGTCACTGATTTCTCTTTTTCTTACTTTACTTTCAATTTCTAGATTGAAAGAGAAGCCTCAGATCTTCCAACCAAATTTTGTGCAGTACTCTGGATCTGGCAAACAGCATGAGATTTAATAAACATTTATTGATTAATTGAAAATCTGAGGATTTGACTTTCAGAAAACAACAAACCAGCATACTTTGAATGAGGTGTCAAAAATATCCTTAAGAAATCATGTGAAAATTTTAGTATTTCATTTTGGTTTAAAATGCAAAAAATAGATGATCATATAGTAATACTAATAAGCAAATAATAAACCATTCATGATTCCTTTGTTCTTTACATGCTGTCTATAAGGGCAATCATTTTTAAAAGCTTTTATTGGATAGCTTGTGCAGAATCACGCCCTAATTATAGTCTTCCTTTTTATTTGCCATTGAGAGGAAATGCACCAGATGAAGCTGTTTGAGACTCTATGGTTTGTTCAGCTGTATTAAATACTTCTAACTGCTGACTTTTATCGTTCTTAACAAGTCAAGACCAGACTGAATGTCTTTGAGGATAATTGTTTTTATTCATTTCCCTTCTGTATTGCTAAAATGGAGGCAATATGTAAATTAAGGAAAGAGACTCGGATTCAGTACTGCCCAGCCCTCGGCTGGTACTCAGAAAGAAGCAAAACCAAATCTCCTCTGCTCAGTTTGTTTCATGCCTCCATGATCAGTGGGTTCTCCTGCAAAATGGACAAAATTTATTGATTCTTCAAGGTGGTCACCATGCCTCTAAGTTGCATAACTGGTGTGTGCATAGAATTTATTCTAAACAATTTTTTAAAAAACTGTGCTGCTGTATGTCAATGCTTCTAACATTTCGTTCATATCAATGTAGTCCATGATGCAATTAGTAGAGTTATAGTATGGCAATTACTAAAGGCCAGGATTCAGACCTTCTGGGTCTTATCCTCAATTCTACCATTTATCTGTGGGATAACCTTGGGATAAGGAAATAAAAACATTTGGCAATGTCTGAAGACATATTTGATTGTCATGAGTTGAGGCAATGCTACTGGCATCTAGTGCATAGAAGTCAGGAACGCTGCTAAACATCCCTCAATAAACACCCCACAACAAAGAATCATCTGGTCCCAAATATCAGTAGTGCTGAGGAAGATCAACCCCATATATAAAGAGCCTATTATCATCACCAACATTCAGCACTGACATGCTGAAACAAAAATCACAGTCTACCAAAACGCCAGAGACTTTGAACTATGGAATCCTCAAATCAATAAACGAGGATTCGGTGAGTTCTTACTTTATGCTCAGCACTGTTTTAGGTACTGTGGAAAACACAATTTCTTCCAGAAACTTGAAATTCGAATAAACTATTCAGGCCTAATAGGACAATTCCTCATTGATCCATTCCAGTAATTTTCTGCTGCCTCTCGACATGGTGCCCCGTCTAATTACAGGATGACTCCCTATTCCCCTGGGATGCCACTTTTCATTCTCATTCACTTCCTTGTTCTGAAGGAACAGCAATTTGCCACTGAATGGTTATTAGCCTTTTTCTCTTTAAGAAACTAAGAAGGAAAAAAAGCCCACAGGATAATTTTAAAAGTTGTTGCTCCAGTTTTTCTCCAACTTTAGAAATCTCTGTTGGCTTTTAATTAAGAACTTGCATTTAGACTGTGAGATGAACCAGATTTGAAGGATTGTGGTTTTTTTTCTTTTAATGAAATGACACTCGTTTCCCTAGGAGGGGTTTTCCCCAGATTCTCATTGTTCTACTAAAGATGATTTACATGGGCATCTGTGGAAGTAGCTGAATCTGTGATTGGAGTGGGAGGCCAGGGTAGGCACACTGCGCCTTCCCTCTGAGAAACTATGAAATAAACACCCTGGGGACACTGAGCTGAGATCCTCACAAACTTCAGTGTGAAATGGCCTGGAGGTGGAGCAAGTCAGAGTGGCAGCAGGGACTATGTGAAATAAGAGTCAAAAGTATGCCATGAATATGACTGAGTGAGTCAGCTGTTTCAGAAACCTGCAATGCACATTTTCAGTCTACTCCCTTTCCTCACTTGGCCTTAAATAATCTTGTGCATATTCAGAAGGAATCAATGCTAAAGTACATCTATACATCCAATTATTGGGGACTCACATTTTGAAGTCCCTAAATGCTTTCTTTATTTCTAAGCCACTTGGCTAAGGATCAGGGTAAAACAATGCTTCTCTGTATTGAAATTAGTAGGAAAAAATATAATAAGGACAAAAGATTTGCAAATCCTCAAAGTATCTCTCCTAAATATTAATTATAAAAGGGAAAAAAGCAACTTAAAAAAGGAGTAACTTTATAATGGATAAATTTGGCAGACATTATCTTAAGCAAATGATCAAGGGCAACATCATCAGTAATAAGATATACCAATATCTTACACCATTCCTATGATGAACTGAGGACACAACATCATTTCTATGGTATTCTTGTCCTAAAATATATAACCCCAGGTGGGGCGCAGTGGCTCATGCCTGTAATTGCAGCACTTTGGGAGTCCAAGGCGGGTGGATCACTTGAGCTCAGGAGTTTGAGACCAGCCTGGCCAACATGGTAAAACCACATCGCAAATAAAAATATAAAAATTAGCAGGGCATGGTAGCAGGCACCTGTAATCCCAGTTATCTGGGAGGCTGAGGCACGAGAATCGCTTGAACCCAGGAGGCAGAGGTTTCAGTGACCTGAGATAGCACCACTGCACTGCAGCCTGGCTGACAGAGCGAGGCTCTGTCTCAAAAAAATAAAAATTTAAAAAAAAACCCACAAAAATATATAACCTCAATCTTAGCCTGAATAAAACATCAGACAAACTCAAATTGAAGGACATTATACCAAACAACTAACCAGAATCTTCAAAGGTGTCAGAGTCATGAAAGACAGGGAAGACTGATAAACTGTCACAGATTAGAGCAGACTAAGGACACATAATAGCTAAGTGCAAGGTACGATCCTGGACAGGATCATGGATCAAAAAAGAAGACATTACTTAGCGGGGAAAAAGTGAAATGTAAATAAGGCTTTCAGACAAATTAACAGTATTTCATTGTGTCAGTGTTAATTTCCTGGTTTTCTTAAATTCTATGATTATATCATAATAATATTAATGTTAGGGAAGACTCCATGAATGGTAAACATTCTCTGTACTATTTTGCAAATTTTCTGTAACTGAAGGCAAACCTCAGAGATATGACAGTTTCAGTTCCGGATCACTGAAATAAAACAAATTGCAATAAAGCAAGTCACACAAATTTTTTATTTTCCCAGTGGATATAAAATTATGTTTACACTATACTGTAGTCTATTAAGTATGCAATAACATTATATCTATAAAAATAATGTATATACTTTAATTTTCAAATATTGCTTAAAAGTACTAACAATTATCTAAGCCTTCAGCAAGTCATAATCTTTTTGCTGATAGAGGGTCCTGCCTCGATGTTGATGGCTGCCGACCGATCAAGGTGATGGCTGCAGATACTTGGGATGGCTATAGCAATTTCTTAAAATAAGACAATGAAGTTTGCCAGCCACATGGATGGACTTTTCCTTTCATGAAAGATTTCTCTGTAGCATGCAATGCTGTTTTATAGCATTTTAACCACAGTTGAACTTCTTCCAAAACTGAAGTCTATCCCCTCAAATCCTACCACTGCTTATCAACTAAGTTTATGTAATACTCTAAATCTTTTGTTGTCATTTCAACAGTGTTTGCTGCATCTTTATCAGTAGATTCTTCATCTCAAGAAACTTACTTTTTTTCATCCACAAGAAGCAACTCCTCGTAGTTCAGGTTTGTTGATTAGATGGCAGCAATTCAGTCATATCTTCAGGCTCCACTTCTAATTCTAGTTCTCTTGCTATTTTCACCACATCTGCAGTTACTTCCTCCACTAAAGTCTTGAACCACACCAAATCATCCATAAGGTTGGAATCAACTTCCATCAAACTCCTGTTAAGATTGATCTTTTAACCTCCTCTCATGAATCATAAATGTTCTTGATGGCATCTAGAATGGTGAATTCTTTCCAGAATATTTTCAATTTATTTTGCCCAGATCCATCAGAGGAATCATTAGCTAGGGCAGCTTTAGTCTTATAAAATGAATTTCTGAAATAATAAAACTTAAAAAGTCAAAATTACTCTTTAACCCATGGGCTACAGAATGGATATTGTGTTAGCAGGCATAAAAGCAACATTAATCTCCTTGTACATCTCCATCAGGGATTTTGAGTGACCAAGTACATTGTCAGAGAGCAATAATATTTCAAAAGAGATCTTTTCTTCTGAGCAGTAGGTATCAGTAGTGGGCTTAAAATATTCAGTAAACCATGCTGTAAACAGTTATGCTGTCCTCTAGGCTTTGTTGTTCCATATAGAAAGCACAAGCAGAGTAGACATAGCATAATTCTTAAGGGCCCTAGAAGGTTTTTGTTTTTGTTTTTGTTTTTGTTTTTTTGTAGACAGAGTCTTGCTCTGTCCCCAGGCTGGAGTGCAGTGGTGCAATCTCAGCTCACTACAGTCTCCGACTCCCTGGTTCAAGCCATTCTCCTGCCTCAGCCTTCTGAGTATCTGGGATTACAAGCACGCACCACCACATCCAGCTAATTTTTGTATTGTTAGTAGAGACAGGGTTTTACCGTGTTGGCCAGGATGATCTCGATCTCCTGACCTCGTGATCCACCTGCCTCGGCCTCCCAAAGTGCTGAGATTACAGTCGTGAGCCACTGCACCCAGCCTGGGCCTTAGAATTTTTGGAATAGTAAATGAGCATTGGCTTCAACTTCAAGTCACCAGACCCCAAGAGAGTCAACCTATCCTTTGAAGCTTTGAAGCCAGGCACTGACTTCTCTTCTCTAGCTATGAAAATCCTGGATGGCATCTTCTTCCAATAGAAGGCTGTTTCATGTGCATTGAAAATCTGTTGTTTAGTATAGCCACATTAATCAATGATCTTAGCTAGATCTCCTGGAGAACTTGCTGATGCTTCTACATTAGCACTTGCTGCTTCACCCTGCACTTTTGTGTTATGAAGATGGATTGCTTCCATAAAGTCCATGAACCAACCTCTACTAGCTTCAAACTTTTTTTCTACAGTTTCCTCACATTCCTCAGCCTTCATAGAACTGAAGAGAGTTGGGGTCTTGCTGTGGATTAGGCTTAGGCTTAAGGGAGTGTTGCAGCTGGTTTGATCTTCTATCCAGACCACTCAAACTTCCTCTATATTAGCAACAAGGCTATTTTGCTGTCTTGTCATTCATGTGGTCACTAGAGTAGCACATTTAGTCTCCTTAAAGAACCTTACCTTTGCATTTACAGCTTGGCTGTGTAAATGTAAGCCTAATTTTTGGGCTGTCTCAGCTTTGGACATGCCTTCCTCGCTAAGATTAATCATTTCTCACTTTTGATTTAAAGTGAGAGATGTGCAACTCTCCCTTTAACTTGAACACTTAGAGGTCATTGTAGGGTTATTAATTGGCCTAATTTCAATATTGTTGTGTCTCAGGGAAAGGGAAGCCCCATAAGAGGGAGAAAGATGGGGAAAGACTGGTTGGTGGAGCAGTCAGAACACACACAACATTCACTGATGAAGTTGGAAGTACATGTTGGAAAAACAACATGTATTCTCTTGGTACATGTTTGTGGCAACCTGGGGTTGTAAATAATACAATAACTACAAAGCACAATAAAATGAAGTACAATTGCATGAAAGTATTTTAAAATAAAATATTTAAAATAAATAGGCAGAAAACTGCCCACATTAATGCTTAATTAATGCAGGGATATAAAGGAATCAGTTAGTCCTTCTAGAAAGTTAGAAAATTGGAAGAGTGTAAATGGGAAAAGTAAGTATGAAGAATGGGTCTTATCCAGAGCATGGTGGGGTAAGAAGGGAACTTAGACTGATGAAAAAATTTACTTCTGAACCAGAAAGAACCAGGGATTTTTTATGTTATTTCAAAGAGTGAAACACAACCACTGAGAAACTCTTTCTCCAAATCCAAGCAGATCTTTGCTACGCCTCCATGAACCTTAATGCCCAGTGAACTAGGGTTCTAGGACCCTGCAGGCTTTAGATAAGCACAGCCTCCCACATTTTGCCCACCCACCATTTCACAAATGCCAAAACACATAAAAACACCTGTCCATGATCATAGTTACAAACTTATATTTTGTGCTTGTTGGCAGCAAACTTTGTTTCCAGTGAAATCTTATGGGGAACTACAATAAGTTAACTAATCTTTAATAAGTAAAATAAGTAAAACACAGAAAAGCCATAAATAATAATAATTATTATGATGGTTAATATTGAGTGTCAATTTGATTGGATTGAAGGATGTAAAGTATTGTTCCTAGGTGTGACTGTGAGGGTGTTGCCAAAGGATATTAACATTTGAGTCAGTGGACCCACCTTCAGTCTGGGTGGGCACCATCTAATCAGCTGCCAGCATAAAAGCAGTCACGGAAAGAGCCGACTTGCTGAGTCTTCTGGCCTCCATCTTTCTCCTGTGCTGTATTCTTCCCGCCCTGGAACATCAGACTCCAAGTTCTTCAGTTTTTGGATTCTTGGACTTACACTAGTGATTTGCCAGGGGCTCTCAGGCCTTCAGTTACAGACTGAAGGCTGCACTATCGGCTTCCCTACTTTTGAGGTTTTGGGGCTCAGACTGGCTTCCTGGATCCTCAGCTTGCACACAGCCTATTGTGGGACTTCACTTTGTGATCATGTGAGTCAACTTTTCTAATAAACTCCCCTACACATGTACATCTATTCTATTCTGCCCCTCTAGAGAACCCTGACTAATACAATAACTAATATGATTATTAATATAATAATAATGGCTCATGCCTCTAATCCCAGCACTTTGGGAGGCTGAGGCAGGCGGATCACGAGGTGAGAAGATCGAGACCATCCTGGCTAACACAGTGAAACCCCATCTCTACTAAAAATACATAAAATTAGCCTGGTGTGGTGGCAGGCGCCTGTAGTCCCAGCTACTTGGGAGGCTGAGGAAGGACAATGGCGTGAACCCGGGAGGCGGAGCTTGCAGTGTTTTATTATCGGGTCTACATTACAGATGAGGAAACTGAAGCAGGGAGAATAATTCCCTCCTCCCGCTGCCCCAAGTATATTTTAAGAGAGGTTTATTGAGTACAACTACATACAGTAAAGTCTACTCTTTTTCAGTGCACAGTTAAATAAAATTTGAAACACGTACATGTATATAGTCCTATAACTACTACCATAAAGATATAGACTATTATCCTATCCCCTGAAAAAAATTCCTTTTGGGCTCTTTGTAGTCAATCTCTCTCCCATCCTAGCCTCTGGAAACCACTGATCTGTATTCTGTTCCTCTACTCTTGCTTTTTCTAGAATTTTACATACATGAAGTCACACAGTATGTAATACTTTGTGTCTGACTTCTTTCACTTAGCATAATGCTTTTGAGGTTTATCAAGGTTGTTCCATTTATTGGTTGCTCATTTTTTCATGTTGCTGAGTAGTGTTCCCTTGCGTGGACTTATTACAACCTGTTTAGCTATTCACCAGCAGATGGACAACTGGGTTGTTTCCAGTCTGGAGTTACTGTGAATGATGCTGCTATCATCAACATTCACATATGTAGCTTTTTGTGAACATGTGTTTTAATTTATCTTACCTAAATATTAGTTTGATGCAAAAGTCATTGTGTTCTTTGCCATTAAAAGTGTGGCATGTGCCTGTAATCCAAGCTACCTGGAAGGCTGAGGCAGGAGAATCGCTTGAACTCAGGAGGAGGAGGTTGTAGTGAGCCGAGATCACACCACTGCACTCCAGCCTGGGTGCAACAGAGCGAGACTCCGTCTCAAAAAAAAAAAAAAAAAAAAAAAAGTATTGTATTGAAAGTAATGCCATTAAAAGTAATGGCAAAAACCGCAATTACCTTTGCACCAAACTACCTAACCTAAGAGTGAGGTTGCTGGGTCTTACAGCAAGTCAATTCTATGTTTAAGTCCATAAGAAACTGACAAACCGGTTTTCAAAGTCACCGTACCATTTTGCATTCCTACCAGCAATGTATGGGACTTCTAGTTGTTTTACATCCTTGTCAGCACCTGGAATGCTCTATCTTTTTAATTTTAGCTTTTCTAGTGGGTGTGTAGGCATATCTCAATTTTAATGGGTTTTAATTTGCATTTCCCTGATGACTAATGATGTTAAGCATTTTTTTGTGTGTGTTTTCTGACCATTCATACATCTTGTCTATTGAATTGTCTATTGATTTTTTTTAATCAAGGATTTGTCTTCTTACTATTGAGTTGTAAGAGTTCTTTATATATTCTGGATATAAGTCTTTTATCAAATATGCATTTTATAAATAGTTCTTCCCATTCTATAGCTAATCTTTTCATGTTTTTAACAGTGTTGTTCAAAAATCATAAAAAATTTTACAATTTTGATGAAGTCTAACATCAATTTTTTCTTTCATATTTCTGTATCCTATCTAAGAATGCTTTGTCTAACTCAGAGTCACAAAGATTCTCTCTGATATCTTCTTCTAGGTACTTTAAAGTTTTAGCTCTTGCATTTAATTATAGGTTCTGTTGTAAGTTAATATTTATGAATGTGTAAGGTAATGGTTGAGTTTTTTTATATACAAATAGCCAATTATCATTTGTTGAAAAGACTGCCCTTCCCTCAGTTTTCTTATTTCTAAATATTTTATTTCTATGCCATTGTGAGTGAACTACGCATTTCAATTTCCATTTGTTTGTTGCTAATATATGCAAGTAAGACTGCGGTTCAGAAAACAGACTGCAGCCTACAAAAAACACTACTAGAACTAAAAGAACTAAAAAGTGATTTTAGCAAAGCTCTAGTCTATTTTCCAAACTCAACCAATTCTTTATTAGAGTTTTGAATTTAAAAGATAATATAAGCTAATTATGAAAGATCAAGAATCACAAAAGAGAATAAAGAAAATATTAATGATCTTTTTCCGTCTCATCCTTAATCCCTCCTCCTTGAAGCAACCAGTGTTTATACACATTTCTTACATTCCCACATCACATTCAAGCAGGTATCCAGTTAACTTTTCAAAATCTGGGGTGGAGGAGAGGTGAGATGTGCTCAGTAAAAGAAGAAAAAGCAGAATTAGCCTGCTAGACTTTCTGTCCCTGTTTCTAAAATCTATCCCATAGGAGAACAAACAGAGTTGACAAAGAAAGCAAAAGTGCAAAGGGGAATTACAGAAACAAGGAGAGTGTCTAGAAAGAAGCAAAGGAGAACGTTGTCTTTATAAACAAGAAAAAGAATTTCCCACTGACTTGGGGAGAGGAGACAGGTCTATAAGTCCTAGAGGAGCAAAAAACAAGGGATGTAAGACCTTTGAGAAAAATAGTACCTTTGAAAATTTACAGATGGCACTATTGGAAAGCTTGTAAAGATTGTTATTTCTCAACTGTGGTATGAAAACAACAATGACCCTCAAACCTAAAGTAACAATGGAAAAAGAGCAAATGCACAGTGAGATGCAGCCTGCTTGGAGAGAAGGCTAATGATCAGAGAGGACCACCAGCCAAGGCATTGTACCTACCTTTGATTACTCAAGACCCAACAGGGGCCCACAAGAATGATAAAGATAGAATATTTCACCAGGGAGGATGGTCAAATCAAATCACTTTATAAAGAATGGAATGCAACATTTTGTACCTCACGAATCTATTTTGAAGGCCTTAGAAATAAAATTTTCTACAGCTTAAAGACTATGGCCTATTTACTGAAACTCCTAGATGGATGATGGATTATGAATGTTTGAATAGTCCTAACGGTCAGGAAGTCTGAATTCTAGTCTTGTCTGTGCTTGAAATATGATGTGTAGCTTTGAGCAAATATCTTCCTCAAATTTTCCATATGTGAAAATTAGACATCTTAAAATATGCCTTATAAATAAACCTGAATTTTTGAAGTTCTATTACAAACTACCAAAATATTGTGATATAACCAAAACACAGAATAAATACTAAATAATAAAATGCAGAGTAAAAATACAAAGAACTCATCCAGATAGCATTATATAGCAACTTCCTCTCTCAAATCATTGCAAAGACCTTGTAAGAGCAAGAAACTCTTCAATGAATGATCTGATGCTCCATCTTTTGTTGTTTGGATAGCCAGCCCCTCAGACGTCAGTTCATTTGCTCTTGGCTTATATACCATTCTCGTAAGTGGCTTCTCCCAAGTCCATTAGATTAGAAGCGGCAAACTAAAGGTAGAGGAAGGAGATCTGAAGATCAAGAACAAAAATAAGGATAATATCACAAACAGCTGAAGAGAACAAACCTCAATAACAGATGTAATCACTCCCAATCATACTGCACTGAAACTAGTACTGTGGCATATGTTAATTCATGGTGACTAAATTCATAGGTTTGGAAATGGAAGGGACTTGGAATTTATCCAATGAAACTTGCTAAATGTCAATGAAGTAAATCAAGCCAAAGCCTAGGGAGATGATTGAGGGGATCTCTCAATTAAGGTAACCTCCCACGCGCACACACACACACACACACACACACACACACACATACACACCCCTACTTAATCATCGAGTTGAAATAAGAATCTTAGTCCTACTTTATTACTCTAACAATTGATTTTGAATTAAGAAAAGATTACATTTCTTAAGGTATACTCTATATCAGGCTTGTCCAACACGCAGCCTGAGGGCTGCATGCAGCCCAGTACAGCTTTGAATGTGGCCCAACATAAATTCATAAACTTCCTTAAATCGTTATGAGATTTTTTGGCTATTATTTTGAGCTCATCAATTATCGTTAGTGTTAGTGTATTTTATGTGTGGCCCAAGACAATTCTTCTTCTTCCAATGTGGCCCAGGTAAGCCAAAACATTAGACACCCCTGCTCCATATTGTCAGCAAGGAATTTGATCATCTATTTTAGCAAGAGAAGCCTCCAATGTGGTAAAAATTTTAAGTATCTCTGGATGTATCAAGAAAAACATATTGTTGAACATATCATCTCCCAATACAGTTGTATAAATTATAAATGACAGTGTGTGCATGTCTGTGCTCATATACACGTGTCTCTGTGCTTGTGTGTGTATATATGTTAAGAAGCACCCAATGGTGTGTGGCAGTCAACTCATACAACCTCTCAAGAGCCATTTTGTATATCTTTGCTTAACACCACATTAGAGACATCTCACAAATAGTTTGAAATCAGCCATGGTGGGAATATTTACATGACCAAAGTTGGCAACAGCTACAAATTGAGACTTTTTTTTTTCAGGAGATCTGATTGCTAAACATTTACCAGCATACCGTCTGATAAGGTATATTATCACACACATATATTTCTTGAAACAAAATACAGCTTTAATAAATACATTCACATTATTGAATACATGCAAGGTAAATAACATTATCTGTAATTTTGTACTGTTGATACTTTAAGAGTTTTATTTGTTCTTATAAATATTGAAACTAAGAATCATTGTTCTTTAAATATAGGAAGGAAAGAAGCAAGGCCTTTTTCTATTACTGACACCTTATTACACAATTAATAAGATGAATAGGGGAGAGAAAATATATATCTGTTAAAACTTGTGAAGCAGTACTTTAACATGATGTGAGCAAAAACCAACATCCCAGTTCTGTAGTTTGCTGTGTGATAGATGCAGATTATATGGCCAACCACATCCCATGTTCTATATGCAGTCCTAACAGCTTAAAAACAATTTTTTAATGTCTCTTTATGAATTTGAAAGGTCTGAAAGAATGGAGTATAAATGAAGTGCCATATGACAAGAGTCCAGAAATTTCAGACCTAATTCATCAAGTATATATAATATTTACAAGTCCTATATATATTATTGCCAATTACTTTTGCTTTTACAAATCCTTCTGAAATGAATGTGGTTCTCTTGCAATTGGCTTCAGTTGGATTTTTCATGGTTAAAAAGGGGCTTTTTTACACAGTGACCAAAAGCATTGCTGGTATATTATATGTGATAATAAGATAGCTCCCCTAGCTCTCATATACCCACCTTATAAAATGGAATATAAGTCATACTAAATCTTTATTAAAAGAGACCAAAGGTCAACTAACATAATACAAGTAAGGGTTTTAACACTGATAATATAAAGTGGTTTGGTTTTATATACTGGGACATTGAATGCAGGCAACATTCTTCTTATTAAAAAACAGCTTTGTTGAGATATAGTTCACATACCATATATTTCATTCATTTAAAGTGTACAATTCAATGGCTTTGAGTATAATTACACAGTTGTGCACCATCACCACAATCAATTTTATAACCTTTTCATTCCCCCCAAAAAACCCTATACCCCTTAGCCATCACCCTGCAATCTCCCCAAACCCCTCCTTCCTCCACCGGCCCTAAGCAATCACTATTCTACTTTCTGCCTCTAAGTATAAATTTTCCTATTCTAGACATTTTATATAAATGGAGTCATATAATCTGGGGTACATTGTGACTGGCTTCTTTCACTTAGCATAATGTTTTCAAGGTTCATCCATGTTATAGTATTACGTTTCTTTATATTGCCAAATAATATTCTATTATATGGATATACCACATTTTGTTTATCCATTCATCAATCAGTGGACATTTTTGTTGTTTTTACTTTTTGTCTGTTATGAATAATACTGCTAAGAATATTATGTACAAGTTTTTGCATGAACATATGTTTTCATCTCTCTTGGGTATATACCTAGGAGTAGAGTTGCTGGGTAGCTCTAGGTTTAGCCATTTGGAGAACTGCCAGATTGTTTTCTAAAGCAACTGCACCATTACATTCCCACCACAGGTGACATTCTTATTTGGCCAAAATACCCAGGGAAACTATGGAATTCCACTTAAAACCCCCAAAATCCAGTCAATTAATATTTTCTTTCCTTTATTCTGCCCATTTGTATTAATTCAATAGCTGCTCACTATATAGAAAAGTTGGCTACCACTAACATGACTATTCTATTCTAACACTGTTGGCTTTCTTTTCAAAACACTCAACACTTTAAAGCAGTTTTTATCTTAAATTTTAATGAAGGAGAATTCGGTGGTGATAATTAACATAAGGTTTGATGTTACTAAGACAAACTCAAACACAATGGCTGTAGCCAGGTCAAGAGGTCTCATTTAGGTTTCTTCTTCAACACCCACATGTAGAGGACACAAAAAACTGTGGTTCTAATTTTTTACAGGATCACAGTCAATTAAACCTGCATAATGTTAGTCTCTTCTGGATCTATTTTCAGTGAGGGAATTTGAGAAGGTCATACTGTAAGAGATGGCTCAACAAACCAAAACTCACATTAAACAAAAGAAAGACTTTGATACTTCAATATTCTCCCCTTCTGTTTGGAAAAAGTGACCATTGCACTAATGACTACACATTACAATGAAGCAGCAGCATCTTACATTATCTTTCCAGTCCATCCAATTATTCACCTCTACGTGTTTATGTACCACTATCAAGAATTGTTCATGGAAAGAATTTATGCACACATCACCAAAAAAATTCCAAAATAGTCTATGGAAAAAAAGAAATGGCTTTTATTTTGGGGAGGAAAGGGAGCCAAATGCACCTATTAATATTTCCTTCCTTCAAATATTATAAAGGCAAAGTGAATGATTGGTTTAGAGAACAGTAAAATTGCTAGAAATGTCCTCATGGACCCCACAGGACATTGTTGAGGTAGCCTTATAGATGCACCTGTTTACATCTGCCTAAGTCCCCTACCACATCAAAGCTCCTCGAGAACAGCACTTTGTTTTCTCTTCTTGTAGCATCCCCATAATGACTCATGTCCAATAAGAGCTTCATAAATGTTTTCTAATGAAGGCATTAATACTATCAAGAGGAATATGATAAGACTAAAAACACAGGTCATTTATAATTTGCACCAGGGGCAACACTGCTGCCCAATTGGTAGTTATTATCAGTAATGCACACTAATCCTGCTTCTGCCAAAAGCCCGCTGGCACCTCTGAAATGATGACACATTCACAGAACAACAGGCCAGTGCTACAAGTCATTGCCAAGTATAGTGGGTAAACAGGAAATAAGGAATATTTGATGCCACTGAATTGGTGGGAGATGAATTTGGGTGGCATGAAAAAAATTCCATGTATTTGTTCAACTTCTAGACACCAATATAATTATATGTCAAAATTTGTGGGAAAGTTTTAGTGGCCCAGAATGTTAAAAAATCAGTTATTTTTCCCATCAGGAATTCTCTTACATCAGTTGGATAAAAAGAAACCACAGAAATACTTTTCATAACGTCTTAGCTTACCATGAAGTGCCACTTGAAGCACATTCTCTCTAATCCCCCAAATCCTTGAACAATGCAGAGTGCTGAGAGATCAAACCCAATCTTGTGATATTCCAAATTAATTTCAGAAGAAGTCTTTGCACATGTCTTCAGTACACTTTCTAACATGAATCTCATCCTACAAGGACAAGACTAGGCATGTGAAGCTTTGAATTCTAATTCCAGTTTGTCTACTTGGATCCTCAATGAATTACTTAATATCAACCAGTTTGTTTTTAGATTTTTACCGCAATCAATTTTAACCAACATCCAGGTTACAGAGTTGTTGTCAAGATCGGATGAGTTATGTTGGTGAACCTGCCATGTATATGGGAAAGCATTTCACAAATACACATTAGTGTAGTCAACATCCTGTGTGCATTAGCCAAAGATGTTATTTTTATTTTTGTTAGGGAGATAAAATTCCTACTTAAGTAGTAGATACCTCAAAGATATTAATACATCATTTTGGACTGCCACTGGATTGCAATGATTTTCAAATTCCATAAGAAATATAATAAACATATAAATAATATGTGGTGGAATGTAAAAAAAAAATTGCCCCTGAAGAAAAGAAAATGGTTTTCTTTAAATCAAATTATCTGGTCTTAATTTTATTTCCATCTTAGACTCAGTTTCTCTAGTTGTGAAAAATAATTATCACTTCCCATTTTGGGGGGTGGTATTGAGAAATAAATAAGATATGTCATAAAGGATCCGGCATGTAACAGATACCAAATTAAATATAATTTCTCTTCCTTCACCATTCATTGGTTACAACACTATAAGCCATAGATCATAAAATCAATGTTTGCATTAAGATGATTATACAAGGGACTGGGGCTGCTCTACAAAATCACTTACATAAGTTTATACATGAAGTTGAGTATAAACAAGAACTAAAGCAAAAACTCTAAAATCACTCAAACTCTTCACACCTTCCCAAACACATCATGTTCTTTCATCATTTTTCATAGTGAAAGAAAAGGAAAAAATCAAGTCTTCTTCATTCATGCTGTTGATGTTCTAAATTACCACCAGTGACTTTCAATGTTCCACTTCTGTAGGATTTAGACTGCAAACTCCACCCCCTTGTAAATCCTGCTGTGACAATGGATTTGATGTTGTCCCTTTCTATTTGAACAGAGTAGAGTTTTAGAGACTGTCCCGTCATATTCAGGTCCAGTCACAGGACCTGAATTCAACTTGAAGAGGTCTCTGCTTGTCAAACTTTCTTTCGGTCCCCATCTCTTTTCCTCCTTGCCTCCTTCCTTACCTGCCATTTCTCTGGTCCACAATTAATAGGCCCTGGAGTTCCAAGTCCCACTTCTTAATCACTCTAGGCCATGGCATCACCAAGTGTGCCAACATGACATTTCTGGGGTGCTAATGTTGTTGCCATTCTCCAAACAAACTGCTTGGAGCCTTCTTTCCAGAGTTTTGTTTTTGTTTTTGTTTTTTTGTTTTTGTAAGAGACAGGGTCTTGTTATGTTGCCCAGGCTGGTCTCAAACTCCTGGACTCAAGTGATCCTCCAGCCTCAGTCTCCCAAGTAGGTGGGACTATAGGCACGCGCCACCATGACTGACTTAGAGCTTTGCTATTTGAGGCCTCTGGAAACCAGTATACTTGGGAGCACAGGTATGGGATATCTAGCTCAATGTACTATCAAAGACTTCCCGGGGCATAGGATGAAATGCTTTTTGAGGTTTGGGAGGAGGTGCTGGAGAGAGAGACATTAAGGAATCCCAGCCAATTAGGTTTTGTCATGTAGAACTCTCAAGGCAAATATATGTTTCTGTGAAATGCACTATATGTGATATAGGGGGAATATCCAATACTAACACAGATTGAAAGTCCAGAGAGTGAATGAAGTAAGAAAATAAAAAGTATAAAATTATATTCTACTTTGTGAAATAATATTAATTGCACATACTTAAAAATTCTTATTCTTTATGCCTAATCACCACTGAGATTGAGAATTAATATATAAATTATTAAATGTTTTAAATTAATTTGTATAAATATTGCTGGACTAGAATGTGTATGTCAGCCTTCTTAGAATCTTGCTCTCATAGCATGTTCATCTATCATAAACTTGTCTGCTCACAACTTTAAAAAGCATAAAGGAAGATCTTGCATGTTTCATAAGACATTAATAATTGAGATGACCAATTACTTGATTACATAAGTTAATTAGTTAATGTCTGAATATTTACTTTAATTCCTCTACTAAAACTACATATTTATTGACTTTTCTTTACATATGTTCTTATAATATGAAAAGAAATGTAAATGAAACAGAAGTACAAATAAACACATCTGTCTTAAATGCACTAAATCACACCACAAGAAGTGGATACAAAATTTGTTAAGCTCTTATTTTACTCTATTTTATTTTCACTTTTAGACACAGAGTCTCACTCTGTTGCCCAGGCTGGGGTACAGTGCTGCAACGTTGTCCAAGATGTCTGGAACTCCTGGCCTCAAGCAGTCCTGCAGTCTTAGCCTCCCAAATCTCTTGGATTATAGGAGGGAGCCACCATGCCCAGCCCTGCAGTTCTTTTTAATACATCGATGGTGCTTACATTTGGCACTGAATTGTTCTGCCATTATGGTTTGCATGAAGGAGAAGAAAAATCTCCTTGAACACACGGTTAAATTGGTAAATTTGAAAAGATCATATGGAGTTGCAAGCACTCTATTGATAACTACTTATTTGTGTTTTACCAGCTATTTCCATGACTCTCCTACCTTCTTTTTCCAAGTCAATTTCTTAAATGACCAGGACATCATACACCATAATCCCCATATACACAAATAACAAATAAACGTTCTTTTAGGGTATGGGTGGAGTGAATTTTGATTCTTTAAGCAAGGGTGAAAAATCTTGATTTTATCCCTATTATACATGCAGGAAAGCAAGAAGACATTTTAGCCGTGCTATTTGGCTCTTCTATTTTTTACCTTGGAATGTATGTCCTTCTGTGCTCCCCTCCCATCCCACATTAATTCTCCAGCAGCTCATACATATGGCTGTATAAGTCAGAGCCTTCATTTCTAATAATTTTCAACTGAAAGACATGCTTTATTTTTTAACTGGAGCATAGCTAATAATGCAGATGAAATCTGGTCCTGGTAACATTTGATCTGGCCTCAGATGAGAGAAGCTAGGTGGCATCAGCCTTTTCTGATATAATCTGCAGCCAAGGAGTGGCACCAGTATACAAGTGACATGCATATCACATGTATCAAAGAGGAAGCTCAATCTGTAAGGCAGTAAGACTCTCTCACATCCCAGCATGGGTGCTGGCCCTGAGCTGCAGTTCCAGTAATTGACATAGTTGCCCAATGCTACAAAACAAACTCAGAAACTATTCTCATTAGACATCCCCCTGCTTTGTGACTCTGTTATTGTAAAACCCAAACACTGAGCCCCATACCAGCGTGGCTCTGTTTTTAATTAGTTCTGATGGCATTGGGCTGTAAGCCAAAGAAAAAATGAACTTCCTGACTGAGGCTTGTTGCTCAGTATGTTGCTTCCTTCTTAGAGAGATTGTTTTCACAACATTTTATGAAAAGGACTACTGACAGAAATAATATAAGTTTTTACTGCTTTTGATATTTTTTTCAGGCCTAT
The DNA here is from genome assembly GCF_000001405.40 of Homo sapiens. Classification (NCBI taxonomy): domain Eukaryota; kingdom Metazoa; phylum Chordata; class Mammalia; order Primates; family Hominidae; genus Homo; species Homo sapiens. The sequence continues at coordinate 50,936,171 of NC_000006.12, read as the reverse complement.
AAAAAGCAGCCAAAAGTCAGATTTGTACAGTTACAATGCCATTATTTAGTCTTTTTTGCAACCCAGTTGATTTGTCTTTTGACTAAAGACATCCTACACGATTAATTTTTTTAATGGAGAAAACACAGGCTTCTGTTAAAATTTTAAGACCATGAATGTTTTAGTGTTTCCACTAAATTAATTTGGTGATATATTTTTTACTGCCTGGGTCATTGCCAGCATAATGTTAGAATTGAGATTCTGGTGAGGTCACCTTTGGAAAACAAGGAAGTAAAGGGCAGATGGGAATTTCAGACAGATAAAGAAAAATTTAGACAAACGCTGGAATCCTATACAAGATGAGACTTCCCTGGCCACTGATTTTTTAACCTATCTGGGACCTTTTGAAAATCCTTTCAATATGAGAAATTTTTCAATTTCTGAGTCTTTCCTCCTCAAGTTAGAAGCTGGGCATTTGTTTTCCCAGATCCTCTTGTAATTTGTTATGACATGTGACTTAGTCTCTGCCAGTTAGACCCACCCACTTACAACTTCAATTTGGAAGAAAGTGAAAGGAGAAAGGAGACACCACATGGAACTCCTTCCTTCTGGCAAGAGAGGCATAGGGCTATCTAGCAGCCAGGAGCAGCAGTGGCCCAGGTCTTACTGGCACCTTGAATCAGTGTCAACAGCACCCTGTGCAGAGCCATGTACAAAGGTGGTGGTCATGGGGTCTCTATCAAATCAGTGCAGCAGTAGGGCTGGGTACCCTATCTGGATGCATAGCCTTCAAGTTTGACTCCTGGCTCTCCTAAAGATTCAGTGAGTTGGCCAATCACCTTTAACAATTTACTTTTCTATTTATCTTAGCTAGAGTGACATTTGTTTTTGGCAAACAGGAACTCTAGTACAACCATATTGACTCTATGCTATGCTTCCAGTAAACAGGTAAGAAGAAGGGGTTAAGCAGAAGTGAAGAAAGAGTCTTTGGAGTCGGTAGGACATGGTTTGGAATCCTAATTCTTCCACTTAATGGTTGTGTGAACTCAAGACAATTGCTTAACTCCACTGAGCATTCCTTCACCTGAAAAGTGAGGATGTGCAATCCACAATTTATGAATTTCTTTGAAAATTTTAGTAAAATATGGTTGCAGTTATTATTAGTACCACTAAGATGGGCATTTATGTGATTTTTTTTCAACTCTTTTTAGGTATGGATATAAATTTTATTTTAAATAAGTAGATATTTACTTTATTTGGGTTCAGGCTTAGGGAATCACTGAATTATAGTCTCATTTTATCTAGACATTGCCTCAGTCATGCCTATGCCTCTAAAAGGGTAATTGTCTGCATTTTTCTGTAAAAGACCAGAGGAGATGTCACTGATTATTTTTTATTCAAAGCTATTCATACATACGAGTACTTTTTGATCAAACAAAATAATTCCTACAATGTTTATGCACCTGTTCCTTTTGAATACTTTTAGTAGCCTGTCAAATTTCTATGCATCCTTCAAAGCACACTGTAAATTCCATCTCCTCTCTGAAACCTTTTCCTGCCTCTTTTGGTCAAATAGGAGTTTGCCTTCTTTGAACACTGATTATATTGTCTCTTGTGACAATTAATTCATTCTTGCTTACGTGAAAGTTATTTGTATACATGCCTTAAGTCCCCTCACTGGCATAAACTAGGCTCCTTAAGATGAAGATTCATCTCTGTATCTCCTGTAGCCTTTTGCCAAGTGCTCTGTACATGCCATTCCTGTATAATATATTATAATCTATACTACTGTAACATTTTCTCTTAGCTCTGTAACTATATTGGAAGCTCCTTGAAGACACATATATATCTTGTTCATCCTTATATTATCCTTGGTGTCTAATATTCTCCTTGGTGTCTAGCACATATTTGTGGAATTGCATTAATAAACATTAAACTGAAATTTTCTCTATATTTTCACCTTTTATTCTTTTTTTTTTTTTTGTGAGAGGAGTTTCACTCTGTCTCCAAGGCTAAAGTGCAGTGGCGCAATCTTGGCTCACTGCAACCTCCGCCTCCTGGGTTCAAGTAATTCTTTTGCCTCAGCCTCCCCAGTAGCTGGGATTACAGGCATGCACAAATTTACTTTTGGAAATGAACAATGCAGAGAAAGAAAGCTGCTACTTTATAATGTGAAAAATATTACCTGTTGTCTGGGTGTAATGCTGTCACAAGGACAGGCATTTGGTGAAGAAATGTAATATATTTCATTGAGGAGTTATGGTTTCATTTACACTGATATAGGGCAAGCAGGTAAGCATGTAAGCGAGAAAATCAAACCATCCACGATCATGGTGAGGGTGGGATATCAGATGCAAATACAATACCTATGTTAAGATTGTGTATTATTTTGTAGTAAAATTCCCATGTGCAAGTGTGAAATTGCAATATTAATAAACTTACTTAAAATAGTTCTGCTGTTTTAATGTATTAACTTGGAAGACCAAAGAGAATTTAAAGTAAGAAAAACATTGTATACAACCTGCAAAATAAACTCCAAAGCTTTAGCTTCTAAACCACATCACTTTAAGTGTTTTCTAAAGTAATTGTCCTTAGTCTGTGTAAATATATAATATATAATTACATTGTATAAACATGAATACACATATGCGTATCTGTCTCTGTGTGAGTATTCTTTGTGTATGTGCATTCTTAAAATTGTTCTTGAAATGCTCAAAATAATATTAATTGGAATTACCTTTGCAGCAAGTAAAACACAGTGTTTAGGGAATGAAGAAGTCACTAACTTTCACATTATGCCTTGCTTTAGTATTTGAATTTGTACCATGGGAATTTATGTTATGTTTATTATGTTAATGCATTTTTTGTTTGTTTGTTTGTTTTTTGAGATGGAGTTTTCGCTCTGGTTGCCCAGGCTGGAGTGCAATGGCACGATCTCAGCTCACCGCAACCTCCACCTCCCAGGTTCAAGTGATTCTCCTGCCTCAGCCTCCCAAGTAGCTGGGATTACAGGCATCCACCACCACGCCCAGCTAATTTTGTATTTTTGGTAGAGATGGGGTTTCTCCATGTTGGCCAGGCTGGTCTCGAATTCCTGACCTCAGGTGATCCACCTGCCTCGGCTTCCCAAACTGCTGGGATAACAGGCGTGAGGCACTACGTCTGGCCTAATGCGTTTATTTTTAAACTAGCCTACAATAGGAAGTAGATAATGAGTATATCCTTCAACTAATAAATTCTTCCTTTTAACTGTCTGTTTTCAAGAAATATGTGCACTTCAGCAAAAGAAACTACCATCAGAGTGAACAGGCAACCTACAAAATGGGAGAAAATTTTCTCAACCCACTCATCTGACAAAGGGCTAATATCCAGAATCTACAATGAACTCAAACAAATTTACAAGAAAAAAACAAACAACCTCATCAAAAAGTGGGCAAAGGACATGAACAGACACTTCTCAAAAGAAGACATTTATGCAGCCAAAAAACACATGAAAAAATGCTCACCATCACTGGTCATCAGAGAAATGCAAATCAAAACCACAATGAGATACCATCTCACACCAGTTGGAATGGCAATCATTAAAAAGTCAGGAAACAACAGGTGCTGGAGAGGATGTGGAGAAATAGGAACACTTTTACACTGTTGGTGGGACTGTAAACTAGTTCAACCATTGTGGAAGTCAGTGTGGCGATTCCTCAGGGATCTAGAACTAGAAATACCATTTGACCCAGCCATCCCATTACTGGGTATATACCCAAAGGACTATAAATTATGCTGCTATAAAGACACATTCACACGTATGTTTATTGCGGCATTATTCACAATAGCAAAGACTTGGAACCAACCCAAATGTCCAACAATGACAGACTGGATTAAGAAAATGTGGCACATATACACCATGGAATACTATGCAGCCATAAAAAATGATGAGTTCATGTCCTTTGTAGGGACATGGATGAAATTGGAAATAATCATTCTCAGTAAACTATCGCAAGAACAAGAAACCAAACACCGCATATTCTCACTCATAGGTGGGAATTGAACAATGAGAACACATGGACACAGAAAGGGGAACATCACACTCTGGGGACTGTTGTGGGGTGGGGGGAGGGGGGAGGGATAGCACTGGGAGATATACCTAATGCTAGATGACGAGTTAGTGGGTGCAGCGCACCAGCATGGCACATGTATACATATGTAACTAACCTGCACATTGTGCACATGTACCCTAAAACTTAAAGTATAATAATAATAAATAAATAAATAAATAAAAGGGAGGAAAAACTCTTTAACAAAAATGAAAAAAAAAGAGAAATACGTGCACTTGATTAAAAGGTGAACCTATAAGGAAGCATCACTGTATCTAAAAACAAAAATTTGTCTGGGTGTCATAACTCATGCCTATAATCCCAATGCTTTGGGAGACTGAGGCAAGAGGATTGTTTGAGGCCAGGAGTTTGAGATCAGCTTGGGGAAGATAACATAGTGAGACCCCATCTCTACCAAAATTAAAACAATTAGCTGGACATGGTGCCATGCATCTGTAGTCCTCACTACTTTGGAGGCTAAGGTGGGCAGATCACTTGAGCCCACAAGGTCAAGGCTTCAGTGAGCCATGATTTCATCGCTGCACTCCAGCTGGGCAACAGAGGAACCATCTCTAAAAATAAATAAATAATGAAATTTATTTTTTATTATATACTATATATTATTTTTAATACACATTTCCTTTGTGAAATGGAGATATATAAATAAATAGTAAATAAAAATATTCCATAGAAAGCTAAAAAAGATAATCTCATAGAAGTAGAGGATAGAACAGTGGTTACTAGAGGCTGAGAAGGGAAGGGGTAGGGTAGATAGGTAGAGCTTGGTTAATGGAGGCAAAATTTCAGCTAGATGTAAGGAACAAGCTCTACTGTTCTGTAGCACTGCAGGGTGATGATACCTAACAATTTATTGCATGTTTTCAGGTAGCTAAAGGAGATGGTTTTGAATTTTCCCAGCACAAATAAATGATAAATGTTTGAGGTAACAGTAATCCCAATTACCTTTATTTGATTATTACACATTGGATACATATATCAAAATATCACACTGTACCCCATAAACATATAGCATTATTATGGGTCTATTAAATATATATTTTTAAAAATTCCACAGAAGTGTCTATAGAAATGTTTTATAAAATAAATATATTCTATGGAATACTATGTAACAAGTAAAAAGAAAGAAGTAGGATAGTGGCATGGAAAGACTCCCAAGACTTGTCAATAAATAAAAACAAGCCAGGTGTGGTGGCTCACGCCTGTAATCCCAGCACTTTGGGAGGCTGAGGCAGGCGGATCACGAGGTCAGGAGATCGAGACCATCCTGGCCAACATGGTGAAACCCTGTCTCTACTAAAAATGCAAAAATTAGCTGGGCGTGGTGGTGCGTGCCTGTAGTCCTATCTACTCGAGAGGCTAAGGCAGGAGAATCGCTAGAACCCGGGAGGCGGAGGTGGCAGTGAGCCGAGATCGCACCACTGCACTCCAGCCTGGTGACAGAGTGAGACTCCATCTCAAAAAAATAAAATAAGTAAAAAATAATAAAAATGGCAAGTTGTAGGACATGACTCACAGTATGATCTGTCACTTTATGTGTGTAAATGTACAGATATATGTAGGTTAATAAATAACAGAGTTCTAAAAAGATGCATACCAAACTGTGATTAGTGCTCCTGGAGAGTCAAGTAGTTATTACAAGGAAAGATAATAAAGAAATTTCACTTTTTAGTCTTATAACTCTGTATCATTTGAATGTTTTAAAGTTAAAATATTGTAATATATTTTCTACATAAAAATTAATTTAAATAAATAGGTAAATAAAGTCAACTTTTCTGGAAGTTGGAAAAAGCATTTAATGACTATGGTAACACTGATTATTCAGTGCTAGGGGTCCAGATAAATAAGCACATTTGAAAACTAAAACAGGAAATTTCTGGAACACAGAGTTTTCTTGGAATAAAACTACAAGGATGCAGTCTGTTACCATGAAATTTGGATATTGTGCTGAACAACAAACAGGAACACAAATAAAAGCAATTTGACTCTATGTATACATATAATGTTATCACTAAAAATGTAACTCCTTGTTCCAAAAACTGTTCTTCTCAATTTATTTTGAGATTGTCACCCAAAATTATTTGTTTTGCTTTATTTGTTGTTTCAAGATTTGAAAGAATAACTGTTAGATATGTCTCAAAGCATGAAGGTAAAAAACAGAAAATGTTTAAAAGAAAACCTTATTAAACATTTTTGTATTGATAAATTCACAAGTAGCTGTCCTTGCTCAGTTGCCAAGTCACAGTCTTTTGAAGACAAGGTAAAATACTATCTACCAAATCACAGAATGAGAGGCGCAGGCTGCCTTGCCTTCATGCTTCCCTATAAGGACACTTGCTCTCTATTCCCTTCTAAACATCTGTCAGCATAGCCCTTTACAGGGATACTGGTATGTGGATTGATTTTACAGATATGAAAAATTTCACTTAAGAATTTCCCTGGGCAACCAATCCTTCACAGTTGCCACATTATTACAACTGGGTGAATAGACTTAAATACGTCAACTAAGTCCACAAAAACAACAATGAAGCTGTCTCCAACCTCTGCCCTCCCCCATTCCCCCGCAGACCTCACCTCCTACTGGTCTCTCTCTGGTACAGTCCACTCCTTACTCTCACTTTGACAGTCAAACTTCAGGAATCAGGACCTATTTCCTTATGGGTCTGTGTGCCAGGGAGACTGTTCACTCCATACTTCCTTCTGGCCTCTGCTCAAATGTCACCATCTCAACGAGGGCCTTCTGTTCTTTATTTTTCTCAATAACACTTACCCACCATCCAACATACCACACATTTTATTTTTTCTTGTTCCATAGCTTTATTTATAATAACTAAACAACTAAAATCAACTTAGATGCTCAAAAATAGGAGAACTGATAAGTCCTCTAAGATACCTGGAATACTGCTGAGCAATACAAATGAAGAAATGTTGGATACGCACAATTGTAGTAGTTTTCTATTGGCACCATAACAACTTATCACCAACTTGGCTGCTTAAATTTATCACGTAGTTCTTTTTATATGTATTTTATTTATTTTTTACTTTTATTTTATTATTTGTCCCATCCCATCCCAATAGAATGTAAGCTCTTTCAAGGTATATATTTTTGCCTGTGTTTTTCACTCCTTTATCTTCAGAGATAGAACAGTATCTGACAGAAGATTGATGCTAAACAAATAACCCCATAATTATAAGACATCTCATATCAATGATATTTTTCCCCTAAATGTCTGATGCACACAGAAACTAGATCTTTATATGAAGGGGTCAAAGCCACTTTTATGAAAAACTGATTTTCTAGACGAGAAAAGCTATAGTACTGAGTTTAGATTAGTAGATTAACTGAAACAACTACTGGGTTCTCAACTCCCTGTGGGAGTAAATAGATAACAGTGCCATCAAAATGCCGATGACCACAGAGCAGATAGAAGGGTTTTGACAGCATCGGTGCTCAGTCACCACTCTCCCAATCACAATGGAGTTATCAATCACTCAAGAAATCTCAGGAAGTTCCTTGGCCTAGCCCAATAGCTGGAAGAGAAGATACAGGTGGGGCAAGGTTCTACCAATGAGAGAACGTCCAAAAAGGAGTTAAAGGGGCTCAAACACTACTAATCTGTCTTATGTTACCTTGGCAATAGAGTAGAGAAAGGCTTACATTAAAATACATGGTCGCGGAATTCCCAAAACGTTGCAGGTTCCAGTGGACTGAAAAACTGAATCATGCTTGGCCTGGTAGTGAAAGGTGTGATTATAGGAACAGTTGCCACCCCCTCTGATAAAGTCTCAAAAATGTGTAGCAACAGCAGTGACAACAGGGCTGGAGCAGACACTTTAGAGATGAAAGCACACTAAACCAGGCCAAAGGACACTTGAAAAAAAAGGTCCAAAAGTGTCTTTAAATGGTGTCATCATCATAGCTTCTCTGCTCGAGCTCAGATTCATTAAGTAGTACGTTAGGAATAAGCCACAGTATGGTGCTGACCACCACAACCTCAGAACCCAAAAGGTATTTGCTAGCTCATTCCTTTGTCAGAAGGTTGAACTAACCCAGCAACAGCACAGCCAATTTTAGCACTTTGACTTGTCAGCAGGGTAGCCTCCACTGATGAATTTTGAATCCGGTGATATCATATAGTATTAGTCACTAAACTGCTATGTACCACCCTTTTCTGCCTATCTACATGGCACAGAAATAATCATTAATGGATACCACAGCTATCCACATGCATTCATTTCCACAATGAGAGAAGTTTGTCCAGGTAGCCTAAGAAAGAAGGTATCAGGTTTTTGTGTTATTTTTTCACAGGAGAAATGTGATCCCTCATCTAGGGCCCTCAAAGCCACTTTCAGTCTGCCTTTGTTTCATATTATGTTATCCAGATCTGTGCCAGCTACTTAGTAGGCCTCATTCAAGTAAATTACCATCTCTGATTATGATGAAATAGATCTAATGCACTGATTAGGGTCTCTTCCTAAACTGCCTGCCAAGCTTCTTGCTGAGTTTCTCTTGTTAATATTCTCCTTTACCTTTCATGGCTCCTTCCTAATTGGGCATCATTTAGATTTAGTAATGATGCTTCATATTATGGTGGCAATCTTTCCCCAAGTAACATAAATGGAAATATTCAACTAGAAAAAAAAGGAGAGAGAGAGAGCACTCATTTGTTGAAACCCAGGTGTACATCTGCATTCTATAATCCCAGGTCCAGTTGATCAGATGATGTTCATAAAAATCAAGTAGTGGCCTCCTTTAATGATATATTTTATTGTTTACAATAAAAATCAACAGAGATGTACAGAGCACTATTACAGTTTTTTTCAGCAAGTGATCTGCATCTGCCATTCTGTAGACACAGCTAAAGTTAGCCATTATATCTGTTCCAGTGAATTCAGCTAAATCATCATAACAAGCATGGTTATGGTGCTAAAAGACATTAACAGTCACCATTTTTCATTTCCATCAGGGGGTAAAAACTGCTCTATCTTTACTTCTAATAGATGGAAATTGAACTAAAACTGGAAATAGCTCCAAATGGCAATGCTAATAGTAAACGTGACATCTAAATAATTATCCTAAAATAAATAAATGGGAGGAGATATAAAAAGCCCTCTTCTTCATTTTTTTCCTAGAACAGAAAAGAGTTATGAAACACTATATCTTTTAAAATAAATTCAGTTTAAGACTCAGAACAATAATTGGGCTGGTTCTCCAGACTCTATTATGAGTTCAAATCAATGACTCTGTTCCTAACACAGTCGTTTGTTTCTACTTTAAGAAGAAATGTATTACTCACCTATCTATGAGAGAAAAAGATAACAATCAGTGAACTTATAGAACTTCTCACCACTATATGTCTATACCAATATCAAGTAAAATAGAATTTATACTATTGATTATCATTTCAGTAAGTCCTGCCAATTGATCATATAAACCTAGTAAGCTCACCAGCATTTACTTAAAGAATAAAATCAGATCAACCTTATATTGCTCTTGAGTTAAATATAAGAATAATAATAATCTTCTATATTTTATATTGATGACTTGCATCACAAATCACTATCTTGTTATGATGTATTATACTTACTGACTATAAGGATTTGAGGTTTTTTTGGTCTGGAATGACCTGACTGCAAAAAGGAATATTTTTTCTAGTGGTTCTGTTTCCTTCACTTAATGCCAGGCACTGTGGCTGGCCATGTAATTTATCCAGAAAAATATTTCTGGAAATACAGATATAAAGATATAGATATAGTCTACTTTCTGGAATATACACATTTCATGTGAAGCAATGAAATATGGAGATCGCTGGACAAATTCTACACAGACCAGAGTGTGTAGAAATCCACTGATAACCCTGGACTGTGTGGTAAGAATGAATCAAACTCAGTCAAGAAGCTGAAAGACTTTGGCTCTGCCGTCCAAATTCTCTACATAGTTGCCTGACTTTGTGACAAAACCTAAATGACTGGTGCAGGTCAAGTGGTCTGAGCTACAGTGCTGCACTGACAAAGTCAAACAAAGAATAAAAAGAAGATTATTGAAGTAAAAAGTGAGGTATTGCCTTAATTATCTGCATGATTACCTTATATTTTAATTTCCATATACACACACAGAATCCTTTATCTGGATTCAAGTAATTTCTTAAAAAATATGACTGTGGGCAAATGTTGATTCAGATTTGGGGACTGTCTTAATGAGCAATTTGTGGAGTCAGACACAGATAGTGAGGCACACTGTGTCAATCAACAGATATTGAGGCACACTGTGTGTTTATTCCCTATCTGGAAGACAACAGGGACCCAGAAGTATGTGGCATGACCTCATCCTTCATGTACATAAAAAGTAGCCAGGGAGCTAGACCTGCAGCAAAGACAGGCAGTGTCACATGCTGATGAAACACACAGGTCCTAGTGCCCATCTACTGGGGTTTGAATCCCAACTCTGACATTTACTTCTGATGCCTTAGATCAGTCCCTGTCTGTAAAATCAGCATGACAACAGTATCTACCTCTTGTTGTGTAGATTAAAAGATTGGATCGAAGAAGGTACACTGTCTATATTTTTGAATGGATGAACAAATGAATAAAATTTCACACACAGTTACAAAGTACAGTGGTCCAAAATATAAGAATCCTAATTTTTTTTTTTTTTGAGACAAGGTCTGTTCCGGATACCCAGGCTGGCATGCCATGGCACCACCATAGCTCACTGCAGCCCTAAATGAGTAGCTGGGATTACAGGCTCCAGAAACCATGCCTGGATATGAATTCTAGTTCAGACTCCACTGCTAGCACTTTGTGTGAGCCTGAGCCAGTAACCAACTTCCCAAACTTTAATTTCCCCTATGGTTTCAACACAATATTATAACACTGGCTTATCATTCTATAATTACACATTCTTAGATAAATAGAGAAAGGGGGTATCAGTGAGGACTGGAGTCATGGAAGTTTTCATTAAGGAAGTTAAGGTGATCTACCTAAGGGAAAAGGTGAGAAATAAATTTGCAGGGTCAGGGCCAGAAAAAAACATATGAGAAGATGCTGAGAAGGAGTGGGACAGACTAGGGGAACCAACAGACAAAGTTCTGCCCTTTTTGGAGGCTTCACACAAGAAAGTAAAAGGAAGTGGGCTTTTATATGAAGGATGAGAAGTATGTGGGTAGGGACTTGAAAGAAAGTAAACGGGTTCCCTTGTAAGCTGATAAAAACTCAGACGTTCTAAACTTTTTCTGAGAAAGGGGAATGACAGCGTAAAAGCAGTGATCAAGGAAGATTAATTTGATAAAGTTATGTAGGAGAATTGGAGGAACATAGATAACAGATCCAATTACTCTTTCTAAAATTGACTAGTAATGCTCAGAGGAAAAAAAATGCAATGGTTGCAATAGCTGCCTCAGAACAAGTTTTATTAGTCTGCAGCTAAAACTCAAATTTTAACCATAGGTGGTATGTAAGGAATTTAGTAAATCATTTGACATAATTAAAAATTAAATACATATAGGTGTGTGTATGTATATGCATATATGTATTTAGATTAAGTACCATATGGTACATGCAAATAATATATTTAAATACTATTGCTCTGTCTACATATTTCTCCTTAAAGATAAATGTGGTGTGAATCAAGGGAAATCTTACGGGGATTAGAACCTAAAATTTCCAGATAACCCCAATCCCACCATATTATATTATAGCCGTGTATAATAAAATAATTTTTAAACACTTGCAAACTATCATTTAGCACAAGAGAAAAGGAAGGCAGATGTTAGGGGTCAAAAACTGTACTATTCAATGAGCCCCACTTGTGTTTCTCTACTATTCACATTAACAGGATAAGATTAAGCAATTCTTAGCAATTAGACAAATCTTAGCAATAGAAGCAGATGATTTATTAGCCCTTGGACACTCAGAAGGAAAAGAAGTTTGGGCAGTTTGCAACAGTGTGGGCATTGTTTAATCTTCACATTTTGAGAACAGAGTGAATTTAATTTGGAATCGCAGAACTAATTTAACATACTCAAAGAGTATTTTTTCCACACTATCATAAGCAAAGAGAAGTGAGAAGGCACACAAAAATATAGATACATTAAATACCAACTATATACTCAACACCATGCTGGACACAACTTAAATGTTATTTATTTCTATTAAGAAAGCTCTGATATTTTCCTAGTTTTAATGATAAAAATTTAAAGTTTCAAGTACTAAAGAAATGTATCTAAGGTCTCACAGCAATTAAATGACTGAGCCATTCAAACCAATTGTGCCTAAACTTTGATTTAGACCTCTATGGAATAACAGGGGAAGAATTTACTGTCCTGCTTGAAACAACCAAAACATATAAAATATGTAAAATAGGTTTTCAAAATATATAAAGCAAAATATTCAAAACACTTAATATTATACAATGAGGAACAGCAAGAAAAAAATGTTTCCTGAGAAACAGGAAACAAACAAGTGAGCCCTGCAATTTCCCACAATTTATTGCATTGAGAGGGTTTCCCAACTCCCGCATAAGAATATGGAAACCAGGTGAAGCCCAGAAGACCCCCCTAAGTTGAGGAGACAGTGCTGAGAGTCTGAAGAGATCAAGGCAGCCAGAATTTGCAGGACAAATTCCTAAAGAGGAGAGAACTGCACATGGAGAGAACTCCTTAAACATCTACAGAAGATGCCCTTCAGTGTTCAGCTGAGTACAAGTAACACATGTATGTGAGGAAATGACAGGGAAAGAATTACAGGAAATAGCTAGCAATATCAGTGCCTGACACTCACATGGGGTCAGCTAAAGTACCTAGCAAACCTCAGGATTCAAGGGGAATAGGTAGAGTACACAGGGTGCTCTTGCCTCAGTAAGGGAGAATCCATTCCTACTCATTAAATCTTTAAAGCAAGACCTGAAAAGATCAAAATAATGTCAAGTAACTTAACTGCATCCCAAGAACAAAGCTCAAGAATATCCATAGAAATAGAAAACTCTCCAGTAACTAACAATGTACAATTCACTGTCTGACATAACAATAAAAGATTACTAAGCAGAAGTAGGAAAATAAGACTCACAATAAGAAGAAAGATGAATCATTCAAAACTGACCCAGAGCAGATACATTTTTATATTTAGTAGACAAGCACATTGAAATGGTTGATGACTAAACTAAACAGGTTCAAAAAATGAAGTAGAGTCATGGCAGATTTTTTTAAAGGCCTAAATTGAACTTTAAGAGGTAAAAACTACAACATTCAAGAATAAAAACATACCAGTTGAGATTAATGACAGATTAGGCGTTGCAGAAGGAAAGATAAGTGAACTTAAAAACATAACAATAGAAACTATCCAAAATGAGTCATAGAGTAAACACAGAATTAAAATAAAGAAAAAGAAAGAAAGAAAAAAGCAAAGAATTAATATTGTTAAAATATCCATACTACCCAAAGAAATTTATGGATTCCATGCAATCCTTATCAAAACCCCAATGGCATTATTCACAAAAATGGGGAAAAAAATCTTAAAATTCATATGGTACCACAAAAGACCCCAAATAGCCAAAGCAGTTCAGAGAAAGAAAAAACAACATTGCGCTGGGTGCAGTGGCTCACACCTGTAATCCCAGTACATTGGGAGGCCAAGGTGGGTAGATCGGTTGAGGTCAGGACCATTCTGGCCAACATAATGAAACCCCATTTCTACTGAAAATACAAAAATTAGCCAGGTGTGGTGGTAAGTGCCTGTAATCCCAGTTACCTGAGAGGCTGAGGCAGGAGAATCACTTGAGCCCTGGAGGTGGAGGTTGTAGCAAGCCTTCCAGGGTGGGCGACAAAGCAAAAATCCACCCCCATACCAAAAAAATATGTATATATATATATTGGAGGCATCACACTTCCTTATTTTAAATTATATAACAAAGCTATAATAATCAAAACAGCATGGTACTGGCATAAAAGCAGACATAAACCAGTGGAATAGAATAGAGAACCCATAAATAAATCCAAATATATATGGACACGAACAGCACACAATAAGAAAAATTGTCTTTTTGATAAACAGCAGAGGGAAAACTGAACTTCCACAGGAAAAAGAATAAAATTGGGCCGTTTTCTGGGGGAGCGGTTCCAAGATGGCTGAATAGGAACGGCTCCAGTCTACAGCTCCCAGCGTGAGTGACTCAGAAGACGGGTGATTTCTGCATTTCCAACTGAGGTACCGGGTTCATCTCACTGGGGCTTATTGGACAGTGGGTGCAGGACAGTGGGTGCAGTGCACCAAGCATGAGCCAAAGCAGGGTGAGGCATCACCTCACCAAGGAAGCACAAAGGTTCAGGGAATTCCCTTTCCTAGCCAAGCAAATCTGTGACAGACAGCACCTGGAAAATCGGAACACTCCCACCCTAATACTGTGCTTTTCCAATGGTCTTAGCAAACAGCATACAAGGAGACTATATCCCGCACCTGGCTCAGAGGGTCCCATGCCCACGGAGCCTCGCTCATTGCTAGCACAGCAGTCAGAGATTGAACTGCAAGGCGGCAGCAAGGCTGTGGAGGGGTGCCCACCATTGCTAAGGCTTGAGTAGGTAAACAAAGCGGCCCAGAAGCTCGAACTGGGTGGAGCCCACTGCAGCTCAAGGAGGCCTGCCTGCCTATGTAGAATCCACCTCTGGGGGCAGGGCATAGCCAAACAAAAGGCAGCAGAAACCTCTGCAGACTTAAATGTCCCTGTCTGACAGCTTTGAAGAGAGTAGTGGTTCTCCCGGCACGGAGTTTGAGATCTGAGAAGGGACAGAATGCCTCCTCAAGTGGGTCTCTGATCCTTGAGTAGCCTAACTGGGAGGCAGCCCCCAGTAGGGGCAGACTGACGCCTCACATGGCTGGGTACCCCTCTGAGTCGAAACTTCCAGAGAAACAATCAGGCAGCAACATTGGCGGTTCACCAATATCCACTGTTCTGCAGCCTCTGCTGCTGATACCCAGGAAAACAGGGTCTGGAGTGGACCTCAGGCAAACTCCAACAGACCTGCAGCTGAGGGTCCTGATTGTTAGAAGGAAAACTAACAAACAGAAATGACATCCACACCAAAACCACATCTGTACTTCACCATCATCAAACACCAAAGGTAGATAAAACCACAAAGATGGGGAAAAAACAGAGAAGAAAAACTGAAAATTCTAAAAATCAGAGGGCCTCTCCTCCTCCAAAGGAATGCAGCTCCTCACCAGCCACGGAACAAAGCTGGATGGAGAAAGACTTTGACGAGTTGAGAGAAGGAGGCTTCAGACGATCAAACTACACCAAGCTAAAGGAGGACGTTCAAAACCATCACAAAGAAGCTAAAAACCTTCAAAAAAGATTAGATGAATGGTTAACTAGAATAACCAATGTAGAGAAGTCCATAAATGACCTGACGGAGCTGAAAACCATGGCACGAGAACTACGTGATGAATGCACAAGCCTCAGTAGCCAACTCAATCAACTAGAAGAAAGGGTATCAGTGACTGAAGATCAAATGAATGGATTGAAGCAAGAAGAGAAGTTTAGAGAAAAAAAGAATAAAAAGAAATGAACAAAGCCTCCAAGAAATATGGGACTATGTGAAAAGACCAAATCTACGTCTGATTGGTGTACCTGAAAGTGATGGGGAGAATGGAACCAAGTTGGAAAACATTCTGCAGGATATTATCCAGGAGAACTTCCCCAATCTAGCAAGGCAGGCCAACATTCAAATCAGGAAATACAGAGAATGTCACAAAGATAATCCTCCAGAAGAGCAACTACAAGACACATAATTGTCAGATTCACCAAAGTTGAAATGAAGGAAAAAATGTTAAGGGCAGCCAGAGAGAAAGGTCGGGTTACCCACAAAGGGAAGCCCATCAGACTAACAGTGGATCTCTCAGCAGAAACTCTACAAGCCAGAAGAGAGTGGGGGCCAATATTCAACATTCTTAAAGAAAAGAATTTTCAACGCAGAATTTCATATCCAGCCAAACTAAGCTTCATAAGTGAAGAAGAAATAAAATCCTTTACAGAGAAGCAAACGCTGAGAGATTTTGTCACCATCAGGCCTGCCCTACAAGAGCTACTGAAGGAAGCACTAAACATGGAAAGGAAAAACCGGCACCAGCAACTGCAAAAAAGGGACAAATTGTAAAGACCATTAATGCTAGGAAGGAAATGCATCAACTAACGAGCAAACTAAACAGCTAACATCATAATGACAGTATCAAATTCACACATAACAATATTAACTCTAAATGTAAATGGGCTACATGCTCCAATTAAAAGACACAGACTGGCAAATTGAATAAAGAGTCAAGACCCATCAGTGTGCTGTATTCAGGAAACCCATCTCACATGCAGAGAAACACATAGGCTCAAAATAAAGGGATAGAGGAAGATCTACCAAGCAAATGGAAACCAAAAAAAGGCAGGGGTTGCAATCTTAGTCTCGGATAAAACAGACTTTAAACCAACAAAGATCAAAAGAGACAAAGAAGGCCATTACATAATGGTAAAGGGATCAACTCAACAAGAAGAGCTAACTATCCTAAATATATATGCACCCAATACAGGAGCACCCAGATTCATAAAGTAAGTCCTGAGTGACCTACAAAGAGACTTAGACTCCCACACAATAATAATAGGAGACTTTAACACCCAACTATCAACATTAGACAGATCAACGAGACAGAAAGTTAACAAGGATATCCAGGAATTGAACTCAGCTCTGCACCAAACAGACCTAATAGACATCTACAGAACTCTCCACCCCAAATCAACAGAATATACATTTTTTTCAGCACCACACCACACCTATTCCAAAATAGACCACAAAGTTGGAAGTAAAGCTCTCCTCAGCAAATGAAAAAGAACAGAAATGATAACAAACTGTCTCTCAGACCACAGTGCAAGCAACTAGAACTCAGGATTAAGAAACTCACTCAAAACCACTCAACTACATGGAAACTGAACAACCTGCTCCTGAATGACTACTGGGTACATAACGAAATGAAGGCAGAAATAAAGATGTTGTTTGGAACCAATGAGAACAAAGACACAACATACCAGAATCTCTGGGACATTCAAAACAGTGTGTAGAGGGAAATTTATAGCACTAAATGCCCACAAGAGAAAGCAGGAAAGATCCAAAATTGACACCCTAACATCACAATTAAAACAACTAGAAAGGCAAGAGGAAACACATTCAAAAGCTAGTAGAAGGCAAGAAATCACTAAGATCAGAGCAGAACTGAAGGAGATAGAGACACAAAAAACCCTTCAAAAAATCAATGAATCCAGGAGCTGGTTTTTTGAAAGGATCAACAAAATTGATAGACTGCTAGCAAGACTAATAAAGAAGAAAAGAGAGAAGAATCAAATAGACCCAATAAAAAATGATAAAGGGGATATCACCACCGATCCCACAGAAATACAAACTACCATCAGAGAATACTACAAACACCTCTATGCAAATAAACTAGAAAATCTAGAAGAAATGGATAAATTTCTCGACACATACACCCTCCCAAGACTAAACCAGGAAGAAGTTGAATCTCTGAATAGACCAGTAACAGGCTCTGAAATTGTGGCAATAATCAATAGCTTACCAACCAAAAAAAGTCCAGGACCAGATAGATTCACAGCCACATTCTACCAGAGGTACAAGGAGGAACTGGTACCATTACTTCTGAAACTATTCCAATCAATAGAAAAAGAGGGAATCTTCCTTAACTCATTTTATGAGGCCAGCATCATCCTGATACCAAAGCCGGGCAGAGATACGACCAAAAAAAGAGAATTTTAGACCAATATCCTTGATGAACATTGATGCAAAAATCCTCAATAAAATACTGGCAAACTGAATCCAGCAGCACATCAAAAAGCTTATCCAGCATGATCAAGTGGGCTTCATCCCTGGGATGTAAGGCTGGTTCAATATACACAAATCAATAAATGTAATCCAGCATATAAACAGAACCAAAGACAAAAACCACATGATTATCTCAATAGATGCAGAAAAGGCCTTTGACAACATTCAACAACACTTCATGCTAAAAACTCTCAATAACTTAGGTATTGATGGGATGTATCTCAAAATAATACGAGCTATCTATGACAAACCCACAGCCAATATCATACTGAATGGGCAAAAACTGGAGGCATTCCCTTTGAAAACTGGCACAAGACAGGGATACACTCTCTCACCACTCCTATTCCACATAGTGTTGGAAGTTCTGGCCAGGGCAATTAGGCAGGAGAAGGAAATAAAGGGTATTCAATTAGGAAAAGAGGAAGTCAAATTGTCCCTGTTTGCAGATGACATGATTGTATATCTAGAAAACCCCATTGTCTCAGCCCAAAATCTCCTTAAGCTGATAAGCAACTTCAGCAAAGTCTCAGGATACAAAATCAATGTACAAAAATCAAAAGCATTCTTATACACCAATAACAAACAAACAGAGAGCCAAATCATGAGTGAACTCCCATTCACAATTGCTTCAAAGAGAATAAAATACCTAGGAATCCAACTTACAAGGCATGTGAAGGACCTCTTCAAGGAGAACTACAAACCACTGCTCAATGAAATAAAAGAGGATACAAAGAAATGAAAGAACATTCCATGCTCATGGGTAGGAAGAATCAATATCGTGAAAATGGCCATACTGCCCAAGGTAATTTATAGATTCAATGCCATCCCCTTCAAGCTACCAATGACTTTCTTCACAGAATTGGAAAAAACTACTTTAAAGTTCATATGGAACCAAAAAAGAGCCTGCATCACCAAGTCAATCCTAAGCCAAAAGAACAAAGCTGGAGGCATCACACTACCTGACGTCAAACTATACTACAAGGCTACAGTAACCAAAACAGCATGGTACTGGTACCAAAACAGAGATATAGATCAATGGAACACAATAGAGCCCTCAGAAATAACGCCGCATATCTACAACTATCTGATCTTTGACAAACCTGAGAAAAACAAGCAATGGGGAAAGGATTCCCTATTTAATAAATGGTGCTGGGAAAACTGGCTAGCCATATGTAGAAAGCTGAAACTGGATCCCTTCCTTACATCTTATAAAAAATTAATTCAAGATGAATTAAAGACTTAAACGTTAGACCTAAAACCATAAAAACCCTAGAAGAAAACCTAGGCATTACCATTCAGGACATAGGCATGGGCAAGGACTTCATGTCTAAAACACAAAAAGCAATGGCAACAAAAGCCAAAATTGACAAATGGGATCTAATTAAACTAAAGAGCTTCTGCACAGCAAAGGAAACTAACATCAGAGTGAACAGGCAACCTACAAAATGGGAGAAAATTTTTGCAACCTACTCATCTGACAAAGGGCTAATAGCCAGAATCTACAATGAACTCAAACAAATTTACAAGAAAAAAACAACCCCATCGCAAAGTGGGCAAAGGATCTGAACAGACACTTCTCAAAAGAAGACATTTATGAAGCCAAAAAACGCATGAAAAAATGCTGACCATCACTGGCCATCAGAGAAATGCAAATCAAAACCACAATGAGATACCATCTCACACCAGTTAGAATGGCAATCATTAAAAAGTCAGGAAACAACAAGTGCTGGAGAGGATGTGGAGAAATAGGAACACTTTTACACTGTTGAACTGTAAACTAGTTCAACCATTGTGGAAGTCAGTGTGGCGATTCCTCAGGGATCTAGAACTAGAAATACCATTTGACCCAGCCATCCCATTACTGGGTATATACCCAAAGGATTAAAAATCATGCTGCTATAAAGACACATGCACACGTATGTTTATAGCAGCACTATTCACAATAGCAAAGACTTGGAACCAATCCAAATGTCCAACAATGGTAGACTGGATTAAGAAAATGTGGCACATATACACCAGGGAATACTATGAAGCTATAAAAAATGATGAGTTCATGTCCTTTGTAGGGACATGGATGAAATTGGAAATCATCTTCTCAGTAAACTATTGCAAGGACAAAAAACCAAACACCGCATGTTCTCATTCATAGGTGGGAATTGAACAATGAGAACACGTGGACACAGGAAGGGTAACATCACACTCTGGAGACTGTTGTGGGGTGGGGGGAGGGGGGAAGGATAGCATTAGGAGATATACCTAATGCTAAATGACGAGTTAATGTGTGCAGCACACCAGCATTGCACGTGTACATATGTAACTAACCTGCACATTGTGCACATGTACCCTAAAACTTAAAGTATTAAAAAAAAAGAACTCAATAGTATAAAACTGCTTTTTAAAAAAGACAAGAAATAACAAGTGTTGATGAGGGTATAGAGAAAAACAGAATCCTTGTGCACTGTTGGTGGAAGCGGAGATTGGGTCAGCCATTACGGGAAACAGTATAGAGGTTCCTAAATAAATTACAAATAGAACAATCATATGACCCAGCAATCCCTCTTCTGGGTACATATCCAAAGGAAATGAAATCAACACCTTGTGAAGATATCTGTATTCCCATGTTCGTTGCCTATTCACAATAGCCAAACAACCTACATGTCCATCAATGGAAAAATGGGTAAAGAAATTGTGGTGTGTGTGTGTGTGTGTGTGTGTGTGTGTGTGTGTTTGTAATGGAATGTTATTCAACCTTTAAAAAGAAGATCTTGCCATTTGCCAAAACATGGATGAATCTGGAAGACATTGTGCTAAGTGAAATAAGGCAGACAGAGAAAGATAAATATTGCATGATCTCATTACATGTGGAATCTAAAAAAAGAAAAGAAAAAGAAAACTCAAATATACAAAAATAGAGACTAAAACAGCTGTTATCAGGGGCAGGGGTTAGAGAAGAAATTGAGAGATGTAGGTCAAAGGATACAAAGTAGCAGATAAGTAAGATGAAGGTCTAGAGATCTAATATATAATATAAGGACTATAGTTAATAATATACTATTCAGGATTTTTGCTAATTGAGTAAATTTTAGCTGCTCTTGCTACATACAGAAAATGGTCATGTAAGCTGATATACATGTTAATTGGCTTTACTATAGTAACCATTTTACTATCTACATATATCCTATTACAACATGCTGTATACCTTAAATATACACAATACAATTTATTTTAAAAGAAAAAAGCAATGGTGAACTGGGAGACATTAACAGTCTAATGTCTCCCAGTTGCTCTTGCCTCAGTAATGGAGAATCCATTGAGTTCAATGGAGTTCATTGAATCAATGGAGTTCTTGAATTAGGAATGACATAAGTCAGAAAAGTTGAAGAAATATTGACCTAAAATTATTCCTATTTGATGAAAATTATAAATCCAAAAATTTAAGAAGTCCAATGAACACAAAACATTAAAAATCTGAGGAAAACTAAAGTGCATTGTAACCAAACACTTTAAACCAGTGATGAAAAAAAGTTTCAAAACCAGCAAGAATGAAAAACATTTTATGTACGGAGAATCAAAAATAGGATGACAGATTTCACATCATAAAGAATGAAACATAGCAAGCAAGATAGAAAAGCAATCTCTTTAAGGTAATGGGGACAAAGGGTCAAACTAAAAGTAATCTCATTGAAAACAGCTTTTAAAAATGAAAGTAAAATCAAGACTTTTTAGAAATATTAAAGCTGAACAAATTCATCTCCAGCAGACTCATACTAAAAGAACTATAGAAGGCAGTCTTTCAGGCAGAAGGAAAATTACACCTGATGGAAATACAGATCTACACAAAAGAATGAAGAACATAAGAAAAGGTAACTACATCAGTAAATATATTGCTTTTTTCTTCTTATTTAAATGCTTTAAAAGAGAATTGATTGTTTAAATAAAAATATCAATGTAGGCTACATGCAGTGGCTCACACCTATAATCCCAGCACTTTGGGAGGCTGAGGTGGGTGGATCACTTGAGGTCAGAAGTTCAAGACCAGCCTGGCCAACATGGTGATCTTTGTCTCTATTAAAAAATACAAAAATAAGCCAGGCGTGGTGGCGGGCACCTGTAATCCCAGCTACACTCAAGGCTGAGGCAAGAGATCACTTGAATCCAGGAGGCAGAGGCTGCAGTCAGCCAAAATTACTCCACTGCCCTCCAGCCTAGGCAACAGAGTGAGAATCTGTCTCAAAAATAAAAATAAAAATAAATCAATGTAGTATCAGACTTATATGTAGAAATTAAATATTTGACAAAATAACATGAAATTATAAGGAGAGAAATTAAAATTTATTATTTTAAGGTTCTTAATATACAAACTAGTATATTATCAGTTGAAGATAGTCTGCAATAATTTAAAGCTATATACTATAAACACTAAAGCAACCATTAATATAGCAAAATTGAAAATATGAAGTTAATAGGGCAACAAAGGAGATAAAATGTAATTTTAAGAAATATACAAATAATTACAAAAAGACAGCATAATAGTAAAAGAGAATGAACAGATAAAACAATTATAAAACAAACACCAAGCTGAGAGACTTAAACCTAATCACACGATAATCACACTAAATGTAAATGGTCCAAATACCCCCATCAAAAAGGAGAGACTTTCAAATAGATAATGAAAATTCAAGACCTAACCACAAAAAAAACACACTTAGAATATAAAGTCACAGATAGGGTAAAAGTGGAAGAATGACAAAAGAAGAGACATTCTTCACCAAGAGTCCTCGGGGTTTCCTGCTTCAGCAGTGCTTGGACGGAACCCGGCACTTGTCCCCCACCCAGGCCAGCTGCCCATAGCCAGCCCTCCGTCACGTCTTCACTGCACCCTCAGACCACCCCAAGGCCCCCACCGCCGCTCCAGCGCCACGCAGCCACCGCCGCCGCAGCCTCTCCTTAGTCATTGCCATGATGACTGCATCCAACTCGCAGGTGCGCCAGAACTACCACCAGGACTCAGAGGCCGCCATCAACCGCCAGATCAACCTGGAGCTCTACGCCTCCTACTTTAACCTCTCCATGTCTTACTACTTTGACCGTGATGATGCGGCTTTGAAGAACTTTGCCAAATACTTTCTTCACCAATCTCATGAGGAGAGGGAGCATGCTGAGAAACTGATGAAACTGCAGAACCAACAAGGTGGCTGAATTTTCCTTCAGGATATCAAGAAACCAGACTGATGACTGGGATAGTGGGCTGAATGTGATAGAGTGTGCATTACATTTGGAAAAAAATGTGAATCAGTCACTACTGGAACTGCACAAACTGGCCACTGACAAAAATGACCCCCATTTGTGTGACTTCATTGAGACACATTACCTGAATGAGCAGGTGAAAGCCATCAAAGAATTGGGTGAACGTGACCAACTTGCACAAGATGGGAGCACCCGAATCTGGCTTGGCAGAATATCTCTTTGACAAGCACACCCTGGGAGAAAGTGATAATGAAAGCTAAGCCTCAGGCTAATTTCCCCATAGCTGTGGGGTGACTTCCCTGGTCACCAAGGCAGTGCATGCATGTTGGGGTTTCCTTTACCTTTTCTATAAGTTGTACCAAAACATCCACTTAAGTTCTTTTGATTTGTACCATTCCTTCAAATAAAGAAATCTGGTACCCCCCCCCAAAAAAGAATGACAAAAGATAGCACATGTGAATACAAATAAAAAGTAAGCTACTGTGGCTACATTCATGTCAGACAAAGTAAATTTCAGAGTAGAGAATATTACCAGTAATAAATGATTATTTCATAGTGATAAAGGGGTCAATTCATGAAAAAGACATAATCCTAAACCTAATACAACAGTTCAAAATAAATGCAGCAAAAACTGGAAGGAGAAAGAAACAGATCTCCAATTATAGTCAGAGATTTCAATCCTCTTTCTCAATAAATGGCAGACTAATTAGCTAGAAATAAGTAAAGATATAGAAAATTTGAAGAGTATCAATCAGTTTGACCTAGACCCTTCACCCAAAAACAGCTTTCTGTGAAGTGCACACTGAACATTTACCAAGATGGAATATATTCTGGATCACAAGTAAGTCTCAACCAAATTTGAAAGCATTCAGATCACACAAAGTATATTCTCTGAATAAAAAGAATTAAATTAGAAATCAGTTAAAACATTTTAAAAATAAATCTGGTAACTACTGTTCTACTCTCTACTTCTAAGAGATCAACATTTTTAGGGTCCACATACATAGAATTTTATCTGTCAAGTTTTTAAAATAAAAATAAGTAAATATGGCAGTTCTATTAAAAATAAATCAATAACATAAAGATATCTGAAAAATTCCTCCAAATAATTGGAAACTAAATACCATACGTCTAAAAATAAATAAGAAGAGTTACTGAAAAGCATTTGGAACTGAATGAAAATTTTTAAAGAACAAGTTAAATGTATGTGATACCACTAAAGTAGCATCTATGAAGAAATTTATAGCACTAAATGCTTATAATGTAAAAGAAGAAAGTTATCAAATCAATTATCTCAGCTTCAGACTTAAGAAACTAGGAAAAGAAGAGCAAATAAAATCCAAAGCCACTAGAATAAATGCTGTAATTTTTAAAGAGCAGAAATCAATGAAAACAAAGTAGAAAAAAAAACAAAACAAAAATGTTATTATTTGAATAAATGAATAAAATTGAAAGACTTTGTCCAGACTGATCAAGAAAAAAAGAGTGAAGACACTAATCTTTTATCTGTTAGATTGGATTTTTAGTTAAAATTTTTCTCAGAAAATTCAGAACTAGATGGATTCACTGATGAATTCTACTAAACACCTAAGGAAAAAAATACAATTCTATGCAAATTCCTCCAGAAAATTTAAAACGGAGGGAAATGTTCCAACTCATTATTGGAGGCCATCATCATGCTATTACCAAATCCAGACAAAGCTATTATCGGAATAGGAAACTACTGGCCAACATCCTTCGTTAACATGGATGTAAAAATTCTAAACAATATTTTAGCAAATCAAATCCTATAACATATAAAAAAAGATGAGGCATCATGACAAAGTGACATTTATACCAGGAATGTCAGATTGGTTTAACATTTACAAATCAATTAATGTAATTCACTATACTAACAATCAAAAAAAGAAAAACCATATAATCATTTCAACAGACATACAAACAAAGCATTTGACAAAATCCCACATCCATTTCTCATAAAACTCTCAACAAACTAAGACTAAAACAGAACTACCTCAACTTGATAAAGGGCATTTACAAAGAACCTACAACAAACATTATATTTATAATATTTATTAGTGAAAGGCTGAAAACTTTCCCCCAAACATCAGAAACAAGACAGAGGTATCTGCTATCACCAATTTTATTCAACATTGTACTGGAATTTCTACTCAGAGAGAGAGAAAGAAAAAGGCATAAGAAACAAGTAAAACTGTATTTGTAAAAAAACATGGTTCACAAAGGTATAACCAGAAATCTGATAATATCTACCAAGAGAAAAAAATCTACAGAATTTATCACTGAATTTAGGAATGTTTCAGGACACAAAATCAAAATACAAAAATCAATTGTATTTCTCTATATTATTGATAAACAATCAGGATTTGAAACTTCAAAATAACATTATTTGCAGTAGCATCAGAAACAAAGTGAGGAGAGATAAATTTGACAAAACATGGAAGTTCTGTACAGTGAAAACTTCAAAATGTCACTGAAAGAAGCCCTAAATAAATAGATACACCATCTTCTTGAGTCAAATGACTCAATATTTCTAAGATATCAAGTCTAAAAAGTGACCTACAAATATTATGAATTTTCATTTATAATCCCAGCAGGGGATTTTTTGTAGAAAATGACAAACTGATTCTTAATTTATAGAAAATAAAAGGACCTAGAATAGCCAAAAACACCTTTGAAAAAGAGTAAATTTAGAGAATTAACATTACCTGATGTCAAAGCTCATTATGAATCTGCATGTGTGGTATTGGTATAAAGACGAATTCATCAATTCTACAGAATATAGATCCCCAAAACACACACACACACACACACACACACACACACACACACACATATATGTGGGAAACTAGTTTTTGACAAAATTGCAAAGGCATTTCTGTGTAAATAGAATAGTCTTTTCAAAAAATCAGAAAATAATACTGGAATAATTAGATATCCATATGCAAAAAAACCCCAAGATCAATCCATACCTCACGTTATATACAAAATTTGCCCCAAAATAGATCATAGACCTAAATGCTAAACCTAAAATTACAAAACTTCTAGAAAAAATAGGTATTGGCACAAACTTGTTAGCTACAATACCTAAGTACAATCTGTGACAGAGAAAATTGATAAATTGAACTTTATTGAAATTAAAATTTTCTGTCACAGTGCCTTCAGAAGATAGTTAATGGAATGAAAAGGAAAACCACAGGCTGTGATAAAGTATTCACAAGTCACATATCTGTTAAAAGACTTATACCCAGAACATATAAAGAACTCTCAAAACTCAGTAATAAGAAAAAAAATTCCAATAGAAGTATGAAATTATGGACAAAAGACCTAAACAGACATTTCCCCCAAAGAAGAAAAATGATGGCAAATAAGCACATAAAAAGATGTTCAATCTCATTAGTCATTGTAGAAATATACCACAATGAGGTACTGTTACACATCTATTAGAGTGGCTGATTTTTTATTTTAATTGACCATGTCGGGCAGGGTTTGGAAAAGTAGTGAAAAATCTGGAACTTTCATACACTACTCATGAAAACAGAAAATGCCACAAACTTTGGAAAATAGATTAGCAATATCTTTAAAAATTAAATACACACCCATCATATAATCCAGCCATTCCTCTCTTAGTTATTTACCCAAGAAAAATGAAAGCCTAAGTCCACAAAAATACTTGTACATAAAGGTTCCTAGCATCTTTACTTGCAATAGTCAAAGCCTTAATGATCAAATGCTCATCCACAAATAGATAAACAAGCTACGGCACAACCATATAATGGAATATTATTTAGCAATAAAAGGGAATGAACAATGTTGGTACACACTGCATATGGATGATTCCATTTACATAACTTTCTTTAAAAAGCAAACTAATATATAGTGAGAGAGAGTAAATGACTGGTTGCTTAGATAGTAGGAGGACACAAGATAACACAGAAGAACACAAGGTAACTTTTGATTGTATAGTTTTCATTATTTTATTTATGGTGATGGTTTCACAAGTGTCTATAAGTTTCAAAATTTATCAAACTTTATAACGTAAATACATGCAGCTTACCGTATATCAGTTATATCTCAACAAACCATTTTTTTAAGTAATCAGACTTCAAATACCAATCTTTTCTCCACTGTCCTCCCACATCTGACATGCAAGTATTCAATTAAATGAGTATTTATTGACCCCACTATGTTCCAGATCCTGCATTTGGCATTAAGAATACAAAGAAAAATAAGTGGGCTTTTGGAAAGCTTGTTTTTAAAAAATAAATGTATATGTAGATCAAATGGTAAGCACTGCTAAATCCCATTTCTGGTTCCACTTTATGTCTCTGTCCTTGTTTCTTTCCTATGCTATATGATTGTATTTTCTGTATTCTTGATTCTGTTTGAATTATCTCTGAAACAAGATGAGATATAAATAAATATAAATAATTATTCAAATGGCTAAAACATGAGACTTGTCCTCAAGAAATCTGCAGCAAAGAACAGTCTGGCTTTCTCTTAGGTACTTTGCATCTAGTGGAGAGAGTAGACATGTACACTAATAATTAAGCTTCAAGTTTTGATTTGTTAATACCATGAAGATATTAATACATTTAATCTGTAAATGTGTATAAATTTTATAGGAGGGAGCACTGGAATGTTTAATTCGGACAATGCCAATACAAGTTTACAGAGAAGAGAGAACTTTCCATTGGGTTTTGAAGGTTCTGCTGATTTTCAATGGGCAGAGGTGGAGGAACAGTCTGAGCAGAGAGAACATCATAAACAAAGGAGTGAATGTGAGAAAGGTCAGCATATGTTCTTAGGCTAAAGAATAGTTTAATCAGGTGAGATAGACACCCAACACTAGTACTAGCCTCGTGGCATTTGGGGATTATTTAACCTCTTTAGGTTCCAGTGCCCTTAACTATGAGGTGGGAATATTTACACTATTACATCTACCTAAAGAGTTTCTTAAAAGGCCTAAAAAAGAAGTGATGAACCTAAACCACTTAGCATTGTGCCTGGCACAGACCAAATGCTTACAAAACTGGTAGCAGTTATTATTAGCATGAGGTTAGAATCCAAGGGAGCATAAGGAAAAGAAAAATTTATATCAGGCATATTTTTATAGTGACAAGCTGTTACCCCTAGTAGCTTCATGAATGTATACATTCAATTATACAATGACATCATTCTTTCTAAAACAAAGTTCTGACTTCACCTGGTCTGCTAAAAAAAAAAAAAAAGTATTAACAATGTGAGGGGTGGGAAGGGGAAGCACAGATGGCAATTTCATGCTTGAGAATTCAATCCTTCTCATTTGGGTTGAAAAGATAAAACAGACCTTATGGATCTCTTCCTCTATTAGTGTGTCTTTGACTATAAAAATATATAATAATCTCATCATAATTTACAGTTGCATAATTCTAAATCTTTTTTTTTTAAGTTCATAGAATCGTATTTCTTAAAAGGATCATCTTTTCCAACATCACATTTTTAGGCCAATAATAGAATAAACAAAAATTCCTTGAACAAACCTACCAACAAACAAATAAAAGCTCATTTGCAACTTGCTGCATACTACATTGTGATTTCATTTACAAGAGTCTCAGACAAAGAAGATCACCATAACTCTCAAAACGGTTGTGTCATTGACAATTAAACATAAGTTAAGAATGGCCACAACAAAAACCTGAATAGACATTCATTCACGTGTCTGGTATGATAAGGTATAATCCAGCCTGAAGGGAAGGAGATTGAGTAGATCAGAAAAAGTAACAAGATTTATTTGCTCTAAGACTAACTATATGCCTAGTAAGGCAGTGGTATACTGTTAAAGATTTACATGTTTGGAAAACTAGAAGTTATCATAACCATATTAACTTTCCTTCATTTTTCTTTCCCAGTTCCACCCTTGCATTTCTATCCCCAGTCTATATGATCTCTGGAAACATTGTTGATGAAATATTCTAAGAGTGCGCACCCGGAGACCAGTAGTTCTTGCTTGAGCAATTTTTTTTCTTATAAGAACAATGAATTACATAAATTCTTTTAATTCATGAACAGAGGCATTCAATCTTAAATATGATAAATTTTATAGATATAGATAAAACACTTGAAAATTTAGAGTTATTGAGAGGGCAGCAAACCTGTAAAAAGGAAGTATATTAATAATCCAACAAACTGATTATCATGATTAGGTTTTAAAAACAGAATATTCCATAAGAAAACAAGGAAAGGGGTTCTAAACATAAGCAAAGGCCTTGCTTCCAATGACATTCTTTTTTCCAACATGGAACACCTATACAGATAGATGAGATAGAGATGCAGATTTTTTTCCTATCCAGGAAGTTTAAGAAATGCCTCTGGAACTTTCCATATTAGCAGACCAAGCTGAGAGCTTGAAAAATTTAGTGGGGTGTAGAAAATTCGTATAACCCTTTTAACACAGGATCTATTTCAGTAAAGACTTGAAAAGTAAGAGAGATACAGGTTTCATTCCACTTTTTATAAATACATATATTCCAAATAGAAGAGGTGAGATAACAAGAATGATATTTTATTAAACAACACATAGCATTTAATTTGTACCAGAAACACATAGAAGCATTTCACAAGTACTATCATTTAAGTGAACCTTTAAGACAACCTTAAAATGAAGTTTCCATTATTATCTCCAATTAACAGATGAGAAAACCAAGATACAGAAAAGTAAAAACAAAACAAAACAAACGAACAAACAAAAAACACTTGTCCAGGCTCACATGGCTATTAAATGGCAGAACTGAGTTTTGAACCCAGGCCATTTGTCTGCAAAATCCATATTTGTAATCACTTCATTGCTGCTTATTTTTCTTTAGAAGAGCTTCCGATTGGAGATAATCTTTGAACATTTCTGCCTGTTACAGAACCCCAAAAGAAATTTTATTTGTATGACAGAGACTATTCTACATGCAAAATCAATATTCCTATGGGGAAATTTCCCTAGCAACTAGTTTAAAATGCCTTTTTAGGCCAGGGCTCATGCCTGTAATCCCAGCACTTGGGGAGGCCAAGGCGGGGAGATCACCTGAGGTCAGGAGTTTGAGACCAGCCTGGCCAACATGGTGAAACCCCGTGTCTACTAAAAATACAAAAATTAGCCTAGCGTGGTGGTGCATGCCTGTAATCCCTGCTACTCTGGAGGCCGAGACAGGAGAATCACTTGAGCCTGGGAGGTGGAGGTTGCAGTGAGCCGAGATCATGCCACTGCACTCCAGCCTGGGTGACAGAGTGAGACTATGTCAAAAAAAAAAAAAAAAAAAAAAAAAGAGCCTTTTTAATTACTAATCACTTCAGAATGACTGCTCAAGGGGTTAATAATCTTCCACCTCCCTTTAGGAGAGAGAGATAGGTGATAAACAAGTACATGACTCATCGATTTTATAAACATTTCTGGGAGGCAGGTGGTATGCTTGCTTTACAGGTGAAAACAGAGGCATGGAGCCATTCAGTGACTGCTCTATGACACACAGATTCTTTACAGACAGATCCTTCACAGCGCGCTAGGAGCACAGCATAACCTATGTGGCAGCTGCGAAGTCTTCTCCTCATCTATCCTATTACAGAAAAAGGAAACCTGGTACAATCTGTGACTCTTCACAAACGAGACTTCCTGCAGTAGAGGAATCATAAATGACAAGACCCATAAGCAACAAGAAAGAAGAAAAATAAGCTTTCTTAAAGAAAGCAGGCCCAGACAGCACAATGACTGATTGTAGAGTAGATAGTGCTGAATGTAACTGGCTCCTTCTTCTTGATAAAGGTCAAAGCCATCTTCAAAATGACTGCCCTATTCAGGATTTTCATAATAGATTGGAAAATATAACTCAGACAAACACCCAGGAAGGCTTGGCTCCTAATTTGTCAGGTTTTTGAATGGATAATCTTTAAACTTCCTACAAGAAAATACTCTAGCATATCCCAAAGTGGTTTTCTTTTTCTCTTTCTACCCAAGAGAACAATATAAGCTTGAGAAACCGTGTTGTGTGTGCATGCCTGCAGATTTGTGTAGTCATCCCCTACTTTTCAGACATCAAAAATAAATCGACCACTAAAAACAAAAGCCAACCAGAATGGGGCACATAAGGTTCCATTCAAATACCACTGCACTCTGAGGTGAAGGTGAAGCTTAGCAGTCCTTCCTGATTGCTTGTCTTTGTACTAATACCCCTAACTGAATGAACATCCAGAGGATGGTGCTTACTCAGGATTTCACTTCAGATTGTTACACTGAGGGATCCACATAAAGCATGAGTAGTGGTTATTGCCCTAGGCTTACTATTTCTAATTGTATTGTTTTGCTGTTCTGTTTGTTTCAGTAAGCTCATGCATTAATTGTGTAACAGCATAGAAAATAAAATATGAAAAACATGTTTGTTTAAGCAGTGGCATCCTGGCTGCCTTCTTTAAATATCACCAAGGCTAGCAGTCAGTTGGAATGAGTAGCAAACATCATTTGATTTCCAGCAAGGTGAGGGGTACCTTCTCCCAGTTTGATTTATCCTGCTTTCATCATTACAGAGCAAACCCTGGAATGTTGTCATCCTTTTCAGGCTTCAGGTCCCATCAGAGTACTGGCTTCACTTTGACTGTAGAAGATTTAGTTGAAGCAGTATTCAAAAGTGTAGAACTTGTCAAGCTACCTATCCAGTGAGAAGTCTTGAAATAAATGGAATTTCATTACTTTCAGAGTAAGATAAATTGCCAAAAAAGTCATACAAGGCTCATAATAATGTGGCCACTGAATAGTTGTTCAGCCTCAACATTAACCATACCTTAACCATACCTTTACTGCCTAAACTCATCCCAACCTCAAATAAATACATAATCATTATTCTATCTGGAAAAAAATTATATGATCTCTTCGATTCTCTGTGCCTTCTATGGTCATAATACATTTAGACATGCCATTTGTATTGGTAATGATAGGCTAACTGACATAACAAATAACCTTAACATTTTGTCACTTAATGCATTAAGGTTTATTTCTCACTCAAGTCACTATCCAGTTCAAGTCAGCAGTGGTTCTCTCTGCTCTACTCAGTCATTAAGGAATCTAAGCCCCTTCCACTCAGTAGCTCTAATATCCTCTAGGACAATCCTCAGTCAGGATTCCACGAAAGACTTAACCTGTAATTTCCATAGACATTTACTGCATGTGAGGAATTAGCCATCTCCTACACATCTATAATGATGCTAGCTAAGTACTAGCCTTGCATGAATTGAGAAAATAGTCATTAAATCATTTTCTATAGACCTTATTTCTCTATGAACCCTTTGAGGAAGGCTGCTCCAGGGCATGGTCTTCAACGTTGGCTGCATATTAGAATTATACAGGAGCTAAAGCTAAGAGCCACTAATCTGAGAGCTCAGCATTTTTAGTTAAATCAACTGCCTGCATCCCAAAGAAGGAAGAAAAAGAGGGTAAAAAAGAATGCATGGAAAATCATCCAGGAGGTCTTCATGTGGATTCAGCATGGAAATGGTATAAATCACTCTGCCCACATTCCATTGGCTGGAACAGTCACATGGCCCCACGTTAACTGCAACCAGGTAGGAAATGTAGTTTCCTCTCACGTACCAGAAGGAAAAGGAAGTGGAACTTCCTCTAGCAGTATCTGCCATACTCTTCCCTTTACCTGAGAAGACATTGCCTTTCCCTTCCCCCACCTCTCTCCAATTGTTCCTTTGGGTTAGGTCCTCTTGTCTTCTGAAACAGTGGTTACCTGCTCTGGAAAACCTTCTCTCTCCATCCTCCAAAGCTCCTGGGGTACAGCTTTATCAGCGCACCTATCACACTGATTCTGGTTAGTTTCTCTGTCTCCTCTGGCTCCTAAAGATACACAATAGGTCCTCCATATGTTTCAAAAATTAACGAATGAAAGTGCCAAAATGTACTTCACATACACATATACCACAGTTAAAGATTTAATATTATCCCTATGTCTTAGATTTAAGAAACTTAGAAGCCTTAGAAGTAAAAGACGTATTCAACACCACAAGATGAAAGAGATAAACAGGAATAGTCTTATACTTGAGTAAATAATCTATTGCTTAATTTTTCCTATCTTTTACTCTTTCTGTTCAATCTTAAAAATAGAGTAATACATTTATAGGGAAAAACACTATGCTCCCTTATAGGTCTCCAAAAACTCTTCTTGCTGAAAACAGCATACAAAATACTTTCCCTCTTCAAAGCCCAATACAACACTGGAAAAGCAATGGAGAAGAAAGTACTCAGTATCTTTTCCCCACTAAAAGTTGTACTGCAATGCTTGAACACAACTGGAGGAGCCCTAGGTTTATCAAAAGTATCTGCCATTTCTAAAAGAATGTAAGTTTATTACTTACATCAGATATAACAAAAAATAATCAAGTTTCATCATGTCTTATATGGGATTTTGAAGTTCCTTCCTTCCTTCCTTCCTTCCTTCCTTCCTTCCTTCCTTCCTCCCTCCCTTCCTTCCTCTCTTCCTTCCTCCCTCCTTCCCTTTCCTTCCTTCCTCTCTTCCTTCCTTCCTCCCTCCCTCCTTTCCTCCCTCCCTCCCTCCCTCCTTTCCTCCCTCCCTCCCCCTTCCTTCCTTCCTTCCTTCCTTCTTTCCTTGTATTATTGCCTCTTGTCCTGCAACAGCTAAAATGAAATCACCTGTAGAAAGTGGCTAACACTGTTATCTATTTCTCAGTTTCCAAATTCAGAAATCCTATGGAGTTTCTATTTCAGTAAAAAGGTTCCTATTAAAATAAGTGAATTAAAACAAAGTAAATATTAATCCGAAATACAGAAGCAAACATTCTAAAGATCAGGAGAAGAGGACAAAATATTTTAAAAATGCATTATTCGTATGTTTACTGACTGTTGGCTTTCCCACAACCATCATTTGTTTTGAAACTTGTAAATATGTATAGCTAAAATAAAAAAAAATGCTGTCTTTTTCTTAAATTAGATATGAGAGGTGGCAAAATTCCCAAAATCAAACAAAACCTTTCCTATATTCAAAGTGTCAAGTTTTGAAACCAAACTTTGAACATGGAAAGATAAATTAATTCACTTAGAGTAATCTGCTTCTAAGAAAAATAACATGCTGGAGGTTTATAGACTCCTAAATGGCCATTTCCAAGCATACTGATGGTTCAAATATGTATAAGTCAAACAGTTGTCAATTAAATATCTTATAAAATATACATTGATTTAGAATTGCCTAGGAAGATAAAAGATTTTGACTTGTAGACAAAATATAAACTATTTGATACCTTAAAATAGGCTTCAAGCCAGGCACGGTGGCTCACAGCTGTAATCCCAGCACTTTGGGAGGCCAAGGCAGGCAGATCACTTGAGGCCAGGAGTTCGAGACCAGCTTGGCCAACATAATGAAACCCACATTTCTACTAAAAATACAAAAATTAGCTGGGCATGGTGGCGTGCCTGTGAATCCCAGCTACTCAAGGGGCTGAGACCCAAGAATCACTTGAACCCCAGAGGTGGAGGCTGCAGTGAGCTGAAGATCATGCCACTGCACTCCAGCCTGGGTGACAGAGAAAGACACAATTAAAAAAAGAAAGAAAGAAAGAATAGAAAAGAAAAAAAAATTGGCCTCAAAATTTCCAATATGTTGCATCTAGAAATAGAAACTTGTCTACATAAACACAAAAGGATTAAAGCGTTGCCATACTGTGGTGGTAAAGGTGGATCACAGATATGCAATAGGAATACCCAAACCAGGATCAGATCATAAATCAATACCAGAAAAGCAGAGGAAAAAGTCAGATTCTGGCCTGTAAGAAAGAGGAAAGAAGCAAAGTGAAGATCTAGAATTAAGGTCAGGATTTTTTTTAAAAAAACAACTGAGTGAAAAGGATTTCAGAATTCAAAATTGAGAAAATGGAGTGATAGGAACCAAATTCAGACAATTCCAAAGGTGAACAAGTTAGCAAAAAATGACAACATGAGGAGGAAGTAGCTATTCTACAATAGCATCAAACCAAATCTTACTCTGTTGGGGACATTATGAAAGAGACATTATACACCTTCTTGAAGGAATTGTGGAACATTTAAAGATGTGGTCCTGGTATCTGACATCAAGAATTTTAGATTTTTAATTTATGGTAGTAGGAAAATTCATGACTTATTTCATGGGTCACAAAATGAGCAAAAATTAGTAATCATGAAAATTGATTGAGTGCCTCAAGGATAACATACCTCATTTAATTGTTGAGCTAGATATGGTATGTATATACTGGCACTCAGCACTTTTTCCCACCTTCTTCTATTGTTTCTCATTTTATTACAAACACTGGAAAGTTTAAAAGTATATTCCCAGAATTTCTTTGCAACTAACAAAACACATTAGGTTTACAAAGTAGGTTTCCCCAATTAAAAGCACTCCCTGAAATCTGGAAAGCAGAAGTAAATGGAGATCACATACCTGTGGCTTTCAGCATATTTTCTGATGACAAGCAAGACTATGAAGAAGCCAATGCCCACAGCTTTATAGATATTGAAAAGGAATTGGAGAAATAGCACCTGGGCTCAGTTTCCCAATCCTCAAGCAGTTATAGATGTAGCAGTGGAAGCGGTGGTAACAGAGGCTATGACAAGCTCCCATATCCTAAATTTTAGTGAGCTATTGACACATGGTTCTAGTGGCAGCCTCTTGACTCCCACATTCTTGTGTGTGGCAGAGGCAGCAACTCTCTTGGGAAACCAATTGAATAGTTTTGTTTTCAGAGGATACCCTCGCAGTCCAGCCTAGTGCTTGTTCTTTAGCTCTTCCCACAATTTCATAAGCACATAATTAACCTGTATTAAATATCTCACTGTTTTAAAATACCCAAAGTGGTTTTAAAGAATTGAATCTTAATTGATATAAACTTCAATATAATCCTGTGGGATTCTATTATTATACTTTTTTTTTCCAATGAGAAAACTAAGGCCCTGAAAAGTTAAGTAAAAAGCAAATGGAAACAGAGGCTACAGACTGAGAGGATCTATTTGCACAACATGTATCTGATAAAAGAGTTGTATCTAAAACATATTTAAAATAAAACTTTTAAATCCCAATATGAAAACAAGCCAATTTTAAAATGGGCAAATTTCTGAAGTGGACAACTTATGAAAGATATACACATGGCAGATGAGCCCATAAAAAGAAGTTCGACATCATGTGTCATCAGGGAATTATGAATTAAAATAACAATGAGTAGCACTACATACCTTTTAGAAAAGCCAAAATCCAAAACACTGATAATGCTATTTATGATGAGGATGTGGAATGAAGGAGCTCTTATTCATTGCTGGTGGTAATGTGAAATGGTACAGTCACTTTGGAAGGCAATTTGTCAGTTTCTTATGAAACTAAACATACAATCCAGCAATCACATTTTTACCCAATGAGTTGAAAAAATGTCCAAAGAAGGCTTGCAAATCAGTGTTTACAGCAGCTTTATTCATAATTGCGAAATCTTGTAAGAAGTCCTTCAATATGTTAATGAATAAGCAAATTGTGTTGCATCTATACAATGGAATACTGTGCAGTGATTTTTAAAAATGAGCTATCAAGCAAAGACATAAAGGAAACTTACAAACATATTGGTAAGTAAAAGAAGCCAGTCTAAAAAGGCTACAAACTATATAATGTCAAGTATATAACACTGTAGAAAAAAAAAAAAACACGAAAGAAACAGTTAAAATGCCCATTGTTGTTAGGGCGGTGTGGATGATGCTGTAATAGTGGATACATGACATTGTGCATTCCTCAATCCCATAATATAACACAAAATTTGAACCTCCATGTAAACTATGGATTTCACTTAGAAGATATCAATATTGATTCATCATTCATCAATTTAACGAATGTACAACACCAACACAAGATGTTAATAAAGGAAACTGAGAGGGAAAGATAACATTAAAACTCTTACTTTCTACTCAATTTTTCTGAAAACCTAAAGCGGCAGTTTTTTTAAAAAAGAAAATTATTAATTTAAAACATACATGATATAAATCGCCATTTATGAGAATCTACATCTATAATCATACATAAAGTTGAAACAGTGAATGTGTTTTCCCTGACATCAGGAGCAAAACAAGGATGTCTGCTGTTACCATTTCTATTCAACATTGTACTAGAGGTTTTGATCAAGGCAAATAGTTAAGAAAATGAAATAAACAATATCCAGATTGGAAGGTAAGAAGTAAAACTATCTCTATGTACAAATGGATGATCTTGTTCATACAAAATCCTGAGAAATCCACTAAAATGTACAACACCTAATAAACAAGTTCAGAAAGACTTCAGGACACAAGATAAACACATAATAATAAATTGAATTTCTATACACTAGTGATAAGCAATCCAAAAGTGAAATTAAGAAAACAATTTTATTTAGAAGAGTATTAAAAAGAATAAAATACTTAGAAATAAATTTAAGAAAAAGAGTGCAAGGATTATACACTGAAAGCTGCAAACATTTCATAAAAAGAAAATTTAAAATATATTAGTAAATTAGTAAATGGAAAGTCATTTCAAGTCCATGGATTGAAAAATTTAATATTAAAATGGTAATACTCCCAAATCGATCTACAGATTTAACACAATTCCTGTCAAAATCCCAGTTACCTTTTTGCATCAATTGACAGTTTGATCATAAAATTCATGTGGAAATGCAGGGGCCCAAAATAGCCAAAACACAGGAACTACTAGACATGTCCAGGCACTATGCATCCCCACCTTTCAGCTCCTAGAACAGCAGAATGGTCTCCAGAGTCACCCTGACACTGTAGATGACATGTTCAGCCTGGATAGCTACCAGGTTTATTTAGTGTAGCCCTGTCATCTTGCTGAAGAGCCAAGTAATCATCCTTATATCACAGTGGGCCATTGCCTCTACTACCCTGGACCACTGGGATGCCAACTGTAGTGTCATGAGTTTCCCACCAGACCTCATCCATACAGGGGTAGCCAATGACCATGGGGAAGACTTTGATTTACAGAAAGAACTGATTGGGCAGGTGATGAACCAGCTTAGACAGTAACTTGTCAGCCAGTTGCTCCACACATGCTGCTTTTGTCTCCTCCCCAACATACCCTACCCAATGTGGCTAAAGTGCTCTAGGAGGTCATGCAGGTTGAAAGTCCAATTTTTTTTTGTCAATGGTTAGAGAATTCCTTGAAAGGACTGCCAAAGGAGACAACCATGGGAGCCCAGCACAGTGACACACAAACAACTTACAGACTTCCACATGCAAGTAACTGGTGCTGAGGAACGTAAGCAATTTGCTGGACCTTGCAAGACTTCACCAGGTTCTTTCAACAGCTCACACTCCTGCACTGTACCTGTCACCCAGGGATGTCTTTTAAATTAGAAGACAGGAAGAAAACAAAAAACCAGACTGTGTCCCACAATCAGAAACCTCCAATGTGGCAGAGAGGCCTTCACCACCAGCAGGCTGTATGGCCAGGCATGGAGAGACTCCAGCTTTCTGAGACCATCCTGAGGAGATCCTGTTTGGGGTGTGAGGGAAAATCAGAGCAGTTTAAAGAAAGATGACTGCAGCCTGCCCAGTGTGGTGGGAGGGGAGCTGGTTTCTTGGTAAACTTGTTTCTAAAAGGAAAAATAATTTTAATTAACTTTTTTTAAAAGGGCTGGGCGCAGAGGCTCATGTCTGTAATCTCAGCCCTTCGGGAGGCCAAGGCAGGTGGATCACTTGAGGTCAGGAGTTCGAGGCCAGTCTGGCCAACATGGTGAAACCCCATATCTACTAAAAATACAAAAATTAGCTGGGCATGGTGGTGTGCACCTGTGATCCCAGCTACTTGGGAGGTTGAGGCAGGAGAATTGCTTGAGCCCAGGAGGTGGAGGTGCAGTGAGCCGAGATTACAGATTATAGCATTGCACTCCAGCCTGGGTGATAACAGCAGGAAAGAAAAGAAAAGAAAGAAAGGAAGGAAGGAAGGAAGAAAGGAAGGAAGGAAGGAAGGAAGGAAGGAAGGAAGGAAGGAATAAAGAGAGAGAAAGAGAGAGAAAGAAAGAAAAGAAAGAAAGAAAGAAAGAAAGACTTTAATAAAAAAACTAAATTTGAAAAAAAAATAGTCTTGAAAAAGAAAAACAAAGTTGGAAAATTCACACTTCCCAATTTCAAAATTTAGTACACTGCTACAGTAATCAAATCAATGTAGTATTGGCCTAACAGTAAATATATTGATCAATTAAATAGAATTGAGAGCTCAGAAACACATTCTTAACATGTACAGCTAATTGATTTTCAACAAGGTTGATTTCCCCAATTTAATGAGGAAAGAAATGTCTTCACAACAATTGGTGTTGGAACACTGAATATTCACAGACAAAAGATTAAAATTGTACCCCTTTCATACAAAATATAAAAAAGAACTCAAAATAGATGATAGGCATAAGTGTAAGAGCTATAATTATAAAATTTATATGAGTTTCCTATGGCTGCTGTAACAAACTATCACATATTTGATGGTTTATACCAACACAATTTTTTTTTTTACCAATTTTTTTCTTTTACAATTCTGGAGGCCAGAAGCCCAAATCTGGAAATCTATAGAGGTCTGCTCCAGTATTTGGCTGTGTACCAATCTATGCATGTATGAGAAGCCAGGAATCAAACCACTAGAAAATAGAATGCTGTGCATATTCTTGGAGCCGATGTAGGACTGAAAAATGTTGATATTTCCACCAGATAAAATTTCCTAAATCATGCACCATTGATTAGAATCCTCAGAGGGGTATCATCTTAGTAGTAGAACTATATTAACCTTATAGTAAAAGCTCTTCTAGACCCACCTTAATAAAATGTAAAAGCTGGCTGGGCATGGTGGCTCAACACCTGTAATCCCAGCACTTTGGGAGCCTGAGGCAGGTGGATCACCTGAGGTCAGGCATTCGAGACCACCCTGGACAACATGATGAAACCCTGTCTCTACTAAAAATACAAAAATTAGCTGGGTGTGGTGGCACGCACCTGTAATCCAAGCTACTCAGGAGGCTGAGGCAGGAGAATAGCTTGAACTCGGAAACC
This sequence comes from Homo sapiens, assembly GCF_000001405.40. NCBI lineage: Eukaryota > Metazoa > Chordata > Mammalia > Primates > Hominidae > Homo > Homo sapiens. The sequence continues at coordinate 50,895,882 of NC_000006.12, read as the reverse complement.
GAAGGTTGCAGTGAGCTGAGTTCACACCACTGCACTCTAGCCTAGGTGACAAGAGTGAAACTCTGTCTCAAAAAAATAAAAAATAAAAATAAATAAAATGTAAAAGCCAACCTCAAACAGAATGAACCATTTCCAAGTAATACAGCAACATGCCAGAAAAAAGTCCAACTTTATTTAAAGTAATACAAAAAATTACAGTACCCACAAATATGAAATGCACAATATACAATATCCAATCAAAAATTAGCAAACAAAGGAGCAGGAAAAGATGAAACATAAATTAGAGAATAATCAATTAAAAGAAATAGACTTAGAGACTACACAGATAGTAGAATTATCAGGAAAAGATGTTACAACAACTAATATACATATATATAATTATGTTACACATGTGTATATATATTCTAAAATATATATGTTTTTAAAAAGTTCCAAAAAGTATTAAGTATAAAGAGTAATGCAAAATATTTTTTAAAAACCCAATGGCACTTAAAGAACTGAAGAATACAATCTCTGAAGGGAAAAATACACTGGAAGAAATCATCAGCTGATTAAACACTGCAGAAGTATAAATCGATGAACTTGAAAATATAGAACTAGAAATGTCAAAGACAAAAAATAAAGAGTCAAAAACAGTAAATGAAAGACTGGAAGAATTGGAAAACCTGAACAGAGTATGAGTGACCTATAGCATGACAACCAGTTTTCTAACATACAAGTAATTTAGGGTTCCAAAAAAAGAGGACAGAGAAGAGACAAAAATATATATAATTTTCCAAATTTTCCAAATCTATAAACCCATAAATCTAATTTCAACAAACCTCAAGCAGAATAAACAAAAAGGAAACCACACCAAGACTTTTGTGTTCAATTTGCTGAACATCAGTGACAAATAGAAAACTTAAGAGCAGTCCCACCAACAGTGTAAAAGTGTTCCTATTTCTCCACATCCTCTCCAGCACCTGTTGTTTCCTGACTTTTTAATGATTGCCATTCTAACTGGTGTGAGATGATATCTCATAGTGGTTTTGATTTGCATTTCTCTGATGGCCAGTGATGATGAGCATTTTTTCATGTGTTTTTTGGCTGCATAAATGTCTTCTTTTGAGAAGTGTCTGTTCATGTCCTTTGCCCACTTTTTGATGGGGTTGTTTGTTTTTTTCTTGTAAATTTGTTTGAGTTCATTGTAGATTCTGGATATTAGCCCTTTGTCAGATGAGTAGGTTGCGAAAATTTTCTCCCATGTTGTAGGTTGCCTGTTCACTCTGATGGTAGTTTCTTTTGCTGTGCAGAAGCTCTTTAGTTTAATTAGATCCCATTTGTCAATTTTGGCTTTTGTTGCCATTGCTTTTGGTGTTTTGGACATGAAGTCCTTGCCCATGCCTATGTCCTGAATGGTAATGCCTAGGTTTTCTTCTAGGGTTTTTATGGTTTTAGGTCTAACGTTTAAATCTTTAATCCATCTTGAATTGATTTTTGTATAAGGTGTGAGGAAGGGATCCAGTTTCAGCAACTAGTTCAACCATTGTGGAAGTCAGTGTGGCGATTCCTCAGGGATCTAGAACTAGAAATACCATTTGACCCAGCCATCCCATTACTGGGTATATACCCAAAGGACTATAAATCATGCTGCTATAAAGACACATGCACACGTATGTTTATTGCGGCATTATTCACAATAGCAAAGACTTGGAACCAACCCAAATGTCCAACAATGATAGACTGGATTAAGAAAATGTGGCACATATACACCATGGAATACTATGCAGCCATAAAAAATGATGAGTTCATGTCCTTTGTAGGGACATGGATGAAATTGGAAATCATCATTCTCAGTAAACTATCGCAAGAACAAAAAACCAAACACCGCATATTCTCACTCATAGGTGGGAATTGAACAATGAGATCACATGGACACATGAAGGGGAATATCACACTCTGGGGACTGTGGTGGGGTCGGGGGAGGGGGGAGGGATAGCATTGGGAGATATACCTAAGGCTAGATGACGAGTTAGTGAGTGCAGCGCACCAGCATGGCACATGTATACATATGTAACTAACCTGCACAATGTGCACATGTACCCTAAAACTTAAAGTATAATAAAAATAAATAAATAAATAAATAAATAAAACTTAAGAGCAATCAGAGAAAAAAAAACACATTATTTCCAAGAAGAAATTATATCAATGAAGAAAACACAATAAGAACTAGAAAATGTTTTAAAGCCAAGGAAAATAAAAACATCATTTAAAATTTTGTTATATGCAGCCAAAGAAGAGCTTAGAGAGAAATTGAGAGCTTTAAAATGATTATATTGGAAAAAAGTGTTCTCAAGTTAATACCTAAATTGATTATCAAAATTAATCTTTAGAAATCTTTTAAAAAGAGAAAAATCTAAAATAATTGAAGGAAGAAAATGATAAAAATAAGAGGAGAAAACAAAAACAGAAAAGATAATAATAGAAAAAATTTGATATACCAAAAATCAGTTTCTTCAAAAAAATTAATAAACTTTATAAATCTCTAGCCAGATTTATAATATTTCCAGAAGAAAATAGAAGAAACATAAATTATCAATATCAGAAATAAAATACCACTAAATGTTCTATAGACAATTAAAATAACAATAAATGATCATTATGAATAATTTTGGGCCAAACAATGAACAATTCAGATTAAATGAAAAATACAAAGTACCAAAATGTACTCAAGAAGAAATCAATAACGGGAATTGCCCTATTTTTAAGAACGAATAAAAGATTGAATATAGTAAATAGAACTTCTTAATCTGATCTCGTGTATTTTAATTTTAGGCCCCAAATCAAGAAACTAGCACTAATTCTGAATATTGACAACAAGGGTTTATGTGAATTGAAAGGGAAGCAATCATGGACATTTAAATTCAGGCTAAGACAACCACATCTATGTAATCGTAGACTTGTAAATCCACAAATAACAAACCATTCTGCCTGTTTCCAGGATTCCCAAATTCTCTCCAACCTTCCTAGTCCCTATGCTCTCAAGCAAAGTTCAGGCCAGGCTGTAAACCAAAGCCAATCCTGGCAGTACCATATTAATATGATCTCAAGAAATCTGCCTATGTATCTCAGTCCTTTAATATGGAGTCTAAGAGAACTTCTAGAGAAGAGATTTAAAATGCAAATAGCCCTAGAAGTAGTATATACATTAATAAATTTTCAGTAAGATTTAAATGACTAATTTGAAGTATCATTTTTCAAATAAACTTTTGAGAAGGGTGAGATGTACATGTCTGAAGAAGCAAAAGGACAGCAAAGAAAGGAGAATCCAGTATATACCTGGGAAGTTGATGCCAAAACAAATTTCATTTAGTTCAGTTTGACAAAGGTTAGTGTTACCATTGTGTAACACCAGAGTGGTCTGGCAAACTACTCTAACACCATGACTTTCCCTAGGGCCCAGGAATTAAGGGACTATTAGGTGACTTTTCAGGATAACACTTCACACACACCTCCTCCTCTTTTACAACTCAATAATGCAGAATCCCATTTCTAATGCTGGCCATGTTATTTACTTAAATGAAGTCATTTCATTCTTATTTCAAAATCTAGGTTTTTAAAAATTCTTTTTTAATTTTAATGAAAATGGATACATCCAATCTACAATAACCTTTTTGGTATATTACTATCTGTACCCCTATCATGTAGATGAGATAATTACTCTATGATTTTCCCTACCCCAGCCCCTCATTCACATTAATAAATGTGTATGTCACTTATCTTTAAAAATGAAATAAAATAACCCTTTTGCTTCTTTTTTCAAAATTAGGCACATGATAATGTTTTGAAAAAAATTAATTAAATTAAATTAAAAAGGTTTTATGAATTCTTTTTCTTAGAAACAAGAAGTCATATATTTTTACGACTACATGTGTTTGCCTCTGAAAACACAGGTATTTAATTAATAACAATAGTCCCCTGGATTGATTTTGGCAGTTTATGTAGACTCAAAGACATATCTGACATTTTTAAAATTTACAACAATGTACACAGAATGCTACCAAAATGGTTTAAACTATGTAATTACATATGCTATAAATCTCCTTTAAGTAATTCACTACCTGTATCACTTATAAAGACAGACTTTGCTTATTCTCCTTTTATGGGAGACTAATAGAAGGCCATTATCCTTTTGGAGTGAGGAGATTTACGGATATATCTTCCATTAGCATTAATAAGTGTCCATGTAAATCACTAGGCACCAATAGTGGGAAGAGACCTCCTCCATCTATTGGGTAATTGGCTATTTTAGTTAAAAGATAATTTTAGGACAAGGGGAAAAAGTAACATTCTTACTATAATTATCTGAGGTTAAGACTGTATTAAAACAACATGGTAAGAAAAAAAGGATGACTTGACACTTTATTTGGCTTTTATTTTCCCTACTTCCTAAGTTAATCATAAGCATAACAATAAGAAAGCAAACATAAAGGTGAATAAGAGTGACTGCTTTTGAAAAGACAGAAGAGTGCATTACATGATATCTAAGCACATTGACATAGATCATTAAATTAACAGAATTGAGTCACAATAAAAGCATATTGTTTCCTTCATATGGCAAATGTTTGCTACACTTGTACCTTAGACTAACATAGGATTTACTTAACATTTTAATTGCATTATTTTAAGTAGTACAATGTCTTCCAAATGTTCTATTACTCTGCATTTTTTTTAATTCTACATTGCTGTTCATGCATATGGGCATCTCAGGGTCCCTGGCACAATTTTATGTACCTCTAAATATCATATGCAGATGGTTACATTTTAGTTTTTCATTCCGCACATAGAAGAACTTTCATGTGCTTAATGTAAAGCCAGGCTTAGCATGTCAAGTTGTCTTGTGTGACAAATAGTTGTATATAAATAAATTCATTGGATACACTTTAAAACAAAACAGAACTGTTTAACTTCTCAGAAATAGGGTATCAGAAATCCAGGAGTCTTTCTTTCTATATTTGGCAGGTGATTTTGTAAGACTTGGGTTCACTACTGGCAAAGTAAGTTATATCTTCATGGTTTAGACAGACAAATACCACATAATCTCTGCTCAAACTTAAAATGCATGCCTGTGTAATATACATTTGCAAATCTGTCCTAGAAATGTTCTGCCACAGATCAGATGCCTTGTTATTGAGAAATCAAACAGTTCTTTAAATAGAGGTTGAAAATGCAGCAAAAGCTAATTTTTTCAGTACAAAACTAATTGTGTGTTTTATTTTCATTTAACAGATTAAATATAGTTCTACCCTTTGCTTTGATTCCTCTTCTGTTTCTTACAAATGCGACAGTGTCAGAGTACACACAGGGATTCCACTTAATTTAAAAAAAAAAAACAGAGTCATGAAGGAAAAAAAGGAACAACAATAAAAACAAAACAATTTATAGGGTTCTAGTTACTAGCATTTCACAAAAGGCATTTGAGGGAATTTTTGGGGAGCTTTTTTATGGTTCACAGTGGATGCTACATATTTATTTATTTGTATCCTGTATTAATTGTAAAATCAAACATATAGAAGGGAACCTATAAAGAAATAAATCAGAAAACAAGAGAAATGGATGACCGCCTCTTTGTGACATATTTTCTCCCTCAGCCTTGCATATTTGCATTAAAGTGATTGTGAATAATGTACATTTGACCAGTGCTGTCTGCAGAACTAATGCCTATAAAAGGGATGGGAAGTAGCATATGTTGTGCCTAGGGCAGAGAAAGTCCAATCACCCCCACTGTGAGAGTCTCCAACTAAAACGCAGGACAGCCTGGGATTTAGCCTAAATGAACCCAGCAGGGAGAAACAGGACACAGTCCCTCAGTCCACATTTAAGCTTCTGAACTAAGATTTTTAGAGTTTGCTTCAAAAAGAACCCATAATCTCTATCATGTCCTTTGCACAAAGCATTGAAATTTTTTTCTTTGTCTTATCTACCTATTCCACAAATTTTCAAGGAAAACCATTACGGCAAGAAATTAAACACAAGAAATCAGTTGTTACAGAATCAAGAGGTATACTCTTTATTGCCATTTTAGCAACTCTCTCCTCTTGCTTGAGCTATTCCCCGGCATTATCTGACAAGGCACAGTTTTGTCAGTAATTGCAAAATGTTTTAGGCTTGTGGTTTCAATTTTATGTTTTTGAACTCTCCTGGAAATGCTCTGCTATTAAATACTTTGCAGAGGTTCTCTGTCCTGTTATGTAATCTTCCTGTGACCTCTAGCACCATGTTCAGATTCAAACTAGCTTTCCTTCTACCTATATTAACATGATAGTTGAAAAATAGCAATTATATAAGTGTATGAGAATAACAAAATCGGCTGAACTAGGGAAATAAAAGTTGCCAAATTGCTGTGTTTGCATTGGTAGGATTGCCTTTTGCCTCATTAGCTGCAGTATTAAAGGGGATAAAACAGAGTAGGGCTAGAAAATATGTATTCATTTTGGTATTTATGTAATCCAAAGGGGGAGGGCAGTAAAAATAAAATAAAATTGAAAAACTTGTAAGTTGTATCACAGCATGATATGAAAGAGCCTGTGCAATGCAGAAAATAATACAGAATTGATAGGATACAGCTTACCTTTTCTGCTGCTATCTTAGTGTTTAATTCCTATTCAAATTACTGTGAAGATGTTGTAATGTTTCAGAATGAAAGAAAGCTCCAAACCATTGATTTTAGTTTATTGGCCTATTCCTTGGATGGGGTAGGAGGGTGGTAAGGATTGCCCTGTTTTGATACTTCAAAGGACTTCATTCTTTGAATGATTAGCTATTATGGAGGGTTACACACTGTCATGAAAATTAAGTTTTGGGCGTTTAATTTCATTTATTTGGGATCATAGCCTGAGTTGCGTAGATCAAAGACCTCACCCCTACCCTACTCCCCTCTACCCTCCCCCTACTTCACCTTCTTGATGTGCCAGAGCCCTGTGATTATTTGTTTTGGCAAGCTGGGCATCATTCATTTTTTTCCCATAATTTCAGTCTTTTCTGTCATCACCCAACTAGGAGGCCCTCATAGTGTGTAATCACTGTAGTTTCTGAGATCAACCAAACCCACCTTGATGAAATTTCATTTGAGGCCATGATTCAGTGTCTTAGATTCAGGAGATGTCAATTCCCTGTTAGGATTATAGAGCAGCTTCTATCTGCTCCGTAGCATTATAAGCACCTGTAAATCTTGGAGAAAGGAGTTAATGGAGTGGGAGCCTCCAAAACATTCAACCAGAAAAAGTAACATAAAAATTGCTTAACATTAGTTTATCAGATGCTAAAAAATAGTGGTTGTTTGACTAATTAATTGAAGCAGATAATTCTTCATCTTATATATCATCATGTCAGTATTTTCTTTTTTTTTTTTAGCTTATAAAAATAGAAATTTATTTCTAGCAGTTCTAGAGCTTGAGAGGTCGGAGATCAAGGAACTAGCAGATTTGGTGTGTAGTGAGGGCTTACATCCTCATAGACAGTGCCTTCTCACTGTGTCCTCCCATGGTGGAAAGGAAGAACTCTCATCTCTGTAGCCTCTTGTAAGGGCACTGATCCTATTTATGGGGGCTCTGCCCTCATGACCTAATCACTTCCCAAAGCCCCCACCTCCTAATACCATCATAATGGGGGTTAAGTTTCAACATATAAATTTTTTTTTTTCAAACACCGCATATTCTCACTCATAGGTGGGAATTGAACAATGAGATCACATGGACACAGGAAGGGGAATATCACACCCTGGGGACTGTTGTGGGGTGGAGGGAGGCGGGAGGGATAGCATTGGGAGATATACCTAATGCTAGATGACGAGTTAGTGGTTGCAGCGCACCAGCATGGCACATGTATACATATGTAACTAACCTGCACAATGTGCACATGTACCCTAAAACTTAAAAGTATAATTAAAAAAAAAAAGATAAAAAAATGTCAGTATTTTCTGTCTTAATCTTACCTTTCAGGCTATTTTTAAACTACGGACTGGGGGAAGGAAGTGTCATTCATTCATTTATTATTTCAGCAAATATTTAGCAGGCACCAGATGAAATTAGGGGCCACTGAACTTAAAGCCCCATGCTGGAGATAGACAAGTAACTAGCATTTACAATGCATTGTGATTATGCTATGATAAACTGAGATTCTACAGGAGAGCAAAGTAGAGAATGCAAAAAATATATATATATAAAATTAAATTATTTTCTTAGAAGAGCTTTTAAACTTGTTATCAAACATGCAAATTGCTTTATTGTCCAGTTCACATGAAGGTTGCCCTTATTGTTGTTTTACCAATAATAATATATTATGGTTTATTCGTTTCTTACTCACTGAGGGTTAATATTGCAAATAAATTGGGAGTTGGTGAGAGCTAGATCACTCTGGAGGAATCTTCATATCAGACATTGTTCCTCTTATGCTTAATTTTACAGGCTTTGGTCATCTCACATATTGCTGCTGGGGCTGAAAGAAGTTTGTGTTGTGATGTATTACATTTGTCATCCTGTGCCCCCAAAGCCCCTCCTCTTCTTACATTGCTTTATTGCAGTACAAGGTCTAAAACCCATGAATCTTGCTGTCTTCCAATAGCCCCCTTCCATAACACAGTGACCTGCGCAGAATTAGAGCTAATAATTCAAACCAAAAAGGATAAAAAGCATAAAGCAACTGGCTTGCTTCCAGATTCCACCATGACATTTTTAAAGCCCAAATCAAATATTTTAAGCAGTGCCCTTTCTGAGTCAGAATTTTAAGCAGCACCCTTTCTGAGGCTGTGTGTGGTTCTGTCAGGAGCCCTGGGTTCTAGTTTTGCTTCTGCTAAATATAGAAGGCAAGTCATGAGTTTCCTCATCTTTAATTGGAAGAGGCAGAGACTGCAAGATCTCTAACATCAATGTCAACTCCAATATTCTAAAAATGAATTTTAAAATAAACTAGATAATTTTTTTGTTATTTTAGTGTTCAAACCTTTAACCTACCCAATCTTTAAAGAACATTTTTAGATAAGACTTCTTACACCATTCTAACATATGCAAGTGGCCAAGAAATGGCATACTCTCCACGATTCTGAAATAAAAATTCTGAAGCCCAGAGACATTTAGTGATTTTTCCAATAATATGTGGTGGCTTAGCAGAGGAATATCGAACCCAATCCTTATCTTTTCAAAATTTACATGAAAAAACACAAAATATTCCATAGGAAAAAGACAATTTTTTTTTTTTCGAGACAGAGTCTCCCTCTGTCCCCCAGGCTGGAGTGCAGTGGCCCCATCTCGGCTCCCTGCAAGCTCCGCCTCCTGGGTTCACGTCATTCTCCTGCCTCAGACTCCCGAGTAGCTGGGATTACAGGTGCCCGCCACCATGCCCAGCTAATTTTTTATATTTTTAGTAGAGATGGGGTTTCACCATGTTAGCCAGGATGGTCTCGATCTCCTGACCTTGTGAGACAGTTTTTAATAATTGTATCTGATTCAGTTAATAATCTGACCCCCAGTATGAATTGGTAAAACATTAAATATATTTGGCACTCTGACAGATAAACTAGTTTAAATTGCCAAAATTCATACTTAAAGGAATCAGGTGTTCATTGGAGCACCAAATGGGCCACAGAGAAAGCATAGATTGATGCTCCAATGTCTCTGTATTTGATAGTGATAGTCACCACTGGCAGGCAGGAATCTAGGCCAGAAGTATCTCAATATTAGCTTTCTTCTCTTCCCCTCTGAATGCTAAATATCCTGACATCACCATTTGATCTGTATACTTGGAAGTCTCCCTGGACTGGTTAGCAAACTAAGAGCATACCTCCTAAAAGTGAATATGTGTACTCTTAACTTGGAGTGTCTCTAGCCCTCAATGGAACACTGAGAAAAAAAGTCAGGCTATTTTAAATGATATGACATGATTACCACAGAATATAGAAGCCTGGATTCCAAAGAGGTAACACAGGTAATTCAGCCCAGACAATGTCCATGTCCTTTGCCCCCATCTTGTCTATCTTCTGCACATTTTCTAAAATGTATACAATCTAAATCTGCACTAGGAACAGATTCTGAATAAATGCTATTGCTAGACTGTGTGTGGGAGAAGAGTGTTGAAAATAATATATTTCTTGATATCTTGCCCAGGTATCAACTCAGGCCTTTCAGCTACTTCTTTCCTGAGTTGAAATACAGTCATCTAGAAAATGTAACTGCCTAACACATAGAAATTCAAGTTTTTTAAAACATATATTTCAGTGGAGATTATCATGTCAATTATGTTAATGTAACCATTTTGTATATAGTTCAAACTTCAGAGACTTTTTTATCTTTTGTAATTCAGTGTTGTCCAGTACTTTTGCTCTTGCCAAATCCCTACCTCCTAATCCATACTCAGTAAAATTAAAGCTTGGTACTGGTCACTGTGACACTTGTCTGCAAGTAGACAGGTGATAAACAAACTCAAAAGAATAAGCTCTCTCTGTCCCAATTTTAATCAGGCAAATGAAACAGTAAGACAACTGATAATCAAATATTTTAATTATTTTATGTTGAAAGCATATAGGGTCTTCACTTGAAGTCTGATTCTATCTTACTTTCACTCTAAGAACAGAAAATAAATGAAATTTTGAGATTAGTTTGTATGAAGGAGTTTTTTTCAATATATTTTTAGGGACAGATAGTATTATGTAATTATTTAACAAATATTAGATAGAGCATACTCTGTGCCAGATGGTATTCTAAGTGCTTTATGAAACTTAACTTATTTAATTCTTATAACAGTCCCATGTGTTTCTATGAGTATCCCCATCTTACAGAGAAGGAGACTGAGAAACAGAGGTTAAGTAACTCTCTGAAGGTCACCAGCCAATAAGTGGAGGAGTTGCGATGCAAATCCCAGCAGTCCGGCTCTAGCGTCTATATTCTCACATCTCAACAAGATGATTTAAATGTCAATAAGATAATATGAAAAGTGGAAAACATTTCATTTCCAATGAAAACTAGAAGCATCACTTAATTTCCTGAGCCTGATCTCAGTCCTGGAATCATGCTTTCTCATGACTTTTTCAAATATTTACAAAGCATTCTGAGAAAAGTGCTATTATTTCTCAAAAATAATTTTCATAGTCTTCTCTAAATCTATGATAAGTAATTGTACAGCTTTTACCAGACTGATTTTTGGAAATGAGAATAATGAAGGAAGTTCTAGAAAGAGAAAATGGAAGAGATATTCCTATTGTTTTCATCTTAATTCACAAAGAGGCAATAAAGAAAAATAGGGAACTGCAGTTTAAATGGAAACAGCCCTCCAGAGCAAATAAGCTAAATCATCGTTCTGCTACTCCACCTTGTAGTCTCGTAGTTAAGGTTCTGCACTTTCATTGTGTGGCCTGAGTTTGATTCCCAGAGAACCAGTCCATTGGAGATGTAAATCCTTTAACTCAAAAGGAAATCCTAAGTCCACCGTTCTGGGACTCTGTGCTATTTGATCATGCAGAGCTTTAATTTTCTTTTGTAAAATATGGTGAAAATGCCTGCCTCACAGTGTTGTTGTAGGAACTAATTGAAATAATATAAAGTTCTTGGCAAAGTTCCTGGCATAGACAAGCCCTCCATAGATACCCAAATCCTTTCCTCTTGTTGTAGAAATAAGGGCTTTCCCGTTTTTAAATATAGAGGGAGAATTATTAAGCTTTCAAAAATGCAGTTGGAGAAAACACTCATTCAATGATTTAACAAATATTTTTCAAGTACTTATTATGTTCCAGGAACTATTATTTCAAACACAATGGACTAGAATTCCAGAAGGTTGAAAAGTCCCACAGATACTTGTTTCAATGTTTCTAATTTCATTAGAAGCAAATGTGCAAATGAGTGATTTCCACCACTTTTGATTGTTGTTCCTTTGAAAAACCACACTATTTAGTTCAACAAGAACAGAATATTCTGTGTTTACTTTGTCTATTACTTGACTTGGTAGGAAAATCATTTCTGAATAACCACACATACATACACATACATACACAAGCATACAATGCTTGGTCCTAGGGAGCAACCACAAAGCATTCAGAAACAACAAGCTACATGAAGACCAATACCATTCCATTTCTGGCCATTTCAAGGAAGCCTGTTCCTAGCAATCTGCAACATCCAAGCCCCTTTGCAATGATCAATGTCTAATTGGATCATTGGTATTAAGACAGTGCCTTTCAGGTTTGGTCTATTTTGCTAGAAATCCAAGAACATGTATCTTCTTTTAAAAAATTATCCAGGTTTGTTACTTGAGTCTCTGGTACAAATATTAATGAATTTTCAGCTCCATAAGAAGAATGGAGCAAATGACCTCAGACTTAAACTGTTTCTTCTAGCTTTCTGACTTGCCCATCAGGTGGGAGGCAGCTACTACCTGTATCAGCTACCTGTATGGCACAAAGACACACTTTAATTCTTCTCAGATTGGCTCTTCACTAACATAATTGTTTGGTTCATAGCCACTGCGTCTGTTCATAGAACCTAAAATAATAGCTCAGCCCTTCTCCTCACTGTCTTTCCACTTCCCTCTTATTTCTCACTACTGCAGGTCAAGACATATGGCCCCCTTGATTGATTTCCAGTAGTCATTCACATCATCACTCCGCAAGTAGCTATTGGGGCACCTAGTATGTGCTCCGTGCTAAGTACCATGGGAGTGTACTACAACTATGCCTCAAACAAAAGCATTTATTCTGGTTGGAATATAGGACTTAGATTAAGTTTCTCCTAACTATTCAAGAGGGTACATAATTAACAACCATTGCACACGTGTGCTGTCTGATTCATGGTTCTACACTGCCCTCCTCCAAAGTCCCTAGCAGAGATCTCAAAGAGCACTCCCCTGTGACGCTGAGCACTCCTCACTATATCTTCCAAACAGTCCCTCTGCACAGGAGATGCTGCTTTGCAATACTTTATATTCTATCCAAATTCCTTTAATAATACAATCTCTCTCAGAGTTGCCCCAGGGTTTTCAAGGTCTTCATCTGAACTCCAAGATGAACCCCTAGAATTTATTCCTGCTGCTAAATCTGTCAGTATTTCCACAGATTCCTTGGAGGGTTATACTTTGGCTGTACAATTTCACTTTAGGATAAGAAGATCTTAACAGGAAGACACCACACACACACACACACACACACACACACACACACACACACACACGAATAAATGATCTTTGGTTGTCTATTTGATGAAGAGAAAATTTAAAATCACAAAATCCAAGATTTTTTAGGCAGAAAGAGTCCCATGAAAGTATCTAGAATTTTAAAAAATTATCAATCCTACAGAAGAGGCTCTAAGGCTCAAAGAGAATGGGTCTTATCCCAGTTTATAAATTTCTAGGATGTTTAAGTATATTTATCTTCTTTTATTTGCTCTATGAACATACTTCATTCTCTAAAGAATTTTTCACTACTTATAGTTGACATAGACTTATAAAATTCAAACAATTCAGGCATAGTTTTCATCAACCTACTTTTTCTTCTCTGTTTCATAACTTTTACTGCTGCTTCTCTCCAAAAATGGAACTATTGGTTCCTGACACCACTTCTGAATCCAAGTAAATTCAATTAAGCCAATATTTAATAAATAATTATACTAAGCCCTAGAAATTCTCATTCTATAGATTTAAACTCCATAGGTCTAAAAGATTTCTGCAAATAAATGAGTTGGCCAATTTGCAAGTGAATGTGAAGATTCAAGTAGTCATTGTGATTGGTACAGTGAATATCTTTACTTACTGTCTGGTGTGGGATCCTATAAAGATTAATGCATTAAGAATACTTTTGAAGAAAAAATTAGAAATAGAACTATCGTATAAGTCAGTCATCCCACTTCTAGATAATAGTATTGATATTCTGATTTAAAATACTTTTGCAAATATGACAGCTCTCCAAAACCGCTAAAGCCAACTTTTCTGCCATATGCAAACTCTACAGCTGAAACCACACTTATATTACAAGAAACTGGCTTATTTGTAAGCTCACACCTGTAATCCCAGCACTTTGGAAGGCCAAGATGGGTGGATCACTTGAGATTAGGAGTTCGAGACCAGCCTGGCCAATATAGTGATTATTGTCTCCAGTAACAATACAAAAATTAGCAGAGCGTGGTGGCACGTGCCTGTAATCCCAACTACTCGGGAGGCTGAGGCAGGAGAATTGCTTGAACCTGGCAGGCAGAGGCTGCAGTGAGCCAAGATCGCACCACTGCACTCCAGCCTGGGAGACAGAGCAAGACTTTGTCTCAAAAAAAAAAAAAAAATTATTTTGCGAACAGAACTTTTTTTTCTTTAGTATATAAAGGCAATTTGGACCAAAGTACAAGTATAGATCATGTCATCATTTGTATTAATAGGTTGTGACCATATATTTTAAACCTCTAAAAAGTATATAACCAACATATAAAATATTATACAGAGAACAAGGTTTTGAATGAATCAATAGTATTATGCTGCAGAAATGGAAATTAAAATGCTAAAATGCAGCAAGATCCCCATAGAACACAGTCCAAGTCAGGCATGAGAGAATAGCTCCTGAAAAATGTCTGCACTACAGGCCACCAGTAAGGAACCAGTGAGGAAAAAGAATTTTGCCCCCCTCCCCCAGATAGGCCAGTTTCACAATAATGGAGACCTAAAAAGCAAAGCTCCTAAAAGTTTAAAAAAACAAAAGAATCCAATGATCAAAAGAATTAAATAACATTAAAAAAAATAGAAAACCAAAAAAAAAAAGTTGGTTGTATCCACACAGTCAGAATAGCCCCCTCTGAATGGCTTTGTCTGCAGAACATTCCCTCTGAAAGCTATGACTTAGGAAAATGCTCTTTTCCCATGGATTCTCTAAGTGAAGGGATGAGTGGAATCAGACTCTTCATTTGCCTCTCTCTTTCATTAGTATTAATAAAGAGGAGGCAGGATGGTCCTGGGGTATGGCATGATGTGAGCTCAGTGAAGCAGGAAGGAGACAAAGGAGAACCTGGTTCTAGCTATACTGCCTACTCGGCCACAGGAAAGTGACATAAAACACTTTAAGCCTCCTTTTTTTAAAAAAAATTTAAGGTATGTATAATGCTGCATTTTTTTCATGCCTCTTATTTAACTGCCTGCACTTTTCTTCTAGCCATAGTGAAATACTTGTAGTTCCCAGAAAACAGCATGTTCTAATTTTTATTGTTACATCTACTATTCCCATTGCCAGAAATTCTCTCTGTACCCTTATTGTCCCTCCTCACCCACTTAGCTAATGTTTATTTATGATTCAGATTTTATATTAGACATTACTTCATACAGAAAGACATCCCTGATGCCTCAGTATTGATCTACATACAACTCCTATGTATCCCGATAGACAGCAAGTACTTATCATTATCTCAGTATTCCCAGCACTGAAACCCCACCCTTATCCTCCTCTAAAAACTTCCTGCAAGCTTAGCACAGACTAAGCACTCAAAAAATACCTGTACAGGAAGGGGAGGGGAGGAGGGGAAAGGAGGAGAGAAAAGGGGACAGGAAGGGAGGAGGGAAGGGAAGAGGACGGGAGAAGAAAGGAAGGGAGGAAGGAAAGCAGGAAAAAAACGGAGGGGAGTAGGGAGGGAAATTGAATGGAACTTAAGTTTTAGATTGGAATGAACTTTTAAATACCTGAAAATTAGATGCTTTAATGCCTATGAGTGACTAGGAAAGAAATGGGACTGTTCAAGTTACAGACAAGGTGTAAAGAAAGAAGATTTATCAGAGCATGTTTGAAAACAATGGTTAGAAGGAAAAAAAAACTTTTTTTCTATTTGTACCTCTATCAATTTAACATAGTTTACTAAACTAGTTGGCTATAGATATAGACATAGATAGATATATAGATACAGATAGTATACCCTGAAGGTGGAGGGGCTGGGGGATGGGGAGAGAGGCCAAAAACAACTAGCACTTACTAAAAAATTAAACAAGTAACACTTACTATGTTCCATGCCCTTTTTAAGCACTTTCATGTACTAGTATTTTACCCTATCACGGGGGTACTATTGTTACTACTAGTTTAAAAATGAGAAAACTGAGGTTCAGAGTAATTAAATAATTTACCCAAGGTCACAGAGCTACTAAGTAGCATTTTCTATGTGGGTATCCTTTGTTGAAGCTCCCAGTATATTTTGTTTGGCTGAAACAGTGCTTTTTGTCTGCTTGTTTTAATTTGATGACTTTAAGGTGGGTACAAGCTCTCCTGGTCAGCCCAGTTCCCACCACTCCTAGTTGTCTTAGATGTTTTCCTACTTTGATAATTTACATTGCCTGCCTAGCCCATAAAGGAATGTAAGTTCATAATTCCTGTCAGTCAACCTAATTTAATTCCTGTCCTTTACCTTTTTGTCTTACCCATCTGCCCATACTTATACCTCTCTCATAATCTGGAATATTTTCCATGACCTCTTTTCCAGATTAAACTGCCATACTCAATTCTTGCTCAAGGCCCAGCTTAAAACCTTCTCAGATTAACCTCAGTACTTCAATAACCTTGCATATGTCTTGAACTCCAATAGTACTGCATAGTTTTTGGATTATCATTTTACTCACTGGCTTCATTAATGCACACCTTATAACCCTCCTGACTCTCCATCAGAGTGTAAATGTAGTTGATGGCATTTGTGATATGCCACAATAACTAGACCATAGTCTAGTTATTTAATCAAATACTAATCTAAATGTTACCGTAAAGATATTTTGCAGATGAATTTGGGGGCCTGCCATCATCAATTGAGTTGAAGGAAAGGAAAATGTCCTGAATTACCTGTTGGAGGCTTTACAAGTAGGGCTGAGGCTTGAGAGACAGAGAGAAAGAAATTTCACCTGTGGAGTTTCATCCTGCTCATAATTTTCCTTTCCTGACTGCTTGACCTATAGACTTTGAATTTGTTTTCCCAGCTCTGAAAATGCAAAGCAATTCTTGTTTTTCACACACACACACACACACACACACACACACACACACACACACCCATCCTACAGGTTCTCTGGTTGAAACCTGACTGATACACAGTAAGTGAAAAGAACCATTTTTTCTTTTTGAAACTCCTACCATACTAACACACACAGACACAAACGCTCACAGTTAATATCATTGAATAAAAGATAAAATTGTGAAAAAGTATTATATGTATGGAAAAATATGCAGGATAAATTAGATAAATAAATGCTGAGAAATAGGAAAAAAAATTATTAGAGCAAGCTAGTATAAATCATGGAAGCCTTTTGAAAAGAAAAATGTTTGAAATGCAGTCTTAAGTAAGTTTTGAATGTAGATTAGTAGAGTCTACATAACAGTGGAGGAAGAAAGAGGAAAATATTTCTAAAATAGTGGCAGTACAAATACTCAGTAAACCATATGTATACCTGTATATTTGTTTGAACAGTTTTTTTCAACATATAGAGCTCCAATAATTAAAATGCAACAAAACATGTATTTTTAACTATCTAGGTTCCCCCATCTTTTAAGTTCATTCTACCAAGCTGTCACAGTGATAGCAATAATTGATGTTTACCATTTTAATATTAAAGTTTTCTCACTAATGGCGTTAGATATAAATGACTTTGATTTGCGATTTTCCCCCAACACTGTGCTTTTAGAATGCATGACATGATTATGTATGAAATGGGAGTTGAAAATTCCCTTAATATCCATGAGCATGTATTTATGCAGTCTTTAAAATTTAGAATTATGTAGGTTGCCTAAGCACTAGGTTCAAACTTACAAATATAAACGATTACATATATATGGTAATCTTCCCATATATGAAGGAATTGCAAAAAGCAGGGAAAGAAGCAGTGAGTACAGAATTTCAAGGTTACAACTTTCTGGACATCCCACCATCCATACAGCATGCATATTTTTTAAATATTCCGAAGCTTCTAGTTAGCTATGCAATGACTCAGAATTGGCACAAAATGTCACTAAAACCAAAGGATATTATTTGGCTTGAAAATTGGTTTCTTGTGTCAGTTAAAATTCAGAAACATATTTTCTACTCCATTCCAACTCATTTCAACTCCCCCACTATTATGTAAAATTATTTTAATCAAATGAAACTATGTAGATCAAATTTAACTCTTCACCGAGTTATAAACCCTGAGTGCAAGAGTTATAGAATGGAAATATTGATATTCCACCAAGGCAAGTAGAAGAAGTAGCCTTTTTATGATATTGTTTTAGGAGCTAGAGAAAGAATTCTTGCCCCTAAAATATTAAATTTAGTTCATATTTAATTTAGCAGGCATATATAAAGTGCCTTCTATTTACTAGGTCCTGAGTTGACAAATGTGAGAACACAGTTGTTGCTGTCAAGAAAATCACTATGTAATGAAAACAATAGCTGTGAAATAATGTGATAAGTATAATAATAGGTATCTACACAGAACATTATGGGACCAGAAAAGTGGGTCTCCTACCTCTGGAAAGGACAAGAGTACCAAGGGTGACTTTTTGAAGTAGTTATCCCTGAGCTGAGTCTCAAAAGATAAGGAGGAGATAGCCAAGCAAAGAGGAAGAAGGAGGGCCTTACAGAAAATGGGGAACGCATGAATCGAGCCAACATCAGAGCCACACTGTTTTTAGGCTACTGAAGATAATTTACGGTTGTTGCAGCATAAGGAATGTGGCAAGGGGTAATAAATACAAATACACCTATTTAAGTTCAGAGCAAACTATATATGATGGATCACAAAGCCTCCCCTGCTAGAATAGATCTACTTTCCATTTGAGAGTGTGGAGAAAGGGAAAACCATGATCTAAACGAAGCCTTAAGGCATTAACGGCAAACATTGCTCCTTTGCAATTTTGGTTAGGTGGGTCCTAAGCAGAGACAGACAAACAACTGCCCCTTTAACATCAAAAAGCCATCCACAGACAATTAAGCTTGCCTACAACATAAACAATGAAGCCACAAACACACTCTTAGACAATTTGAAAAATATCGTTAATATTATGATGAATCAAAATATTATTGAGTAATCAAATTATTGTTTTAACTGCTCTATTCATTGTCATCACAAAAAATTGTCCAAGTTGTATGATATCTCATATACTCCTCCATACTATACCATGAGTATTAGATTCCCTGGACATTTTCCATGTAAATAAACAAATAAAGGAAAACAATGTTAGTGTATGTAACATGTAATACTTTCCTTCAAGACATTTTAACTGTTGAATTTCCTGTCTACTATTCTGGGAATAGTGGTAGGCAAATCTATTTTTTATCATCTCAAATTCTGGTGATAGTCTTATGGACATAGAATTAAATGACATAATGATATAATCTTTAAAAATCAGTCAGTTGGACATCAGATTATGCCTGATCACTAAGAACGTGTAATAATTTTGTTCTTACCCGACTTCTATCTTCTAGACTGGGGGATTTTAAATAGACATGAGATTATCATAAGAAAAATGTGCCATATAGGCAAACATTACAGCTTAGTAGTTAAATAGAAGGTTTTGAGAGTCACACAGATCTGAATTAAAAATCTGTCTTCTGCCACTTATTAGCTCTGTGACCTAAGGAGATGTATTTAACTTCCCTAAGCCTGGGGGACAATGAAAGAGACACATTACATACTGCTCCTCAAAAGTCCAGGCAAGACCAAGCCCCAGTCCCCACAGGGTGGCGTAATCAATAACACACATTCTTACATCTTTTAATTTTCTCTCCCTCATTCCTTATATCAACTCCTCCTCCTGAACTCTGGCTCCCTGGGATGGAAATGCCCAAATAAACTACCTCCATCTACACTTTCATCGCAGGCTCTGCTTTCAGGGGAACCCAACTAAGATAGCACATGAAAGTCTATGGCTGTGGACTTTAACTACAGAGTCAAGTCCCAAGTTTAGGTTTTTCACTACTCCAGACAGATCCCAAAGGAAACTGGGTCCTTCCTTGACTGGCTTGAAGGAAAAGAGCACTTCTGTATTAAATACTTCTTACACTTATGGGACATTTTGTTTTCTCCAGGTGTTTCCAAGGCATCCAGAAAGAGCTCTTTCCAACTGCACCAAATTCCATTTGCTTTCCACACCCTGTCCCGACAAGGGGTGCTGCAGAAGCACAAAGCCAGCCAGATGCATGAGCACACTTGGAAGTATAAGGCAAAATGTTCCAGGAGCAATTCTGAACCAATTCTGAAGCTTGGAAGCTGAAGGATATACATTTCTTTCCTTGATCTATATTTCGCAAAGTATTGATCAGTTCCATAACGCACATTTTGATTGCTTTTAAATTGTTCTTTATTTCACTTTTTCTAGTCCTTCACCCCTGTTCTGTGCACTTTCTTCCCAAAATAACCATATCAAACCCTTGTCTCAGCCTCTTCTTTTAGGGGGCACCTAGGCTAAGAAAATGTTAGCAGGTTACAGAGTATAACAAACATACCCTGGGAGCATGTTGTGGCCTCAGGCTGTTCCAGAGAGCTGGCCCTCTAGTCAACTGGATAAAGCCCTAACTCTCACCACAAGTGGCCAGGCCTTCCAGGCCTGAGATGTCCAGGGTCACAAGGTGTCGCTACCCCTTTAAAATACATAGCAAAAAGTCATCATACTTATATTTCCAACACAGCATTGGTGCTATAGTCAAACTGCTGCATTATCATATTATAATACAGTTACATCAGTCAAATTTACATCAAAGGCCTCCAGTCTTCAGCTATTTTAGGTTGTTGACCAAAGTTTTTTTAAAAAAAAAGTTTCATCATGAGTGACATTAGTTTGGAAGACCCCTAATCTCAGTGACATAGTATATCTCCTACCTATTACTAAATCAAATCCCTACCCAGGAGCCATGTTTAAATGGAGGAAACAGGATGCATAACTATGAAAAACATTGGTATTAATGTAATTCCATAGAAATTAAAGTTTATATATAGTCTCATATTTTATAATTATTAATATCAAAAGTATATAAAAACCTAATAAAATATTTAAGTAAGTGATCTAGACAATAGAGAATATGACAGTAAAATTAAAGTTTAAGGGCAAAAAAAGTAGAAAAAGAGATAGAGAAAGGGTATAGTCTAAGGGTTCTAAGTTACCCTTCTGAAGCTCTAATTGAAGGCCATCTGGAAAGAATGGTTCATGCTTCTTCATTCCACAACAAATGGAGTGGAAGTAGTTTACAACTTCTCGGGATAGAGATCCATTGTCTTGAGGAAAGAGAAATGGAAGAAGCAGGTGGTGAAAAAAAAAAAAAAAAGACTGGAGATGTTAGGAGCCCTGCCCATCAAGATGGGAGCACAACAGTTCAGTGCACAATACAGCTGCATTGCCAATACACTGTCTAAGTCAAGGATAGCTGAGGAAAATAACTCCCAGAATTGGAGCAGGTGGGATTTGCTAAACTAATATTGATTTGAATTATGTAATTTGCCAGGCTTTATGCTAAGTGATTTACACTCCCTACTCACTTTAACATTTGGAACATTTCTATAAAGCAAATATTATAACTGCACTTTTTAGATGAGAAAACTGAAGCTTAGATTTTAAGCAACTTTCCCAAGACCAAACAAACTAGTAAGTGGCAGAGATAGACAGACCTTCCTGACTCCAAAGCTGCTGTTCTTTTTACAACACTAGGCTGCTCATCATCCTTTTTGTATGAGTCAAGACAACTAATTACCAAGCTATTAATTTACATCACAGCTTTCATTCATGGAAAAGTAATGTGTTTTCCCTACAAGGATGCCAGAATTGACGGAAGCATCTCACTAGCTTAATAACAAGAAGAGCAATTTTTTTTGTTCCAATATTGATGCTTGCATTTAGAAATGTAGACCTTGTTTTGGAATGGAATTGATTACATAGAAATTGACTGAAATAGGTTTGACTTAAGAAACGTGGAATACCAATAATTTGTTGGGCATTATATATTAAAAAAACTCTGACAAGGAATGAATAGCCAGGACTGATATTTTTCTTTTAAAAGAGAAAAAGCAAACACAGAAAAAAAGAAGCAGTATTTCCACAAAGACATTCAGCAGAAAGGAAATTTAAGCTCCAGGTCTTCAATGACTCCTTCTAACTCTAAGACCATTCTCCAGAGTATGATCTGGAGGGCTCTCTGCTCTGAGCAAGTCTCTTTGGGGACGGCTCTGTATCTTCCTTCCTGCTCAAATTCTTCCCTTTCTAAAAATGTCTCAGGCTTGTCTTTGAACTATTTGTGACATTAAAATGCAATTCCGTCTTTCTCTTGCCTTTTCTGTGAACAGTAGTCCATAATTACTCTCTCTACCACCACTCATAAACCCTTAGAATGTCTGAATGTATAATATATCATGCATGTGCTCAACAGAATATGTTTTTTTTCTACTTAGAGAAAGCCTTGGACATCTGACAAAGTGTTCAAGTTTCTATAGCTGAATTTTAAGCACAGTATCTTCTTTTCTGCATTTAATATTGACCTCAGGCATCTGCTGTGG
Organism: Homo sapiens; assembly: GCF_000001405.40. NCBI lineage: Eukaryota > Metazoa > Chordata > Mammalia > Primates > Hominidae > Homo > Homo sapiens. The sequence goes on along the minus strand of NC_000006.12, from coordinate 50,873,403 downwards.
CTTTAAAGTCTACAAAATTATTATTCAATTTACATTCTTAGGGTTATATGAATGCCAGTTCCTTAGAGGCACTGTGGTTGGCTTGTCTTGGGATACTTGAGTTGCCTCATCCCCATTTCTTTGCAAACTTAGTCAAGACTTAAAATTCATGATTTTTATTAGCCTTTGGATGTCGTGTTTCATGGAATGCCTCATCCATGGTCTGGAGTTCTAAAGAACTCCACAGCCACCTGCATTGTTGACAGAAGCAGCTTTGCTTAGGGTGTTACACCACTTGGGAAAGTTCCAGATAGAGGAGAGTTTATTACAATAATAATATAGTATGAAGTTATTTGCAATAAAATATATTAATACCCAGATAAATACCCATCATGGATATCAGGGAGGATTATCCCTGAATGCCATTTGGAGAAAGAAAAGTACTTTGTAATAGGAAAATTATTTTTATATCTCTGATCTCACCTGTTGCATTTCCCTCCCATTCTGCTAATAATTTCATACACTTTTATGAAGAGCAATTCCAGACTCCATTACTGTTCCAAGCTCTGACATTCTCATAGAAAATGAAAAACTGCCATAACCTTCCCTCCTGCTCATAAAGTCCTAGAAGAGGTGGATCAGACCAGAGAATTTTCTGACTTAGGGTAAATTTTTTATTCTTTTACATAAATCCCCCAGGCAGAAATAAGGAAAAAGTATTTCAAATCCAATTCCAAATATTTCACTTGGAATTGCTCCCTGAGAAGAATGGAGCAGCTGCCAATTAGCATATCTGTAGATCTTCTGAACAAACTCAGGAATATTTTCACTAATAAGTTGACTAAATAGAGCCCCCAGCTATCACCTGGGTACATACCCCAAGAGGAGATTTTTGTAAAAAATATAGAAGACTAATTGATTATTATTTCTCAAAATGCCTTCAAAAGGCATAAAGAGCTGACAGACTCTATAAACTTCAACTGTCTACAAAAGCCCCCTCATTTTATAGGCAAAGAAACCAAGTCCCAAGGAGGTTAAGAGAATTAACTAATTTCAAGGTCATGTGGCTACTTAGTGGTAGAGCCAGCACTGGAACCCAAGTATCATGAACACAGATCTGGAGTCCTTCTCACATTGATAAAAATAATCTATAATATGCTATTCCATTGTTTTCATAGCTTAGAAATTTAATATAGTGCTTTATTTTTCTCAAGAGTTTAATTATACCTACTAATCACATATCATTATTCTTTCAGATATCTACTGAAACAACTGTAATGTCATCAAAATATATGTGTTGTGGCCCGTAATCCCAGCACTTCAGGAGGCCAGGGCTGGAGGATTGCTTGAGGCCAGGAGTATGAGATGAGCCTAGGCAACATAACAAGACCCTTTCTCTACAAAATAAATAAATATAAAATAACATGTTGTGATCCCATTTTCCTGAGGAGGAAAAGTTGATATGATAATCATAAGGCTTAGTGTATACTCTCTCAAAAATTCTCACAATAAGGAAATGGAACTACTTATCAGACCATAACGGTATCTAGTTTTCATTGTTTTCTATTTTTCTCTGATTTTCTCATCAGTTACAGCATGCCCCTCTTGCTTTTATCAGATCCTCACTTTCATGCATAGCCCTTGACCTGTAACAGGCATTCTTTTTCTGTTGGAATAAATTGAATTCTTATACAAGACTTACCTAGATGGCAACAAAAACAAAGCCTTATATTCAAGAACATTTGAGTATTCTTGAGTGTTTAAATATCAGGATAGACAGGAAGGGGCAAACAACAGAGCCATAAAAGTCTTTGGAGTACCCATGAGTTCAGCAGCCCCTACATCAAGTTTCAGAGCAGCCCAATTTGGGGGGTCTATTTCAGGCAAACCAGAAGCAAAACCAAAATGAAGATGGTTGAATGAAAGAAAAACTATGAGTTAACACAATCTATACTGCTTTGCACTACCATTGAAATTCTTTGGAAAACAATAATAATAATAATAGTAAAAGAGCTGAAAGTCAAATCAATGTTGGATGTACCCAAACTTAAGTAAAAATTAGCTTTTTACTCTAGAGAGTCATAAAATGGTTCTCTATCCAGAGTTGTCCTGGGCACACTGAGCAGCCATTGCACCCCACCTCCAGAATACTTGTAACAAGAGGGGAAAGCCAGCTCACTATAGTATCGACCTGACTCTCCAGGTAACCTCAATATAGTTCCAGGTCTAAACTCCAGTATTCTTAGGACATCTGAATCTTCAACTGAAATCAAAATATGTCAATAGCACAGATGGTCTTTTTGAGTCCCTTAAAGGAACAGGGAGTTAGGTACAAGGCACATAGGATACCATGTCCTAATACATATTTGTACATATGAGAAAGAAACGTCTATTTGGGTTCTGGGTTTAAAAGGAAACGGGGTTATCTTAGGGAGTTTTCACTCAATGATGCCTATATAATATGAAGTGTACAAATGCTTCAAATGAACTTAACATTACTAGTTCCTTGAATTCTTTAGGGAAAAGGGAAAATCTTAGGAATTAAATTATTACTCTTCTGGAAGAGAATGTACTATTTATTATCTCTTTGGATTTTATTAAATTTCTGTTTGTGTACCATACTTCAATTTAGAGCAGACAGATACACTCTGGCCAATGTCTGGACACTTCAATCTTCTAATACTTCAGACATTGCTCATCAGCTGCACCAATTTGAAATGCTCTTATTTGTACATATTAGTGTAGACAGAACTCTTTATTGGAAGAAGTTTTGTCTCTTTTCTAAATTCCTTATACCTCTAGGATGGGAAGTCTAAAGTACTCTATGAATACCATTGAAAAATAATGAAATCAAAATACAATATGGCAAATACCCTATTACCAAAATCTACAGAACGGAAATTTGTTGTACAAAACTCCAATGATTTGACCCTGATATATATTTTTAGATTAAAAAATTACATCTGCAAATTCTAATAGTTTCTGAATTAACCTTTGATGACAGACTTCAGAGACTGAATCAATTGCATTTTAGTAGCAGTAGGTACTGAGATGCTGTGTTAAAAGGAAGAGTAAAGTGGTCCCTTCTTTTAACAACATCCTCTCCTTTTAACTTAGTGCCAAATAAACACAACTCCTGGAATGAAGATTTAATAGGAAAGAAAAAGGAAAATTTCCCAACAAATAATAGCAGCAGCATGTAAAACCCATCAGGAATTAAGATACATCTCTGCCACCAGATTAATAATGAATAAATAGGGCCCACTAATTTTTACTGTGCTTGCAGTAAAACAGACCACACAGGCCTTCTCCTCTGGAATCTGTAAGCATTGCTTTAAAATCTGTACACGGCTTTGGCACCTGTAATGACTTAGGATGTTCAGTGATGTCTAGAGGAAAAGGTACTCAGCATTTTCTTACACAGACAGTTAAAAATAATTTCCTCACTGTTACCTACTATGACCCAGAGGACAGTTGCACGCCCAAACATCAGGGGTACTATTCTCTACTCATCTATTATCTACATTAGTTTTTTTTTAATGTGGCTCATCAATTAACCCTATATAAATTCATCCTCTAGCCCTAATGATTGATATAAATGTTCCCCATCTGTGATAACATAATTTACAGTACTAACATCCTTTCATCTACAATTCTGCATAGCTTTTGACTTGTACTAAGATCTTACATCACTTTAATTTTTTATATTGAATTCATTTCAAGAGCTGCACCCCAGGATCCCACTCACATGACATTTCACTTTCAGGACAATCTGTAAACACTATGGCAATCTGTAAGCCAACCTGATAGGAGGCTATGTTTATGGAGACCCCAAGGAACTACTGCTGCTGAAGGGAGACTCTCTCTTACCATGTTGCTGCCCCCACATTTGTGACAGTTCCTGCTAATGGCTATGTTCTGACCGATGCTGCTACAGCACTGACTCAAATATGGCAGAAATCACTCTTTGGTGGAGGCTTGGACAATTGGACAATCCTTAGTTGTCAGAGAATAAGACAGGGATCAGAACGTTTATATAGAGGCAGAAAAAACCCCATGTTCTCCCTTCTCAATCCTAAATTTCTTAGTCCCACTGTACTACCCAGCTGCGTCCTATGTTATGATGAAATCTTGACAGTAAAGAATTCAAGAGAGCCCCATGGGTTCTGTGCATTTTCACATTTTTTCCTCTAGCTAAATTCTAAACCTGCTACTTTTTAAAACAGGTGTGTTTTTGAAGATTTTAGTTTAGATCTAGGACCTTTTTCATGGGAAAACCCAATGAAATCACTGGGAGGCATGTGCATATGACGTATTTAAGTGAGCCTGAAACAATTAAACAGCAAAAGCCTGTCAAGGAATCCGTGAGCAGCTTTTAACCAAGAGCCGCTGATGTCATGGGGGGTTGTTGATAGCAAAACACAGGAAGTAACAATAAAGTAAATTACTTCTGAGTAGTAGGGGGGGACACTTTTTTAAATAGTGCTCAGCCTGAAATTTGTTTTGTTTCCCACCCCCGAAATCCAGGAATATCTTCAAAGTCTCTCCATAGCTACAGCAAAAAAAAAAAAAAAAAAAAAAGAGAGAAAGAAAAAGAAAGTGTTTCTAAGCAGCTATAGAATAACCAAACAAGTACCAAATGGGAGGCTAATCACATTTCCAGTATTAACATGAATCCATGTAGTAGGAGATAGGAAGCAAATAGCTAAAGCCAGCAGATAAGGCTTTATTTACCAGTAAACAGATACCACTAGATAAGGATTTTGCACTGCAAATGCTAAACTCTGTTGTCACAGGCAGAGAGACAAAGAATTCTATGTAATTCATACATAAGTATGACAGAAGTGTGACAAGGCCTCTATGGACCACTGTAAGATGCAACACATCAACATGGGCACATGGGTATGGACTGATGTGGACTCCAGCGGTAATAGAAAGCTTGAGTGTCTGGACCTGAACCACAGCAGAGATGTTTTTCTAGGCACATCTGCTGCTGGCTTTGGTGGGAAGAAATTAAGAAATAACACAGAACTATAATATCACTGTTCCCAAATATTACTTAAAGTTCATTTTGTCTACAGCTGTGTGTAATTTCATGATTTAGTAAGTACATCTATTTCATTCTATTATGAGCATTTAATTGTTCTTAATATTTTTGGTATCTTTATAAAGTGTCTTTATATATATTTCAAATAATTCCATTTGATCATTCTTAAAGAGAGAAAATTCTACCAAAAGGTCACAAATTAGGTTTTCAATCAAGATTTTTGTATTTGTTTGCATGTTAAACAAAACGATATGTGACCTAGGCCTAGCCCATTGCAGAGTATCTTGCATTATATGTTTATGCTGAGAACACGATATTACATATTACAAATGTGTGAGCTATGTTGTTTGACCAATCTGAACCTTCAACACTGCTAGTTTTTTGTATTTAATATAAATAAATATGACAGCATCTAAGCCTGTTACTCTTATTCACTAGTGAGGATGAAAAGTTATTAGTTGTAGAAACACAGTCCAAATGCACGATTCAATTTTCCTCTCTTTAGCAGCAGGAAATTCTCTCCGAAAAAAACAATGCTTTTTCCACTTTTTACAACATTTTAATGTAGAAACATTATCAAACTTACACAAGTGGTTTCGGAAGAAATCATTCCCATATTCACACAGATTCACCATTTTACCTCATTTTGTTACCTTCCTTCCTTTCTTTCTCCTTCTCTCATGTTCTCCTAAAATATTTAAAAATAAGCTCTACCCTGTGTGTGTGTGTATATATATACATATATATGCATTACATTTTACCCTATAAATACATACGATTATGATTTGTCAATCAAAAGTAATATTAATTTTGCCAGGTGCAGTGGCTCACACCTGTAACCCCAACAATTTGAAAAGCCAAGGCAGGATAATTGCTTGAGCTCAGGAGTTCAAGACCAATCTGGGCAACATAGCGAGACGTCATCTCTACTAAAAATTTGAAAAATCAGCCAGGCGTGGTAGTGCAGGTCTGTAGTCCCAGCCACTTGGCAGGCTAAGGTGGGAGGATGGTTGAGCCTTGTAGATCGAGACTGCAGTGAGCTATGATCATACCACTGTACTCCAGCCTGGGCAACAGAATGAGATCCAGTCTCAAAAATAATAATAATTTTAAAAAAGATTAAGTTGCACATATCATGTCACTTTATCAAGGTACAATTATCAAAACTAGAAAACACTTGTGCAACATTATTTTCTAATATACTGATTATATTTAAATTTCATCAATTTCTCCAATAAATCCTTACAGCAATTTTTTCTTGGATCCAGCTTCTATTCTGGGATTATAAATTGCATTTAGTTTCAAGTCTTTTAAAATCTGAAAGAAAGAGTTCCTTGGCCAGTCTCTATCACGGCATTGATATTTTTGAAGAGTGAAAGCCACTTGTTTTTTACACTGTCCCTTAATTTAGGTTTACCTGATGTTTCTTTGTGATAAAATTCAAGTTACGCATTTTTTTCCAAGTTTCAAACAGCAGAGTGTCAAAGTATGTGGCTTCTTCTCCGGGTATCACATGAGGAGGCACATGGTACTTGTTGAAACAGTGGTAGCCAATGTTTTCTACTGATAAGATTTTTTCTCTTACAATCAATAAGTAATCAGTTGGGGACATGCCTTGAAATTATATAAATAACTTGACATCCATCAAATTGTACTTATTAGTTTTAGGATCTATTGATGACTCTTGTCCAAATCAATTTTTACAATGATGATTGCAAAATGATGATTTTTAAAAATTCTTATCATTCCCTCTACATTTATTACTTGGCACCCTACAACCAGGAAGAGCTTTCTTCTCTTTTCCTTCTGCTTAATTATCAATTAATTGATTGTTAGTATGGAATTATCAATTTTTGTATTTTCCATGGGTTATAACCCATTACTATCCTTACTCATTTTGATGGCAAATTGTCCCAGATTTGTCCAATGTGAACCCCTCAAGCTGTCTTCTTTAACAGTCTCTTTTAACCAGACAAAATTCTAATAATATATATTTTTAAAAAACAGTTTTCTGGAGATCACTTATTTTGTGTATTATCCATTGATATAATATGAGAGAAGGAAAACAGCCTTCTATTTTCAAAGAAATTTCAGTAATTCTTAAACAGGGATAAATAGTTTTCTTATTGCAAGATTTCTCAGAGCATTTACTGTGCTAACGTGCATCTTAAAGTTGTAAAAGATGAATATCCTGATAATGGTTTCAAGTCATAGGAAACTTTTTCTAATGTAGCATTTGGCAGGACCATATACTTAAGAACACAGCTTATTAATGATAAATTAGTTAAATCTGAAAAGAATATTCTTACTTCCAACAAGTTCTGGTTTAGATAGTAAATGAAAAGTAACACATTTTGGTCTAAATCTAATATATTTTGTTAGATGGACATTCTCAAATTAAACCAGAAACTGCCCATAGTATGTATTTATTACCCTATCAATAAAATTATGTGATTCCTAGAGCTAATTTCCTTGAAAGGACATTGAAATGAAAGTTTTCTTAGCATTATCTGAAGCTAAGTTGGTATCAATCATGCCTACAGATAAGGTGAGAGTTTCCTATAAAACAACCTGCCAGACATTAAGTAGAAATAATGAGCTCTAGTTTGGTAAATTTGTTTCCCTCAATGCTCAAGTAGTAGGTCTGAAACTTAGTTTGCATTAGAATCTTTTGGGTGGCTTAAAACAACAGAAATTTAGTCTCTCACCATTCTGAAATCCAGAAGTCTGAAAATAAGATGTTGGTAGGGTGATTCCTTTTGGAGGTTCTGGGAGAGAACCTATTCTATGGCTCTCTCCTAGCTTCTGGTGACTCTCCTCAATTTCTGTCATTCCTTGGCTTGAAGACACAGCAGTTTAATTTCCACTCTGTCTTCTCATGGCTTCTCTTTTTGGGTCTCTTTGCATCTTCTTTTCTGTCTCTTTTAAGGATACCCACCACTGAGTTTAGGGCCCACCCTAATCCCAGATGATCTCATCTCAAGATCCTTACCTTAATTATATCTGCAAGACTCTTAAAAAAAAAAAAAATCAGGTCACCTTCACAGGTGCCAAGGGTTAGGACTTAAACATATATTTTGAAGGACAAAATTCAACCCACTCCAGCTAATACAATAAAACACGTAAAGGTGATTTGCTTTCCTGTCGTTGGTTTTATGTGCAACCTTACAAAGCAATTTATGTCCCTCTTCTTTCACATACAAAATACAGAATAGGGTTCCTTTTTATTTTTCATTTCACATGAGGTGCTATGTTAGTTAATGAAAAAATCCAGGCTTCTAGTAAACTATCATTTGTAGCACTGAAACGGAACACTTTTTCATATATTAATTATATTAACCATCATAGCAACTCTAGGAGGCAAGTATAAAATGATATTTCCATTTTATAAATGAATAAACTAAGATACAGTCCCTTAAAGCCACAAGTAGCTAGTAATTGAATTTATAGTAAAGTCACCTATCTCTAATTACCTAGTACTTCTTACATGAAGATTCATGCCTTTCCCCTCTATTACTTGGATACATTGGCATGTATAAACCTGGAATGCTAGGCCTTTGTTTTCATGATTTCACAACAACAACGACAACAAAATCAGCCTTTCTAGGAACTAAGGATTATCTCTGCTAAACTGATGAATGCCAGACTTGCTAACTTGCTTTGAGCAAAAACAAAGCTGGCACTCAAGGAAACAAACATGTAAGAGGAAATAAAAAAAAAAGGATGGATGAAAGGATAGAAGGTAAAGGGAAAAGAAGGAAACAGAAGGGAAGGGAAAGTCAACTCAGCTTTAAATTATACATTTTTTTTTATTTCTCTTCAACTTATCCAACTTAAGAAATAGCATTGCCTCCTTAGCTCAACTTTATGTTCTTTTGGATCTAGAAAGCTGTGTCTCTTCACCTTGTTATCCTCTACAGAAGCTAGTGCATTGCCCTCTATATAGTAGAGTTTACTATGTTGAAATTAATTGAATCATTTGCTCAGGCTTATAAAAATATTTACCAGCAAGACAAAGTTTTCTGAATCTTCCTCTAGGGTTTGGAATTTCTCTTTTGTTTAGAAAAACAATTGCTCTCTAAATCCATCATCTGACTATATATCTGAGATGTATATCTTTGAGAGAAGGTCAGAAAGGCTACTTCAAAGTAAACTGTCTTATTATACACATCACATTTACTAAGACATCTCTACAAATAACCTGTTTGTCCATATGCAATTGCATGGATATAACCAGGTGTAAATTGTAAAATATCTCTTTAGAGTCTCCAGTAACTCCATTCATTTTTTGTGTAGTGGTAACTCCATCTCATTATTGAAAACACAAAGAATATTTTATTGTGAATACATCCCATATATCTGAACAAAAAATAGGCTGAAATTAATCTTTATATTTTGACAGAAAATCATTCATACTAATGTACTGTTTTACCTGTAGATTTGTGCTTTAAAAATCTTTAATTTGTAATAGAGAACTGAAAAACTTTGCCTCATGTTAAGAGAATTTCTGGCATTCAAGAATCGGGTAGAAGAAATATTTAGAGTGAAGGAAGCCTTTTCTTGTCTCAAACTCATGTTAAATATGTGGCTGAGTCAATTTTAACATAATCTTTGAGGGTCTCAAAATTAGCCTTGAGTCAGAAAGAACAGTGGTATTACCAGCTGTTTCACTTACTTTCTCACTTGTTAATCTGTTCTTTCCTTTATTTCTCCCTTCTGTCCTATCTTGCTTCCTTTTCCATCCTTATATTCCCTTCCTCATTCCCCCTTTGGAGAATCATTTAACATATTCTTTGTCTTTTTATGCTCTTAAATCCTGATGATTAAATGCCAGAAAGCAGAGATCTTTCTAAAACTCAGTGCCCTCTCTTCCTGCACTACCACTCCTGATTTGTATATATACACCCCACCCCCAGAAACTAGAGGGTTGGAAACACACTTAACATTCATCAGAAGATACTGGGTCATCAGGAACACTGTAGAAGTAGCATTAGAATTGGGTCCCTTATACACATCCCTTTAAAAATATGCTAATTCAGATATACACAACCCTTCAAAATATGCTAATTCATTCTTTCATGATCCACCTAAATTATTGTAGTTAAATTGATAAGTCAAATTGATTTTCTATTACGATTTGGAGGACTCTGGTGTGGCAGGATGTCCAATGGCAACTAGAAGACTTCCAGAAGGTCACGTTAAATCTCTTTAGTTGCTTATTGCTGAACAAGCCTATTAACTTTCCTCAACAGCCCTATGCTTAACTAATTCTAAGTAGTTCATAATATATTAGATAAATTGTTGTGGGGAATTAGATAAAATATATGAAGGTATACTATAAACTGTACAAAAGCTAAACAAATATTAATTATTGTTTTAATTATACTTTTCAACAAAATCTTTTCCTTCAAGTTCATTCAAGGCCCCAGTCAAATTCTGAAAATACTAATTAGAAGAAAATACACAGTCTCAAATGGAATGATAAAATATCAAGATACTGAAGGTTCACTGGATATCCTCTATGTATATCCCGGGAGTCCTCATCTGAAAATGAAGATCTGGTTGACTCAGTGATCTATTTAAAGGAGAGGGAGAGGAAGAAGGAAATGGAGATCTACCTATATATTCAGAGACACACACACATGGAGAGAGAGAGAGTGTGTGTGTGTGTGTGTGTGTGTGTGTGCATCTTGGCCCCACTTACTAAATCTCTATCGAAAAGAAGAGGCAGGGGAGAAGGAAGAGGAGAAAGAAGACTATAAAACACAATATTCCTGCATCTGGTACTATTGACTAAACACTCTGAGGATTTCTTGTAAAAGGGACCCAATTCTAATGCTACTTCTACAGTGTTCCTGATGACCCAGTGTCTTCTGATGAATGTTAAGTGTTAAGTTGCTTGGTTTTTTTCTCCTAAACAAAGAGGCCAAATGCATTGCCAGTGCTTTGCTTTCTTTAATGCCACTATTGTGCAGGGATTCACTCAGCAAGCTAGAGGAATAACACGTGGGTGTTGAATACAAAGAGGCAGCGGGTTCCAAATGCAGCCTCCAAAAGACAAGGCTGTCTCCACACTCTGCATGGCATGGAATAAAACTGTGTTTTGTCCAAAATTTAAAAGCCTGACCTGCGGGTCCTTAGAGGAGAAAAAGACTTCCTGCAAAGGTGACATCTGGATTCTCTCCTTGCTTCTGCTGCTACTGCTGTTTTTACCACCATTTTCTATATTCCCATTTCTTTGCTGCAACTGTCAAATTTTAAGTTTGAAAATATTTTATTCTGCCCTCTTGCATGAAATAGTTGGAGGAGGGAAAAGCTTATGATTTCTCAAACAGATATAGTCATTTTATTGTAAAAGGGTTTAAAGGCCCCACCATTTCTTCCAGAAATTTTAATAAGCATACAGGAATAGCCAGCTGGCTAATCCTAGGAATATCCCTCCTCCCTGATCATTTTATAGAAAGATCCTGTGGTCAGGAAATATAAAGCTTTCAACACATTGACCACAGCTAGGATTATAGCCTCATATGGTAGAGATTTTTCCCACTGTCTTTTTCTGGGTCTTGTCAATATCCAGCCGTCCTCTCAGGGGTGTTGAAGTCACCTTCACCCTTCTCACTGGGGAGAACTTCAAGATTGACTGCACTAATGAGGGAGTCTGGAATTGAGACATTACATGTAAATCCATCACTGTGATTAAACTTAGCACCCACACTGTGTGTGCTTGGTAGTTTGAAAGAGCCTGGCTATTAAATGGCTTCATATTTTTATACCTTTTGGCACCCTCATAAAAGGACTTAAGGAAACAGAATTTTTCCTCCACAGCTACAGATGGACTAAGGCAAATCTATGCTAAGAAGCTATAAAATAATTTGAAATGTCTTAGGTTCATTGATAAATCAAGTCAGTAGCTCTGCAGAGTACTGTTAAAATGTATAAAAACATGTATATTAATAAAGTTATACATGTATGTAAAGATAGATATATGGGGTAACACCTATTAAATTGCAAATAAAGTAAAACCTCATTAATTCAGACTCACTTAAATTGGAATTTCTGATCTACTGAAAGTCTGGCTAAGCAGAAGTTTTTCTTTACCATATCAATGGACAAAAGTCTTGCTGAACAAATCTGTAGTGTAAATAAAGTTTATAGGGAGCATATGTAGACTAAGAGAATACACTGTTGTTACCATCCTCAAGTACTTCAGGAACACCCATTTACACACAGATAATTGAGAGTATAATTGCAAAGCATTCTTAAGTATTAACCAAAGTAGGCACTCTAAGGACCTCTAAAAGGAATCTTTAGTTATTGCAGGTCCACTTCTTTCATATACTTGAAAGAGATAAATTTTCATCCTTTTAAAAATATTCCATAGTTCAAATTTCCCACAAATGTGAGAAGCACATCTTTCTCTAGCTAATGCAAATTAATAAGCTGCTAAAACATATATTATGCTATAATACATTAATATACTAGATTTTTTGCTTTTGCATTTCAAGTATTTTAGCGAAATTTGGTATTTGCATATTTATGTGATGCCTGTGGATGCATACTTATATTTATAGCAGTATAGGATGACAGAGCACTGACCTTATCAGCTCTGCCACTATCTTGCAAGGTGAGCTTGAGTGTCAACTTGAGCCTAGGTTTCCTCACCTGTAAAATCAAGAGAAGTGCTATGGTAACCACCCTACATCTCAGACTTGGTGCAAGGATCAGATGATGTTATTTAAAGTAATGAAAGTACTTCATAAAGTGAAAGGCAAATATGTTCTCATTATTTTCTCTGCAATGGATACTTATCTTTGATTTAGAAGGAAATGAAGATGACACATATCATATTGAAATAACCAGATATATATTTTATGTTCATTATTACCAAAAAGTGTACTGTGTCCCACTTGGGGTAAAACGGAAATTGAAGCAATCTACAAACATCTATTCATTCTATTTACCATTTAGAGTGCAGGGGCAGGCATTGAAACCATAAGATTTTTTTTTAGCAATTTGTAGGAATATTTTAGATTTTAAAAATCTTTGCGATTTAATGTGTCAAGTAAGCGGAGTTTAAATGAAAATCTCACAAACACACAAGTTTTAGAAAACACAGAATGGGTCAGTCCTAAGGGCCGATAAAACAGTATGTCCAAATCAAGACCTCTGTAGCTTGGTTCATCTGCCCTCTTGTAGCCAACACCTAGCACAGTGGCTAGCACACACTTAACAATTATTTGTTCTACTATGATGCCTCTTGGTGAGCTATTAGCAAACCCTAGATAGATTTGCAAATGCAAGGACAATATATGTGCCCTCAAGGACAAAATAACTGTAAATTTCATAAGGTAAAGGACTAGGTCTGTCTTATTTTCTGATGTAGCCCCAGATTGTAGAACTTGGTGATTGTTCTACACCACCACTTGGTGTTGGGGATTTTTAAAAAGAAGAACTTATTTAGGCCGGGCGCAGTGACTCATGTCCGTAATCTCAGCACTTTGGGAGGCCGAGGCAGGTGGATCACCTGAGGCCAGGAGTTCAAGACCAGCCTGGAGAACATGGCGAAACCCCGTGTCTACTAAAAATACAAAAATTAGCTGGGAATGGTGACATGTGCCTGTAATCCCAGATACTAGGGGGCGCTGAGGCAGGAGGATTGCTTGAACCTGGGAGGTGGAGGTTGCAGTGAGCCAAGATCATGCCACTGCACTCCAGCCTGGACGACAGAGTGAGACTCCATCACAAGAAGAAGGAGAAGGAGAAGGAGAAGGAGAGGAGGAGGATGAGGTGGGGGGGAGGAGGAGGAGGTTGGGAGGGAGGAGGAGGAAGAGGAGGAGGAGAACTCACTTAATGAGCAAGCAGCTCCTAGAGGTTATGTCTTATGTAAGTTGACTAAGATGTGGTCTTTATACTCAGTTTATCATATGAAGTGACCAGGGAGACAGAATTTTATAGAACTATGGGACAAAAGAGTAAGTGTCAAGTTATGAAATAAAGTGCTCTGGGAACATACAGCACTGTTTTGCTATGCCGGTTGCACATTAAAATCATCTAGGGATTTTTTGAAGCACTATCAGTGTTCCAGATCAATTAAAACAAAGGATGGGGCTTGGGCACTAGGATACTAGTATTTTTTTTTTTTTTTTTTTTTTTTGGAGATGAAGTCTCGCTCTGTCACCCAGGCTGGAGTGCAGTGGCGCGATTTCAGCTCACTGCAAACTCCACCTCCCGGGTTGACGCCATTCGCCTGCCTCAGCCTCCTGAGTAGCTGCGTCTACAGGCGCCCGCCACTACACCTAGCTAATTTTTTGTATTTTTAGTAGAGACGGGGTTTCACCATGTGAGCCAGGATGTTCTTGATCTTCTGACCTCGTGATCTGCCTGCCTCGGCTTCCCAAAGTGTTGAGATTACAGGTGTGAGCCACCGCACCCAGCCAGGCACTAGTATTTTTTTAAAAAAATTAGGTGATTCTAATGTGCAGCCAGCAAGAGATTAGTTGACAGAAAAGTTAAAAAGGAGTAATTATAACAGGTAGAGGAGTTAGGAAAGGACATTTTCTCAGGTGAAGTAATATTTATACTAAGTCTGTTTGTCTTTATGATTCATGAAGTCCAGAAAAAATGCCAAATTTTTCTCCTTCCAAATTTTCAACAGATCTTCTCCTAGAAGAGAAACAGATTATGAAGACGAGTACCTCCCATGCACTGCTCTTCCCAACTCTTTGAAGTTCTAAATCCCAAAGACTTAAAGTGGTACCCAAGAATCTTAAAAGTCCTAGACCACATCTCACTTCGGAAAAAGATTCAATATCTGGATCAATTCAAGACACTGAATTGATAAAGATTCAATTCAACCTAGAGCAAGGTTAGGAAAACAAAAGGAGAACAAGGACCTTGTGATTCTCAAGTGGATGAATGTTTGATATTTATCTAATTTTCTTCACTTCAAGAGTTCTTCACATGTGGGCAAACCCAAGGATGTGGATTTAATCAGGGCTAGTATGACTTGAGAAGTCAAAGCATTATCTTTATCTGTCATAAGTTTCAATCATGTTCATACTTAGTTATAATAATTTACAGTCACTTTTATTTATAATAATAGGCGAATGACTTGGACCCCATATTGAGAAGGGAAACAACAGGGTTCTTTTTCTTATTACTCTGACTTTCCAATACCAACGAAGTTGGAGGAAAAATTTTTCCCTCTTCTTGCAAGTAATGCCAAAAATTGTGCACCAAAAGAGTATCCATTGTAAAGGATCTGTTTTTAAAAATAATTACTCAGGAGTAAATAGACAATCTACAGAATGGGATAAAATATTCACAAATATCCAACAAAGTTCCAATATTCAGAATCTATGAGGAACTTAAACAATTTAATAAGCAAAAAACAGATAACCTCATTAAAAAGTGAGCAAAGGACATGAACAGACACTTCTCAAAGAAGACATACAAGCAGTCAATGAACATATGAAAAAAATGCTCGAAAGCACTAATCATCAGGGACACGCAAATCAAAACCAAGATGAGATATCATCTCATACCAGTCAGAATGGCTGTTATGAAAAAGTCAAACAATAACAGATGTTGGTGAGGCCATGGAGAAAAGGAAACACTTATACACTGTTGGTGAGAATTTAAATTAGTTCAGCCTCTGTGGAAAGCAGTTTGGAGATTTCTCAAAGAACTACCTCTTTTACCAAGGACTCACCAACATGGGCCACGTTTGCACCAAAACCATGAAGAAGGCTGCCTGGGTCATCATAGAAAAGTACTACATGCACCTGGGCAACGACTTCCACACAAACAAGCACATGTGCAAGGAGATTGCCATTATCCCCAGCAAGAAGCTCCACAACAAGACAGCAGGTTATGTCACCCATCTGATGAAGCAGATTCAGAGAGGCCCAGTAAGAGGTATCTCCATCAAGCTGCAGGAGGAGGTGAGAGAAAGGAGAGACAATTATGTTCCTGAGATCTCAGCCCTGGATCAGGAGATCATTGAAGTAGATCCTGACACTAAAGAAATGCTGAAGCTTTTGGACTTTGGTGGTCTGTCTAACCTGCAGGTCACTCAGCCTACAGTTGGGATGAATTTCAAAATGCCTCGGGGACCTGTTTGAATCTTTTCTGCAATGCTGTATTATTTTCAATAAATCTGTGACAACAACAAAAAAGAACTAAAAACAGAACTACCATTTGACCAAGCAATCTCATTACTGGATATATGTACCCAAAAGAAAAATAAATCATTCTATGAAAAATACACATGCCCCTGTATGTTCAATGAAGCATTAGTCACAATAGCAAAGACATGGAATCAACCTAGATGCCCATCAACAGTGAATTGAATAAAGAAAATGTGGTACATATACACTGTGGAATACTATGCCACCATAAAAAGGAACAAAATCATGTCCTTTGCATCAACATGGATGCACCTGGAGGCCATTATTCAATTGAATTAATACAGAAACAGAAAACCAAATATACTTCATATTCTCACAAGTGAGAGCTAAACATTGGGTATACATTTACATAAACATGAGAACAATAAACACTGTGGACAAGAAGACGGGGGAGGCAGGGAAGGCCGGGCACAGTGGCTCCCGGCTATATGTTACTTTTGATGAGTATAAGGTGGATCACTTGAGGTCAGGAGTTTGAGACCAGCCTAGCCAACATGTGGAAGCCTGCCTCTACAAAAAATACAAAAATTAGCCAAGCATGGAGGAGGGCGCCTATAATCTCCACTACTCGGGAGGCTCAAGCAGTGGAATTGCTTGAACCAAGGAGACAGAGGTTGCAGTGAGCTGAGATCACACCACCGCACTCTAGCCTGGGTGACAGAGTGACACTGCAAATCAAATAAATAAATAAATAAATAAATAAAATGGAGTGGGGAGGTAAAGGTTGAAAAACTACCTACTGGGAACTATGCTTACTACCTGGATGATGGGTTCAGTCATACCCCAAACCTCAGCATCTTGCAATATACCCATGTAAAAAACCTGCGCATGTAACTCATAATCTAAAATAAAAGTTGAAATTTTAAAAATAAAAAATAAAAGTAAAAAGTTATAAGTTTAAAAATATTGTACTCCAGTCCAATTGGATCAGAATTTTTTTAAGCTCTCTTCCTTCAAAGCCATAGAAAGATATGTAGAAAAAAATTGACACTAATATCTAAAATAGAAACCTAAGCTCTAACATCTATTGTAGAGGGAAGAGCACTTTGACACCAAAGTTATATTTGCAGTTCTGTCGAGAGTTACATGCCTGAGGTTGGACAAGCCATTCTTTAACATCTTATGATGTTAAAAGAACTCTTTCCAAGCTAATGTTGCATCCTATTTTAAATTCAACTTATTAACAACAGTTTCCAAATGCATACAAGGCAAGTGTATTAGTCTGTTCTCAAACTGCTAATAAAGACATACCCAAGACTGAGTAATTTATAAAGGAAAGAGGTATAACGGATTCAGTTCAGCATGGCTGGGGAGACCTCACAATCATGGCAGAAGGCAAAGGAGAAGCAAAGGCATGTCTTACATGACACAGGCAAGAGAGCCTGTGCAGGGGGATTCCCATTTATAAGATCATCAGATCTTGTGAGACTTATTCACTACCACCAGAACCAGAACAGTATGGGGAAAACTGCCCCCATGATTCAGTTTTCTCTACCTGGCCCTGCCCTTGACATGTGTGGATTGTTATAATTCAAGGTGAGATTTGGGTGGTGGGGACACAGCCAAACCATATTGGCAAGCAAGTGAATGTCCTAAGGTAAAAAAGTTAACATCCCTCTAGTGTTTTCGGCATTGGTTTACAGATGCCAATATTAAAAATCACTTGAAATTTGGTTTCACCATTACCACCTTTGAACAGGAGTTTTACATCTCATTCTAAGTATTTAGCACCCTGGCCATTCTACCTGGCCGAGTTATGAAGATTATATATATTATCTTTTTTTTTTTTTTTTTTGAGACAGGGGTATTACTACATTGCCCAGGCTGGTCCTGCAGTCTTGGGCTCAAGCATCCCTCCTGCCTCAGCCTCCAGAATCCAGAGTAGCTAGGATTACAAGTGTGTGTCACCATGCCCAGCTATATATTACTTTTGATGGGTATAGGTAGCCCATGTGGACTTTGTTGGTAGTCAGAAACTTTTTCTTACACAGCTATTGCTTATCTAAATAAAAGAGCCATAGCTCCTGCACTCTATTTTTTCTGCCTAAGTAAGGCTGTGTGTGGATAAAATGTTACTAGGCAGTAGAAGGAAACATTAAAAGGGTACTGTTATCATTACAGTTTTAAGTTCCATCTTACTTATTCAAGGACTACAAAGCAATGGATTAAAAAGATGCATGACTAGAATAAATGACAGAACAGATCAGTCCTAGAGACACCATACTTTCAGGCCTGCCACTAATAGATCCAACAAGTGTATTCAATTCAACTGTACACTTACAGACCTAACCAGAGCCTGAGAACTCATGACCACTGTTGTCTGTGTAGATTCAGAAAAGGTGCTTCTACTCCCTCCATCCATATATATTTCATAAGCCCTTCTTTCGTATTAATGAGACCTTAAATATTACCTATAGGGCCCCATAAACCCCTTGCTATATGCCCTGTGTGGCCAGGTGCTTACCGACCCAAAGACTTGTCAAGGAATCAGCTGGATAGAAAAGGAATATAACGTGTTTGATTGGCATGATGAATTATATTATTAAAACAACCCAGGGTATGGATGATGGCAAGTCCAAAGGAGAATCAAAATCACCCAAATCTTCCCTATAGCTGAGAAGGGCCACAAAGGACCTAACTGATTATAAGGTTAGAAATTACATTTTCAAGTTCCCATCTGGAGGCATGTTTGTTTCTTGCTGTGTAAGTTTGCTCCTGAGTTCTTCAATGGCCTGTTTTGAAAGGGTGCAACTGAAACAAATGTCTCTGTCTTAAAGACTTGAAAAAAAAAATCATTGAAAACAATGTAGGGATATAAATGTCTGCGACCACAGCCAAGATAAAAAATGCAAAGTCTGGGCCACCTTGCCTTTAATTTTCTAACTGCTGTTTTGTAAGGCTGTGTCATGCTTCTCAGTTCAAACACGCTTTGGCTCTTTATTATTCATGGACCTTTTTCTCAGTCAGTGGTGTTGAATAATAAAACAGCCCAGGATCAAATGGGCCAATTCTCCACGCCTGACACCAACTGCTACTGTTCGCTGGGCTCTGCCAAGCGTTGCCTCTGATAATGAGTGGGATTTGGTTAAACAGTAAATTAATGAATAATGAAATATCCAGGTTGATCAGTTAGAGAGCACGCTTGCTTTGCCCTGGGCTAAATGCTTGGGGCAGAAATTACTCTCAAACGGCACTTGCCTGGCTGCTGGTCTGGATAACTATTTTACAGCCTATTGCTTGACAGAATGCTGGGGAGGGGGAAGTCAGTGAGGGAGAGGAAAGGAAGGACAGAGTTATTAACAGCAAAAACAAAAAAAAACAAAAAACAACAACAACAAAAAAAACGGGACAGAGGAAGAATAACCTAGTTACCACCTTGTAGGTTTCTAAACTGCATGTGTAAGAACAAAGTCACAAATATGACCTGGAGAAGTCAGAGTTCCAAAATTCCCAACACATGTTTAACATCAAGGAGAAATGATGAGTGATAACAGTCTTCTACGTGTGCACATATGTGATTAAATGTAGAATGATTCAACTGCAAACTCATGTTTCTGTGTCCATGTTAGAGTGATGACATGCAGGGAAGCTATCCAGTATGCAGTTGACAGGAAAACTCTACCCTCATTTTAAGGTTTCAGACTCTGGTTACTAGACATATCCCCTTCTACAAATTTTAGAACATTAAAAATAGGATGGCTTTTCCAAATGACATCCATTAGGAAAAAAGTTTCACTGCAATTGTGATTCCAGGAGATACATACAGAGAGATAGAGATATAGAGAGATATTTTGTCACTTTTCAACCTTAACTTCACCCAAAAGTTTTAAGTTGTTATGGAGTTTTCTGCATGCATATGTAATAGGTTTGCTCATTCAAGATCGCAGGTATATCCTTTCCAAGAGACAAGCTTTGGATCATCAAAAACCCACAACAGAGTGCCATAAGGACAACATGTACCAAGAAAATGTCTTATTTCACTGTTTTGGAGATACATTTCTCTAGTTGGTTATCTCTGGAATATCTTATTCTTTCAGATGTTTGACCCTTTCAAATGGGCTTGAGATTAGTAGACTTTGCAGTTTTACACACTAAAGGTTGAAGCACTTTTCAAAAAATTGACAAACATGTAGTGAGTATTAGTGTTTTGTCAAGGTTGGGGTTTGGTTTGACTTAATTTGTTTTTAGGTGGATGAAAGAGGGAAGTGCCTTCACAAAACTGACGAGAGAGTGAAAATGTATTCCGGAACCTAATTTAATAGTCCTCACATCTGAAAGTAAACCCCAAACAAGGTTGAAGAGAGGCAGACTGTCTTCTGCTCCTGTGTATAGGTGACATATGATAGGATCGTTTTTTAAATGCCCACAGACTAATAAAGATGGGGAAGAAACACATGAATTACCTATAGCTTCAGAGTACATAATTAGTACACTCCATTCCTCAGGGCCTGAGAAGCAGGAAGGCTTAGTTGATGTTATTCCATTAGTTTCATCCTGAAAAGCAGTGTCATAGACAAAGATTTAACCTCTGCACACTGGCACCCAACTCCCCCTCCCAAGAAAAAATAAAATGCTCTAATTGTCTTTATTACTTTCAGACATTGGCTCCAAACACAGATGTTCACTCCTGAGAATTAAAGGAAGGGTAAAAGGTCACAGGGACCAAGATCAGCTTGATCCTTCTTTAGATTATTTGGCCCCATTGTCTTGAATGGTCTTCATCTTTGAAGAAGAAAAGAATATTTAGATTGAACATAAAAGTGAACGCATCATTCAGGGGTCTCATTTCACTGGGAGGGCTCATGCCTGTGGCCCCCTCTCCTGCCTCCCTAAACATAGCAAAAGGAAAAGCATGTGAAACAACCTATTTTTAAAAAGCCTTGCTTTTGCCTCAATCTTGATAGTTCCCCATCTTTAGGAATCCCTGGCCAAAAGAATTCTATATTGAAAGCAAGAGAAGCAAGAGCCTTAAAACCTAAGCAATGAGAAAAACAACAACAACAACAAAAATTCCTTCTGCTTAACATATGCGTCTCTCATAAAATTCACATTGGCAAACACTACTTTGTTGTGGTTGAGTTTTATTTAGTCCTAATATTGGGGAGTTCCCATATTGTGATATGGTGTGTATGTGAGTAAGTAGCCCTAACTACAGTCCCCCAAAAGGGCCTTTCACCTAGTCACTTGGCAAACCATGTATCAGAGAGAATAACATTTACCCAAAAGTCTTCCCAAGATTGATGCTTTAATCTCAAAAGTTAGTACTGGCATTTTTTGTATGTTTTTTATTTGTTTGGCGAGGACTAGCTAATGGAGCACTGAGGTTTGATTTGGTTTTATAGTTGTTTTCGTTGCGTTGCCTAGTACTTTCTCAGCCATTCTGTACAAAACCTACCTGACCCTTTTCAAACTTAGAACAAGCAGCTGACCGTTTAGAAGTAAAATCCAACGCTGTGTAGAAACTGTCTAAAGATCGGATTTCCTAAATCCGAGAAACTCGAGTTTCGAGTCGCACTCTCTTTGCCCAAGTAACCACCACCAGCCTTCCGCGCAATCAGGTGCTTCTGAGCTCTAGGGCATCTGATCGAGAGTCCGGACGCTGAATTTCCAGTGTTCAGGGCCTTATGGTTCACATGGCAAGTGCTAGGGCTCAGTGACTGGACTCGATCCTCCACCCTATTCTGCGCAGTAGACCTGTCTGGTTTGGGGAGTTTCCACACTAGAGAAGACTTGAATGACTTGCATGTTCAGTCTCAGTCTCAGAGAAGCTCCCCTTTCCACGTCTCTGTACCCCAGCATTCATGTGCCAGCTTTTCTCTAGTCATTTGATAAATGTCTGCACAATTCGGGACATGTGGCTATTACAGGGAACAAACTGTGGCACCCCTCCCTCCCCCCAAATTCTACGCCTATACGCCGTGGCCATGCCCTCCTCCCAGTTAGGCAAATGGTTGGGTGAGCAAGCGTTGGCTAATGACATCTGACAGCCACATCCTTGAAACGTTTGCTAATATCTCCGCGAACAGGCACGTTCGGGACGTTAACTGGTCGAGTTACAGATGACTGCCAGAGTTGCCCTCCGTGCAGCCTGGGCAAGTCACGCTTTGTTAAGTCCATTGGCCATTATGCTGATTTTAAAAATTTTAAAGAGCATTTTTATGCAGAGGACTCTCTCGACAGCAGGTGTGACCCCTATTTGGGCTCTGGACGCCTCTCGCCTGAGTCAGCTCCAGAAGGCTGCAGCCCTTAGGAGAGAGGAGGAAAAGCGAAGAGCAGGGTGGGCAGGAACTAATAGGTTTTCGAACAAGTGGGCGAAAAACTACCTGACCTTGCTAGCTTGTGACCAGCGTGGAACGTGTTGAACATGTGTGACAAAACTGCTTCCTCAATCTGAGCACACGCAGCTTACAAAAAAAAAAAATTGAAGGCTTCCCACGCTGCAGCCCCTTCAAACCCCAGTGCCCTGATCCCGAGGGCGCGCCACAAACTCTAGCAGGCGAGCTGCGAGCCCTGGCCCGTCACAGCAGCTGGGGTTACGCCCGGGGGCGCCACGGCGCGTGCGCCTGCGTGGGCGTCCGCGCGTGCGCACTTGTTGACACCCTGCTTGGCAACCTGGAGAGCGTGCCTAGACGCGGGCTCCCGGAGCCGTGTGCGACGGCTCGACGCAGGCTGGCGCGGCGCACGCGCGGTTCGTTGGCCCGCGGTCCCTGTGCCCGGAGCGTGTGTTATTACCCAGTCTCCCAACTGGTGTCGGTGATTGAGCTCTGGAAACCTGAAGGAAAGACAGTGGGAGTGCGCCGGCATGTGACCCAGGGGAGGGGCATGGCGGGACCCAAGCCGGGAAAGTAGACCCGGGGAGATGTTTGACTGACCTCATCCTGAGTAAGCCCATGGGGTTATTTATGAGGCCTGATTTAAAGTAGTGGCTGCCAGGAAAGTGAAAAAGGAGCTCACCTCAAGCTATGAGAGGAGCTACAGTCGCAAGAATGCTGTTTATGACTATATAAATCACCGTGGAGCGTGTGATGGGAAATATGGAGACTGCGAGTTTAGGATAGAAACAAGGAAACAAAGTCAAGAAGGAAAAATGAGTTTTCGCCCTGTCTTTTTTATCCACTCCCTCCGACCGCGCGCAGTTCCTCCCTCCCCTAGGATACCGCGATCCCGGCGGAGAGGAACGGGAGGAGAGCGCGCCCCCCCGCCCCACACCCCACCCCGTCGTGGGTCGGGTCTGCCCGAGTCTTCCCCAAGTTTACACCAGGATCGTTAGAGAGCCAGGGAATACATGTAAATAAACAGCTTGGAAGATTTATGGGAAGGAGTTCAATTTTATAGGACTGTATTTATAGAGCAAGCGCTGGCTCACTTATAAATAGATTAATGGGAAGCTCAAATTAATGGACTTGTGAGCTGCACGTTTAATTTCTGAGGCTTCAACATGACAGACAACCGCCCTCAAAGTCCAAGCGTGGAAGGCAGCTTGCCCTGAGAAGCCGAGAGCGCCCTCAGGAAGGGACACTTCCCACCGGGCCAACAACTCTCAGGTGGCCCCTAACTTCGGCGCCCAGGGTCCCTGGGAAGGGACCCTACGGAACTGTTATTTGCAAATGAAGAAAAGGAATGTGGCTTCATAAAAAAATAATCGGGTCTTCCTTCCAGCACTATTTTTAATCAAGCCCTTAACCCGCTAACACGAGCCGGCGGGTGCGTTCTGGGCCACTGTAAGCCGCCCACCGGATCTGGCGGTCTCAGGGTCCCTGCGCTGGGCCGGTCAACGACCTAGAGGTTCTAGCTACTGCTCTTTCCTTACTCCCTCTACAGCCTGCTAACACTGTAACAAAGGGGCCGGGGAGCTGTGACACGCAGCCCAGGGCTGTCTTAGTCAAGGCTGTCTCCAGCTTCCAACCCCTTTTCTTTCCCTTTTTGGTTATTCTTGCCAGGTCTTTCCTTCAGTTATTTTCAGGCTCCTCAAAATCTTGGGTTTTACTTACTAAAGGTGATTGTTTCAGACCCTCTTTTTGCCAAGTGGCGGTGGTGGGTAGGAGTAGCCTGGAGCTTACCTGTGGGATAATAGATTGCAGGTCGGTTTATCAAGGGCTCGTGCTAACCTTGAGCAGGAAAAATTGCCATACGATATGGAAATTACCCACCACCTGCTTTGTATAATCCCAGTGGTAACCAACTCCCATCCTCTGTAAAGCAAATGAAAGGAACACTCAGTGTAACAATTGAACCAGAGAATAAGACATATCTATTTTTTTCTAGATAAATGTATGTCCTCATAAGCACACATCCCTTGGTTTTCTCTGCTTCCTTGTTTCCTTTTATTCCCCCCCCCATTTTTTGTTTTTTGTTTTTTTTTGTTTGTTTGTTTGTTTTGCTTTTCTTTGATTCCACTATTTATAGTTCTAGCCATGATCTTCCCGCTTTTAATTAATAGGACAGGAAGGGGGAAATCTCACATAAAGCAGATTCCATTGTTCCTTCTGCCTTTCCCTATAAGGAAGTCCAATTGAAAAAGATTCACGTTTAAAAACAGAAAATTGGTATGGGAGGCATATTATTAACTGAAAACAAACTATATGCTAAGCACTGATATATAAATCTGGGATCATCATGATTTAAAGTTTCCAATTCTCCTTAAACTCATATACAGGTTGCTGTTTCTGCTTTTTATAATTAAACTATAGGCAATATTGATGAAGTAAAGGACCTTAGGAGGTCCATATTTATTTTTACAGATAAAGACCTTGAGGCGCAAAAAGGAGCAGTGACTCATCCAAACTGTTTAACATCGTGGGTGATTTTGCTTTCCTGGCCTCAAGGAAGACACCTAAGCCTTGGAATAAAATACAGATTGAGACGATGTTTGATCACTGCAGCCCATTAGGGCCCAGCTGAAGCCTATTAACCCAGGTGTGAAAAGCTCTGGCTTCTCTAGGCAGCCTCTGAGCCTAGGGTAGGAGCCCCCCAACTTCCTAAGACATGTACACTTTTTTCCTCTTCTCAGTTGAGGGAGCTTTTTCCTCCATTGTTTATGGAGGGCCTTGCACTGCTAATGAGGTCAGGGTCGGGTTCAATTCTGAAATGGGGGTTAACTCCTTCATATCCCAAGTTGAGGGGTGCAGGAGCCCACACCCAGCCCTGAAGACTTCTCCTGCACCGTGCACCATCTCCTTCTTAGAACACTATGCCAGAATGCCAACCCACGAGCAGTGGGAAGGGAGCATCATCTCTGACAGCAACCCAGAGTCCTCTAGTTACCTGGGAAGTAAATTTGACTCCTCGATTTGTAAAGGGCAGAAGAAACCAAAAGATTCAGTTAACATTAGCTTTTATTGCAAATCTGGTTAGAAATAGGAGAGAAGAATGTAAATTTGGAATTTAAAAAAATCAAAAACACTTCTCCTAGTGAAAAAAAGTTCATTTTTCTGAGAAGCAAAATTTATTATATTTCTGTTGTAATGAAAACGCTGTGGGTGCTTCGATGGGGGAGGACAAAAAGTAAAAAGCTTCTTACACTTTTCCTCTGTCGGTAGAATTAAAAACATTGTCCACATTTAAGAAACTGAAGATGAAAACACAACAATCTTTTTATTTATGTAAATCAGATTAACACTGGACAATAAACCAATTTCTACCCATTACCATAACAGCTTGTTTATAAAGAACAGAAAAATTCAGATAGGATTCTATCTAGGGTCAAGAGGTTTTTTAACCACCCATTCACAGAGGTATAGATTCACAGATAAATAATCCCAAACTACTTGCTCGCCATATTTACACATTCCCATTAAATTAAGCATAAATAAATATATACAAACTTAACATGAATACCCTCCAGAGCTCTTCTCGTGAAGAGTCAATAGATTGATATTTCTTGATTGTGTGGCAAAAACAATGTTAGAGAATTAGAGACCAACTCAAAGGTGGAGTCGATTTTGGCATTTAAAGAAGGATAGTGTTCATTCCGTTAAAAAAAAATTGATACTTTTTTTTTTAAGCCAGTAATTTCACATACATCGTCAAAGGTGGGGAAACGCCGTTTGGGCTCTTGAGGCAACATCAGACGGTTTAAGGTTATTTCCTTTCCACATAATGTATTACAAGTACAGGATATCAGATGTGATGACAAATTCTCTATAAACACTCTTAACTAGGAAAGCATTGTAGCAGAGGAACAGTGTGTAGATAAGCTCGAGGTTTCGAGTTTTCCATTCGACCAAAGTTTTCGTAGGATATGAAATAATTGCTTGAGAGAAAGTGGCTTCCTTGGCCAAGGAAAACAAAGCAGCCAGGTCTTTAAAAGCCTCTTCGGTTCTTTAAGTGGGGATGGAGGAAAGCTATGGGTGTGGAGGCCAGAAGGAAGGAAAGAAAATGCAAGGTAATTGGGGGTGTAGGAGTGAAGGTGGTGGGGAAAAGGGGGAGAAAGTTACCTTCCCACTTTGGGGGAGAAGTTAAAGATCTTTTTAGGTGACGGAATCCTCACCCAAACAGGACATTTCTTGCTCCCCAGAGACCTGCAATACGTGCAGGAGGCGGCAGGGTTTGGCAGAGAATGGTCTGGAGATCTTTGGAACCTTTAAAAGAACTTGCGAAGTGGAAAGTGTGAAGGCAGCACTGCCACATCCTGACTCCTCCTGTCTTTCGCTATTTTGTTTTGGGACTGAGCGTTTAGGAGTGGGCAGGGACCAAATGTCTGAAGAGTGCAGGGGCCGGGGGGAGAGCTGCAACTCACCTGTTTGGTTTGAAAACAAAGCTCAAAGGGGCTTGCCTTAAACGTCTCCCTTGACTTAAAAGGCAAACTATTGCGTTAATCCTACTGTTTATTGATTTATAGGCCCAAGGAAACCAAATCTTTTAATAACTCAATTATCAGATAAATGTAGCGGGCCTGGCTAAGGAAAGCAAGGGGGCGGGGGTCCTACATGAAAGGAGAAGTGAGGGAGGGAGAAGGGGTAGTGGGCTCACTCCACGAAACGGGGTTGGGGGCGCAAAAGGTTCTATCTCGCTGGAGCAAGGAGGAACACACAAATGAGGGCGTCTGGCAATGAAGGTACCCTGCCTTGCCAAGTAAGACAATTCCCATCCCATCTCCCCGCTTTAGGATTGTGACGGTGGGGTGTTTCCGTACTGGCAGAGGTGGAGGAGGGGAAGCTTCGGATTCCTTGGATATTTCTAGGCCACTCTCCCTCCAGGAGCCGGCGCCCCGGGTGGCCGCTGGCGGCGCTGGGAGCCCTCCCCACCTGCAGCCCACCGGGCGCCGCCCCATTACCTACTGGAGAATGGGGCTTTCTCGGTCGCCTTAGCCCTTAGGGTGAGACCGAGAGCGGGAAGGGCCCGCGCAGTCGGCAGCCCCTCCAGCGGCTGATTCTATGTCCTCAACACGACTGGGCGCCTGTGGCCCACACGCTCTCAGGACCTGCACAGTAAGAGCAAGGCGCGTCCATCGCGTCTCTCGCACGTCACACGCGTGGGGCGCGTTGCCCTGCAAGGAAAGGAGACGATCGTTTTCAGTGTGGTCTCTCCTGGCCTTGTGCAATCAGAACACATCTAATGCGATCGGCCGAGCTCTCGGACGAAGGCGCAGGCCTCTGAGCTGGGAAAAGAGAGTGACTACACTCTCCGTAACGTCTAGCTCTTGGCCATTGCATTCCTCTCAACAGTTCTAGGGCTGGGCCATGAAGATCAGAAGTGCTAAACGAAGCTAGGGGTTGGAGATGGGCTGCAGTGTGGCCCTAACAGTTGCTTGGGCCCTTTTGGTGACCTGAGACGAGCTTCCTAACTTCCCTTTCCTCTTTTAATAAAAATGGGCAAAGCTCTCAGCAGATTCCTAAAACCCCAACGCAATCCCCACTCCCCCAATCCCCACCCCCACCAAGGCAAAGCGGGAGGGGGGCAAAACCGGGAGTCCTGGAGAATTGAGTGGGTCCTAACTATAAATCCTGCAGAACAACATCTATGTCGTTATCTTTAAGGGGTATTGCAAAGATCTCGTCTACTTTGTTAAATAGGTGAGTGTATCAACACTATATTTAGAGACCTCTCTCATTCACCCTTATCCCGGGATAATTTCTCACTGCTTTTGCGGAGGTGCAGACAATGGATTCCAGATCTTATTTCATGATAATGCTAAGATGGAGCCCAAGAAAGGAGCTGGGCTGCCAGAAGTGAGAAATATTAAATGCATGAAACTTTATCCACTGGGAATAGTCCCGATGTATCCAGACGGTAAAAATCAAAGCTGAAATACATCTCCCTTCACTTTGCATTATTTTGCCATTATATGCCAAAACAAGTGCACGTCTGGGAGGGAAAAATGCCTCATTCATAAAGCATCTTGTAAGAAAGCAATTGTTACAGAAATGTGGGTGCTTGTGCCGCCCTCCTCCCCACGTCCACTCGTAAAGCTGCTTCTTTCCTTGCTTAAACAGCAATCACCAAAGAACCCAGGGAAATCAAATCAATTTTAAATGCAGGGCAATACTATTAGAATATAGGGCTCTAAGAATCCTTACTCTTTTCCCTTAAAATTCATTTTGCAGACCCCCTCCCCTGCCACCTCCACCGGAATTGGAGTGTTGAGGAATGTTAGCATGTAGATTCAAAGCTGCTTCCATCATATTGGCCACTTTCTAAATTATTCCCTTTGAGCTTCTTTAAAGAAGTGCACCTGCAGAATTCTGACACACAGGCTTTGATTAAAAAGGGATCGGATTTTTTTTTCTCTGTACCTTATAGATTGTGTAGGAAGCCCAAGTCCTCTTTGAAGAAGCTCATAAACCATGCGGGCAAAGCTTTGGAAAACAGAAGAGAATGAAATGGTACATACCCCTCCGAAGGAATTACATACTAATCAACGTATTCATATTGTGTGTGTGTGTGTTTTTTTTTTTTTACTATAGTTCATAAAATTAGTAGATGACACAAATATAATAAATGTGAGATTCTCTCTATGCAGATGCTGGCAAGGCTGGGAGCTAGTAACATTTCTGAAAGGAACTGATGATGTTTGAATCAACTTATTGGTCCGGATTTTCCTCAGCCGCCAGAACCTGCTCTGCCGGCCGGCACCAAAAATTGCAGCCTCCGCCTGGTCTCCACAGGCCTCCCGCCCCGCCCTCGCCCTCCCTAATTATGCAAGCGGCCGGGGAGCCGGGCCCGGTGAGTTAAGATCGCAGGGCTGGGCGGGGAGGTACCGAGAGGACTGAAACAACGCAAAAGGGCCAACCACACTCATTTTCATCCCAGAAGATTCCCGTAACAATGTGAGGAAGGGAGGGTAACATGGAAAAGGGTGGTTGGGAGACGGGTGAGGTGAGATGGAGGGCGGGGACTGCGAGAGTTTCCTAAAAATATATTTAAAATTAAAAAGTTCGTGCGTCTCAGTCAACCAGCTCTCAAAGCATTGACACCAACGTTTCTCCGATTTTCTTCCAATAAGTTAGCGTTTTTCTCATGTTTAGTCTTATGTTTATTTTCCAAAGGGAAGGGGAAATCATGGTTTTCTTTTATTATCAGTATTACTAAACTCGAAAGAACCGAAGTGGAAAATCCGGACGGTTGTCTCCAAATGTATCTTGAAATAGACACTGAGAACCGATATTGTTGCTCCGTTGTACGCCTCAGTTTTTTTTTAAGTTATTTAGCTTTTTTTTTTAAAATTTTGATTGTATGTGTATTCTACCTAATATAATTCTTCCAAAGCCAATCCAATATTTTAAAGCTAAAATTAAATTTTTGTCTGTTTTTCCTTTTGTATTTAAAACATTTTTCCTTCTTTTTTTAAAAATTTTTCATTTCCTGTGTTTCTCCTCCTTGTCGCCAGTTTTACTACCTGGGCCTTCCCCAGACGTGTGCCTGTTAGTGGTGGTGTTGTTCAAGAACATCTTGTCCATGCCTTTGAGCGCCTCGGTGAGATAGTTCTGCAGGGCCGTGAGCGCGGCGCAAATGGCCGGGGCGCCGAAGCCGTGCGTGATGAGGCTGAAGTGCGTGAGGCAGCTCTGGATCCCCGGCTCCAGGATGGGGCTGGGTCGGCTGTTCCCTATCGGTGTCCGGTCCTGCGCCAGTAGATCCGTAAATTCTTTACAAAGTTGCCTGCAAAGGGGTGGGCGAGGCACAGAAAATCACCCTCAGTGTCGTTGTCATTGGCATTAGAAAGGAGACGCTCACACAAGCCCAGAGGCGCCGGGTCACCGAAGAGCGAGGCTAATGTGGGCGATTCCGCTCTGTTTCCTTTCCCAGCGCCCTCCCTTCTCGAGCAGCTGGGACTGAAAGGAAAGCGGGGGTGGGGAGGTAATGCACCCCTTCCACCCCAAAGCCTTGCCTTCCCCCGACTTCAGCCTTTCTCCCCTCCATTCCAGGACCGCCTGGACTCGCTTTGGGACATTCGCTAGGCTTTAGCAGTTGATTTTTAATACTTCATAATATTGAGCTCTTACCTGGCATTTCTTTTGAGCTGTTTCCCCCGCGCCCCTCCCACCTCTCCAACCTCTTGGTGATCAGGCGCAAAAAGCCCTGAAAGATTTAGGCCCCTCGGCCACAAGCCTGTCCCTGGCACTGAAGCAGATTGCTGGAGCCTTCCATGGCCCAGGGCAAGAAACTGTTTATTCTAGAGAATGCTGATTCCATTCAAAGCAAAAACCTGTTTACCTGCAGTATTGGGGGAGGGAGCTAGTTTCTGCCTTTCCCTCCTTTCTTTCTTCCAAGTGTAGGGCACTGAAAATCTTTGTATAACCAGACTGTTGTCAATATAAAAGGATTCCCATATAGTTTAAATAAAACCTAAAGGTAGGCTGTTAAGACACTAGGGAGGATAGATTTTTATTTGTTGAAGGTTTTTATTTCCTCAAGCCACCTACAATTTAGAGGAATCTCCCAGCCTTAGAAATCCTGCGTGCCTACCTATGGATTGAGCTTATTTGAGAAATTTTAATATAGGAGCTGGATGGGATGGTTCTAGCCCTGAAGGTCAAATGGCTGGCAGGCAGACACACAGCATCCCAAAGGCCACAGCTTTTCACAGATGGGCAGATTTCTCATGTCCACCTGCCTGTACCCAGCCTATGGGTCTGTGGGGTTTAGGAAAAAAATAAACCTACAGCACTCCAGTCCTAGACCCACAATGGGTTGGCCCGACTCACAGATACCTGGCCACACCTGGCCTAGCCAACAGGTAAACAGGGCAGGTGATTGGACTCAAAGAATCCTGGGGCATCCTTTCCTAGGGTGCTGCCACTTTGGGATAGTGGCTAAATCTGATGAGGAATACCACCCAGTCACAGAAGCTAAACTGTTGCTGGTTTTAAGATGGGTGGATAGAGAACACTAACAGGCACCCTCGATTCTCCCTTTGAAGTACACACATACATCCTCACAACCAGGAAGAAATAGATAAGGGTTCTGACCAAAGTGGGGCAGTTTTTAAGCTCTTAAGAGGTACACCTTAGAAACACCTGTGGGGTTCAAACACACACTCCCAGGCCCCCACCTCCAGTAATTCCAATTTAGAAGATTTGAGGATAGCCCCATACAGAAATATCTTGAAAAAGCTCACCAGCTGATTCTGATACCCTAGGTTCAGAAGTGCTGGCCTAAGAGAAGCCACAGTGCTTGGACAGTGGGTAGTTAGATGCATACCTTAGAGAAATGAGAGTCATTTGTGGGTCCTATCTGATTTATACAGTTTGGTTTTATTTTTTTCCCTAAAGTACCCTTCCTCTTTTATAAAGCACAACTGATCCCCCCCACACACACACCCCGTGCCTCACCAGACACCAGCGCAAGGGGCAGGAGGGCAATCTACTGACAAATACCTATTTTACTGCTGGTTGATACAGCAGATGAAAACCTTCAAGAAAGAGGGTGGATGCCAGGTTTTGATCATTGGGAGAGATGGGTAAAGTCTTTCCTTAAGTTTGTACTCATTACCAAAGTGCCAAAAAAGACATTCTGAACTGGGGAGAACAAATGCTTAGAGTCAAACATTTTAAATCTTCAAAGCCCAAACCAGGGTCTGTAAGCAATTAAAGTTCTGGGACATTAATATTTTTTGACCCTGCGGAAAGGGGCAATCAAATTCCAATCACGTCTCAAAAACATCTGGACAAATTTGAGCAAATGATTTTTCAGCCTTCCATATATTTCTTTAAATTACGCTGTCAACGGGACAAACCGCGTCCTCCAACACTAAATAAATGAGCGCGGCTGTTTGGGCCGCGCCTGCAAGAGAAACGTGCGGGCGCACGCAGCGCCGCCCACTGCAGGCCTGAGCCGGCCATAAAACACCAACAATATGACACCGAAGCCAAAGACAGGAGTAAATCAAATAAATAGAAAACCCACTGTAAAAGTTCAAATGAGCTCTAGACCTAAATTTAGCCAGAGATTTACTATTTTCCCCTCTGGAGTTGTAGTAAATTTTACAAGTCTGTGGAAGATGACAAACAGCAACGTTGGAAACGGAGTAATTAGAGCTGTGGGTAGAGATGGGTACACGTGGGTTTTATAGACTCCCTGAGCGAGCACACATGGCTATGTGGCTACGACAGAGAGATAGATGTGAAACCCAAGCAGAAATATGCACCTTCGGATCCAGGGAAGAGCTGGAACAAGAACTCCCTCAGAAAAGATCTGCCTGACATCCCCAGAGTGATAGAAGAGAATTGTAAGAAGGCTGGATTCGGATTAACAAAGCCATTTTCCCCAGAGAGGACACCTGAGACAAACCTGTAGCCCATCAACTCTGCCTACCTTGCTTGCCAGAGGCTGCAAATGCTACTTCTAGACAACCCTCTGGCTTCTTTCTCTGCCCCTCCCCACCACCTACTCCAAAGTCGGGTGGCCTAGCCAGCTGGGAGTGAGATGAGGGCCCAGAGTCTAATAAACTCACTTGGTGGCCAACAGCATATTCTTTCGGGAGTGCAGGTCACTCGGGTCTGTGTGCTGCCGGTTCAAATACTCAGAGACGGCTTTGGCGGGAAACTCCGTTTCGCAAATGTACCCAAAATCCCTAGCTAAGTGAACAGCTTCTCCTGAAAAAGACAGCAGTAAAGGTAATAATCAGCACCCAGGCCCTAAATATCCCAGGGCGGAGACATTCCCTTGTCAGCTTTGTTAGTATTTCCAGAGAAGGCCAGCTGTTGGAGCCAAAAGCAAAGGTGAGAGATGCCTAAAGGAAAAATGATTCTCAAGCTATAATTAAAATTGGTGGGACCAACTTTGCTCCTGTCTCTTTTTCCTGCCTCTCCCTGAGCCAACTCCTAGCTAGACATCCCCTGAATAGCTACGGGGTCTCCTACACCCTAATCTTTTTGTCAAGAGCCACCTTATAATTGAATTTGGACATTTGGCTGGACATTTAAGCCAGATTCCTCTTTCTTTTTAAAGCATCTGTCACACTTGCTTTAAATAAAATTTAAAAGTGACCATCATCTTGCTACAACTGTATTCCAACAAATATATAAAAACAAGCCCATGTGTATATATGTCCACATATATTAAACACTATATGTAAAATGTATATGGAAAGAGTATTTCTATCTGCAATGAAATAATAATTCTCCTTGTCACTTTTCCTGCTAGTCAAGTTTCAGGTTTCTCCCCTTCAGAGGTTCCTGTCATCATCCTCCTACTTCAGGACTTTTCACTGCACAAAGATGACACAGCAGCTACAGAAAACTGGAGTATCTAAGGTATTACTCAGCTTATGTGAAAGCCCCTTTCAAGTAAAGCATTATTACCCTTTAAACACAGCCTTTTGGGGTTCAAGGACAGATCCCATACATGAAAAACAGATATGTTGAAATACCCCATAGCTACATTATTTTTAAGGAGGATGACTTACTTTTAATCATTATTATCATAACAACAAAAGACTTCAGGCATGGTGCTTACAAGGAGTCACAAAACCAAAAACTGCCAAACAAATATTGGAATTTTAGTGGGGTTTCCAGTTTCCTCCCTTCTCCCCTGAAATCCCTGTCTTGAGCTAAGGTTACCTTGATTGCTTTCCAAAATGAGGACTATGATATTAGCAATTCCCTGAAGGGTAAAATGTGAAACTTCCAGGCTAAGAGTCAACCACTAGTAAGTGTGGTCTGGAAATTTCAGTGATTCCTGCCTCTGGAGGGTGTTCAGGCCAAGCAACTTTGCCTTAAAAATGGCCAAGTATAAGGCCTGTAACTGTGATGATTAATGGTTGCTGCCTAAATATTTTAATATTCCATCTTCTAAAACCAACTCTCTACAGGAGCATCATAATATTACACCCATACAAATGGAATTAAAACACAAGACCTACAAGCTAGATGCTAGAGAAAATTCTGCATCTTCCTCCATTAGGACCATCTGACTGTATTTCATATTATTTCCCACAAATTCAACTGCAGATCCTCTTGTTCTGGACTGTGTAGATGATTTTGTTTATTACATACCATAAATATCATCCCCAAACCCAAACTGATGAGCAAATTATAAGGTGCTTATTGCAATTATCACCCTATAATTCACAATTGATGAATCTACATTGAAGATAATACCTGACTCCCCTACATATTTCTTCACCCCTCCTCCCCAATCTTCCCCTAGCTATCATTGGCCTTACTAAGCTATCAATATTTCAATAACAACATGTCCCAGGTAATCTGCAGATTTGGCCCTAGGAGTGACAAAAGTTTTAAAATAACCATTAGGGGTCATGAATGCAATGTGTTTTCTACTACTGACAATTCAAATCTGGCAAGGTGAAGGGGTATAGAATGAATTATTGCTTAAAGAGTTACTCTTGCAAGAGTTCACATAGAGGATGTCCTGCACGTGACAGCAGGAGTGACCCCTGCTTTGTCTTGGAGGCTGGACCTGAGCACTTTTCAGAGCACAGGAACTCTCAAATACTTCCCTTGCCCTGTCTACAACTGCTGGCTTCCTCTAAGTAAAAGGACCTTTGAACCTCTCTCAAGAAGCCGCTTGACATCCAGCTCATAAGAGCACAACAATCACAACGATTTCCAGTTAATCATGAAATGTGTAAAATGTCAGCCTCCAGCCGACAGTTAAGCTCAGCCACTTCGTGAAATGGCCACACGTCTTGCTTACCTTCCACCAGGGAGGTGAGTAACGTGACATTTGCTGCTTTGCGCCTGCCCGCGGGTAAATTCAAACCGATTTTTTCTAGCCTTTCTCGCAAAGATCTCCCCCCATTTTTCGATTTGGCTCTGAAATTGCAAGAATTAACATTCTGATTAACCTTAGAGTGTTCCTGAAACAAAGTTTAGACTTAGCAATCTAAAGCCCAGTGGAGCTTGAAGAGGTTTTAACTTGAGGTTAGCACATTTTTCCCCCTTCCTTTTGGTTATTTGCTGATAGTTTGCTGAGGTTTGCTTAATTTCTGCAATACAGAGAATTTTTTTTAACTGAGTGTTCTTTTTTTATCTTGTGAGAAAAGAAAAAAAAAGGATACCAGATGGGAATAATTAGGTGTAGGTTATGGGTCTAGAGAAGGTAGAAGCTGCACATGCACGTGCATGTTCCTTCCTTGTCATGGAGTTAGTGAGGTGAGCAGAAACTGGGCAAGCACAACCTTGCTGAAAAGAGGATAAGAGCCAGGTGGCTTAGAGAGGAGAGCGCACTTGCTGCAACAGGTGGGCTTTGTGAGGAAGGGGTCAAGAGTTGCTGTATATGGTGTTATGTTAAAAGGAGAGGGCAGACTGAAATCGAAATGGTGATGATCATAATAACAGTAAAACTAACACTTTTGGAAGTGTAGTTATGTGATAAGCACTTTATATTGATTATTTTACTTCATCTCTGCAAATTTATATATACAGGCTTAATGTTCAGGGGGTGATTGAAAACTTCCACACTCTGAGGCTCAAAGCACTCACTTGAAAACTGAATCAAAGGAGGGCAGAGGAAGAGGATTCAAAATGAGAAAGTTCCTGGGTCACACCCTTAATTTCTCCCAAGATTCTCCTTGTATGTGCTAAAGTATGGACAAAAGTACAAGTAAAAATCCTCAGTTACTGTAATCTCTTTTGCTGTACTATTCATACAGTCACTTTTAGGAAAGAAAAGGACTGTCAACCCCCAGAAGGGGTCATCTTGGAAAGTTTTGTCTCAGACAAAGTCACTTTCATATCAGGGACACTGCCAAAGTGTTCAGGCATTGGCAGGGACTTCAAGGGAGGCATTACATCTTAAGATAAAATCCACATTCTCTCACATTTCCACGAGGAGGAGTCAGTCTCTGGGCTGTGGAATACTGTGAAGCACCTGAATGGCTCCCAGGAATACCTATAAATACTTCTAAAGTGATATTATTGCTATTATTGGTGGTGGTGTTATTGAAAGAGGGATGTCACAAATTTAGAAAAAGAGTTTATCAAACTGGGTTACAGTGCATCAGCAGGTTGAAAGACCAATTTCACTGGGTGCCAACTGCATTTAAAACATGCAATAAAAGAGAAAGAGTACACTGAAGGTATGAAGAGAGTTGCTTCATGAAACTTATGGGGTTTTTTGTGGGGGGGCTGGGGGGCTGTTAGTTCCGCGTTGTACTCAGGCTGGAGAATGCCCCCTGAGATGTCCTAGGGGTGACAGGAAGAGAGGCGCCAGGCGCAGGGCCAGGAAAGTGAAAGGTTCCCAGGGCGGCAAAATCTGCGGTAGGACTTGCGCGGCGCGGGCAGGCCTGGATGCAAGGACACTAGAGTTTGTGGGCGAGCAGGTGGCGGCCGCGGATCCTCCCAAGCGCTGCGCGAAAGCAATGCTCCGGCCACCCGGTTGCTAGGCAACTGCGTCAGACTGCAGATTGGGTTTTGCTGGAACCTTCTCCTCACTGTCCAATAAATAAAAACTGGTGGGTTTTTGTTTGTTTTTTTGTTTTTGTTTTTGTTTTTCGTGGTGGGGTTACCTTCTGAGGACTCCGCCGAGGAGAGATGCATTGAGGCATTCAGGGGGCGACAGCCGTCTCTGAACTTCTCCCACAGTTACTTTGTACTTCGAAGTTGAACTGAGCAGAGACAAACGGCCTGGGACGGAGCAAAACACCTCGCCGGTGTTGACAGACATGCCTCCCAGGAAGCCGTCTTTATTCATCATTAGAGAAGTCACCGATTTGGGAGGAACTGGAACTAGAAAGAGAGAAAAAATTGCCATAAAGGTGACCAAGTTTCGATCCTGATGACCGGCTGATAGAATGTGTCTCTGTGTGAGGCCACAGGACAGACACCAAGTGGAAAGCTGAGGGAGGAAGTGTTTATTCCAGTGGGGCTGCAGTGCGTTCAGAGAGCTGTAAACAAACAGATGGCAAAGCCATACCTCCTCTGGAAACTTACTTCGTGTGTAGACATATGAGTGTCATTTGCTACAGTCCTGCTCACTACCCAAATCAAGAAATCAAACAACCCAGAGTTTGGACTGTGCTGGGAACCAGGCAAATCTTATTCCATCGTGTGCTAACTCTGTGACCTTAGACACCTGACTGACTCTGTCTGAACCTCCTCAGTTTCCTTATCTGTCTCCTGAGGATAATAATGCCTATCTCATTTGGTGCTGAAGCCTGACGGTGATTATCACCATGCGGTGATATAAAATGGTAATTCCAATGGAAACCCCTTCCTCCTTTCCTATTGGACCCAGATCTATGGTCATCACTAGAAAGGATAAGGAGGGTGGACCCCATCAGATACTATGCCCAAGAACAGACAAATAATACCATTGAGCTGGGGAGCTGGGCCCAAAACAGCTGCTCATCTCTTTAAAGTGGGCCCCATTCTTCCCTACATAATAACAACAGATTCATTTAGAAAGGAACCCAAATGCTCATCTTCAGTGAAAGCAATTCTGCAGTGACATGAATTTTGTTTACAAATTAAAGCACCGGCTAGTGATTGTTTGGAACAGTTATGATTTACAACAGGTGCCCTGATCAATCAACCAATCACTCTAATTCATATGAGCGGCGGTCTTGCCTTGCCCCAGTTGTTTCTTTTCGGCAAGTAATTGATAACAAACCGCACTCAAGGTATGTTTTATGCAGAAGTTAATAAGAGTTGACAGCTGGTTGCCACTGCTACCCTGGTGCATTCAGCCTCTCCAGCCTGTATTTCTGCTTAATTGTGTTTCAGTGTCATCTGCATGTCAGAAAGAGGCTAGGCTCAGTGGAACCAGAAGGCTGGGAATGAGGAACAGTCCATCTCCCAGTTCCCTGGCAGTATTTTCCCTTGGACTTCACTGCTTAAGCCCATTTTCTTTATGTAGGTTTTACAGGCCCCTAAACAGGTGGCTATACCTCCTGACTTTCCCTGTAACTTTGCTTCTTCCACTGGGATATGAGGCCTCCAAATCTTCATGGTATTTGTCGATCACCAGTCCAAAAAATCTTTGGAAACATGCATCTGGTGTGAAAAAAGAGGTTTCCAACCCTACCTATTTGATAAAGTCTATCTCACTTTGTAATTGTGTGGGGAAAAGATAGGCTGTTTCTGTCGTCTGGAGCCTAGAACCCTATATATCAAACAAGATGCATAACATCCCTTCTATGGAACAGACTAACCAATACTGTGTATTTCTCTAACAGTTTATTCTCTCTACCACAGATTCCAGTATACAAACCTCCATAGTTGTTTAGAGACTCCTAGAAGCCAGGTTGCTCCCAAATCTTTTATTTACTATGAATTTCATTAGATCCTTTACAAACACCTTGTGGAAAAGAGCTTTATTACAAGAGTGGATGAGGAGACTAAAACATTCCCTTCTGCTACTACCCAGTAGGCATTTTAGGATCTATGGATCTGTCCACAGAGCCCAAGACCTTGTCCCAGATGGATGAATTGATGTTGGCAACAGAGTAAATATTCTGCCCTGTCATGGGGCGGGGACAGGGGATATAGAGAGGTGTTCCTTCTTTTTGATTTCCCTCATTTTCTCATCAGTGAATCTGCTTCCCATTTAAGAATGAATCAATGAAAAGTTGAAGTGTGAATGTTAATCAGATTTGAGTGAGATGTGAAGTTAAAGTCACTTAATAGACAGGTGATTGGTGGGGGCATCTATTTCAGTCTATCTTACTCTTCACAACAGTGCTGATTTCCATAATTCAGACTCATAGTGAAGGCATTAAAAACAAATAATTGACAATCATGGGAGTTGGCATTATGAAAACTTGGAAAAACTTATTTTCCAAAATATAGATGGCCCTTTGTAATTTTAACATGATATGAATTATAGAAATAAATTAGATAAAAATCTCACCTCTATACTTAGCAACATATTTATCTCTAAATACTATTTAGAATATTTTTTTAAATAACAACCAACTCCACTAAGCTGAAAGTACTAAATTCACTTCCTGCTTCCCACAGTGGATAACCAAATACCCACTGAGTATTGGAATCTTACCTGCTTCTCCCTGTCCCAGAAGCTAAACCTCTGGAAAAGCCGGGCCTTTAAAGAAATGTTATAAACCACCCTGTAATTTCACTATTGTTAATTGCCTGATTCACCCGACAAGAGCTATTTCCTTTGGGGAATGTATATTGCTCCCTGCCATGGGTTGAGTACCTTTCTGCATATACATTATCACCTGCATACCCCCAATCCAATCAGCTTCTGTCAGTACACTGCCCTCTCTGGGAAGGTTTTTGTTTTTGTTTTTGTTTTTGTTTTTTCCCCTTCCAGTCAAAGCAAGGACAATGTCAGAAGATGTGCTTTGGACTATATTTCCATTTTCTAATTTAAGTATCACAATTGTGTTCCCAGCCTCCTATCCTCATGTTCTAAACCTCTCTCCTTAGTATTGGTCCCCTAGACCAGATCTGACACATTTCTTGTCCCAACTTTCCTTTAGATCCATAACTCCATCATAATCTACTTTCCCTTCCACTTTCACACCTGCTTAGTTCACCTGATTAACCCCATATTTTACTTTCTTTGTCTTTTCCCTTCTGCTTTCTTCCAGTTTATCAATAAACCCAGAGCTCAACAGGGCCTGGTTGATTTGTTAGTAATTATGAGCACACTGTTCCTGCTCATGGAACCCAGAGATGACTGAGATAGGTTTAAAGCGACAGCAGGAAATAGTAAGGAAATGGGGCATGGCAAAACTCAGCATGAAGCTTTCAGTTCTTTACATGTTTACAATTTTCTGTGCATACATTAGAAGTATTTTTTTCCTCTTCAGTTCCCAGTTGGGTGTCAAGGCCAAGTTCTGGATGTAACACCCACAAAACTCATTCCCCTCCCTTTTTTGCTGCATTATGCTGGGGAGAAGTAAAAAAAGGCTAAAAACAGATCAATATTTCATTAACATGGCTGGAGTTTTATTTAAAAGAGAGGAAAGAAAAATGATTAGAGAAAATACTATTCATTAGTTGACTATAGAAGAGCTAAAGTGTTAATAGGCTAGTTTTTAATCTCTACTCTTTAAACTTAAGTGTGAAATTATAGTTTTGAGAACTTTGTATTTGATTCTATCTGCTGGTGAGGAGAAGGGAAGAAATGAACCTATCTTATAGATTCATAAGGTAAGTACCTTCGAAAGGCACTCTTGACCTAAAGATGTAAATGACATTGGGAAACAACCAGGAGGCTTAGCACTGACTCAAAGTGGCCCCTAAAAGTTAGCACTCTTTTTCTCACCAGCAAAGCACCCTTTCCTCAGATCTAAACACTTCCTCATGTACCTGAGTGTAAAATTTTATTCCACAACTATAGTGCATGTATAAGTGTGGGGACTGAAATTGTGGGGAAAAAAATAATTTCCACAAATAAAGCAGGGATATTAAAAAACTCAAACATCCAGTATTGGCATCTTATAGGGACAGAGTCTAGAAGGCTAAAAGGCTGGAAACTGAGTTGAGTCTCATCACTTACATGGTGTATAGGACCTTGAGAAAGTCATTTATTGTCTCTCTCAGTTTCAGCACTTGGAGTGTTGAAGAAGAATGTCTAACCTACCTGACTTTGAAAGAGTGGCTGCAGTGTTTCTCAGGGTCTCTAGTTGATAAATAGCTATTGGGATCCAAGTCCAACCTGGAAATGGGAACTTCTTCCTTTTGAGAGGAAACTCATACCGTTCAGAGACTCTGACAGACTCTCAGAGCATTTTACCTTCTAGGTCAGAAGAATCCCAACAGAATCAATTGTAATAGAAATTTGGCAATTTCTTTATTTCCCATGAAAGAAAATCCACACCAGTCAAAGTGTTTATGTGGGGAAGGGGCCAGAACTAACGGGAAAGAAAGTGGGAGAGAATGGAGGATGAACTGAAACTAACCAAACAGGATATCCCTAAGACCAATGAAAATGCCCCACAGTCACAACATTTGAACCTTGGATTCCAGCCACGCTAGCCTTTCCAAGAAATCCCAGAATATTTTCTGCTGTCTAAGGTGTTAAACAGATTGCATATTGGCTTCTTATTGCACCAAAAACTTTTTCTTAAAGTTTAGGTGAGCCTTTTTTTGAGTTAAGCAACATGATGGTGGCAGTGATCATTTTTATTAGCTGGGTACACCCTCTTCCTCCCCCCAGATTTCTAATCTTAATGGAACTGAGAGTTAAGAATGATTTTTTAATGTCTCGTTGGATTTTTAGACTGTTAATGTACCGAATCCTTCTCATTATTACTTTATTGATTGCTCATTGACCAGCCCCCTTCAAATCGTATTAACCACCCTCTGCCGGTTTAGATTAGGAGAGTTTAAAAAGCACCTTTCATTACTCCCCCCGCCCACTCCCGCCATGGAGTTGAGACTAGGCAGCTTAATGGGAGCTCTAATGGGGCAGCTAAGAGGAGAGGGGCCACGGTCCCTGCAGATTGCATTAATAGCTCAAAGGGGGCCAATACAGAAAATTAGCCGTAAACGAGCTCTGGAGATCTTCAAATGAAAGAGCCATTTATCACGCTGGCTACCTTCACTCCACTCGTTTGCTCTCTCTACTGGGAACAACTCATTTCCTCTTAACTAAATTACTTCAGAAATGTCAGCTAAGCCCAGATAGCAAACATAACAAGAGAGGGAGCCCATAATCTATGGGGTGACATAAACACAGGTGAAAAATTAGATTGGTTAAATTTTAGAAGGGGCCTTACCATAACTGGAGAAAGAGACATAGAGATAGAGACATGCATCATTTATGCCTAAGTCTTCTAGCTTCATAAACACAGACTCAGAGACCCCCAAACCTAGACCACTTGCCAATCTGTTACTAATGAGGTAGAATTTTTTTTTATCTGCCTAAAAGCCCATTAGAAAATATATTAAGAAACTAAGCCTTCTTCTAGGTGTTGAAATTTAGAATATTTAGTTCACAAGACTTTCTCACCTCTTTTACAAAATTCATCTCTTGGAAACATCTCTCATAATTGGGGAGATGGTGAGCAAAGAGACTAGGGTGCAGGGGAAGGGGCTAATGAACTCACCACAACTTTAAGTGGCTTATACTGAGTTAGAAAAGTAAATCAACCTCGTATTCTTATTTTGCCTATGGCTCTCTAAAGAAAAAAGACATAGGATCTTTTCTTCATGTAATAAAGCAAATATGTCAAATATTAAATAATGCAACTGACCTACCATTTCATCATATTCATACCACACCCTCTGAATCAATTAAAGTAACTGGGATGCTACTTAAATATTTTAAGCTGCACATTTTTTAAAAAGCTGTACATTTGGGGGGACATAAAATGTACTCTTCTGTTTCCAAAAACAGAACCATCAACTTTAGTCATTATTCTCTTTTTCTTATTCCTGGAGACAACCTTGCACATAAATATTCACATTTCACTGACAAACATATACAAGCTCTGAAACCAAAGCATCCCACATCTAAGAAAATCTTCAGCTCTGTTTTGCTAGGCAAGCTAAGTTACAAATATTTTTATTGGACTGGCTATTAATAACATTTCTGATTGGTCATCTGTTGGGCATGTTCCCCTGCCAGCCCAAATGATGTTGCTAGGATACAGAACCCTGAGCTAAGTGGTTCTAGCTTTCCATGAAAAGGGAGGAGGAACTAAAACAAACTGAAAAAAGCCAATGGAGAAGCTCCTCCCCGACCCCACCCTAATCAACCAGCAATTAACCGAAAGAGGAGACCCAAGAGAAAACAGGAAAAGTGAGCTGTCAGTCAGCACAGTTGCAAATTTAAGCACCGAGCCTGGGTATCCTAGCAAACCCAAAAGCTGGCATTAAAAGCCAAAACAATATTATTTGAAGATGAGAGAGAGAGAGAGAGAGATGTTTGAAGCAACCACTAAAATAAATAGTTATGCCCCAAACCTTACTATACTTTAGGATATTCATTCCAAGGCCAAATGGCATCATTGCAAGTACAGCTTCCCCCACCCACCTTTCAAAGCTACTCTTCCTGACTTTGTAAAAGAAGACAATTTAGAATACCTCACCCTGTTTGGAATCCTTATTCCACAACCCTCCTACTATCCCATTTGAGTCTGGATGAATTACTTCCCAAAGAATTTTTTCTTTTAATTGTTTTTGTTGAATGTCAAGTGGCTCAAGTGAATCATAAATGATTGAAAGCTGAGGATTGTTGACACTAAATATAGAGACAGAATTTCTTCGACATCCATGAGAAAGGGTTACAGTATTAAAATTGTATCGTCAAATGCCAGTTCCTGTGATAATTAAAGATTGCACTGTTTACACATTTAAACTCCTAAATTTGTGGCATTTGAGTGACATTCAGGCCTTTTAGCAGCTACACTAATCGCCAGGCATTCTCTCAGTGACTGTCAGAGAAAAGCAGAAAAAATTAAGCAGCTGCAATACACCCAAAATGAGTTATTGTAATTACATTTAATTAGTTTAATTAGTTAATTATTTTGCTTACAGCTGTACAAGAGACTGCAAACATTTGTTAATATCACATGCCCTTTAACAGTATGGGGTGATTCCACAGTCACACTAAATCATGAATGCATATGTAGGAAGATTTAGAAATGTGCATAGGCTGTCTCAGCTTCTCAGGATGCGCATATTTAGCAACAAATTTGGCACAATGAAAAAATAAATAAATAAAAACAACTCATAAAACATAGAGAACTGGGAAC
The DNA here is from genome assembly GCF_000001405.40 of Homo sapiens. Classification (NCBI taxonomy): domain Eukaryota; kingdom Metazoa; phylum Chordata; class Mammalia; order Primates; family Hominidae; genus Homo; species Homo sapiens. The sequence continues at coordinate 50,829,116 of NC_000006.12, read as the reverse complement.
AAAATTATCACCAAAAAAATCAAATACAAAACGAAGAAAGAGCTATCTCAATAACATAAGCTTTAACTCAGCAAACTCCAGTTATCATTGAAATAATTGTAGCACCTTCTTGAAACCAGTGTTTACCAGCCAATTCCACACATGATGATAGCTCAATTATTTAAGATGTATCAAGAATGGCTACCAAATATGCCATGAGAAAAATTGCAACAGTCTGTCTCACTCATCTGAATTTGTGTCTGATGTTTTCATTCTCCCTTGCCCAACTTCCATCTTCCCAACATGCCCTTTCCCCTAATCTGACAGCCATTGTCCTATAATTGTGAACAAACATTTATGTCTTGTCAAATAATGAATTCCCCCAAAGTGAAAATTCATCATAAAGACGTTAATGCATGAGAGAACTTTGCTTACTTTTTGGGGGGAATTATCCATACCTTTTTTAATGACAGACTGGTCCAATAGATTCATGCCGCTGTTATTGGCATCTTCAACTGACTGTGAATATAAAAACATCACTATTCAAATTGACAGGATATTAAAGAATTGCACACATAAATCATGTTATTCCAAACTGGAGTTTCTGTTATTTCCATTTATATTAATTCACAAAGGGCTGTTTTATTATTATTATTACCTCCAAATAGACATAGAAATGAAATTTACTCAAATTATAAATTTTTCCAATGGAAGAAGTGGAGAAAGAAAACTTTGAGAGACATCTGGGATGCAACATTGGTTTAGTTATTATATAAAACATAGATATTAGACAGATAAACCTTTATATTATTTGCTCTTATGAATTGTAAAAATTTGGCAACAGCTGACAGATTTTCACCAATATTAGTAAGAGCAATTTGTGTTTTCCATTCTATCCCAGTGCATCTTAACCCCAGAGCCATTTTACAAATACATAATAGTTTACATTATGGGATTTTAATTAAAGTCTGAGCAATTTGGAATGGAATGCAAACAGCAACACATAGGAACATGTTTGCAAGCCTCTAGGACTGCACACCCATTACAGCCCATACACGTTCCTGTAAACTATGAGCTTCTTGCTGCACAATGACAGTCTCTTGGAGGAACCTTCACAATTTACCCTCCCTCCCAGTCCTGCTGATGCTGCTTCCCAGCAAGGAGCACACCTGTTAGGAAGGCAGTAACTACAGACAAGCAGACACACACAAAGGTCTAGATCCTCCCAGTCAGCACCTAGGTAATCGCAAGGAATGTTCATCTTCTGTGCCACAGTTTCATTCCAGAGAAGGAAAGTTTCAACTCTGAGCACTGGTAGCACTTCTGAGAGGAAATAGCTGTTGGAGCAAGTTTCTTACTGTCAGAATACACATGAACAGTTCTGGCTGTGCATCCCAGGGCGTCCAAAAGCAGTAGATTCCCTTTCTCTCCCTACCAAGAAAATAAATGCTAGGTCTTTCTAAAATCTACAACTACTTTCTTGACCCTTCAAAACCTAAGTTGGGACCAAATTGTTACCCACTTTATAGAGAAGTAAAAAGCAAAGGGCTTGAGAGTGAGGAGCTGTTTTCACAGCACTCACACCGACTCATGCTGCATCCTCACAGTGTGAGTTCATCACAAGAAAAAGACTGTCTACCCCAAACAAGCAAAACTTTAGAAATGAGATGATCTAATCGTACAGGGGGCATGTTAATTTGTTTCTTTTCATTTTTAATAGTCACTCTTTTGTTCTCAGAAAAGTGAGCAAAATTGTTATTCTCCATAGGAATTGTTATCCTTGCTGCAACATGCCATGCACATCTTAGGAAATAGTAAAAAGGTGTTTTAAAAATATTTCATGTAACTTGTTCATAACTCCTCAGGGGACCCTGCCACACACAAACACACACGATTCACACCTTTCTATGATCATGTGTATACAGTGACAATGTGTCCAGGCAGGACAGAAATATTCTCCTGTGCCTTGGGCAGCCAGACCCTGACTTACACTGGCCTGGACCCGGGAGCCCTCACACCTTACCCTCACTCTTGTACGTAAATATGTATAAACGCCTCATCAGCGACGTGGGGTAGTTGTGGTAGTTAATGAGAAGGCTCTTGTCTGATTTTCTATCTAATTACGGCCGCCTGCTGGGTTTTTGTACAGGATATTCACGCAGCATGCTGGCGCTTAATCGTCACAGGGAGGATCGTAAAGATTTAATTAGGACTGCATGCGGAAGCGCAGAAAAACAACTCAGACTCGTAATTACTAGACTTCTTTAGTTAAAAGTGATACCAGGGGTTGCTTTAAGACACTCGGGTGTGTTTGAGTGTGTGTATGTGTTTGGGGGGAGTTGGCTTAACATCCTTATATGTTTATATTCATGGGTGGTAGAGGTGATGGGAGGTAAGAGAGCAAAGGTGGGAAGAAGAAAAGAGGTGTACATGACAACTAAACAAATCCCAAACTAGGTGTCCTTTCACTCCCTCTGTCTCTCTCTCTGTAGGTGTTTTCCTGAGTTTTTAACACTTGTAGCCCCCTCCCCAACTAGACACACACACACACGCGCGCGCGCGCGCGCGCGCTCATGCACAATGGGTGAAATGTAGCATACCCAGAACCCAAACAGCGATTTGCTAGTTTAATAGCCCCTGTGAGTAAATTGAAATAGAAATTGACAGGGTTTTATAGTTTCATTTAAAAAAATATTAGAAGCATTTGGTGAATTAGCTCTCCTCTTTCTCTTCTCTCATGGTGGGGGCTGTGGCCCTGAGTGTGGTGCATCTGGGTCACACAACAAAACCCTCGACCCATAGGCAGGGCAGCACCCTCAGTGTCTGCCAGCTCCCTGGCTCAAGGGGATCTGGAACACACACGAGGTCCTTGAGATCGGAACAAGTGACTTTAAGGTCCAGGCCTAGGCACTCTCTGGTCCTTTTAAAGACTGGACCAGTGCAGGCCCTTTTAAAGACTGGACCAGTGCAGGCCACCCATTCGATAGCTGTAGGGAGAGCGTTGAAATCCCAACCTGCTTGTGTAACTTTAGCCCCCGCACCCCAGCTTCCTAACTCGGAAGTGGATCCTTCTGTGTTGAGCAGATGATTGGAAGCCTTCGGATTCGAGGCTGTGGTCCTGGAAACATAACCCCTGGTCTTTGTCACCTGCCCTGCATCAGTCAACTTCACCCTGGCCTTGGGAGGTCTGTCATCACCGCGGAGGCAGAGACCGTCCCTGTCTTTGCTGTTTCCCTCTAGGGACAGGAGCAGGGTGTGTCCCTTGCACTATAGGGGTCGTCCCAAGAAGGTCCCGTGGGCCTCCCGGCAGGTGACGAAATGAGATAAAGCAGGGGAGGAACAGGGTGGGGGTTGGGTGAGTGGAGAGCCTGCAAGTGGCTCCGGTGTGCTGCCTGCTGCTTTTCTCCTTTCAGCTCTCTACCTCTGTGGTCTGTATTCCCGACAGCAACAACTTGGCCCCGAGGTGCTCCGTTCACATAAACACTAAATCCTTTCCGACGCTTTGACAAGACTATTCTCCCAAATGTGCACTGATCTGGCCCTGTTTTTCTCTCAGACTTTGAATTTCACCAAACACAAAAAGACCTCTCTCAATTATTTCTTTAAAAACATTTAACTAAAGAAAACTGCTCCTTCTTTTGGGGGAAAAATTTCTGAGTTCCTTCGCTAGAGTCACTTGGCCTGTAGGGTGGTGGTAACAGGGCCGGCATTAGCATCATCAACAGTAATGGTGATGAGTTGATCCACTTTCATTATCCAGCACTTTGAACCATACTCAGAAAGGTTAATTTAAAAACTTTTCCCCTCGAGACACATATTACCCCAATGCATTAAAAAAAAAACTATTAAATACTTCCTTTTTCATATGATATTCAGAAATGAGCAATATCTCTAGCCAGGAACAGTCAAGCTCAGTTAAATCAACAAAACCATCATCACTCTTATTACTATCAGTAAATCCAGGCACAAATCAGGTAATTCCGTCTTTTTTAAAAAAATAAATAACTGAATTTCTTTTAAAACAATAAACAATCATAGACCACACACAGACAGCATTTGATGCTGTCACCACATTTTAACTGTTTAAAACTATTTTTTTTCAGCAAGGTACAGAAGAATGACTCTTGCACCCTCTTCTCTTTCCCATTTTATTTTCCTTTGCTTCAGAGGTATGTCAAAGGATGCATAATAAATACAACTATGCCAATGAAACTGAAGTGTCAATTACATACCTGTAAACTATATTTATCTTTTCTGCCAACTATTTAACTTAGGGTGAAAAAGCAGACCTGCTCAGAATCACCCAAACAGTTTTTAGGAATCATTTCTTTGATGTTTCTTTGTTTAGTTTAACCAAGTATTCTCAACCAAATCAGGCTCCATTGTGTAGACTGCAGATGGGATAGTGGGTGGGTAGGGGGAGTGTTTTGAGCCTTTTGTTTTAAGAAATAAACACGTGATGCCTCTCAACTGGGATGATGGCAGTGGGGAGAGAAGAGTGTTAATATAGGCGGAGGCCAGGAGAGGGAGGTGGAGAATATTACACTACAGTCACTTAATGAACCAAAAAGTGAAAAGAATTTCCAAAATGGTATCTACCATCATGGACTCCTGAATTATGGCGTTCTGAGTTTCTCCTTCACATATATTCTATTTCTCAGATGAGGACTGCAACTATCTCTTGGAAAAAAGCTCTGTGGCTTATGAGACATTCAAAGCAAGACCTGGCTTAGATGATCAGAGCTCATTGTCATGCTTAGCAAAATCTTTGCAAATTCAGCAGCAACCTCTGGAGCATACAGAGGCCCCTGGAACTTCATTCTGAAGCTCTAGCCTCTAGGCAGCCAGGTCTTCACCTGCCAAGTCAGCAGGACAGCCCCACTATGGGGTGTGTGTGTTGGTAAAGAAGGGGTACCAAGCTGGCTTCCACAAAGCACTAGAGAATATGCAGGAGATGGTAGCTGAGGCAGGACAAAAGCATTCGCCTTTATTCTAATAATCTTAAGGTATCAAAGCAAATACATATTTTTCTTCTTCAAGATTTAATTTCTCGTGGTTTGGATGATCATAATTAGACCTCTGGAAATCGCCACTATAGAGCCATACATACAGACACACATAAACAGTTCTATATGACTGTCTAGTCCTGTTCTAAACATGGGAACAAACTCCCCAAAAAGAGACAGAGCTGCCCTCTCCTGACCTCCCCCCCTCCAGAAGCATTCCTTATTCGTGGTCTTTTTTGTTTGTTTGTTTGTTTGTTTGTGGTTACCTGGACGTCTTCCATTCCGGGATGGCCGAGGCCGTGCAGCGAGAGGCTGTCACCCATGCCCGCGTCCAGGCCGTGGTGCGCCGAATGCAGCAGCACGTCCGGCCGGCGGACCGAGTGGTAGTCCCTCCGGGGGTCAAGGCCCGAGAGCTGGGGCAAGGCGGCCCGAGGCTGGGGCAGGAGAGAGCCGGCTTCCGAACCCACTTCTTGCCGCTGCCGTTGCCCCCAGGGATGTTGCTGGGGCTGGTGCAGTGGGTTCAGGGAGTAGGGGTCGTTGACGTGGGAGTAGGGGTCCTGGCTCTGGTGGTAGGGGAGCGGCTGGTAGGGGGGTGGGAAGTAGGGCGGCTGGAAGTCCGACGACGGGGTGTGGGACAGCGGCGGGGCGCTCGAGTAGGGTCCTTGGGACACCGAGCCCAGCTGGGAGAGCCGCGAGCTGTGGCTCGGGACACCATCGTGCCGGTCCTGGGAGCGGAGAGAGGAAGGGGAAGAGAGCCAGAGAAGGAGACAGAGAAAGAGAGATAGAGGCAGAGAGAGACAGAGAGTACAGAGAGGAAGAAAAAAAATACAAGTGACAAATGGAGAAGCCCGGCTTTTGTACGCTCTTCCCGGGACAAGGGAAGCAAGGATCTGAAACTTAGACCCCCAAGTTGACTCAGAGGGCCACATGATTTCAGCAATTTCAAACCCCAGGCTTGGGGAGAAAATGGGAAAGGAATCACCCACTTAACTATAACATTTTAGCCGCTTTTTGGGGAGTGCAAAGCAGGCAAAAGGCAGGGGTACAGGAACAGTGTGTATGGAGGGAGATTCTAAATGCCTTAATTAAAATTGTAGGAGTCTTACATATGGTGTTTGCTCCTCTGGGTGTTTTTAACTACTTTTTTCTAACTCTTCCAGAGGTACAAATCACAACAAATAAAACTTCATAGTATTTGCTGTGCTGCTCCCCCTGATTAAAAACCAACTTCTGCCTTCGCTGGAAATGCAGCTGGCTGATTAGGAGGAGCTTTCCACACAACCTGATCATTCCAAGAGCTCCAAGGAATCCACCTGGTCTGAGTTCCCAGTCACTCCTCCCTCTCCAGGAGAAATTAAATAACTTAAATAGTGTTTCATTGAAATGGATCTCATTCGAAATCATATCCTAAGCCAATGATGAATTAAGTTGAGTTGTGGTTCATAGGAGTTATTTCTAAGACTGTTTTTCTATATCTAATGCTGTTATACTCAGGATGTGAAAATGAAGGAACTAAAGTTGGGGTGGGGGGAAATAAAAGCCCAGACAACTTATTCCTGGTCCTATCTGGAGTGTGAACTAAGTGAAAGAAGAAGGGGGAGGTGTGTATATGAGGGAGGTGGACTTTGTTTCTCCCTCTCTTCTCTGGAAACATCATGGTAAACTCCCCATGGTTCTTTTTGCAGAAATAGTCACCTAAATTTCCAAACAGCAATGGCAAATAAAAAGTTTTTCTTTTCGGCCTCTCCCCTCCCAGCTGACTCATGGAGCTCAGACGGAGAACACACAATGCAGAGAGAAGCAGCTGCAGCCTCGTCCAATTATGGTGCTAAATTACCAAGCCAAAGGCGCTCAAAGGAAGACAGAGAGAGACAGAGAGTGTGAGACACACACACACACAGAGACGCAGAGACAGAGAGACAGTGAGAGGAGGGAGCATGCAATTCTGGTAACACGTGAATCCAAACTCACCATGGATGAATAGGTGTGGACTAACATCTGGAAAAAAAAGCCTGGTTACTGCTCAAAATCAAACAATGATTAAAAAAAAAATCAAGGAGTCCAGCAGAGAAGCGAGCTGGACACAGGAGCTGAGCTTGATGTGTTTCCAGGACAAGCCATCAAAAAAAAAAAAAAAAAATTACACCCGCCCCCCACCCCAACAAGATTGGCGATGCCTGTCACACACAGACAGAACTATTCATCTGTCTCTTTGCTGTCTTTTTGGCCTCTTTTCTTCTGCCGTTCTTCGGGGCTCCAGATGCAGTCCTCTTTCACCCGAAGCTGGGCTCAGACTGCTCGGCCGCCCCTTCCTCCCTCCGCTTGCCTACACCGCCTCATAATAATTGATATTCATGACTATTAATATTACACGAGTACTTTAAAGGGAGAATAGAGGACAAATGGAGCGTGAAGCAGCAGCGAGCGCAGAGCTCCCCTACTATTGTAAATGACGTTCATTCAGTGGAGAATTACTAGATGTAATCAGACGAGGGGGCTGGCAAAGGCAGACTGGGGAAAAAGTTTAGCAGGAAAGAGGCAGAACTTCAATTAACTGTGCCGGGGACACGAGTAAAGCAGCCCCTGCTCCTTTGGATAAGGCAGTGAGGGAGAACAGTGCTGGGAGGTTGTATAGAATGGAGGTGTCCTCCTACCTGGAGAGAGACTTCCCTAATCCGGAGGACTTGGTCGCCTTGGGTGCTTTGTGTGAGGATTACAAAAACAAAATAAAAAGGGTTGCTTCATCATTTGGAGGCGAGAGAAAGGCAAATTGGTGGGCCTGGTTATTTACAGTGACTTTTGCAGACTTTTGCTAAATGTGGAAGATTATGCTCATTTGTTAAAGGACAGAAGCGAGATGGAGGCTTTTCATTCCTGTGCAGCCTTTTCCTGTTTAGTGCTCACATAGTTTGCGATTTTTACCTCAATTTAAAACATACGCCATCAATCTTCAAATACACTAAACTTATCCTTTCCAGGCAAAGCCAGGGGCAACAGAAAACCTTTTTGGATGTTTCAGGAACCCGTTCAACTGGCCTGACTGCCATTTCTGTTAAAGTTCAACCTTAGTCCAGACTTAAATAGGCTCCTTCCACCGAGCTGCGGATTCTGTTTTTTGAGCAGAAAATTTAGGCAGATAGGACCACCTGTAATATTCCCTCTCTCTCCCTGTTTATTTCTCTTTCTCTCTCTCCCTCCCCTCTTTTCTCTTCTCTCTTCCCTCCCTTCCACTCCACCCCTCCCTCTTCCTCTCTCCCTCCCTCCTTTCTTCTCTCCCTCCTTCCTTTTCCATTTAGCTACTTTACTTTCTGTAAAGAACGAATGTTACCCTGGTTACTTTTTAGAACCCACTGAAATGCCTCTGCATGCATATAGCTTGAGCTGTTTTCACCATGGCCCCGTGCTTGCTAATGTCATGCCCACTTTGGGCGCTAATATTCTTTAGGACAGTTCTAGCGCCTTGGACTTTACCATTATCCCGCCTGTTAAGGAAAGAAAAGGAGGCCGAACCGAAACAATCCCCACCAGGCGCGTAGGCGCGGCTCTTCGTTACAGTCGATACACAACCACAAAGAGAAAAGGAAAACCCCAAGCATCATTCAGCAACAAGACCAATCTCTCTCCTCTCTGCTCTCTCGCGCTCTCTCCTGCTTTTCTCCCTCTCCTCTCTTATCTCCTCCTCCTCTCTCCTACATACCTCCACACATACACACACCCCAACATTAGGATTCGGGGGGGGGCAGGAGGTGTGGGCGCCAGGCGCTGCCTGTGGGCGCTCGTCCGAGCCCGAGTCCCCCAGGAGCTTGCCGGCCGCGCCTGTGAGTCGCCCACTCTTAGGATCTTCGAGGCGGCTCTGCGCCGGGCTTTCAGGAGCTGTCCCGATCCGGAGGGGTCGCGTGTCTTTCTCGGCTCTTTGGGGAGCCTCTGCATCCCTCCACCTTTCGTCTGACCTAGCGGCCCGCGCCCGCCACCCGGGAGTCTGCTTCTCTTCCTTCCTTTTCTCTCCAACTTTTCCTCTTAGCAATCTCCATGGCCCGCTTCGCCCGCCTCGACTTCCCTCCTTTTCTAAATCCGCTTCGCCTTTCCGAAGTTTTTATTTCCAACCTCGACGTCTCAGCAGAACCTTCCCTTCCTCCCTTCCCCTGGCAACCACCTGGGGCTGTCCCAGACCATTCCGCTTAAAAGCGAGGCTCCGCGGGCTTCCCGGTCCCCAGCCTGGCCCGCCGCGCGCCCCGCGCCTCGCCCGCCTCGGCCGCCTCTCCCACCTCGCCCGCCTCTCCCACCTCGCCCGCCTCGGCCGCCTCGTCCGCCTAGTCCGCCTCGCCCGCGAGTAGCGGAGCCGTCTGGCCGCGTCAGCCCTCGCCCGAGCCGGAAAAGGGCTTTGGCGAGCGCGGTCCGGGCCCCGGAGGCGGCTGGCGTCCTCCTGGCTGGGCGCAACTTCTCCTGCCCCGAAGAGTTGAGCTAGCCTCAGTGCTAGAGACCCGTACGCATTGAACGTGGGCAGAAATTTCCGTGAAAGATGCCCACACAGGAGGCGGCTGCGATTTCTGTTCGGACGCAGTGACCCTCAAGGAAGCAAAACACAAGAAAACAGAAACTAATAAACTGCTACGACTTCTATTTTGCTCTATCCATCCATATCTCCAGCCATCTACTTCTTTCCCGCTAATTCTCTGTCCTCTACTTGGAACCATTTGTTATCAATTTCAGAAATTTTATTGAAAATAAAAATTAAAAGCCCGAGTCTGTTACAAATGAGGCTTGAAAACCCAATTCTCTTCCACACTTAAAACGAGAAAAGCCCCTGACTTTATCAGAATCTCGATTTTCTCTGAGAGCGTGCCCACATTCAGTAGCACCACATTCCCCATCAGAGCTTAAAAGGGTGGGGTGGGGTGGGGGGAGGCGAGGAAAAGGGAAAGAAAAATAAAATAAATAAAAACATTCCTAAATTAAAGTTGTCAGATTTCAGCCTTAAAGTCCCTTTTCAGAGCAGCGAAGTCTTCCCTAGCCAGCTTTTCTAAAAGTTAAAAAAAGCTGAGAAAACCGACCGGAAATCTACGAGTAAATAGCTTAAAAATATATATCATTTGGGGTATCAAGAAGCTCAAATTCTCTATCTGCAAAGCTCTAAGGTGCATCTGGGGGTGTCGACTCACCTCATAGATATCTTCGTACTTGACATTCTCCACAAGCTTCCAGAGCATGATGGCAGCCTGGTCTCTAGGAGGTGAGTGCATTCATGTGAGGAGCAGATGTCTGGCTTCTCAGGACTCCGCTGTCTGTAATGATCCATCTATAATTGGAAATGGGGGATACACACCAAATCCGACGCTCCTCTCCCATCGCAACTTATATCTGTTGTCTCAAACAATAGGCTGGACAAGTAAGCCTCAGCAAAGAGAAAAAACATTATTGCACACACAGGAGTTAGATGCAACCCACAGACATATATACTATAAAAATCATAAACCCGTATTTACACCCAGACACCCACATATAGTTATATAAGCACCTCTGGGTCACACAGTCTGCAGACTCCAAATGTGCATTTAACAAAGAGTTGTTCAGGGTGATTAATATAATATATACATTTTATAACTTCTATATCGAAAATGACACATCATTGTAGCCACTAACTGAAGTCTTTGCAATTCATAATGAGAAACCAGGGGCCATCAGTCCCCTATTTTCTATGTAGATTTTAAAGGGGGACACTTACCAAGATTTTTAAACACAAAAGCTCCCTCCTATTCATGTATGTTCCGGAAGAGAGTATTTTGAAAGGCTGGATATGGGGGATTTTAAGGACTATCTCTGTGTTGATGGCTACACAACTTTTTTTTTTTTAACTTTATCTCTGTCACCATAGAACAAAAAAGCTAGCCACCGTTGATGACCATTTCTAATATTTTCTGGTCATTTTACCTAAAACCTTTGGAAACTTAAATACACCTCAGTTTGTGCTGCTTGTTATTTTAGGTGTTGTTTGTATGCATTTTCAACGGATTCCATGCACCATTCCTCTTGGCTGGAGTCTCCATTTTATCAAGTTTTTTTCAGATGTTGGAAGCAACGTACGCACACGTTCAGACAAGGTTAATTTTGAGCCTTTTTTGCAGAGGCCAAGGACATTTTATATTTGCATCTGTTGTGTATGACTTGTAAGTGGTTTTAATCATGGAGAGTCAAGAAAGGGCCACCCGAATCTTTGAAAAGGTTTAAGCAGAATGTCTTCAAAGAGATAGTGAAAAATATTTTAGTGCATGTGGAGTTTCTTCTTTTTTTTGTATAATTTTTCTTAATAAGATGATTCATATAGTTTTTAAAAAGGAAAACATCATCAGCAACAAGAACAATATTAACCAGACTTAGAAAATGGGCACCATTTAAGGCGCAGGGATTCTGAATTTTATCATGAAATGAATACTCATCTGTTCCCCTGTTCCCCCTTTCCCATCCCCTCTGTTTTTCTACTCCCTTTCAGGGTGCGGAGAGCTTCTCATAGCCGGAACAGACGCCCAGAAGAGGATCTCTGCGCCTGGGACAGAAAAGAAATGCCAGGAGGGACCGAGGAGGGATGGGGCAATTTGGGGTGGAAGTTATTAAGCCTGGTGAGAGTGAATCTGCAAAGGGTGATTGTCTTTAAATCCAGGACTGCTGTGTGCAGCTCTGCGCGAACAGGGATGGACGCTGTTTGAGTACAGGGCTCCGGACAACCTTGTTGGACGTCGATTCAATCAAAACCAAGGAGAAGCTTCATGAACTGCAGAATAAACAATTCTGCAGATTTTTAATTTAATTTTTAAAGATAAGTCAAAGGAAAAGAACACAAAGAAGGTGCTTCAGAAGGAACTTCAGAAATAAACCCCTTATTTCCGGTTGAATTTTTTATGTTTCGTCTTTCCTTTTCTCCTCTTCCTCCTTTTTGTTTTCCTTTTTTCTTTCCTTCATTTCCCTTTTCGTTCCTTCCTTTCTCTCTCCATTCCTTTCTTCCCCTTTAAATGTTAACCTTAAATCATACACAATCTATACAGATTTTTCACTAGGAGCATCAGCAAAGATTTTCTTCTTTGCTTCCAGAGCTAGTTAGGAGATGAGAAGGGATTTTTCTTAATCTTATTGTGTGGTGGGACTTGAAACGGGTTCCACACCCCCTGACTTCTAGAACTAAAATCAGTGCCAGATCAATAATCTGAAAGATAAATATTATAGACTTGGAAGTTCAGATTCTCCAGGCACAAGACATTTAATTAATGGAAATAATTGTTTTCTCCCTTTCAAATCAATAATTCTGTCATTGTTATTACCTAAAGATCATTACAACCCAAATAAAATGCATTTGGAAAAATCTCACTTTTTTTCTCTAAATGCTTTTAACACCTTTTAATATCTTTTTGGTATATTATTGCCTAGTCTAAAATAAATAAACTCTGAGATTTAACAAAACAAAACCTGCAAGAGATAATTTTACACATAAATTAAAATAATATAAGGTATTGTGTTAGTATAACTATTTTATAGCCTTATATATGAATAATTTCAAACTTTTTATGTGTAATTTTATTTTATGCTAGTATTAGGTATTTTTTAAAGTGGAAATATCTTGAGATATTTGGTTAAAATTTAAGTTCTTTAGGAAACCTGAAAAATAACAAATCTGGTTTTATTAAGAATGAAGCATAAACCTAAAAATATACACATATATATAGAGAAATACCTTCAAAATACATAACCATAATTAAAATCCTAGTTATTTTTTTTAACGTGGGCGTTATTCGAAAAGTCCTAGACATTGCAAGGTAAACCGTTCCCACGGACCGTTCCCTGTCATTGAACGGGCAACAGCGCCCTCTGTCGGAATTTTATAGACGCAAACCCTGCAAGTCTCCTTGATTTCTTTTTCGGCAAAGGTTTCTTTCCGTTCTTGAAAACCTGGTATTGAGAGGAACATTTTTAAAGTTCACTTCTTATGATATTTACTAATTTTAGAAACGATCGTTCCAGCATCTAAAAAGTTCAAACGCCCGAAGAAACGCACAATAAAAGCTCAGCCGCTACGGAGAAAATTTTTCCTAACTTGAACCTACCTCTCTTGCTTTTACTTTCTATTACCTTTCGCGTTATCACTCAATCACATGACGTAGGGAAACTATTCCCGCAAGAACTCAGTAAATGGAAACACAAAGGCAAAACAAACTCTGGATTTGAAGGAAATTAAACGAGTAAAATATGCATTTTCCTCGTTATTTTATCTTGCCTTATGTCCATATTTCTTTTTCAGGTTACGCACATGCTCTCCTAGGTGGAACCGCACTTGAGACATCCCAGATAGTTAACACTCGTACTTTCCTCTTTCATTTGCATTTATTTCAGTTTAAAACAGCAAAGAAAAGAATTATTCATACCCTCTTTTTTTTTCAGCCTCATATAGAGGGAATATTATTCAGTAAATGTCGGAGTCTATAATTAAAAGCAAATGCACCCAGCATGAAGCCCTCTGCTGGTGATTTTCGAAGTATGTTCAGGACTGTTTTTTAAAAAATGTACAGAAAAATATCATTATTAAATCAAGGTCAACTAGGAGCACTTTCATGTCTTCTTTCATCTTTCTTCTAAAAATCTAATTATGAATTATCTAAATTTATTTGACTTCCTTCCTTCCACTAGCCCTCACCTTTGCACCTGTGGGTTAACACTCCATGAACTATCTTCCTTTGCAGATGCCCACTGTACCACCTTTTCTTTTTCCATTACACAGTCTCCCTGGGTTTCCCCTTTCCATCTACCCAACGCACAAAAATAATAAAATTAGAAAAGTCAAGAATTAGAATTATTGTGCCAAGTTTGCACCCTGGCCTTTCTCATTCTAGGCGGTGGGGCAGGCTATTTAATAGCCTGAGGTTCAGTGCACTGAACTACAAAATGGAAATGATTGTGAAAATTTATTAAAATAGTATCTGTGGGTAAATATATGTGGTACTATTGCTTCATAAACAATTTAACTTATCATCATTGTCTCAAAACACTTAGCGGGGGGTCAGGAAAGTGGAGGCTTCTAAAAACCAGGGATTTGCAATAAACTCCTGGTTAGAAAGTGGAGGTGGGAAACCCAATATAGGTCTTCAGACTGTGTACTCAACGCTTTGCCCACAGTCTCATGATGCTGTCTTACTTCTTTCCTTCTGAAGTTAAGAAGACAGTATTTTTGGATCATTGAGTATGTCCAGGGTTATTTTTTATAGTCCTGGATTTATAAGTAGGCAAAGGAAAGAAGAGAGGAAGGAAAAACTGTCTTACTTCAGCATCCTCAGATATTGCCCCACCTCTTACCCATCAGAAGCATTATTGTCTGCTGAGTTGAATAATAAGACACGACATCCATATAACAGATCTTGATAAGTTAAAAAATGATAAAACATGACAGCTCCATTTTTTACTGTTGCAGTCTGGCTCCTAATTTTCCTACCATGTTTCTGTCTTAAGCTTTCTCATGATTATATTTTTGGGGAAGATTCAGTAGGTGTTTTTATCATCAATTTGGAAACAAAATACTGTTGAATGTCTGAAACTACAATTTAAGCACCTGCCTTCAGATTTCTAGGGCTTTGATACCATATAGGTTTCAGTGACTTGGTATGAGGAAACAAAATAGGAGGGACTAATGTTTGCACAGGAGTGTTTTTAAAAAATGAAATGTGGGTGGGGTTATCTTTAGACTGACTCTTCATAATTATCGAGATTGAGGCAAGCACTAAACAGGAAAGAGCATTTCTTACTTTAATCATAATATTTAGTTGATGGTACATTTGTAAATTTGTAAAAGATACTGAGTTGAAATCACTTGTGAGAATAAAAATAACTGTAACTGTGAAAACTCACCCTTTCCCTGGGACTTTTGAGGAGCAATAGTAATTTCATTATAGATTTTAGATGTCCTGATCCCCTTAAGCTTTTCTGTTTAACTACGGGGGTATGAAGTGGCTAAGGGGACAGTTTTGAAATTCCTATCTCTTGGAGGTAAAGAGGTTAAGGAAAGGAAGATGAGGGGCTGAAGCAAATGATGCAAACAGCCATGCAACAATTGTTTTCAACACCAATGGGCATTTCACATTCAAAATGTGAGAGGTGTGTGTCTCCTCTGCCATGACTAATGCAGGAGGACAGGTACTTTCATCATTGTGGATGTTTTCCATATTATTGCTTTAAGAAGGAGAAATCTTGAAGGGTGAGAATACTAAACAATTTGGTTTCAAAATGCAACCAGTAGACCAGTACACATCTGTGAGGAAAAAAATTTGCAAATAAAGACTTTGAAAGATGTAGAGCAGAAATATAACCTTTAAAGCATGAATAAACACATACAATGTATAGCATCAGAGCTGAAGTGTCTCATAAATACAAGGGACATTTGGGAGAAATTAGCATTATATTGGAACTACTTCCTAAAATTCACGATTTGACATTCTGATAAAAATAGGGAAGGATCTTCATTTTATGCCTCTTTTTTATTTCTTTGACATAAGATGAGTTTTTCACTTACCAGTTATATTCCCTTTGGCAAGTCCTCTGACCTTTCCAGATCTCAGTTTTCTCGTTGATAAAATGAGGAGAATTCGGCCAGAAGCTCATGCCTGCAATCCTAGCACTTCGGGAGGCTGAGGTGGGTGTTTCACCTGAGGTCAGGAGTTTGAGAATAGCCTGGCTAACATGGTGAAACCCCGTCTCTACTAAAAGTACAAAATTACATGGGCATGGTAGCGCACGCCTGTAATCCCAGCTACTTGGGAAGCTGAGGCAGGAGAATCGCTTGAATCTAGGAGGTGGTGGTTGCAGTGAGCCAAGATCACGCCATTGCACTCCAGCCTGGGGGATAAGAACAAAATTCCGTCTCAAAAAAAAAAAAAAAAGGAGAATTTACTAGGTGATATGCAAGCTTCTTCCATAGGAATGGACTTTATGAAACTGATAAAAGCATCAAGTAGTAATTAATTAATTTTTTTATTTTAAATATTACTCTTTTGAGACAGGGTCTCACCCTGTTGTCCAGGCTGGAGTGCAGTAGCGTGATCACATGAACACTGCAGCGTCACCCTCCTGGGCTCAATAAATCCTCCCACCTCAGCCTCCCCAGTAGCTGGGACTACAGGTGCATGCCACCACACCTAGCTAATTTCTATTTTTATTTTTGTAGAAACGGGGTCTTGCTATGTTGACCAGGTTTGTCTTGAACTCCTGACCTCAAGCAATCCTTCCTCAGTCTCCCAAAGCACTGAGATTACAGATGTGAGCCACTGGGACCAGCCAAAAAAATTTAAATGAAAGTGTTCTTTCTGAGCATGTTGCAGCAAGCCTCATCTTTCTGGAGCCCTCTGTGAGAGAGTTTAAAATAATTGGTTCCAATCTTTTAGTAAATGATAATCACAAAAATTTTTTAGGAATACGATCTTAGAAGAAAGCAAACAAAGAAAGGATAAGAAAACCGTGTCTTAATTTGTAGGAGCTGCTATAAAAAAAATACTTCCCAGCTGTGGCAGGAAGCAACATGACCATTCATTCCTATTAATTATGCTGCCATTAGGACAGAATGTAGGATGCTGTTAAATTCCTAATCTTATGTGTTGTATTTCTGACCATTTTCTCTCTTTCTCTTCTTCTTTTTTGTTTGTTTGCAATAAAAATAAGTTTTTATGTATGGCCAAAAAGAATACCTTAGAATGGGTAGTTTATAAACAGCACCATTTTATTGCTCACAGTTCTAGAGGTTGGGAAGACCAAGATTAGTTAACCAGTAGATTCAGTGTTTGGTGAGGGCCTGTTCCAATAGATGGTTACCTCACATGGTGGAAAGGCAAAAGGGGCAAACAAGCTCTCACGCTTTTTTTTTTTTTTTTTTGATGGAGTCTTGCTCTGTCACCCAGGCTGGAGTGCGGTCGCGCGATCTCAGCTCACTGCAACCTTCACCTCCTGGGTTCAAGCGATTCTCCTCCTCAGCCACCTTGACTAGCAGGACTGAAGGTGCCTGCCACTATGCCCAGCTAATTTCTTATATATATATATATATATTTTTTTTTTTTTTTTAGCAGAGACAGGGTTTCACCATGTTCACCAGGCTGGTCTCGAACTCTCAACCTTAGGTGATCCACCTGCCTCGCTCTCTCAAACTGCTGGGATTACAGGCATGAGCCACCGTACCTAGCCCTCAGGCTTCTTTTATAAGGGCGCTAATCCCATTCACCAGGACTCTGCCCTCCTGACCTGGTCACCTCCCAAAGGCCTCGTTTCTTAATGCCAACACATTAAGAGTTGGATTTCAACATATGAATTCTGGAGGGACACATACATTCAGACCATAGATATAGCTTGAGGGAAGAGAATATTATTTTAATAACTAGTACTTAATAGGCACTTTGAAAAATTCAAGGATGTATGTCTACAAGAATAACATCTAATGTACTAAAAGAATTTGCAGTTATAATCTTGACAATTATGGTTAGTAATCTTTGATAAAGTATGCAGAGTGAAACCAATGTCCAATAGCAAAGGCTGGAAAACACTTCATTCTTCAGAAAGAGCGATACTAAGGCCAGGCTCAGTGGCTTATGCCTATAATTCCAGCACTGTGGGAGGCTGAGGCAGGCGAGGTCTGGAGTTGGAGGTCCGGAGTTGGAGACTAGCTTGACCAACATGGTGAAACCCTGTTTCTGCTAAAAATACAAAAATACAAAAATTAGCCAGGTGAGGTGGTGCCCACCTGTAATTCCAGCTTTCCAGCTACTTGGGAGGCTGAAGCATGAGAGTTGCTCAAACTCAAGGGGTGGGGGTTGCAGTGAGCCAAGATCATTCCACAGCACTCCAGCCTGGGCGACGGAGTGAGTCTCGGTCTAAAAAAAAAACAACAAAAAACGGTGATACTAGATGGATACTAGAAACTACAGATGGGGAATCATACTATTGTTTCCCTAAGAAAATGATAGTTTAGTTTGTCAAAGTGCAGTTAGTCAATTCTGGAAGGGAATGAAGAGATCTCAGAACTAGCATGGATTCAGGAAGAACAGATAATTCCTTATGTTCTAATTTCCTTTTGCTAAAAATTCACTAGACTGAATATTGGAGACACAGTGTATCTGGAGCTCATGAAGACATTTCAAAGGTTTTTCATTGGCTCCATTATCTGGGTTGAGTGATGTTATGGTATTTGGAGACTGTCTTTCTCTCTGATGAAGGATATGAGCTTTGGAGTAGGACAGATGTGTGTGAATTCCAGATCTGCTACTTACTATCTTGGACATTAAGAAAATTGCCTCTGCCTCTGCCTCTGCCTCTGCCCCTGCCCCTGCCCCTGCCCCTGCCCCTGCCCCTGCCTCTCTCTCCACGGTCTCCCTCTGATGCCGAGCCGAAGCTGGACTGTACTGCCGCCATCTCGGCTCACTGCAACCTCCCTGCCTGATTCTCCTGCTTCAGCCTGCCGAGTGCCTGGGATTGCAGGTGCGCGCTGCCACGCCTGATTGGTTTTCGTATTTTTTTGGTGGAGATGGGGTTTCGCTGTGTTGGCCGGGCTGGTTTCCAGCTCCTAACTGCGAGTGAGCTGCCAGCCTCGGCCTCCCGAGGTGCTGGGATTGCAGACGGAGTCTCATTCACTCAGTGCTCAATGTTGCCCAGGCTGGAGTGCAGTGGCCTGATCTCGGCTCCCTACAACCTCCACCTCCCAGCCGCCTGCCTTGGCCTCCCAAAGTGCCGAGATTGCAGCCTCTGCCCGGCCGCCATCCCGTCTGGGAAGTGAGTAGCATCTCTGCCTGGCTGCCCATCGTCTGGGATGTGAGAAGCCCCTCTGCCTGGCTGCCCAGTCTGGTAAGTGAGGAGCGCCTCTTCCCGGCCGCCATCCTGTCTAGGAAGTGAGGAGCGTCTCTGCCCGGCAGCCCATCGTCTGAGATGTGGGGAGTGCCTCTGCCCCACCACCCCGTCTGGGATGTGAGGAGCGCCTCTGCCTGGCCGTGACCCTGTTTGGGAGGTGAGGAGCATCTCTGCCTGGCCGCCCCATCTGAGAAGTGAGGAGCCCCTCTGCCTGGCAGCCACCCTGTCTGAGAAATGAGGAGCCCCTCCGCCTGGCAGCCGCCCCTTCTGGGAAGTGAGGAGCCCCTCTGCCCGGCCGCCACCCCATCTGGGAGGTGTACCCAACAGCTCATTGAGAACGGGCCATGATGACGATGGCGGTTTCGTCGAATAGAAAAGGGGGAAATGTGGGGAAAAGATAGAGAAATCAGATGGTTGCTGTGTCTGTGTAGAAAGAAGTAGATATAGGAGACTCCATTTTGTTCTGTACTAAGAAAAATTCTTCTGCCTTGGGATGCTGTTAATCTATAACCTTACCCCCAACCCCATGCTCTCTGAAACATCTGCTGTGTCCACTCAGGGTTAAATGGATTAAGGGCGGTGCAAGATGTGCTTTGTTAAACAGATGCTTGAAGGCAGCATGCTTCATCGTCATCACCACTCCCTAATCTCAAGTACCCAGGGACACAAACACTGCAGAAGGCCGCAGGGTCCTCTGCCTAGGAAAACCAGAGACCCTTGTTCACTTGTTTATCTGCTGACTTTCCCTCCACTATTGTCCTATGACCCTGCCAAATCCCCCTCTGCGAGAAACACCCAAGAATGATCAATAAATACTAAAAAAAAAAATCTGAAAAAAAAAAAGAAAATTACCTAACCTCCCTGAGCCTCAATTGCTATGTATGATACATATTTCCTTATTAAACATATTTCCTACATGAAATATGTGCATGACAATAGCCATTGTGTGGGAATAGTCATCATGATTAATTGAGATAATACATATAAAATGCTTTTCATGACCTCCAGTATAAGGAAACCACTCAGTATGTGTTGTATCTACTGTTTCCATCTCAGATTTGCAGTTATTTGAATAATTATCTCCCAAAGAGATTAATTGATTAATAATAAACAATTTAAGACAGTAGCTTTAATAGTTAGTTTGCCACAGGACTTTGTCCTTAGTCTCATTCTTGCTAATATAAAAGACTTGAAGAATATTTACAAGACATGTTAGTTACTTTCTAGGTGCTAAACATCAGGGAAAATAGTACACTGGATTACAGAATGAGGATTCGCAAATATTTTAACAGGCCAATACTCTGGAACAAATCCCAAAAGCTATAATTTAGCAAAGATAAAAATAACAAAAATATGAGCAAGAAGTGGGGGCCTCATAGACCGACAGAGGAAGACATGAAAATACCCACAGATTTTTGCCACTCAGGGCCCTTATGGTTTCTGGACTGTAGTAACCACATCAGCATCATGCCCAACAACTTACTGAGAATGAAAAATCTATAGAGTAAGTGAGATCCCAGGTTGCATTAGTAAACTTGGTTTAAGCGCAGAAAAGTTGCAATCCTACAGTTTTTTTATGTTGGTAAAACTGCATTTCAGGACTTGTGTCCAACTGGAGTGGCTTGCGCTATGACTATCACTGATAAACTAAAATGTCTCAGAAAGCACTCAGGCTAGGTACAGTGACTATAATGTCAGCACTTTGGGAGTCGGAGGCAGGAGGATTGCTTGAGCCCAGGAGTTCAAGACCAGTCTAGGCAACATAGTGACACTTTTTTTTCTACAAAAAATAAAGAAAACTTAGCTGGGCATGGTGGCTTGTGCCTGTAGTTCCAACTACTCAGGAGGCTGAGGTGGGAGGATCACTTGATCCCAAGAAGTAGAGGTTGCAGTGAGTCAAAATTACACCATTGCACTCAGTCAAAATTGCACCATTGCACTCCAACCTGGGTGACAGAATAAGACCATATCTCAAAACAAAAACAAAAACAAGAAAGCAATCAGATTTTAAAAAGTTCTGAAAGTCATGCCAAGGGAGAAAGAGTTGAGAAAACTGAATTTTTACACTAACACAGAGAAAACTTGGGAATGTGAATGCTGTCTTTCAATATTTGATGATGGTCTTGGGGAAGGAGAACTAGACTGAGGAAAAAATTGTCATTTGTCTCGTTCACTGCTATATTGCCAGTGTATAGCAAAGTGGCTGGCTCAAATGTGTTCAAAGCATTTTAGGCAAAATAATTCTCTTTTGCTCTAAAGATACAGAATAAGATCAATAGGGAGATTCTACTAGGAGGCAGATATAACTCACTGTGGGAAAAAAATTTCTAAAAATTTCAAGCACTAGAAAAAGCATCTTTGATTATGGTGAACTGTCAGGCTCCGTAGGATGCAGGCAGAGTTTGTACGACCTCAGTCTAGAATGGGGTAATGCTGGGGCAGGAGGTCTATCTATATAACACTGGGCAGGAGGTCCTTTGCAACACCAAGATGCTGGGATTCTACTACAGGTGCTCAGCTTGATATTGCATTGTGAGTTCAGCAGATTAATCATTGTAAAGGACTGGCATTGAGAGATACATGTGGAAGATTCCATTATTTCTGCATCTGTAAAAGTATTATCTGATTGGGGAATTGTACACATTTCTGAGCCCATGTTTCCTTGTAATGCATAAGTTATCTGATATCAATTAGTAGAAACAACATCACAGTAATTATACTCAACAGCTTTATTGGTCTGTCAGTCTGATTGTTTTGCTTTTGTCATTATCACTTTTTTCCATATTTAATAGGATTTATGTGGGTGGCTTTATAGAATGAAGAAAAGCAAATTTATTTATTTAGGGTATGGATGAAGGGCCTTTTAGGCCTTTATTTGCAATAATTTTTGAGGAACAGTTGTTTGATCCCTAAAAGAAATAAATGCTTTGCAGAACATTTCTCCAATGAACACACTCAAAGCCAGGCTCCCTTTGAGGGAGTTTCAAAAACCTTTAAGTGATTTACATAAGCACACAAGTAAAGAGAAGCAATTCTTTCCAAGTCCCTCCTTAATTGCAAAGGAATGTGAAAACTCTTTATAAAACTTTCACTAGTATTTACAAAGAAAGTATGAAGAGTGTTCTTTTCCTGCTGTATTATAAAATATTTTTATTAACTCCATCATTACAACCTAAATTAAATTTAAAAAATATTTTAAGACCCAACTAAGCATGGGCAGTCACTTTTTCATGCTCTTTCTTACTGGCTGTCTTGATAATTTTGGACAATGCACTGTAACCTCTGCCTCCTGGATTCAAGCAATTCTCCTGCCTCAGCCTCCCGAGTAGCTGGGATTACAGGCATGTGCCACCATGCCTGGCTAATTTTGTATTTTTAGTAGAGGCGGGGTTTCTCCATGTTGGTCAGGCTAGTCTCAAACTCCCGGCCTCAGGTGATCCGCCCGCCTTGGCCTCCCAAAGTGTTGGGATTACAGGCGTGAGCCACTGAGACCGGCCAGAAAGTTTTTTAAAAATAAAAATTGTGATTAGTGATTGGTAAATTAAATACATATATATGTGTGTGTGTGTGTGTGTGTGTGTGTGTGTGTGTATGGATTAGTTCATTTTCATGTTGCTGATGAAGACATATCCGAGACTAATTTATAAAGAAAAGGAAATTTAATGGACTCACAGTTCCACGTGTCTGGGGAGGCCTCCCAATCATGGCAGAAGGTGAAAGGCACATCTTACATGGCAGCAGACAAGAGAGAAAAGAGAACCAAGTGGAAGGGGAAACCCCTTACAAAACCATGAGAACTTGCGAGACTTATTCACCACCATGAGAACAGTATAAGGGAAACCACCCTCATGACTCAATTATCTCCCACCTGGGCCCTCTCACAACAAGTGGGAATTATGGGAGCTGCAATTCAAGATGAGATTTTGGTGGGGACACAGCCAAACCATATCAATAGGGGTTTCTATTTGCTTCATTTCAGGCTCTGAGATTCTGCATTTCTTAGGAGAAACTCTTCCATATTCTGCTAGTGGTGACTTTCTCCCATGAAGTTTCACTCTGAGCATTTCTAAATCTTGATTTGTACACTTGCCAATGGAAGCCTATCTCCAGGGTCACATCTTTTACCACCTCTTAGGTTTTGGCTCTTGGTCCAAGGAAAGCAAAGAGCATTGGTCTATGAACCAATGTGAAGGCTAGCCTTGGCCTCGACTCCACGCACTACCTAGACTTGCCTGGTCTTTTACCTCAGAATCCAGAAGCTAGATGTTGTGAGTGATTGTTCAAGCATATTGAATGACAGCTTTTCTAAGCCTTTCTTCTGTGGAAATACAGCTCAGGGAGAGAGCAGATCAGACAACAACTAGTAATTGGAGATGATAGAAATGATCTAGGATATACAGCTTTACTTGGAAGCAACTTTTCTGGTTTTCACAAATCCATAATGGAAGTCTGACTATGGTTTCTCCTTAACCTGGTGTTTTGGGGCAACGGGTCTTTCTTATTAATGACCTTGATATTGTTTTTGCAAATACTTTTTATTTCAGTTCTAACTAGAGGGACGGTCCTAGAAAATGATTAACACAATTTTAGAGAATGTGATGACAGTGGCTCCAAAGTGACCTTGTACCTAAGCAACTCAAAAGAAAAAAAAAATGACTTTGGCTAAAAAGAGAGACCAGAGTTCCAGGGCCCTCCAAGTCACATGAGATCTGAAAAGAAGCAGCATACCAGCTCTAGCCTTTTATCCAAATATTATCTAGTGCCTTAAACTATTATTTCCAACCAACACTTATTTTTTTCTTCAAAGGAAGAAGAACACCATTTATTTTGGAGTGATTATTATATTAATATACCCTATACCATCAACTTATATTTGAGAATAAATGCAATTACTCCTATGTGAAATGGTCACATTATAGGCACTTCAATTAAATTAGTAATTTGTGGATTTAACTGGGCAGAAAGACACAAAGGACCACCATCATTAACTCTGCCCTTTACTCCACATTTATTTTATGTACACTGATTAGGATTCTACCTGTTTTGACAACAGCAACACTGCTTTACTTTTTATTATGGTCTTTTCTACTCTCGAAATTGCTTCCTTCTGTCTAGTAGCCTAACAGTATTAACTAATAGCTGCCACCTATTGAGACCTCACCATGTCTCCTGCCCTAAATGAAGCACAGTACTTTACTTTGCTCACTTAATTTCATCTTCACAGGGTGTATGAAAAATGCACTCTTACTTGAGTTTTTCAGATAAGGAAACCAAGCCCAAAGGGATTAAGTAAATTTCATCAATTTTTATAGAACTTTTAAATGACAGAAATAGGATTTGAGCCTAAATTTGACTGCAAACCTGACTCCTTAGCGGTGTAAACTTTCAAGGCTCAGAGTCAGCTTTACTTTGACTTCCACAGGCCAGTGGTTTGGACGATGGCAAAACCAGATCCCATATAAGAGAGACAGAAGAAAAAAGTAGAATAAAAGAAGGAGGAAAGAGAAATCAAATAGAGGAAAGGAAAGAAAGATGAATAGAGAAAGTGTAAAATTTTAAAGAAAGAGAAGAAAACAGACACAGCATGTAGTAGGCTGCTGATTCTCTGAATAGTGGTACTCAACATGCAGGTGGGTAATCTTGATCCCCTGAGCATATCTGGAAATGTCTGGGGACATTTTTAAATTCTCAGTTGGCATGGAAGGTGGTGCTGCTTCTGGCATTTAGTGGGCAGAGGCCAACAATGCTGATAAACATTAAGCAATGCATAGAATAGCTTCTACAAAAAGGAATTATCAGTATGTCAATAGTACTGAGGTTGAGAAACTCTGGTCTAGGGTTTGCTTGTCCAACCTCCCCTAGCAAACACCAATCATTAAAAAAGGACATTTTGGAGAGAGAAATGAGATCTTCATCATCTAGGATATAAAAGAATATGAAAGAAGACTTAGTACTGGTAAATTCTTTTGTTTCCCTGCAATATCTGAGAAAAAATTCTATAATGTAGTTTTAGAGTGGCACACTTCATATTTTTAATACAAATTGAATATGTTACTCAATATAAATTGCAATTTAATGTCAGTGAACTCTAAGGAAGCAGAATGGGGTTGAATAATCAGTTCTAACTCTCCTCTGTGAGGACTTCAAAATCCCAGTGTTGGAAGAGAGAGGACCATAAGGAACCATTATACCAGGCCTGTCATTTTACAAAGGAGGGAGTCAGGGCTCAGAAAAATGAAGTGACTTGCCTAAGGCCATAGATGGCTGGGTTGAGACAAAACCCCAGTTCTTCAACCTTCTAATTCTCAGTTCTTTCCCTCTATCAAACTTGGTTCTGCAATTTACTACTAACACTAACCATCAGAAATGACTTAAGCATCTTTTTCTTTAACTTATCAGGTCTATTTGTTAAAAGCACACAAGACGCGTGCACAAACCCTGACACTCAGACATAACAACTTACAGATTCCTTTCAAAGTTTTGTAATAGTTAATACAATATCCCCTCTTTCTTCTGGGGAAAGAAAGGTAATGATAAGAAAGTACTGCATTTGATTAAATCAGACTATAATTTTGCCATGATGATAGTTGCCAAGCCTTTGTAACTCACAGTAGTAGTAACACTTTGAATTCACCATTTCTCTTAATTTAATGCAGTTTTCAAATATGTCTTTCTCATCAGTGTAACTTAAGCATGGGAAAATAAAGCACAAAAATTAAAATCAGATACATGAATGAACTATGCATTAATATACAAATATTTATTAGATGCCAACTGCTTGTGTTGAGCACCTCAGATTGTGGCAGTGACAGCTAACACTTAAGTGATTCTCTGTGCCAAGCAATGGTGTAAGTGTATGTGTTATGTGTATTAACTCATGTACTGTACTAACCATGGTAGGATCTGGAGATGACAAGAAACTAAAGGCCAAATCCTCTATCTTTTGAGAATATGTATTTAATTAGAGAAGCAATGCATGTGAGGCTGATGCCTACTTGTACATAGAAATGTCTGATGAAGCCTAAAAGGAAAACCAATAGGAGATAAAGCTACTATTAGTAAGAGCATGATTTTAATCAGAGAGGGTTTCTGGGAGAAGGTAGATGTACAACTAAAACTGAAAGGAAGCAGAAGAGAGGGAAAACAGAGAGGCACAGGAGGATTGGGTGTCAGGAATTGTGAAAGTATAAAGAACCCTTTTCTAACTGCAACTGAGAAACCATATTAATGATATTGTAATATGTGTTTGTTTAACTGCTATTTTTTCATAGTTATATTCTAAGGCAAAGTTCTAAAACTAATTAAATGACTCAAGGTGAATTGAATTCAACTTGACCTACCTTAACATGATACCTGAAGCCTTTATCTGCAAGCCAGAAGGGAAGCTTCCCAGAACTGGGAGGGGATCCAAGCAGAGGATCCGGGGTTCTTCCTGAGTGTGAAAATGAATGTTATTTTTCCCTCCAGGCTGCTTCTAAGGAGTTAGCTCACACTTCCAAAAGGCATGTAGTAGTCTGTCTCTTCAGCTAGCCAACAATTTCATTTGGTGGGAGATAAAAACAACAACAACAAACCACTATTTATTTTCCTGGGTAACTGGAAAGGTGTATAGGATGATAGATTAATTCACTCACTGATATAGTCAAATATTTCTTGTTCAGAGGTGCAACTCACTCAAATATTATGTATAGAGTGAGGTGATAAAAAAGCAGCAATAGGCTGGGCGCGGTGGCTCACGCCTGTAATCCCAGCACTTTGGGAGGCCGAGGCGGGTGGATCATGAGGTCAGGAGATCGAGACCATCCTGGCTAACAAGGTGAAACCCCGTCTCTACTAAAAATACAAAAAAAAAAAAAAATTAGCCGGGCGCGGTGGCGGGCGCCTGTAGTCCCAGCTACTCGGGAGGCTGAGGCAGGAGAATGGCGTGAACCCGGGAAGCGGAGCTTGCAGTGAGCCGAGATTGCGCCACTGCAGTCCGCAGTCCGGCCTGGGCGACAGAGCAAGACTCCGTCTCAAAAAAAAAAAAAAAAAAAAGCAGCAATAATACCACCTTTGTTTTAATATCAGTTTATTATTCTAAAATAATGTTTTAGAGGAATTGTAATAAAATCCTAAAGCCTAGATATAAAAATTTCATATGTGGTTGACTACAGATATGTTAAAAATTATTCTACCACTTAAATTTACAAGAAAAAAAAAACACCATTAAAAAGTAGGCAAAGGACATGAACAGACACATCTCAAAAGAAGACATTTATGCAGCCAACAAACATGAAAAGAAGCTCAACATCACTGGTCATTAGAGTAAGGCAAATCAAAACCACAATGAGATACCATCTCATGCCATCTCATGGTGATTATTACAAAGTCAAGAAACAATAAGCCAGGCGCAGTGGCTCATGCCTGTAATCTCAGCACTTTGGGAGGCCGAGGTGGGTGGATCACCTGAGGTCACGAGTTCAAGACCAGCCTGGCCAACATGGTGAAACCCCGTCTCTAATAAAAATACAAAAAATTAACTGGGCATGGTGGCGGGCGCCTGTAATCCCAGCTACTCAGGAGGCTGAGGCAGGAGAATCGCTTGAACACAGGAGGTGGAGGTTGCAGTGAGCCGAGATCCTGCCATTGCACCCCAGCCTGGGCTACAAGAGTGAAACTCCGTCTCAGAAAAAAAAAAAGAAAAAAAAAGAAACAATAGATGCTGGAAAGGTTGTGGAGAAATAGGAATGTTTTTACACTGCTGGTGGGAATGTAAATTAATTCAACCATTGTGGAAGATGGTGTGACAATTTCTCAAAGATCTAGAACCAGAAATACCATTTGACCCAGCAATTCCACTACTGGATATAAATCATTCTATTACAAAGACATATTCATGCATATGTTTGTTGCAGCACTATTCACAATAGCAAAGACATGGAATCAATCCAAATGCCCATCAATGATAGACTGGATTAAAAAAATGTGGTACATATACATCATAGAATACCACGCAGCCATAAAAAGGAATGAGATCATGTCCTTTGCAGGGACATGGATGGAGCTGGAAGCTATTATCCTCAGTAAATTAACACAGGAACAGAAAACCAAACACCACATGTTCTCACTTTGAAGTGGGAGCTGAACAATTAGAACACATGGACACAGGGAGGGGAACAACACACACTGGGGCCTGGCAGTGGGTAGGATGTGGGGGAAGGGGGAGCATTAGGAAAAATAGCTAATGCATTTGGGGCTTAATACCTAGGTGATGGGTTGATAGGTGGAGCAAACCCCCATGGCCCACATTTACCTATGTAACAAACCTGCACTTTCTGCACATGTATCCTGGAACCTAAAATAAACATGTATATAATATATTATATATTCTACTGATCAATCAGAACAGTTTTGGGGAGAGGGTCTACATCTAGTTGAACAAATCCAGCAGAGGCTTGCTTGTAATTGTTGCTTTGTAGAGAAAACAGAAAGAATGGCATGGTTAAGAGACTATTTTGGGTCCACGGAATAAGAGGCATAATTTGTACATTATGCTGTTTTGAAAGAAAGCCTGACTCTATTTTTACTTACTGATATATGCTGGCTCTTGGCTTTTACCTCTTTGATTTTTTTTTTTTAGTGGGTCTCACTTGCCCCATTCATTGGATCATTATTAAAGTAATCTTTAAAAGAACATTATTAGAAGTTTTTGACATTTCCTGTCCAAGGGATTTGAGGTCAGTAAGAAATTATATTAAAAATCATACTTTAAAAGTTCTGTATAAAGTTAATCTGTAATTAAAATCAGACATTCCAGATTAACCTCTGTTATAAAATGAAACAAGATAAATGAAATATGGTGAATGAAGATAAACAATAAGTGGTGATAAATAAAACATGATTCTTTTCATTACTTAGGTAGCTTGGGTTTCATGAGGAATGGGGAATGGCTCTGAAAATTTAAATTTTGGCATAGTTTGCTATTAGACCATGGGAACATTTTAGCTTTCATTCTCTATGCAAATAATGGCAATACTATACTTTGGGCATTCATGGGAAAAGAGACAAGATTAATTTTAACAAATACTTTAAAATCTTTTTTTATCTTTTGATTAGAGTGAAGAAACACAAAGCAACTTTAGGAGGTGGTTAAAAAAATAACATAATGAGCAATGTTCTCTCTTTCAAAATCTAGAACATTGGATGGGAACTAAGTTTCCCCTTTAGCTCACCAGATTCTGGGTTTACGCTTTTATATACAAAGAAAGAGTGAGAACACAACTGGTTAGATACAAAAAGTGGAGGAAATTATGGAAGCCTAGAAATGCGGATATGATAATGAGTGAAAAAAAATACCTGGCATCATTTTCTTAATAGGACTCACCTTTTTCTTGCAAACAATCTAGATCTTGAAGTAAATAAGATGGTTTAATTTAGTGCCTGAAATAGAAACACACATGGTTCATCACTCAATTACAATAATAGTGTAAGGAAAAAATGTTTTTGCTTGAATAGTTTTAGCATATTACAAGAAATAAACATGAAATTAGATTCTGTTATGCATTTTTGGTAGGGATAGCTTGGAATTATGTGTTGTCAACTGCATCATATCAAAGGCAAATGATGTAAACCTGTGCCATTGCTGGTGCTATTAATGTTGATTGCTTCGTTAACATAGTGTCTGCTAGGTATCTCCATTATAAAGTCATTCTTTTTCCTCTGTGGGGAGGAAGCACAGAACTAATACAATATCAGAGATACACTACAAAATACCTGTTAATAATCATAAAAGGAGGACTGAGAAACTATTCTATATTGAAGGAGATTAAAA
This sequence comes from Homo sapiens, assembly GCF_000001405.40. Taxonomy (NCBI): domain Eukaryota; kingdom Metazoa; phylum Chordata; class Mammalia; order Primates; family Hominidae; genus Homo; species Homo sapiens. The sequence goes on along the minus strand of NC_000006.12, from coordinate 50,799,467 downwards.
AGATGACAACTGAATGCAAGATATAATCTGATATTTTCTTTTGCTGTAAAATATATTATTGGTATATTTGGAGAAATCTAAACAAGTTTGTAAATTATAAGTAATATTTTATTAATACTATGTTTCTGATTTTGAAAATTAGGGTGTGGCTATATAAAAATGTATTTGAATTTAGGAAACACACACTGAAATATTTTGGGGTAAAGAAGTGTTATGTCTGTGATTTATTCTCAAATGGATATATAAAGCAATTTAGGTAGAATGTTAATATTTAGAGAATCTGAGTGAAGTGTATGTTAACACACTCTTCAGCAATTTATAAGGCCAAAGAAAAGACCCAGTTGTGACAGCTGGTTCTTGTTTTGATTTCTTGTCTAATCCTGGGAAAAATACTTAGATCTTGTTCTTTAACTATCACTATCACCATTTTTCACTTTGTTCTGTTCCCATTTGTAATGAATTTATATTCAGACTTTGAAATTCAGTTTCTTTATAGCCTTAGTGAATTCATTTTTACTAGGAATAAAACTTGCTGAAAGATTGTCTTTTCCAGCCTCTGATGGTCATATGGTCACATAACCAGTGAACTGTAAGTGCAATGTGGTGTGAGGCTCTAGGAAGGCTGTTCAAAGGGAGCAACTCATCTGAGACGGGTACATTTAGTTCTTTGTCTCTTTCTCATTCCTCTTGTCTGCAGTGTAGGCATGACGATGCCATGTATTGAAACTTAAAGATGGAAGCTTGTGTTCAGATAGTGGAGCTGAAGGACAGAAAGAGGCCTGGACTACTGATGAGTGAAGTCACTACACCAACCCTGGACTGCCTGCTTCTGTACTTCTTTTATATAAGAGAGAAATAAACTTTTTCTCATGCAAGCCATTTTGATTTTGGATTTCCTGTTAAACCTATTCTTTTTTTTTTTTTTTTTGAGACGGAGTCTCGCTCTGTCGCCCAGGCTGGAGTGCAGTGGCGCGATCTCGGCTCACTGCAAGCTCCGCCTCCCGGGTTCACGCCATTCTCCTGCCTCAGCCTCCCGAGTAGCTGGGACTACAGGCGCCCGCCACTACGCCCGGCTAATTTTTTGTATTTTTAGTAGAGACGGGGTTTCACCGTGTTAGCCAGGATGGTCTCGATCTCCTGACCTCGTGATCCGCCCGCCTCGGCCTCCCAAAGTGCTGGGATTACAGGCGTGAGCCACCGCGCCCGGCCGTTAAACCTATTCTTAACTCATTGACGACATTACTCTGAGAGTCTTAACACAGTAAGATAGTTTCTCCAGCCACCTACTACATTTAGGTATCAAAAGTATATTAATTGTATTTTCCCAGTCTTCCGAGTTTGGACTGCTTTATGGAATGACCATGATTGAAGACCAAGCTATTCTTCTTTGGCCTGAAAGAGGAAAGTTGAATCAAAAGTTTTGCTTTACTTTTAGGGTCTTCCCAAATAGGTAGAGATGGAGGATCCAGTGGTGTGGTGATGACAGGTTTCTTCAGAGCATACATACGTTTCTCCCCTTCTTCCAAGACTTTAGGATTTTGCTAGGTCTATAAAGGGAAGGCTTCTTATCATTGGAGGAGGCTGACCATGTCAGGACATGCTTATTCATAAGAGAAATTTATAGCAGAAAATCAGCATCTAGTATACACTCTCCAAAGACAGGACTGTCAGCATCTCTCTTTCATGCTTGAGCCCTCCACTGGCTCTCTGTTACATCAAAACTTCTCTTAGGACTTTAAAGCCACCCAGATGTTTTTTCACGCCTTTTACTTGGTGCATTATTTCTTCCATTTCTTATTAAACAGTCCTCATCATTGTACACCAGTTATGTATCAATTCCCATCGCTATACTTTTCTTACTCTGCCTAACCTTAATATTACTTGGGAATAAGTTCAAGTTTTACGTTTTTCTTAAATCACCCTCTCATTACTCAGGTGCTCATTGATTTCTCTGACTACAAGCTGGAGTCAACAGCATACAGCTTGGTAATTAATCATCACTGTATGTTTCACAGCACAGCCATCTCCTTGAGCAAGATTAAGACTTCTTTGAGGCTCATCCTCAGTATATCTCATGGATGTCTCTTGCATGCTTTTGTGTATATGATGTTCTGTGTCTATGCTGCTTTATCAAATTTCAATCCACCTAAATGAGGCAAGTAAAAGGTATTTTTTTTAATTTTAGGTTTTTAATTATTATGGGCACATACTAGGTGTATATATGTATGTATGGGGTACATGTGATTTTTGGTATAGGCATTCAATGATATTGGGTAATTGGGTGTCTGTCACCTCTAGCATTTATTTCTTTGTTTGAGGAACATTTCAATCTCACTCCCTTAGTTATTTTAAAATATGCAATAAATTATTGTTGACTACAGTTAGTTACCCCTTTGCATGATCAAATACTAGACCTTATTCATTCAAACTATATTTTTGCACCCATTAACCATCCTCATTCATCCCCACTCTCCCTCATCCCGCTACCAAGAACCCTCATGGGCTAAACCTAACTTTGAACCTGGACTGCCCTGCAGCAGTGTGATCGTAGCTTACTGCAGCCTTGAACTCCTGGGCTCCGTTGATCCTCCCGACTCAGCCTCTCAAGTATCTGAGACTACAAGTGCAGGCCACCAAACCTGGCTAATTTTTTATTTTTGTTTTTTGTAGAGACAAGGTCTTGCTATGTTGCCCAGGCTGTTCTTGAACTCCTGGTCTCAAGTGATCTTCCCACCTTGGCTTCTCAAAGTTCTGGGATTAAAGACATGAGCCACTGCATCCAGCCTATTTTCGTTTTAAACAATCATTTAACAGGAAGGAAAGCTGTGAGGTCAAAATAAGTAAAATGGGTAACAGGAAATAAGTTAGAAGATAAAGATTAGAACCAAAATCTTCTTTTTTCCCAGCTATTTCTCTTCCTGTTAAGCAACACAAGTTAGAATGTAAGCTCAGTGAGGTCACAGTCTAGGTTTGCTGATGTTGTTGTTTTTGTTGATATATCCCCAGTATCTAGAAGACTGCATGGCACCTACTAGGTCCTCAATACATATTTATTAAATAACTAAATGAGGGCTTTAGAGGCTAGACAATAAATTTTGCCCTTTATTATAAAAGACCATAGATATATAAGCTGATTTTCCCATATCTTCAAGAAAGTGTCTTACAGTTAGATAGAAGGAATAAGTTCTAGTGTACCATGGCAAACTATAGTTAACAACAGTATGTACATTAATAATTGATCGTTATTGATAGATGGTGGAACTCCTAGATGGAAATATTAACAGGGGTAGGAATTCGGTGCTTTTTTTTTCTTTTTCTTTTTTTTCTTTCTTTCTTTTTTTTTTTTTTTGAGATGGAGTCTCCCTCTATTGCCCAGGCTGGAGTGCAGTGGCATAATCTTGGCTCACTGCAACCTCCACCTCCTGGGTTCAAGTGATTCTCCTTCCTCAGCCTCCCAAGTAGCTGGGACTACAGGCACGAGCCCCGACGCCCAGCTAGTTTCTTTGTATTTTTAGTAGAGATGGGGTTTCACCATATTGGCCATGCTGATCTCGAGCTCCTGACCTTGTGATCCGCCCACCTTGGCCTCCCAAAGTGCTAGGATTACAGGCGTGAGCCCTGTGCCAGGCTTAGAGCTTTTTTTTTTTTTTAAGATATCACATGCAGCTGGAATGTACCAATTAGTGCTGTGGAAACTGACTTGAAGCTAACTGGAATTCCCCTCAAATGTTCCAACTTAAAGTCGTACAAGCCTATTTTACCAGATGGTTTATGAATGAACTATAGAATTTTGTGGCTCATAAGTAATGTATAGTAATGACACCTTCCCATTTGCTATTTACTTACACAGGTAGAAGCAGCAGACACGTGAAGAAAGATCTGAAGAATATTTTGATCCTTTGGAGGAACCACATCAAGCTTTTGAGGCAACCAAGGGTGTAAATATTCTGTACTGGAGGTCACATTATGGAATGGTTAAGGGGCTAATAGGGGCTGAAGACGTTCTGTGGGTTGAGGAGAGGGAAACAAAAGACTTCATTCCTAATACCATTGAAACTTCAGGGAGGACATCTTGTATTGCCCAAGAAAACTCTGTAAGTCAGGAATGACAACTGTAATACACTGTGGTCTCTGGGTCTGATATTGCTTCTAAATAATGATCCATGAGAATATATTCATTTTGAACTATTCTGTGCATTGTGTACATGTAGATTCTAGGCCCAGAATTATGTAGATAATGGGGTTGCCCCATTACTTAAGATGTAAGAGTGGGAGGTAGAAAAATCTCACCCTAACACCCACTCTAGTTGTGCACACAATATCAGTCCAGTAGGGAAAGGGGAAGCCAACTTAGGGCTCCATCAAACCCACCTGGCCGTGGATAGGCGAGAGAAAAGAAGCCTGGGAAAGCCATGGGAAAGAAAAGGTTATTCAGTGAAGAAAAGGGTATTTTTCTCTCCTTTCCAAAGCTCCATGGGGACTCCATTTTCTCCCAGCTGGTCACATTTTTATGGGCCTCCACCTTCCTATCAATTAGCCTTCCGGTCTCCTGCCCCTCCATCCTTCGGTTAGCCTGGACTCTGGTAGTGCTTGAGCTACCTGAAGGAGGTGGGTGTGCTTTTTCATGCCTCTTTCTCTCCCCTGATTCATTTTCTCAGCAGACTGGCCAAAGAGAGGTCCTTGAAACCCACTAGCCCCACAAAGTCCTGAAGCGACCTTATTCTGTGTGATTAGCTCACCCCAAATGAGTTGTTATTTAGGGGTGAACTGCCTAGTTATTTCCATGGAGATTTTTGCCAGTGTCAGAAATAAATTTTGATATTGAATTTAAATATGCTGCAATAAATAAATTAAGAAATGTGATTAAAGCCAACAGTCCTTGGCACACACGTATACATAACCATAAATACTGATCTGAAATTCATAAGCATCTTCTAGCCTATACAGATCCCATTTTTACCAAGAAGGCAAAAGGCAAAAGAGAAAGAGAAAGAAACAGAGAGAGAGAGAAAGAGAGAGAGAGGCAGGGATGGAGAGAGAGAGAGAGGGATAGAGAGAGAGAAAGGAAGAGAGAAACACACGATGGGCATCGGGGAGGGAGTGGGAGCAGAAAATAAAATCAAAAAATCAAACTCGGTCCTGGGAATGTGGGCTTAAGATGTATAATGTGCTTTCCTCTGTGCTCAACCATAGTTTTCTGCCCTAAGGTGGTAGTTTTCAAGCTTTAGGATGCTTTAATGGGGGGTATGAATTTAATACAATTTCTAAGTCTCCACCTTCAGAAATACTGATTCAGTTTATTCTGTAAATCAGGAGTAGAGTCTAGGGATTTTCATTTTACTAAAGACTTCAGAAAATTCAGATTCAAGTGGTCCTGTGAAACTTTGTAGGGGGTGGTGTGTGTGTATAAAATTTCCTTTTGAATAAATGTGGCCATGCTAGAAATCCAGGGTTGATTACTTGGACAAAGGAAAAATAAAACATGTATGAGTCATGGAAGGAAATTGAAAATATTTTGTATCTGTGTGCTGCCATGATATCTAATAATCTAATAGGGAAGATGTACCATAGTTATTTTTCTGTTGTGCTTTTTCAAGCGATGTATGTGATTTGATGAGGTGTACCATCATCTGAGTTCACATAAAAGGCAGTCTAGAATTTCTCACAAAACTTTCCAGAAGTGAGGCTAAGCAGATGGCAAGCTATATCAGAAGAAAACACAGCATGATGGAAATGGCAAACCCATTTGACCATGAGGGACTCCGGGATCCGGTTTTGGTGCTTCTTTGGGTAAACCTCTGAAGTTCTTTGGGCATCATGATTCTTACCTCTAAAATGAAGAGTGTGGGAAAGATGGCCTTTTGGTTCACTTCTAGAGCTGAATTCTCCAGAAAGACTTTGTGGTTGCCTTTTTGAGTAATTCATTGCTGTCAGAAATTGGATGAAGGTCAGGTAGTCTTTGAGTATCAAGTTGTTAAGCCTTAAAATACTAGCAACAATTTTATTCAGCACCTTCTGTGTACCAGGATCTCTGCTTTATGCTTCATATGCATTTGCCCCAATCCTTCCCTGAATTCAGTTTGGTTTCTCTGCTATCATTTTATGTATTAGGAAAATATGATTCGGGGAAGATAGGCAGCGCAATGTAAGGTTTAAGAACAAGAGTTCTAGAGCCTTTAGACCTGGGCCTGAATCCTGACTCCACCACTCAATAACTATATGACTAAGTATGTAAAAGTTATTGAACAATCTCCATGGCTTAGTTTTCTCATTTGTAAAATGAGAATTATAACAGTTTTTCCCTCATGGGGTTGCTATATATGGTACACGTTATGCAAGTGTTTGCTCTGACAGTTATTAAATATTTTGTTAGAGCTGAGATTTGAATCCAAGTCTGTTTGAATATGAAACCCATGCTAGTTCTTAGCCCAGTGATTGAAACCACATTGCTGAGCCAGTGTGTTTGAGTCCAAATAAAGATTCAGTGAGTCAAGATGCATCATTTAGACTCAAAAATGAATGTCAAAAGTAACTGGCAAGGAAGGATACAACATGTTCCCAAACTGGGACCAATTAAGATTTTAAGCCATTATATTTCACATAAACCTTCTGGAAACTTTGAATTAAATCCATGATTCAAATAAAGTTATGAGATTAAACATAACATCCATACTGTAAGAAAATTCACATACACACACACGTACAAAATAACACACAGTGTTTATTTGTCACCCTCAATATGCTTGTAGGGTTGGAGGAAAAATTTCTACTTTAAAGATAAGAGAACCACAGCACAGAGCAGTGAAATCATTTACTGAACGTTGCATTAAGTGCTCTCATAGACTTTACAGTCCAGAAGGGCTCATAAATGGACACAGAAATGTAATAAAGAATTATAATGTTATGATAAGGTCTTCAGTTACCTATCCATTTATTCCTTCTTTATTTATCTGACACCAATTCTCCTGTTTTCTAACCTAGATCCTTCCCTTTACTAAGAAGCTTCATTTTATTAATTATCTGCACATTAGTTAGGATTAATCCTTCCATATTCCCCACTCATTACATGCTTGTCACTTGTTATTTTAAAAATATTGTCCTATTTTTACTTTGCAGGTTTGAGGAAGTTCAACTTTGTTCTATAAATAGATCTAACATAGTTGTAGAGCACAGAGAACCAATCTTGTCTCTGAATAATATTCTGAATCTGTAGATTGATAGATCAGTCTATCTATTGATCTATCACTTATCTGGTACATTGGCTGGTAGGTGATAAATAACTAGTTGTTGAATGGATATGGGAGCAACTTTTTCCTTCACTTGCTCCAGCAATCCCGTTGATGAATGATAACTCACTTCCTCTTCCAGCAGAGGGCAGTAGAATACACTCTGTAGCACGAAGGCTTTGGGAAATACTGGTGCTATTTTGAAAGTACGGTATTCAGATATGTTTGAAGATAGAGAATAAGGTGACAGTTTTTTGTGAAAAAAAATTAAAGAAAAAGAGACATTATATTAATTCTTGTTATAAGTGAAACAAAAAAAATTTCATTTAATATTTTTCTTCTTCAGGGAATTGGTAGTTGGTATGTGACTCAAAACTGCTCATCACCAGAGAAGCCTATACTTTGCAATTGCCTTTGTTAATTCCTTCTGTATTTAAATAATATCTATACTATGTTTCCTTTGTAGAATGGGTTATAGGGAATATAAATATGTCCCTGTGATTACTAGTTTATTTAATAAGGTAAATGGCTTTTCGGTTTTCTTCTAGAGCCGAATTCTGCAGAAAGACTTTGTGGTTGCCCTTTTGAGTAATTCATTGCTGTCACAAACTGGATAAATTTCAGGTAGACCATAAGTACCAAGTTGTTATGGTATAAAATACTAGTAACAATTTTGCTAGTAGTTACTAAAATATGCTATAGTCAGATAAATCTGTGTCCTGTAATTATTAGTTTATTTATTAACTATTGAATTAACATTTTAAAAGTAACTTTAAAGAAACATTTTTAGGGCAGAGATCTTTTTCTAGAGTTCCACCTGCATAGATAATTTTTTTCCAAACCTTGTTTGCTTATGCCATACTTGGAAATATGTTAGGATATGCAGAGAGTTGTCTCAGCACTTACTCTTTGATCTCACCACCTGCTTGATCATATTTCATATGCAGACACTCACATGTACACATCTCTATCATCCACAACATCCACACTGTCCTCGTTCCTCCTTTTATTATAGTTATCTCTGTCTGTGCCAAGTTTCAATTTGGAAGTCAGAAAGTAAAGGAAGTAAGAAAATCTAAATGTTCTCCCAGATCACAACTCTTTGAGGTATCCCAGTATTGGAGACTGCCAGGCAATGCCAGCTATTTATAACTCAGCTACTTTCTAGCCATGATGAAAGTAAAACTGGAAGTTGAGGAACCAGTGGGTAGAGAAGAGTGGGCCACAATGGAAGAGATAGAAGAGTTTTCTGAGAAAAGCAATATATACAGTAATTTTTAATAGTTGTCCTGTATAAGATTTCAAGTCCATATCATCTCAAATACTGCTTTTTCTTGTAAAGGATTCAGTGGCTATATTGCATTTCATTTCTGGTTCACTTCAACTCAAAATTCTCTAAATAGCTCCTCTTATTGTAAGTATTTGAGTGGTTTGCTATAACAATCTTTATCATTACAGCAACAATTTTTGCTGCTGTCCCAGGCACTGTAGAAATGAGAGGTGAGGTTCCTGCTTTTAAAGACTTTACAGTCCAGTTGGGCTCATAAATGAATAAGGAAATATAATAAAGAATTATAAAGTCCCTCCATTTATTCTTTACTTATTTGACTAATATATTTATTGATGACCTACTTCGTGTCAGGTACCCCAATCTCATGGAGACAGGAAATAAATCACTAAACAAATAAATGAGATAATTTCAGATAGTGGTAAGTGCTGTGAAAAAAGTAAACAAATATAACGCAGAGGTAGTAGAAGAAGAGTGTGCTCTTATCACAGCTAATCTTGGTTTAGGTGGTAGTTTTAGTTGGTAATTAAGTGGTAAGGGATGTCAGAGAATGCTTACCAAAGTATCTGGTATGTAAACTAAGACCTGAAGGATTCATAGGTGTGAGAGGGGAAGGAGGTGGGTGAAGAGCATTCCAGGCAAAGAGAAGAGTATTTGCAAGACCTAGATGGCATGACTTGTCCTGTCAAGTTGCTAAAAATGATCCAGATCTGCCCAGGAGCCCTCAGTGAGTCTGGTGGGTGATAAGGCTGGAGAGGCTGGCAGGCCAAAAACAAATAAAGGGTCTCTAAGCCTTGTTAAACTTTTCAAATTTTGGCCCATGAGCATTGGGAACCAATATTCATTAAATGGAATTGCTTAAAGCTCTAAGAAATATTTTCAGAATATGTTTTAATACAGGGCACCATTTTCTAGTTTGTAAACCCTTTCTTTTGGAATGCCAGAAATTTTATTTTATTTTTTGGCAAAACCCCTGCATTATGCATGCATTTTCCAAATAATGCTTCTAATTTCTTTCATTTATTTATCAATATTTTGGTGACACTTCACATCAGCACTGTTTTGGGTGATAGGAATATATCATTGAACATAGATTAAATCCTCCCATATATGTAGATTTATTTAAAGGCATGAATTAGCAGAGAATTCCTCAGGGAATGGTTTTGTCAAGAAATGTGAAGGGGCTGAGATTCTACTTGCAAACTAACAAGTTAGCCTGCCACAGTTTCACATAAGCTGACAGAAGACACAAGACTTGTAGTTCAGAGACCAACAGCTTTATTACTCATGGTAGCAGAAGTAGCCAGAGTGTAAGCCTTTGTGCCAGTTCCCAGTTTTCACAGAACTATGTGAAGAGGGTCAGTTGACACCTATACATGCAGTGGGTTGTGTTAAAAGAGAGCAAACCTGAACTTATGGAACACGAATATTTTATAATGGGTAATAAACAGAAGCATGCCTATCCTCTGCTCTGGAGGGGGATATCATCTCTACCTACTAAGGCTATAAGCAATCCCGCCCTTTGCTCAAAAGGGAGACACTATCTCTATCTTCCGCGATGGTACACAATAAAAACATCTTTGAAAAGACAGTTCAGCACAGAAATAGTCAGTGCAAAATACATGTAGAAACACAAGAGACCCACGGAGAATTGTCTCCTAACAGATTTGCCTTTGTTTTAGTTAAAGTACAAGCTACAAAAGTATTATGCGGCCAAAACAAGACTGAACATTCATCTGTTTCTTTTATTAAAAACCGTTTGTTCTGGACGTATCCTGTAGTGGGTCTGCATAGGTGAGATTTTGTGAACAGTTGGCCTTAGTGCATTAGATCTGTGCAGCTTGATTCTGTCTGCAGACGTTTTCTCAGATTGGATGATAATTGAGGGTTCCATATACTCACTTTTATGAGTGCTTGAAGTTTGATACATCTTTCAGTAAACTTCAAGCCTGCCTTTTCTGTTAATGTTGAATTTATATGTTTATATGTAAAGAGAAGAATCAAGTATAATAAAATATGGTCAAATACATTTCTCCTTAAACATTTTGTAATTTTTTTAATTTTGAAAATTGTTAAGGCTTCAGAAGCTGTCTTGGAGAATTTTCTGGCCAAACTTAACAGATATTTAGGAGTGGGGATCCTTTTAAATGGCTACCTACCAGGGCCTTTAAGTGGCTTTCAATTGTATATATAATATTTTAATTATTATTTTTAATTCTAGAAGTCCAGTTAATTTGAAATTTAATGTTATAATATTTTTTCATATAACATATTTAATCCATAAGTCATAATTATTAAAATGAGAACTGCTATACTTATGAAACATAAGCAAACACTCACTTTTTGGGGTTGTGTGTATAAAAGTATTTTCAAAATATGATAGCAGACAAGACCAATGGTTTAGAATTTTTTTTTTTTTTAGAAATTCTAAAGGCAAGGCATAAAATCTTTTTAAAAAATCACACTTGGAAGATTAATTTTGTTTTAAGTTATTGATCAATCCAAAGCAACATTCAACTTCACATATCAATTTTAACAAATTTCCATATATTACAGTGGCTTAAGTCTAAGAGCAGAAGTTAAATCTCTTGTCCTTTACTTTCTGGGTAAACAATTGTATTGTAAATGTAGATGACTTTTACCTCAAGGATTTAGATGGGAGTAGTTTTTCTCTTTTTTCACCCCCTCTAAAAGAAGGCAGGGTTGGCATTTTGCTGATGCCAATGATGTTTATATTTCTGAGGGCTGGGCAATTGTTTCTTCTTCACCTGGTCCCACTTGCACATATCTGTTTTCCTAAAAAGATTTTAAAACATTTATTTCCAAGCTCCCCAAATCGCCTACCTATTCTGCAACCAGAAGGAAATTGGAAGAAAAAAGGTGTGAGATAAGAGAGCCAAAGGACAGACATTAAGAGCCTTCCAAGAATGACAGGTAAATTGGATTTCATCACTTTCTAGATTAAAACTCCTCACTCGCTGCTTATTGTATTTATGATGAAATACAGGATGTAGAGTGAGGCCACATGGCCCTGGACACTTCCGCAGCCTCCTCTCCACCTGTACTCCTGGCTCACCCACTCCTTCATGGCAATCTCACTGACCTCTGACAGTTTCTACAAATCCCAAGCTCTCTCCCTTCTCAGGGGCCTCCTCAGGAACAGTGCATGCTGTTCCTTCATTGGGGGATGCTCTTTCCTTTCCCCTTGGACTGGTTAATTCCTCCCTCAGGTCATTGTCCCTTCAATTAGAGAGGGTTTGCCCTGCCCCTCCATGTCTAAGTTAAATATCTGCCATATTTTTCTTCATAAAAGCTTTTAACATAATTTGTACATTTGTTAGTTTTGATGAAATTATAACTGAATGAGCATTTACTGCGAATCAGGCATATGCTATGTATTTTACAGGGTTTATCACCTTTAATTCTCACTATGTCATTTGTCCCACTTCACTTAAGTTTTAGAGGGGTTATGGAACTTTTCCAGGGTACAGAGCTAGGAAAGTGGTTGAGCCTAAATTCTAACTGAAACAGTCCAACTCCAACATGTTCCTCACTCCTAATTCTTTGCAAAACTGCCCTCAAAATGGCTTTCTCCATGCTGGGCCCTCTGTTAAGCAATTTGCATGCACACATTCAGTTAAGCCTCACGACAGTCCTAGAAGGCAGTACTGTTAGTATTATCATCCTCATTTTACAGATAAGAAAATCAAGGCATGAAGAGTAATTTGCCTAACATTATGCCCAATTTGAAAGCATATATCTGTGGGACCTCATAGGACAGTTGCAAGCCAAGGTCACGATCCAGGAAACTTGACAATAGGCTCTCCTTTTAATCAGTCTTGTACGTGGGCCCTAGTGCTGCTCCCTCCCTCCGGTTCCATGGATGCAGGGGCCATTTTGTTCAGCACCACATACCCAGCACCGTGCTCAGACGAGTAATTCCATATGTATTTGTTGAATCAGTGAAAAGAGAGTGTTGGTATTTTCAATCGTGGCTGAAAATTTTGTTTGCGCAAGCCTAAATATATATATATATATATATATATATATATATATATATATATATATATATGTATATATATAAATTTTGTTTGCTCAAGCCTAGCTAGCTAGCTATCTACCTATCTAGCTATCTATCTATGCAGCTGGGGCTACAGGTACATGTCACCACTCCCGGTTAATTTGTTAACTTTTTTGTAGAGATAGGGTGTTGCTATGTGTTGCCTAGGCTGGTCTCAAACTCCTGGACTCAAGCAATTCTCCTTCCTCGGCCTCCCAAAGTGTTAGGATTACAGGCATGAATCACTGTGCCCAGCCCAACATATATTTTATCATCAAAAATTATTTTACAAAACCCTACAGATATACTTGTTATGTTAAATTATAAAACAGCCTTCACCACCCACTTTCGTCACTGGTCTGGTGTCTTTGGCTACTATATGGGGTATTTCCAGCAGATATATCATCAGCTCACTCATAGAAGAGGTGAGAAGTCCTTTATTGGCCCCTCAATTTTTCTAAGAGGATGTCAACCTATTTCCAGCACAGCAGTTTTAAATTGGCACTTGTCAATTACGTATCTCTAGATAGCAAACTACCCCAAAACGTAAGGAATGTAAACAGCAACCATTTATAATTTTTGAGTCTCTGGGTTGGCTGGGCTGTTTGGCTGATCTTGTTTGAGTTCTCCTGTGCTTGGTCAGACTTGCTCATGCATCTGTGGTCGTCTGAGAGGTTGGCTGGGAACTCTTCTCTTTTCCACAAAATCCCTTCTCCTCTGGCAGGCTAGTCTGGATTTGTCCTCTAGGTAATGGGGATGGGGGATGAGCAATGATTTTTCCAGTCTCTGCTTGTATTGTCTGTTACTATCTCATTGCTAAAGAATGTCACATAGCTAAGTTCAGAGTTGGTGTAGAAGAGTACCACCAGAGGGTGTGGGTAAAGGAAGGTGGAAAAAAAAAGTGTAACTTGGGACAATATTTACTTAGAAGGACAATCATGAAATCAGAGCAACCTGGTATGTATCAGAGGTTCAACTGAGAGTAACAGCCTTAGAAGCCCTGATGGGTGGATATTAGTTTCTCTAAATACAACCTTGCATTAACCCAAGCCTGTAGAAAGCTGAAGAACTGGACTGTTGTTCTGACCAAAAAGGCTCTTGTTTTTACTGAATTGTATTTTGACATTAATGCCTTTTGTCTAAGAAACAGTCTTTCTCCTTGTTGGATCTACTGCACTGGCCCTTAAAAGGCAAGGCATGGGGGTCGGGGGATGTGGAATTTTGGCTCTCAGGGGACATTTGGCAATGTCTGGAGATGTTTTTGGTTGTTACAGCTGGAGGAGGAGTGCTATTGTCATCCAGTGGGTAGAGGCCAAGTATGCTGCTAAACCTCCTACAATGCATGGGACAGCCTCCCATGGGACAGACTCCCTCTAGTCAAAATGTCAATGGTTCCAAGGTTGAGAAACTAATCTGCAGAAAGGATATTGTTGATGGGTTTTCCAGATACTCTTTCGAAACACTTTTTTTCCCAATTATGTATCAGAAATAGTTGTGCTGAACAATTGTTTTGGTTTAGTCTTCAGCACAAACACTGTGAATGGAATAAATGGTCAACTTTTCCATTTTGCAATGGCTGTTGGGATGCTCATAGTCAAATTTGTTACATGCCTGTAGAAAATAGTCATATCTCTATTTTTTTTGTTTCTTTTAGAGTTGAAGTCTTCCTATGTTGCCCAGGCTGTAGTGTGGTGGCAATTCACAGGTGTGATCATAGCACACTACAGCCTCAAACTCCTGGGCTCAAGCAATCCTCCCGCCTCGGCCTCCCAGGTAACTGGGACTACAGGCTCACACCACTGCATCTGGCTTTTATTTTTTATTAGGCTCATTTTTGGCTCCATTTTATTGCCCTGCCATTAATTTTCCTTAGTCTTTTTCAGCTATTTCTAATTTATGGTATTTCATTATTTTTATAAGTTCCTAGAAGCTGTCTTAAATCTTACGTTTAAAAAGATCTAGGGGCATAAATGAATACCTACTAGCATAAAATATTTCTAGTCTGTGATAAAGGGCTTGCTCAAAAATAAGTACAGAATGAGAATTGCTATTTGTAGCCACTGGAAATGAACAGATGCTCTCAGATCTAAGACCTCAAATTAATTTGAGTCTTAAATAAACAAGACTAATGACAACAAAAGATTGAATAACATTTAAAGTTTGAATGCTGAACTTACTCAGCACCTTCTATTATGCATCTAATGTATTGACTGGCACATAGTAAGTTCTTAATATATATTTGTTGAGTAAATAAATTAATGATTTTAATTTGATTCCATTTTGATAATGACAAGATAATTTTTTCAAAAAGTTCCAGATTCAAAAAGGTCTTTGTTGACTAAATATGATGGGTTACTGATGGTTAGAATTTTAGCTTTGATCAATTTGTGAAGAAATCTGGAATTTCTGAAGTTATTATTATGTGTTCGAGGAGATACATGTCTCCGTAACAATTAAATTCATGTATTCATACTGGATAGATTTAGCCAGACAATAGGGGAGAAACTTATGAGCAGTGTGCTCTTAGCATAGTACTGCTTTTCCTCATGATCTAAGGAAGTCATAAGCAATCTTCTCCAAAACCCCTTCAACAGAACCATTACAATAATATCTTGTTGCAGAGTCATTATAGCTTTCTAACCTCTAGGATAAAAGACCATAATTTCCAGTGGAATTCTGTCATTCATTAAGAAAACAAAAACCTATAAAATGGAAGTGAACCACTGTAAAATGGAAGCTAATTAATTAGGGTAAACATTTATAAAGCCAGAAAGGAAATGCAGCTTTTCCTTATCCCCTCCACTACTCCCAGGAAAAAACAAACAAACAAACAAAACATCTTGACTGTACTGGTAAGTAGGCTCCAATAAATAATGGAAACAATAAACATATTTATATCCTTTTCAGGATATAATGATGGTATTTGAGGATCTAATAATTTAAACAAAGAATGCTTTGCTGTAGATGAGACAATAGCCATCAGTTTTATTTTCCATTACTATTTTATCTAAATCTTGATTTTTAACAATTTACCTGTAGAACTTATACATTGGAGACTGAGCTTGATACTGACTTTCTGTGTTAATACACGAGATATTTTATACCTGTCATTGTGACACTGTGTATCTGAAAACACTTCTAGGGTGTCCAATAATTTATGCTTGCTTTTATTTCTCCCAGGTAATCATACATATTTTCTCTACATACCTTGGGCTAGTCCTTGAATTATATATTCCATTCCTTCATTTTCCCATCATTTATGACAAATGAATGAACATGTGACAACCATGTGCCAGGTAGATACTTGGGCTAGTGGTTGAGAATGCAACCATAGGCAAGATATTAATACATGATTTTCTCTTTAAATCCTAATGACATTTAACAGGAATGATTCCACCATTTATTATAATATTAACAGCTAACATTGATTGGGCCCTCACTATGTTTCAGGCATTATTCTTGTTTTACATGAAATATTTTATTTAATATTTATGACAACCCAATGATGTAAGTGCTATAATTGTCCTCATTTGATAGTTGTAAAGACTGAGAATTATTTGCTTTATAGGAGAGATACTAAGGCAAATGATTATTTTAAATGTCTTTAATAAATGACATGGTGGGGCTGGGTGCGGTGGTTCACACCTGTAATTCCAGCATTTTGGGAGGCCAAGGCAGGCAGATCACCTGAGATCAGGAGTTTGAGACCAGCCAGGCCAGTATGGTAAAACCCCTTCTCTACTAAAAATACAAAAAATTAGCCAGTCATGGTGGTGGGTGCCTGTAATCCCAGCTACTCAGGAGACTGAAGCAGGAGAATCACTTGAACCCGGGAGGTGGAGGTTGCAGTGAGCCGATATGGTGTCACTGCACTCCAGCCTGGGTGACAGAGCGAGACTCCATCTGAAAAAAAAAAAAAAAAAAAAGACATAACTGTGATGAATGGTGGTGTGGGAACACAAAGGAGAGAAAAGAAACATAGTTTAGAAAATCAGAGTTGTCTGCATAGTATTCCATGGTGTATATGTGCCACATTTTCCTAATCCAGTCTATCATTGTTGGACATTTGGGTTGGTTTCAAGTCTTTGCTATTGTGAATAGTGTCACAGTAAACATACGTGTGCATGTGACTTTATAGCAGCATGATTTATAATCCTTTGGGTATATACCCAGTAATGGGATGGCTGGGTCAAATGGTATTTTTAATTCTAGATCCCTGAGGAATCACCACAATGACTTCCACAATGGTTGAACTAGTTTACAGTCCCACCAACAGTGTAAAAGTGTTCCTATTTCTCCTCGTCCTCTCCAACATCTGTTGTTTCCTGACTTTTTAATGATCGCCATTCTAAATGGTGTGGGATGACTTCATGTCCTTTGTAGGGACATGGATGAAGCTGGAAACCATCATTCTCAACAAACTATCACAAAGACGAAAAACCAAACACCGCATGTTCTCACTCATAGGTGGGAATTGAACAACGAGAACACATGGACACAGGAAGGGGAACATCACACACCGGGGACTGTTGTGGGGTGGGGGGAGGGGGGAGGGATAACATTAGGAGAAATACCTAATGTTAAATGACGAGTTAATGAGTGCAGCACACCAACATGGCACATGTGTACATATGTAACAAACCTGCACATTGTGCACAGGTACCCTAAAACTTAAAGTATAATAAAAAATAAAAATTAAAAAAAAAAAAGAAAAGAAAATCAGAGTTGTCTGCAAAAGGCAAAATTGTAAACATGAACTCCCAAGATTTCTTATCCGAATCCCTGGGACTGGGAATATAATGTGATATCACACTTGTGATTATATTACCTTAGATGATAAACATTTTGCAAATAAAATTATAGCTATTAATCAGTTGCCTTCAAGTTAATCAAAAGAGAGATTAGCTGGGTGGGCATAATCTTATCATATGAGTCCTTTCAAAGCCGGGATTTTTTTTTCCCTCTGGCTGGTAGAAGAATAGAAAGTCAGAGAGATATTTGTTGGTTGGATGCACTGTTGCTGGCTTTGAACACAAAGGGTACTATGTGACAAAGGCCTGAGAGTGGCCCCTCAGAGCTGCTAACAAGCCCTTATAGCCAGCAAAGAAATAGGTACTTAGTCTTACAACCAAGGAAATAGATTTTGCCAACCATCTGAGTGAGACTGGAAGTGGATTTTTCCCTAGAGCCTCCAGAAAGGATCCCATCCTGGTTGCTACCTTGAGTTAGCCTTATGAGCATCTAAGCAGAGAACGCAGTTGAGCGTAGCTGAGCTTGTGACCTATAGAAATGTGCACTAATAAATGGATGTTGATTTGGGCCACTAAGCTTGTGATAATATGTTATGCAACAGTAGAAAATGAATACAGCTGCATTGAATTGGTGACTTTTGTGCTGATTGAATCATAAGTAGGAGCTGGATGGTGATGGTGGAATATAATGTTCCAAGCTAAGAGAACCATATTGGCAAACTCTTAGATTGTGAAGAGTTTCAGGAATTCCAAGAAGCTTAATGTGGCTAGACAATGGACTGTGTGTGTGGGGAGGGGATGATGTGGGGGAAACAGGGAAGCAAGATAAAGCTGAAAGGGACTGGAGAAGAGAGCAAGGCCAAGTCAGAATGATATATTGTCAATTGTATAGAAGTTTGACTTTGTCATAAGGGCAATAGCAAGCCATGAAGAGGATTATTTGGGATGTGCAAATCATATTTACTTTTTACAATGAATCTCTCCAGTGAGGAGAATGGAATAAAAAGCAGGACTGGAGGCAGAAAATCCAGTTAGGAGGCTACTGCAGTAATGCAATCATGAGTTGCTAGTGCCCGGAACTAAGTGATTGGCTATCTGATAGTCATATTCACTAGGTCCTGACAAATTAATTACTTACTTTATTTATTTATTTATTTTGAGACAGAGTCTCGCTCTGTCACCCAGGCTAGAGGGCAGTGGCGTGATCTCGGCTCACTGCAACCTCTGCCTCCCAGGTTCAAGCGATTCTTGTGCCTCAGTCTCCCGAGTAGCCCAGATTACAGGCAATCACCACCACACTCAGCTAATTTTTTGTATTTTTAGTTGAGATGGAGTTTTGCCATGTTGCCTTGGCTGGTTTCGAACTCCTGAACTCAGGCAATCCCCATGCCTTGACCTCCCAAAGTGCTGGGATTACAGGCGTAAGCCACCGCACCCAGCCAAGTTAATTTATTATAATATTTTTATATTAATTTATCAGAATCTAGTGATTAACTGTAAGAGAGGATAGAGATAAGGATAGTTAAGATGGTTCACAAGTTTCTGTCTTGCGCAACTGTATGGAGTTGTCTTTAGCAAACATAGAAAATTTGGGATGTGTAATTAGTTGAGGGAGGTTGATTAGGATTCCATATTTTAATGTGTGTTGAGTTCGAAGATGCTATTTTTCATAAGATGATAATAACCATTGAAAATGGACAACATGGATCTGGAGTGCGGAAGAATATTATGGATTTATAATTCATTAGCATTGTGCCAAGACAGGCAAGCTACAGTAGTAAATACACCCTCCCAGCCTCCCTCATCCCAATTTCAGTGGCTTAAAATAATATATGTTTAGGTCAAAATAATGTGTGCTTCTTCTCCATGTGGCCATTCCGGGATCCAGGTACTCTCTATCTTGTGTCTCTGCCATCTGTAAAACAGTGGCTGTCAACTGTGAGTGATTTAGCAATGTTTGGAGATAATTTGGCTCCTTATAATTGTGAGGGATGCTACTGAAGTCTACTGCATAGAAACCAAAAATCTACTAAACATCCTGCAGCACACAAGATAGCTCTCATAATAAAGAATTATCTGGCCCCAAATGTGCCAGATAATTCTTTATCAATAGTGCCAAGGTGGAGAATCCTTGCTCTGAACTTTATCATATAACTCATGTAGAAGAGGACAGAACACAGAGAAAAGTGCATGACTGATTTTTACTGGTAAATCCTGGAAGTAGCAAGTATCACTCCCACTCTTCCTCTGGAGATAACTTAATCGCATGGCTGCAAACAACAAGAAGTTTAGTCTAGGTCAGAGATTGGCAAACTATGGCCCTCAGGAATAATCCAATCCGCTGCCTACTTTTGTAAATGATGATTTATCAGAACACAGTCATGGCCGTTTGTTTACATATTGTCTATAGCTACTTTCATGCTACATCAGCAGAGTTGAGTAGTTGCAACAGAGACCACATGGCCTGCATAGACTAAAATATTTACTATTGGGCCCTTTATTTAAAAAAAATTGCCAATCTCTCATATGGGAATATACGGCAGGACAAAGGAAAACTGGACTTTGTTAGATGACAATTGGTCTCTGCCATGAGAAAAGACATGTAATTGAAATTATGGTAGAACATTATGTTGCCCAGGGAGAACGCTGATGGTGAGAAAACAAAAGACAATATTTAAACCCACAGTTAGGTTTTATTGACAGTAAGACATCATGACTCAACTTGGAAGGAAGACTAAACATAAATTTATATCATACCTCTGTGCCTGTTTTCCAAATAGCTCTTGATATAAAAAAATTAAGGAAATGCAATATTAAAGAATAGCTTTGAAAACTTACAATAGGTTCTAACTGGCAATAACCAACATGGCCACATTAAACTTTTTTCTTCTGACTCTTATGGGGATTTATTTAGTTATTTCAATTTTTCTTAAGTGTCTTGGTCTTATTAAATTATGATGCAAATGGGAAGTAGCTGAAATAGATAATTTACTTGTGTAGTAGGTGTGTCTGCCAATTTGGCTATATGAAAAATGTCACTTTATTTTCTATAATGTGACTTAATTTCTATTTTTGAGCCTTCATTTGGAAATGTGGCAGAAATTAGCTCTCAGTACACTCAGGGTCTTCCTGGGTTACATATGTGTCCCAGGGTTTCATGGGGAGGGCTTATGTAGCACCAGACATGGAGGAACATCTGGCCTAGGTCTTCATCTGTTGATGCTGGCTTCTGTATTTTGTGATGCTAGGCCTGGAAGTCTGCCAACTACATTTCTCATAACCCTTTGCAAGCTGGATTCTAATTTGGTTCTGCAATGGGGCACAGATGGGAAGTGGAAGGAAGGAAGAAAGGGGGGAAAGGATGTTCCAGCATATTTCCAGTTCCTGCTATCATCCTTCCAGCAGAAGAGGTAGGTTAAGGCTCCAGCTTCCAGCTTCTTTTGCACTCCCAGAATTAGGACGCTCTACCCTCTCAAAAAATCTGCCAGCATTAATCTTGAGGTGGGTTCTCTCAGAGAGAGGTTCAAGCAACACCCATGGGTAGGGGTGTGCTTGCTTCAAAGTTCCTACATTCACGTAACTTTACTTCCTTACTTTTGTTTCCCCATTTCTGGGGATGGTAGCTGCTTTTTCAATTACGAGCATTTGGGTGACTCAGTGTCTCATTTTTGCTCTTTCGGCCTTCTAACACTTGTTTAACTCATTCTCTTTGAAATCCCTGAGTAGGGGGAAGGTCTGAATTCCTATCTAGTCTTTGATTGGCATGTCTCAGGTTTTTCTTGTGTGTCCTTATGTTCAACCTATGAGGAATCTGCATACTTGCCAGCTATCTGGATTGCTCTTGGGTGAACCTGAAATATTCAAGTGCTGCTTCCTTTGTTCCTCTTGCATCCACATCATGCTAGTCTGTCCCTGCCATCTTGAAATAAACTCCTTAGGAGAAATGTGAGTCTGTCTGAGTGCCACCTGCCTAGATGCACATCACATAGACAGCTCTTTGCTTCTGTACTGTGCTGGGCTTTCTTCCTCCGCTGGGCTTTTCTCTGGGATGAGGACATAATTCCACCTCTATAACAAGATTCACACCCCAACCTCACCCCCAGGACATGGCCCTATCTCAGAGATGCAATGCTACACTAAGCTTTAAACAATTATCCTTTGGCCGGGCGCAGTGCCTCATGCCTGTAATCCTAGCACTTTGGGAGGCCGAGGTGGGTGGATCACCTGAAGTCAGGAATTCAAGAGCAGCCTGGCCAACATGGCAAAACCCCATCTCTACTAAAAATACAAAAATTAGCTGGGCGTGGTGGCACATACCTGTAATCCCAGCTACTCAGGAGGTTGAGGCAGGAGAATCGCTTGAACCCAAGAAGCGGAGGTTGCAATAAGTCGAGATTGTGCCACCGTCTCTAGCCTGGGCGACAGAGCAAGACGCCATCTCAAAAAACAAGCAAACAACAACAAAAAAAACTCCTTCTTCTTTGTTCTTTCCCCAACCTATGGATTATTTTCTGGTCTCCAGTGTGTGTGGTGTTGTGGGGGAGGTTTCGGAGCGGGTGGAAGTAATAAGGTCCTGACTGAGATGCTTTTAAATCTCAAGTCCCCTCTAGAGCCTAAGATTTTGAAACTGAAAATTTTTATGAAAGTTTCTTTAAAACTTTTGTTGCCTCCATTCTTCTGGGTCACATTCCTTCCCTGAGGCAGTGCAGGCAACATGTTAGCTGCCCCAAAATGTGGAAGGAAGGTAGGAATAACCAGAAATACAAGGTGTGTCTGTTAGTTTTCAAAATAGCTTACTGCCCCAAATGTTTTTAAGTCTCCTAGAATCCTAAAGCCCTTTTTCCCGATCTCTAGCTTCCCATTTCCCTGATCACAACTCTCCTCCTCAATTTTTCACTCTCCCATCTCCCCCCATCTCCTGTTTCCTAGATCCTGGTCTGGCTTGTGCTGGGCACCCTGTGTGTATTTTCATCATGACACATACCATATTCTAATGGCTATTATCTTCATAGGAGAATATGAGAAGCTTGACATCAATAAAAATATTCTATTCCACTCTGTATCTTCAGTCTCTAGGACGAAGTCTGGCATAGAAAGGGTACAATAAGCTGAAGACAAACTGATCTCTAGATAAAAAATGATTTGTCCAAATTCTAAGTATTAAAGACAGTAGCTAATATTCACATAGCACTAACATGCCCCTTTTCTGCTCTAAACAGTTTAGATACACCAAGTCTTTGATTCTGACAGTAATTCTGTGAGTAGGTATCTATTATCATCCTCATTTTACAGATGGGAAAATGGAGGAGGCACAGAGAGGTGTGGCAACTTGCTCAGAGTCAGGCAGTAGCAAGTAAGAGAGCCTTGATTTGAACCAGATAGTTTGGCTTTCTAGTCCATACTCTTAGACACTATAGGTCATGACACCTCTCACATACTGACTTGGTTTTTGTAAGGAGATGGCACACTCATTGTGTAAAGAATTCAAATATGTATGTGTGTGTGTGTATATATATATATATATATATTTTAAATTCCACTGCTCTAAAATGCTTCCAAAGAGGCATAGAAGCAAGAAAATACAGGAAAATGTTTTGTATTACCTTACTCATTATTAACAAGAATAGTTTATTGACACATTTATCTTAAAAGCACTACATGACAGAGGGCTGAACTCTTATCACTGTCACACTTGGATCAAGGTACTCATAGGTCCCAAAGGGTCATATTTTGTTCTAGACATTGAAGAGAACATACTCTCAAAAAATGGGAAAAAAAGGAACTGAAAAGCCAGGAAGGATTATCTCTATTTTTAAGGCATCTAAAAAGAAGGCAGAAGAAGAATCGATTGGGCATTTTTGCATTGCTCTGATCTTTCCAGAGAAGAAACAGAGTAATTGAATTTTCATTAATTTTTCTAGAGCCACCACTCTTAAGTCAAATGGTAACTCGACATATCCATGATAGTGGCATTAAATGGATTATTGAAACAGTCTTAAAACAAACATATCTTTGTATAAAAGTTTTACTTTCCATTAAGTTTTAAATATAAAACTGTTATGCTGTCATTATTAATTTGGGGTAAGTATGAGAGATTTGAATACGTTTTCTGGGGAAGTAATAGTTTATCTGAAAAAGCATTTCCATTATTTATCATAATATTAAAAATCAGAAAGATTTTTTTCAAGCTATCTTCTTTTACTTTTTATTTATTTAGATTTTTTTTTTTTTTTTTTTTGATGAAGTCTCTTTCTTGTCGCCCCAGGCTGGAGTGCAATGGTGCGATCTCGGCTCACTGCAACCTCTGTCTACCAGGTTCAATTGATTCTCCTGCCTCAACCTCCTGAGTAGCTGGGATTACAGGCATCTGCCACCACGCCCAGCTAATTTTTGTATTTTTAGTAGAGACGGGGTTTCACCATATTGGCCAGGATGGTCTTGAACTCCTGACCTCATGAGCCACCCACCTCGGCCTCCCAAAGTGTTGGGATTACAGGCGTGAGCCACCACACCCGGTCCAAGCCATCTTCTTTTACCATAAACTACAATAAAGGTAATAACTTCACTTTTGTTGAAATCCTAATAACTAACTAGTTTTCTTTATTGTTCCATATGAAATATATCTATCTGAAACTAATGTGTCTTCTTGGAAATGTTTTCTTATTCAAATAAAAATAATTATTTATAAATTACAATGGAGGAAGCAAACCAGATTAAAGCACTGAGTACTGAAAAAAAATCAAAATTAAAAGGTCCTTTGGCCCATTTTGGACAAAGAACACACACACATTCATTTATTCATTTATTTAAAAAGTGGTGAGTACCTATTATATACAAGGCAAAAGTTGGTATGTTAACAATGTCTATTAGAATATGATAATGATTCTAAATATGACCAGTCCATCAATTCTTTTATATCCTAGTGGCTGGTTAAGTTAAATGATGGGCGCTGTCCATTTAAGGCTCTTAAAACACCCTGAATCCTGGTAAATAAAATGCACTGTAGTTATATTTTTGTTTCCAAGGCTAGTAAGTAATAACATCCCATTGAGGTGTTTAGAATGCCAACTAGTCACAGCTAAAGGTGAAAAAGTAAGCTGGTAATATAAGCCAGATCTAATTTTTTGTCTGATTATTGTTGAACATTTGACATGGTATATAACTACATAAAGTACCTAGCAGATATGCATATCAAAATGCCATATTAAATACATATGTATTGTTAATAATAAATAGAATAAAAGCAAGTTAATGTGGAAATTTAATTGAGGAAGTAATTGTCCACATTATCTGTACATAACTTTCCTATTACTTATTAAACTGAAATATTGATCATTTTTATTTCATGTGTATATTTTACAATATGGGAAATATCATGTAAGATTAAATCATATATTTTGTGAGAAAATTTGGAACTGCGGCAGAATTTTGGCTTTATTCTATTTTATTTCAAAAAAAATTTAAGCCATGAATAATAGAAAAATTTTAAAAATGGAACTAAACACATGAAATCACAATTCATTATTTCACATTTCTTTATTTTAAGCTCTTCTGTTATGGAATTCCTTAGTAGTGTTTTCTGTTAATTAAATTTAGGCTAGAAAATCTAATTTTTCATTGGTATGGTTCTACTTTTCTGTACAAGATTGAAGATCAAGGTCAAATAATTTTTAAGAATTATTGTTAGGTA
This sequence comes from Homo sapiens, assembly GCF_000001405.40. NCBI lineage: Eukaryota > Metazoa > Chordata > Mammalia > Primates > Hominidae > Homo > Homo sapiens. The sequence continues at coordinate 50,774,452 of NC_000006.12, read as the reverse complement.
AAAACAGTTTTTGTGATCTTTACATGAAAACTCTTGAGCTATTTCCCCTCAATTAAAAATAATACTAATATTTCCCATGGGGTTATAATATGATAGAGGCTTTTAAAAAGTAATTAAATATGTTAATGAGAGGAGAATGTTTTCATCTTAAACTGTCAGGAGTCCACACATTAATAAAAGAGTTCTTTTTTTCCTTTTACATAGACAATGACCTACATTTTTATTGGCCTAGAAGTTTGAGAATTGTTAATAGTAGAAAGGTTAGTACAATGTGATACCAATCAGGTTTCTTGACACATTCAGGTTTATACGGACCAAACTTTCATTCAATTAGCCCCTTGCCTTTGCAGCCAGGAACCTCTTGTTTTCAGTGTCTTAACTAAAGGACAATGAAGTTATAAAAACAAGCTATGAAAAAAGAAAGCATCTTAAAAGCAAAAGTTTTCTCTGATCACTGTTTCTGTTCTCTTTATTGAACACAGACCTGAATGCTTTTGTGCCTCTAAAGGTTTAGAATACAGCCATCGGGCAGGTAGAAGAAGCACAAAAGCAGAAAAAGGAAGGCTCTCATCTTAACCATACAATCATTGGCCACCAGCACTTCCAGGGGCCTCTCCTAGGTCCCTGTTCTTTTCTCCCATCTCTGAGAAGCAGGACTTCCCAGAAAGATCACTGTTCCTATTCCCATGCTTTTCCAGGCAAAACAATGCCATTGCTTTCCATCAGGAGCCCAACAGAGGCAAAGCTACTCTTTCCTATATCCATCCTGCCCTGACCCACTAAATGCAGTGGGTCTGTTTTCTTGAATTGCTAGGTTGGTGATGTGAAGAGAATGGATGGAAGAGTTCATCTCTTATCCCTTGGGTAATATACTTTTCCAGTATCTTCTTAGCTATTGGGGTGGGGTAAAATGGACCTGGGATTAGGTGGGAATGTCATAGATATGAGAGAGTTTCCTGGAATTTTTAAATACCGCCAAGGCACTGGTAGTTAAGCGGGCTAGGGGTGATCAAAATTTTTAGATCTGTTGTCAACTCACAGATTCATAACTGCCCTTTTCAGTTACCCAAATATTTATTAATAGACTAATTTCCAGATTGATCTATTTAGTGGAATGAGGCACTCTTCAGTTAAAGGGAGTTAAGTCGAGAAAGACTGGAGCTGTAAGTACTGGTGGTGGATTCCAGTTTGGTTATGCTTTCTGATCCCTACCTACATAGTTGGGTAAGAAAGTGCATCAGTTAGATGTGAAAAAGCATGTGCTGCCTCTCCAAAGTCCAGAAGTGCTTAAAAACTGTGATGTATATAATTCAGACAATAAGTTACGTGCACAAAGGAGTTTATCATAACATAAAATTAAAAGGTGACAATTTCATCACACAGTTACACTGCTGTTTTCCTTTTTTTTTCTTTTTTTTTTGGTTTTGTCCTTTTTTGTTTCATTTTTCATTTCCATTTTTGTTTTTTTATGGAGGGTTGGGGAAGGGTAGAGATTTGGTCCACTGAAGATTAGTCACCCTCAATGATATATATATTAGAAAAAATATCAGCAGCAAGACTCTCTGGAAATAGATTCTGTTTGATGTAGCTAGTCTGTCTTTTCTGTTTTGCCCTCTTTCACGGCAGCCTCTGAAGTTTTCCGCAGGGGAGCTTTCTCCGAGTTGGCATGTCCTTGGCCAGAATCCGCCGCTCCGCCGTTCTTGTGAGTAGTGTGTTTTTCCAAGTAGTTCAGCATTTCACTGAGAACTGTTTGGAAAGTGCTTAGAGCTGCACATATTGCCGGAGTCCCAAAGCCATGAGTGATCAAACTGGAAATGAGAAGTGATAGGAAAAAAGAGGTGAATGATTTGCAGTATCATGTGAAATAGCAAATCTCTCCATATAATTCAGAACATTCAATTAAACAGGTATTCATTGTGTTCCTAAATGATGCTAAGCATTGTGGAAGATACAACACAGTTGAAGGTATTGCTCTTGACTATGTAAGAAATGTAGGACCAGTTTGGAAGACTTGTCGTTAATAGAGTTGATATGCACTAATTATTATTTATATATATATTTTATTATACTTTAAGTTCTAGGGTACATGTGCACAACGTGCAGGTTTGTTACATATGTATACATGTGCCAGCTTGGTGTGCTGCACCCATTAACTCATCATTTACGTTAGATGTATCTCCTAATGCTATCCCTCCCCCCTCCGCCCACCCCATGACAGGCCCCGGTGTGTGAGTTCCCCTTCCTGTGTCCAAGTGTTCTCATTGTTCAATTCCCACCTATGAGTGAGAACATGCAGTGTTTGGTTTTTTGTCCTTGCGATAGTTTGCTCAGAATGATGGTTTCCAGCTTCATCCATGTCCCTAGAAAGGACATGAACTCATCATTTTTTATGGCTGCATAGTATTCCATGGTGTATATGTGCCACATTTTCTTAATCCAGTCTATCATTGATGGACATTTGGGTTGGTTCCAAGTCTTTGCTATTGTGAATAGTGCCGCAATAAACATACGTGTGCATGTGTCGTTATAGCAGCATGATTTATAATCCTTTGGGTATATACCCAGTAATAGGATGGCTGGGTCAAGTGGTATTTCTAGTTCTAGATCCCTGAGGAATCGCCACACTGACTTCCACAATGGTTGAACTAGTTTACAGTCCCCCCAACAGTGTAAAAATATTCCTATTTCTCCACATCCTGTCCAGCACCTGTTGTTTCCTTTTTAATGATCGCCATTCTAAGTGGTGTGAGATGGTATCTCATTGTGGTTTTGATTGATACGCACTAATTATTACCAAGTCTAAATATTTAACACATGACTTGATTCTCCACCTCATTAAGAAGTAGCTGGAAAACACACCTTTAGATTCTATGTGTGGAAACATCTTGCTTTCAAGAATGGCATATATGGCATAGACTACACATGAAGAAATCATAATTGGCTGAGTGTGCCTCATGGCTAGCTGTCCCTCTGACTTCATTCTCCTTTTCCATAGTAATGCACTTTAATCTGGGCATATGGCCATCCAGCTGGAGACTACATTTCCAAGCTTCTTTTGCAGTGAGTTTTGGACATGGGACTTAACCTACCCACAATGTAACATAAAGAGAAGTGATACATGCAATTCCCACTTGCTTAAAAGGGTAGCTATGCCCTATGTAGATAATCGCTTAGGTGGCAGGGACAAAACAAGTTAGAAGGAACCTATTCATCTCCAGACTCCTAAATGAGAGAGAAATAAAACCCTGTCTTATGTAAGCCACCCAACATTTAGGTCCCGAAAACTAACTAATTAACTAATAACAAAAACTAATAAGCAAATATAAGGAATGTTATGGTAACCTCAGCATAGGTAGTTCTTCCAACCACGACAAATGTCATCTTTGGTTGAACAAACACATAACTGTAGATTTAGTCTTCTTGTGAACAGAAGCTACCCAGATTGTTCACTTATGTTAACTGTCCCGAAGTGACACTACCAGTTTGCTTCCTACGTCTCATAATAATATAGAAAAACATCCTTGTCACATAGTATGCCCATGTTATAATATATATATATATACAACATTGTGCATATGTGTATAGTACATTTAATAAAGCCATTAACTGCTAAAGTCCTAGCTTGTAACTGTTATTATGACATTAGTAGTTTTTGAATCAGATATACCACCCTTCATAATATTTTAGCTACCTATAGTTTTCTTTCTTAAGTTACATAATCTTTAACAGCAAAAATAATAATATTTTATAATAATACAAATGAAGGATTTGGGGTTTAAGGCAGCCTATTAATATGCCTCAGTGGAGGTAATAGTAAGATCTACCATGTGGGGTTGTTGTTTTTATTAGTCTACGCAAAGGGCTCAGAAGGATGCAGATCTAAACAAAGTCTTAGATAAATGATAGAGATTGTTGGCTGGGTATATTTTCTGGGTAGAGGGTAAAATTTCTGCATGTCCCTCATTATTCCATAGGTTGTTACCATCTTTCTTCCCTGAGCCTCCATCATAGTTAACATATATTAAAAAGAAAAAAAAATTCCCATCTCTGATTATGTGGGAAACAACAATGGCCAATGCTTGGGCAATTATCTGCACCAAAGTTTGTGGTGTAAGACATCATCACTGCTCAACTACTATATCCACACCTCTGCTACAAGGTCTTGCATTGCCAAACAGGAAAAATAATTTAAGCTCTATTTCTACAATGAGACAACTAGAGGGGAAGCCAAATAATTTGAAATCTATCTGGGATCTTGGACAACAAATGGAATTGTTGGAGTGGTGGAAGAATTAATCATGGTGATACCCACAAAAAGAACTGGGTAAAGCCAACCATTAATGTCCAGATATTTGACCCCAGGCACAAACTGTCTCTTTTCTCATGTTTTATTCCTGTTTAGAGCTCCTTTTTAAATTTTCTTCTATATTGGCATGTCCTCTTTGTTGTGACTCACCTCTTCATCTATAGCAGAATATACAATATTATTTAGTTTCACAGGGTATTATTGAAGTTAATATCTAATTTTTGAGTTCTGAACATATGTCAAGTCCTGTTCTAAGTTTTTTATCTGTATCACTTCATATAATTCTAGTTACAACACTAAGAACTAGATAATATTATTTCCATTTTACAGACGAAGAACTGAGTCCCAGAGAAGTTAAATAATTTGCCTGAGAAATTGGATATTCTGTACTTATGTTCCTCCCAGGCTGAGGGTACATTTTTCTCTGAGAAATCACATTTTCTGTGGGCAGTTTTAGCTCAGTTCCTCTGACTTAACTTTGTACTTGGGCAGCCTTGATGGCTGGTAAAATCAGATGCTTTTTACTCACTTTCCTGCCTAAGAGCAGGGTTTTTAAAAATCAAGCACAGGTAGGTAGTTATATATAAATGCTTTTATTATCCACTTTGAGAAAAGAGCTGTTTCCATATTTAAAGATTCCTCTTAAGCTGGTATCACTTCTTGACTGATGGGCTTTCTTGTTCCAAAATATGGATCTGATCATTAGCAGTCTGCATTGTCATCTTTGCCTTGGATTGAGAACCAAGTGTACCAAGTCCTCACACTGGCTTTGACGTCAGGCACTTCGTGATTTGGAGGAAGTTATTTAGCCTTGTAAAATGACAGTAGTCTAACAAGAACATCTGCTAGGTTCTTTCCAACTCTAAGCTTCAATTTAAGAGTATAACATCTTTATGGTGTTATTAAAATCAAGGACATGGACACAGGTTATGGAAGTTGAAAAACCACTTCAGGGCTGGGCGCAGTGGCTCATGCCTGTAATCCCAGCACTTTGGGAGGCCAAGGCAGGTAGACCACAAGGTCAGGAGTTTGAGACCAGCCTGAGCAACTGGTGAAACCCTGTCTCTACTAAAAATACAAAAAAAAAATTAGCCGGGTGTGGTGGTGCATGCCTGTAATCCCAGCTACTCAGGAGGCTGAGGCAGGAGAACCGCTTGAACCCAGGAGGCAGAGGCAAGATCGTGCTATTGCATTCCAGCCTGGGCAACAGAGGGAGACTTTGTCTCAAAAAAAAAAAAAAAAAGCCACTTCGTTCAACAAAGAACTCTAAAATCAATTGAAGGATATTCAATATAAAAAAAAGTCATTTTGACTTTCATGACCTGAAAGGTCATCTTTCAATATGAAAAACATTATGTAAATTTTGTTAATTACCTAATTTAACATTACCTGCATATTAAAAATATGCATAGCACACTGCACAGAATGATAATAAATGTAAGGCAAAGATTCTTTTCTAGCAGTTTTCAGTGAAATTTATGAACCCCAAATAATTAAAGTAATCTAATGTACTACAATAATGTAAAAAGAAGTGTGCAATCACAGTATGTTTTAAAAAGTTCTGGGAACATCATGCTATTCTTTTAGCCCCAGTCATCCAGAAAAATAGGTGTGTATCTCATTCACAGTGACATACAGAAAAGGAGGGGGCTGGGTTCAGTGGCTCATGCCTGTAATCTCAGAGCCTTGAGATGCCAATGTGGCAGGATCACTTAAGCCCAGGAACCTGAGAGTACAAAGAGCTACGATTGCACCATTGCACTCCAGGCTGGGCAACAAAGCAAGTCTCTATCTCAAAAGAAAAAAAAAAAAAGGGAGAGAAAAAAGAAAAGGAGAGAGGAATAATGTAGAATCTCCAAAAAAAAAAAAAAAAGAAAATTAGAAATAGAAGGTCTGACTTTTGATCCTAGACAGGAAAAAAAAAAAAAAAATAAGACTAAGGTCACCTGCAAGGTAACGAACTATAGTCAAATCTTCAAACTCTTTGACAATAGAGATGATTTTCAACTTTGGAAAATATTTTTCAGTTACAGGTTTGATATTTAAGTTACCCTTGGCATTTGCATATAATTTCACCAGATTACTGATGAGAGCGCATTTCACATGCAAATATCACCAGGGTTAAATGGCCCATGATGGTTTGAAATAGGCAGTCAAAATATAGAAGTTACTTAAATTCTAAATTCTAAAACTCTATCCTCAATGAGGCCCTGGAGACAACTTGCATTGTGTTAGATAAGTCATGTCTATGCTACATTTGTAAAAGAACAGTGACTATAGAGGATTCACAGGTCATATCAGTTTTCTTAATGTTTCCTAGGTTGCCTTCCTTCACCCTATGTAATCACGTGCTCTATTACCTTATTTTTGCAAAGTTTATCTCAAGCTTATCTCTTTTTAATACCCAAACATGACCGTTATTCCTATTTCTGTGTGTTTGTGTGTCCTCCCTCTCTCAGCCAATTGAAATTCCACTCAAAGAAACTCACAATTTCTTTGATGATACTGATGAAAAAGGGATTAGTTTCCTCATGCCTGAAAAACAGGTGTGTTACTTCCAAAGGATAGAAACTTGCCAAAGTGATGAGAGGACTTAAATAAAATTCCTGGGAGAAAGAAGTAACAATCCCCAAACAAATGTAAAACTATAGCACAGAGGGGACAATGGGAAGAAAACAGGTGAGGCTAAACTCTCTGTCACAAAGTGAGGAAGAGGAATGGGAATAACATTGGTAGCATCAGAGCAAAACTGACAATCCAGGTATATCAGATTTTTACTACAAGTGGTAAATCATGTTCCTCAACATAATAAAGACCATATATGACAAGCCTACAGCTAACATCATACTCAATAGTGAAAAGCTGAAAACTTTTCTTCTAAGATCAGGAACAAGAAGACGGTGCCCACTCTTACCACTTTTATTACTATTTTACATAGTACTGGCAGTCCTAGACAGAACTATTAGGCAACAGAAAGAAATAAAAAGCATCCAAATCAGAAAGGAAAAAGTTCAATTGTTTCTGTTTGCAGATGATATGATTTTAGAAAATCCTGAAGACTCTGTGAAAAACTGTTATAATAAATGAATTCAATAAAGTTGCATGATACAAAAATCAGTTGCATTTCTAAGCAGTACCAGTGAACTATGTGAAAAATTAAGAAAGAAATTAAGAAAGCAGGCCGGGCACGGTGGCTCACGCCTGTAATCCCAGCACTTTGGGAGGCCGAGGCGGGTGGATCATGAGGTCAGGAGATCGAGACCATCCTGGCTAACAAGGTGAAACCCCATCTCTACTAAAAATACAAAAAATTAGCCAGGCGCGGTGGCGGGCACCTGTAGTCCCAGCTACTCGGGAGGCTGAGGCAGGAGAATGGCGTGAACCCGGGAAGCGGAGCTTGCAGTGAGCCGAGATTGCGCCACTGCAGTCCGCAGTCCGGCCTGGGCGACAGAGCGAGACTCCGTCTCAAAAAAAAAAAAAAAAAAAAAAAAAGAAAGCAATCTCATGGTATCAAAAGGAATAAATAGTATCAAAAAGAATAAAATACTTAGGAATAAATTTAACCACAGAGGATTAAAGATCTGTATACTAACAATTATAAGACACTAATGAAAGAAATTAAAGAAGGCACGAATGAATGGAAAGCGATAACCTGTGTTCATGGATTGGAAGCATTAATTTTTTTAAATGTCCATACTAAAACCAATCTATGGATTCAGTGCAACCCCTACCAAAATTTAAACAGCATTTTCACACAAATAGGAAAAACAACACTAAAATTCATTGGGAACCATGAAAGACCCTAAATAGCCAAAGCAATCTTGAGAAACAAGAACAAAGATGAAAATATCATGCTACTGATTTCAGATTATATTACAAAGCTATAGTAATCAAAACAGTATAGTACTGGCATAAAAACAGACACATAGACCAATGGAACAGAACGAGTCTAGAAACAAACCCTCATATATGTAGTAAGCTAATCTTTGACAAGATCTTAATGAATACACAATGGGAAAAGGATGGTCTCTTCAATAAATGGTTCTAGAAAAACTGAGTATCCACATGCAAAAAAGTAAAATTGGATCCTTATCTTACACCATACACCATACACAGAAATGAACTTGAAATTGATTAAAAACTGAAACATAATAAAAGACCAAAACTATAAAGCTCCTAGAAGGAAAAATATTTTTGGCATTGGTCTTGGCTTTATTTTTTGGACATGACACCTAAAGCACAGGCAACAAAACCAAAAATAGGGAAATGGGATTAGGTCAAATGAAAAACACTTCTGCACAGTAAAGGCAACAATCACAAAATGAAAAGGCAACCCATGGAATGGGAGAAAATATTAGCAAACCATACATTTGGTACAAAAATTAGTATCTAAAATATATAAGGAGCTCATGCAACTCAATAGGAAAAAAAAAACAAATAACCTGATATTAAAAATGGGCTTAGGACACAAACATACAGTTTTCCAAAGATGACATACAAATGGATAGTAAGTATATGAACAGATGCTAAACATCACTAATCAGTGATACACAAATTAAAACTACAATGAGATATCACTTCACATTTGTTAGGATGGCTATTTTCAAAAAGCTGAGAAATAAGTGGTGGTGAGGGTGTAGATAAAAGTTAACCCTGCACACTGTTGGTGGAAAAGCAAACTGGCGCAGCCATTATGCAAAACACTATGAAAGTTCCTCAAAAACTTAAACATTAGAATGACAACATGATCCTGCAATCCCATTTCTGGTTATATATCTAAAGGAAATGAAACCAGTATCTGAAAGAGATATCTAAACTCCATGTTCATTGCAGCATTATTTCTAATAGTCAAGATGTATATAAAATTATTTAGCCATAACAAAGAAGGCAATTTTGCCATTTTGACAACATGAATGAATCTGGAAGACATTATGCTAACTGAAATAACCCAGACACAGAAAGACAAATACTGTATGGTGTCATTTATATGTGAAATCTAAAAAAGCCAAACCATAAAAACAGAGTAGAGGGTGGTTGTCAGAGGCTAAGAAGTGACAGAAATGGGGCGATGTTGGTCAAAAGGTACAAACTTTCAGTAATAAGATGAATAAGTTCTGGGGATCTACTGTATAGCATGGTGGCTATAGTTAAGAATAATGCATTATATATTTGAAAATTATATATATTCAAGATATAATTAAGAGAGTATATCTTAAGTGTTGTCACCACACACACCCAAAATGTAACTATGTGAGGTGATGGATGTATTAACTTGATTGTTGTGATCATTTCACAATATATATCAAATCATCATATCCTGCATCTTAAATATATTTTATTTGTATTTGTCAATTATACCTCAATAAAGCTGGTAAGAAAATAAACAGGTCTGAGATGGAAAACTATTATTATCAATGCATACTTCACCTGACATTATCTGCCAGCAGTTAGGTATTAGTCACCTCCAGGAGGCGTCTAGCCTGGGGAAGAAGGAGTGGGGACACCAGTTTCTGCAGTGATATTTTTTCCTTAAACAGTTTTATTTACGTTTATTTTAATTACAATACTAATTCCTTTATTTTTATTTTTATAGATTAAAGGGATATAAATGTAGTTTCATTGCATGGATATATTGCACAGCAGCGTATGTAATAATTGAATTAATGAATAGCTAAATGTTTCTTGGTTTCATTTGGGAATCTTTGATGCCCAGATTTGTAGGGTTTTGTTTCAAAGTTTTGTTCCAAGAATGAGAAAAAGGAATAGTGCAGATAGGCCTAATGTTTGCAGGGAAGAGTATTCTGTTAGCATATGAAAGATTAAATAATTCTTTGCTTTCTTTTCAGAGCTCAATCTTTAAAGCTGGCAATAGTATAATAAATAAAATTGAGACCTTTTTTTAAGTCTAGAAATCACCTATTTATGGACAAAGAAAACACAAGCACATGTTTCAGAGACAATGAAGTTGTTAGGTAATCTTTAATCTTTGAGAAATCCTGGAAGATGGGACATAAAGTAGTACAATTAAACAGAGAGACATGCCTTAATAGTTAAAGCAGGAGGAAAAAAGATTTTAGAAACTCTGGGTTATTAAATTATATTTAATTAGTCTAACACATTTCTGTAATGGGATATTTTCAAAATTTGAATTTATCAAGATTGAATTTGCATATAGTAATATTTACTCTTTTCAGGCTTACAGTTGGTTGAAATTTAACAAGCCCACACAGTGGTGTAACTACCACCATTACCCAAAAAGCTTCTCGTGTGTTTGCCAGTCAATTCACTCTCCCAAGCCCCAGCTCCTGGCAATCACTGCTCTCATTTTTGTTCCTATAATTTTCACGTTTCCCCAGAGTTTCATATAAACTGAATCATGAAGTCTATAGACTTTCATGACTGGCTTCTTTCATTTAGTATAATAATTTTCAGATTCATTTATGTTGTATTTATCAATATATTGTTTCTTTTTATTGCTGGTAAGTATTCCATTGAATGGATTTATGACAATTTGTTCACAATGGATTATTAAAAAGCTGAAGTGTTAGTATTTAAAAAGTAGAAGTAATCACTGAAATGCTGCATGGATTTAGTAAGATATGTAATAAAGTAAGTGTATTTCCTTTTATAAATGAGTTATTAGAGCAGTAGCAATATAATTGAGTGCAGGATTTCAGCAATGCATCTGACAAAGTCTCCCCACATACTGTAAGAAAAGTTGGAGGGGAGGAGGAAGGTAAGCTAGATAACAGCAAAGTAAGGGAAATTCACAGCTGGTTGTACAATGACACCCAAAGTGTGGATGTAAGGGCAGTTGTCAACCTTGAAAGATGTCTCTTGTGGAGTGCTGCAAGGCTGTCATTAATCCCACTCTGCTGGACACATTAATTAACAATGTGATTGAAGGCATCATAGATTTTTAGCTTAATGGCTGGTATTAAAATAAAGAGGAAAGTTTCTGCATTGTATAACAGAACCAAAGTTCTGAAAAACCTTAGTGTGATAGACAGCTTAATTGTTGGGCCAAAATCAATGATAGGAAATTTAGGGGAGATTAAGGAAAACATGTCCACTTGGGTAAAAAGCAAATTAGTGTCGCAATATACTAAGAAGAAGATCTGACTGAAGGGCTATTCATAGGAAAGAGCTTTACGAAATCAGTAAAGTCTAAACTAAAAAGGCAAAGGTCAAAATTTGAGGTTTGGAGCATAGCTAGGCGGACTTAGAGACTGCATCTACCTTGGACTATATTCTCATTCATTTTCTCTTTCTTTCTCTCTCTCTGTCTCTCTCTGTCTCTAACTAGATTACAGCTCATTGATTTCATTTTCCTATTACTAATTTCACACTGAGGAGCAGAAAGGCTCTGACAACTGACTGTGAACAATACCATCACCTGCTGAGAAAACTCAGACTAGTGTAGTTTATGGCACCTGATGTTAGGGAAAATGTAACTTATATTTAACAGTCATCTTCCTAATTTTATTCATGGTTTTAAAAGCTCCTATTTTGCTAGACCTCCCAATTAACATTCTCTAAAGCACCTTTCTTGCAACATAAACCATCTCCTCAAATTGGCTCAGTTCAGGAAGGAGGTAACTGTTTACTGAATTCAGAGGTGAAGCTCTACTTTTCCGTTTTCCTCTTAAGTGTCAGGTTTCTTCCCTAAGTGTTTACATTTCAATGATTTGAAGAATACCACTGGGTAGAGTAGCCATTCCTAGGGAGATTTTGCACTCGTGTGTGTAGTGTGTTTGTGTGTATGTGTATGCATATATGTGTGAAAGAGAGAGAAAGAGTGTGTGTGCACCTGTGGACTTGTAAAATGGCATCTTCTTCTTGACCAGTGGCCTTGACCTGAATGTTTTACTGATATAGTCTATAACTTTTTACATGGAAATGTATTGCAACCATTCAAACTGTATTCTCTTAACAGTGGGTGTCAAAACTATAGAAACTGAGGCTCACAAATGAAAGAGAAGAGGTAGAATAGAGGATGGAAGAAAAGAGACTGCTGTTGGAAAGAAAATACACTTTAATCCTTTCTTCTTTTTCCCTGTGTGGTTTTACTAATAAGGTGGTAGCAACAATCCATTTTTAACTTGGACAGTGTTTATACTTAGAAATTGCTTGACATTAATGATGAGGACCTATCAGAAAATTCCATATAATAGGAATTTCACAAACTTCTCTTTGCACCTTATAATCCCTGGTTAAGTGCATTTCTTGCTCATGGTCAAGGCCTTACCTACATTTATCTTTAAAATCTCCAAAGCTTCAGTTCTTACTTAGAATGTAAGCTAGTATAGGAATCTGAATGTTAGAGGAATAAGAGCTATTTTACTTTCTCTAATCTAAGTAAGTATAGTTTACATTTCACTAGCTTAATTGTATGCTAGATAAATGCTACAAAGCTGTGTCCATATTATTCTAATTGTCCTTCAAAAATGCTTTATCTTTACTTTAATTGATTTGTCTAAACTAATTTAAATTAGACCAGTAAAGCAATTTTCTAAAACATAGACTGAAGCAACCTTCTATGGAATCCTCTCCTGAATTCTTCCTATCTTGGCAAGAGTTGCGCCTGGTATCCAGCACCTTTCTACCTACTAAGCAAACACTGATTCAATATGTGTTATAAAGGAAATGAAAGTCTCTTTAGTATTTGTCACTGAAGATTAGATCACTCAGTTGTGTCTGCCAACCATAGATAAATTTTTCTAGCTTTCTTTTGGGGTACAAAAAGCTGGAGGTAATAGACACTATCATGCTACAAACTAGAAGACTGAAAATCAAGAGAAAATAGCCTGCCATCATCATTTAAGCAATTTGACTAAAAGCTAATTTCATTTTGTAAAGTTTCAACTTTTTACCTGAAAAAGCAAGCAAGCTTTTTTCTCCCTCACCTTTTTTTTTTTGGTGTGTGTGAAGGTTGAAATGGTGTTTGGGTTATTATTCCTATTATTTTGTTATGTTGCATTATTTCAATGGGTGTTTACTATCACTAATCTTTTTATTTCTAGAATTGCATACTGATGTCACTCAGTTCTGCTTTTAGCCCTCTGGGAAGGATGCAAACAGTAAGATTTAAATGGAAGACAAATCTCCTTTTCCTTTCCTCTAAGATTATTCAGTTACCACAGGCTTAGGTCCAAGTGCAGTCTATAATCTCACTACAGTGTTAGGTGGCTACTAGATAAGTGCCTTCTACTCATGAGAACAGCCAGTAGAGAGGGAGTCTGGGGAACAGACCCTCAACAACAACAGCAAAGAATTGTAGGTCTTCTCCGCCCAACCTTACTTCCTCTCACGGCTCTGAGTATTAGACACTTTATCTCTAAAGCAGCACAACTTCTAAATGTAGGCCATGGAGAGAGACCCTTACCATGGGGCATGTAACTGGGTCTTATCCTCCAGAACTCAATGGCATCTATTCTCTGTAGCCTAAATGATTCAGAAAGCAGATGAAAGGTGAAACCAGTTGATGATGCTTATTTTCTACATAGATTATCTTATCTCATGGTCCCAAGTACTTTTAAAATGGAATTTAATTAAGATACACAATTAAAGTATCTAGTTCTCTGGTGGTGAAGAATCATTGACATCAACTCATTAAGCAAAACCTTGACAACACTCTCAAATGTTCTGTGGTTTCTTCAGTTGGTGGTTCTCAACCCTAGATGCATAGAAGAAATCACTCACAAAGCTTATTTCAAAAATAGTAATGTATGTGTCCCACCCCAAAGACCCTGATTTAATTGGTTTGGGATGAATCCAAAGCATCAGTATTTTTTAAACAACCCTCATTCCATTTAAATGCAGAGAAAAAAATCAGTATGTCTCCTTACAACCAAGAAATAATGCCTAACTATTATGTCTGCATTCCTCCTTGGGAAAAAGAGGATGATAAACTTCTGCAGCATTTCCCACAAGACCTTCTGCGGAATCTTAGTTTTATGTAATGTTAATATGTACTCTGAGATTTAAAAACAGTTTTCATGATCAAGTTTTAGAAACTGTGGCTAGGTATTACCTCCTTTCAAAAAGGGTTCTGGGAGTCTTTGGTATGCCAATATGCATTGTCATACTTCAAGATAGGTATAATAATTAGGGTTTCTTTAACCAAAAAAACACTTGGCCATGAAACGCTTTCAGAGAGCATCTCATAGGACTGACTAGTGCTCTATGAAACTCAATTTGGGGAAGTATGTTTATGACTACCCTGAATCTCTGTCAGATTGGGAGATGTGTGCTCATCCACTGCCCTAAAGTCACATTCCTTCTGTTCTCCTCAGCCACTTACTTTGAGGTCCCAAAGGGGAATGAATGGGTCCTTGTGACTCCATTTTACCTCAGTTCAGCTCATTAGCAAAGCAGGCTAAAATAAAAATCATTGCACATACATTAGAAGAGACTACAATCAATTACATCCAAGTCAGCTTCTTGAAAGTGATAACATTTGATGCCTGCACCATAATTTTTACATATGAGAATGGAGATTTTTATAGGGGTACATTAACCATCTTGTTACATTTCTCCCTATCAGATGTATTTTCTGTTTGGAATAGAGGAATGAAAATGCTAAGCTTTTTAAAATGAATTTTATCGAACTGTTGATGTTTTAAGATGAGCAAGTTGAGAAAACATAAAAAGCAGATATGAGATGATATAGAAACTCAGCATAAGTAATGATTTAAAATGAATCAGTAAATTCAGAATGGAGTAAAATATTATTGGTCTAAAAAGAACCTTAGAGATCACCCAGCTTAACTGCATTGACTCATGAACATGCAGAGGTCACACGGGTGCAATGCCTATTCTAAATCCACACATCTAGCTGGTAACCAAGTGGAGACTGAGTTAGATCCCCTGACAATTAATTCCAAGTGCTTCCCACCATGCCATATTGTCTCTCTGTGGATTTCTCTCCAGTCAATAGCTCAACAAAGATAGACAATATTTAAATAAAAATTAACCAAACTCTTCCACAATGTATGTGTTCCCCAAAGCCAATTATTCACACATGTAGTTATTACAGGGTCATGTTTGCAACTTTTAATTAGAAACAATTACCTCTGGCTTCTATTGTTTTAACCACTAGTCTCTTATGTGCTAAATCTAAAAATCCATAAAAATTCATCAAAAGCCCTGCCATGGATGCTTTAATGTATGTGTCTCCTGACAAAGATTCATTGCTTGAGTAAACTTTAGGCAGGCTTCTGAACCTTCTCCTAGGCCCATCTTTGCATTTCCTTGTAAAAATCCAGTTTTAGCAAGGAAGATCTCCCCTAACTCATATCTGCTAACCCTTGCTTTTGAGATTACAGATTTAATTGAAATTTCATTGTTTCTTTTCTCACACTAAAGAATGCTTGGTGAAGAAAACTGCCCGCCGTTGATGACCTTCCCAGCCACTTTTCCATCTCAAGAAAATTTAACAAAATAAAAACAAAAAACAAAAACTATGCACACTTTAGGCTTCTTGGAGAAAACTAAACATGCTCACATTTAAGTAGAGACAAATATCTGCTCTTCAGCGTGTTGCCAAGAATAGAGCAATCAGAAAATACCAGTTGAGTTGACTGTAAGGCATGTCACATGTGGAACCCTGAAGGAAATGGGAATGAATAACCCTTGAAGAGAAAACTAGGGAAGACATGAGAACTGCCTTTAGAAAGTGGGAGGGAACCAGGATGAAAGTAACTCTGTAAAGCCCACAAGAAGTGGGACATTGGGAAATGGAAGGAAGGCATTTCTAATAGAGTTGTCAAAGATAGAGAGCAGTCTATTATTGAGAGTTTCCAAGCTTGAGATGGATGATAACTTGACAGAGACGTTGGAGAGAAGGTCTAAATATTGAAGGAGAGTAGGAAATGTTAGGGGCCTTCCAACACTGAGAATCAATGAAGAAAATTTAATCACCAGCAAGCACACAAATGTCTGGGACTGTCTATACATTCCTTATTTCCCAAGGCAGTAGTAAGAGGGTATATTTCTAAGAAGGTAGGCTGTCAGGATAATTTATGAGTTAAATAGGAGAATTAAGCACATTGATCATTTTACTTCCCTAGTCCATCGTCCAATTAAAACATCATGGCCCTGAGAATGAACCAGTGGAGAATATACACAGGACCCAATTGAGATATTATTATAATCTACATTTATTTACATATATTTATTGCATACATACTATTCGCTATGTACTATGGATAAAAAGATGAAATTTCCTTATTTCCCCAGGAAAAATTACCAGTATGCTTAATCTTCTATTGTAGCATCACTCTTGTATATTATAAGTTTATATATTTATATATATAATTATATATATTCTATATATATAATTATATATATTCTATATATATAGAATAATTATATATATTCTATATATATAGAATAATTATATATATTCTATATATAGAATAATTATATATATTCTATATATATAGAATAATTATATATATTCTATATATATAGAATAATTATATATATTCTATATATATAGAATAATTATATATATTCTATATATATAGAATAATTATATATATTCTATATATATAGAATAATTATATATATTCTATATATATAGAATAATTATATGTATTCTATATATATAGAATAATTATATGTATTCTATATATAGAATAATTATATATATTATATATATATAGAATAATTATATATATTATATATATATAGAATAAGTATATATATTCTATATATATTCTATATAGAGAGAATAATTATATATTCTATATATAGAATAATTACATGTATTCTATATATAGAATAATTACATATATTCTCTATATAGATATATATATCTATAGAGAATATAGAGAATATAGAGAATATCTATATAGAGAGATATACATATTCTGTATATATAGAATAATTATATATATAATTATTCTCCACTTTAGAAGTTCTAAAGAATGGGATAATCCTCTAGTCATCTTTTCACTACCTGCCATTAACATAGTAGAAACAATAAATAATAATTCTACTAGAAATAACGCAAACAACAAAACTTCAGCCTCCCAAGGTACATGCTGAGAAAAAAAGTTTTCTCATCTTTTGGACAGGGTGTCTTCCCTGGACTGAGCCTTCAAGATAGTCTAATTTCTTACTACACTGTCAAATGTGCTTTTGCTTGACTTCAGATTCAAGGAGATTATGAGAACATAAGAGACCAACAGGGGAAAATTTTAAGATTTCCTGAAATCTCAAAGAGGGGAATTCCTAACATTTCAAAAAAGTTAGGGCTCTGGGTTTCCATCTGAGCTGAGGCTACTCTGACCGTGAAACCCCATGCCACCTTGTTCTAATGCCACCACTATTCCCAGGAACTGTGAGTCTATGGGGTCTTCTGCAGATGTCAATCAAATCTTTTCCCCCTTCTCGTTTGTGTTGTGGTGTCTGCTGTGTTCTCTACAACAATACACACTGTTGATGGTACTCAGTAAATTATAAATAATGAATAAGTCTGCCTTCTGTCATTTTGATGGAAACAAGAAGCTTTCCAGGCTGTGAATTGTGAGAAGGGTCACTGCTATGCATACGGCTTCCCAGAACACACTGATATGTCAACTGCCATGGAAAACTAGAAGTAGTTATTTGTGCTTTGTCTGGACATATTAAATCTGCTGAAAGTAAGCCACAGTTCTCAAGGCACCAAATCAGCCAACCTATAAGGTATACTTTTAAGTGGTCTGCATTAGGAAGGAGGTTTAACTAAATAGAATAGTAACACAAGTTGATGGTGTTAATTAGAGTATTCTTTATGCCTATCTAATTACACTCCCTCTTCACTTCTTTCCCAGCCAGCATTCAGTAAAAATGGTGGAAAATCACACTCTGACAATTGTCTGCTTTCAAAGTCAGATGTGATATGTCTCCTTCGTAATTCATCTTTCTCTTGAGCTAATGGTTCTATCGAAATTACAGTTGTCACTGTCAGCGGAAAATTTTAAAAGGGACACACTCGGCCTGGTACAGTTGCTCACATGCCTGTAATCCAGCACTTTAGGAGGCCAAGGTGGGCAGACTGCTTGAGCCTACAAAGCTGAAACAAGCCTGGGCAACATGGTGAAACCCTATCTCTATAAAAAATACAAAAACATAGCCAAGCATGGTGGCACATGCCTGTAGTCTCAAGAATCACCTGAGTCCAGGAAGTCTAGGGTACGTGAGACATGATTGAGCCACTGCACTCCAACCTAGGTAACAGATTGAGAACCTCTCTCACAAAAAATAAAATAAAATAAAAATAAAAAAGACATGCTGTATGCTAACACATGTTTACCCAGATTATTAGTAGAATCATCAATGTAGAATATTTTTATTTTTAATTTTAAAACTTTTGGTAGAGATGGAGTCTCTTTATGTTGCACAGCCTGGTCTTGAAGTCTTGGCCTCAAGTGATCCTTTCACCTCGGGCTCCCAGTAGAATGTTTTTAATATATTAGTATACAATACAAAACTTGATAGAATTCTCAGTAACACTTTAAAAAGGAATTGGAGTTTTTCTTCTCCCAAAGGGGGAAAAAAAGCTTATAGTTACGGAATATCGTAGAACTGTGGTTCTTAAACCTACCTATCAGAATCAACTTGAGAGTTTTAAAAATAACATAGATACCTGAGTCCAGCCCTAGAACTACTGAATCAAATCTTTAAATATTAAATATGTCCTCCAATCCTTGAGTTTTTTTTTTTTTTTTACAGTTTCAAGAGCGATTCTGATATAAAGCCAGGTTTAAGAAATATACTTGTAAAGAGCAGAGTATATTTCAAGGCTAAGCAACAAGCTGACTTTTGCTATCCTATTGTTAACATATTCTGTTGATGCCTTTTTAAATAAATGTGCAGTAAAGAAATTACACACATTTAAATTCAGTCTACATCAGGAACCTTCACTTTGGGTTTCAATTGGAAATGCCAATCATGTATCTTTTGTTTAAAATGATAAAATTTAAGACATGCAATGGAATGAACTTGGACCCTCACCTTGCAACATAAACAAAAATTAACTCAAAATGAATCAAAGACCAAAACAAGACATACGGCTGTAAAACTGTTAGAAGAAAAAATACAGGAAAGCTTTACTGCATTGTATTTAACAAAGATTTCCTGGATTTGACACCAAAAGCACAGGCAACAAAGGTAAAAAATAAACAAATTAAACGACATCAAAATTTAAAACTATGTACCAAAGACACAATCAACAGACTAATAAAGAAATGTACAGAATGGAAAAAATTTGCAAATTATACATCTAAGAAGAGGTTACTATCTAGACTATATAAAAACCTCCAGCTTAATAAAAAAAAATAACCTGGTCAAAAAGTGGGCAAAGAACTTAAACATTTTTTCAAAGATGATGTAGAAATGGCTAAGAAGCATATGAAAAGATGTTCAACATCACTAATCATTAGAGAAGTGCAAATCAACAATGAAATATCACCTCATACCCATTAGGATGGCTACTATTTGGTGAAGATATGGAGAAATAGACACCCCGTACATTATTGTGAAAATGTAAAATGGTATAGCTGCTATGGAAAATGGTAGAATAGGCCCTCAAAAAATGACAAATAAAATTTCCATATCATCCAGCAATTTGACTTCTGGGTGTATATCCAAAAGAACTGAAACCAGGATTTTGAAGAGATATTTTCACACCCATGTTCATAGCAGCACTAGTCATGATAGTCAAGAAGTGGATGCAACCCAATTGCCATCAATGAATGAATCGATAAAATGTGGCATATATAGGCACATACACACTTACACACACACACACACATACACACACACAGAAATATTGTGCATCCTTAAAAGGAAGAAAATTTTGACACATGCTATGACATGGATGAACATGGAAGACATTACACTAAGTGAAATAAGCCAGTTACAAAAAGGCAAATACTGTATGATTCTTCTTATATGAGATGTCTAGGGTAGTTAAATTCACAGAAACACAAAACAGAATGGTAGTTGACAGAGGCTGGGGAGAGGAGAAGAATGGGAGTTGTTTAATGGGTACAGAGGCAGTTTTACAAAATAAAAAAGTTGTGGAGATTGGTTATACAACAATGAGAATATGCTTGACACTACAGAATTGATTAGAAATGGTTAAGATGGCAAATTTTATGTTATGTATTTTTAATCACAGTTTAAGAAAAAGATATAGTAGGAAATTTGCTATAAAGAAATCTTTGGTTATGCGATTTGTATCATCCTACTACTTTTGGTATGAAATCAGAAGATTTTATCTACATAAATAATTTTGACTACAATTAAAGAAAAATAACAATTCTGGCAAACATTTAAAAATCATAATAAATGGGAAATCATAACTTTCTAATATTCAAAATATTCAATATATAAATAATATCAACATTTTATAGATGATACTATTGTAAGTAAATATATAGTGTTAGAAAGTTTTAAGATATGGTTATGCATGAAATTGTGATTAAGAAACTGAAGCCATATATAATCTTGTGAGTTTTATACCTCCAATATAATCTCACTTTCTTTTTCACTAGGGGTGAGGGTGGCCATTTACCATATATTTAGCTGCACTCTGAGTAACACCAGCTTGTTCCCATATTCTGTATGGGGAGGTAAATAAGAGCATATAAAGCCCACAAAGAAAATGCTCAGCTCATGTTTTGAAGTGAGTTTTCTCTAAAGAGTTCTGTGGCACTAAGTTGGCAACTGACTAATGTATTGACAAATCAGCAAGTTGTGCCTATGCTAAGGAAACAAATGTTTTGCCTATTTATTTCACACTGTAGCTGATGTTTGACTGGTGCTCTATTTTGTTTTGAGCATAAAAAGGATGGCTTACTATCTGATGAAGGCCTCAGCATCTGTAATTGGAAATAATCTAGCATACATGACAGAGTCTCATTTCTCTGTACTTTAATAGTATGCTCCTTCTCAGAGTAAAATTGTCATTTAACACACTTCTTTAAATCCGGAATCAAACCTCAATGAAAATTAAGTTCTGAGTTGATCTTTTGTAAAAATTATAAATCCTTTTATTATGCGCACAAACAAAAATGTGAAAAATATTTGTGTAGATGTAATGCTGGAGACAAATTTAAACTTGGATCGGTGGTGAAGGTAAATGATACGTCATTTACTAAATGCTTCCTTTACATTCTTTATCTCATTTTAGCTCACCTATGACCATATAATGAAGGGGCTCTTATCCCATTTGAAGCTGAGGAAATAAAGGTTTGGAATGAGTGGGTAAGTTACCCCAAACAACCCAGCTTACATATATAAGGGCTCACAGATACAAGGATTTGAAAAGGTTTTGACTCCAAAACCTTTTGCTCATAGCATCTGGGCTTTTTATTTTCCCCCAGTTTTATTACACTTCTATCACTAGCTCAGTTGAGTGATAGGAGAGAAGTCCTGTGAAATATATCCTACATTTTGTGCATTTTTGGAAGATAAATCCTAAGTTGAGTCTTCAGAGATGTGTGTCTATTACATCTTGAGGAAACTTGTGACATATTGTAAAATAGAATATTCTATTTAACAGTCTCTGATGTTGCAGCCTAAATTTCAACTTATTTAAACACTTGTTATTTTATATAATGAAGTGCCCTCCTCAACAGCTTTACAATTTTTGACAGGTATTGAAAGCATTTTAATATTTAATGTGTATTAGTCTTTCCTTATCATTGTTTAACTAAATGATAATAACTTAGAAAGGATACAATATGCCTATCATGTAGGCATTAAAATTCTAGAGTTTTAAAAATGTAAGGCACCTGAGTAATTACATGTTCTTTCTCACTTCCATATGGGGCACAAACTAACCAGATAAATATTTTCTTCATTCCAAAAACACATCAGAAAATGAAATTTAAAATATGCTTCCAATAATACATTTCTTTTTTAAATTTTATTATTATTATACTTTAAGTTTTAGGGTACATGTGCACAATGTGCAGGCTAGTTACATATGACTCCAATAATACATTTCATGCTCTTGTGTGGTCTAACTTAAGAACCATTTGCAGTTTCTAATTGCATCAAAATTTTTAACATACTTCTGGAAAACCAGTCAGTGATATCCTGTTAATTTCTGTCACGGCATCTTTCCATTAAACAATTGTGTCACCAAGATAAAAAACAATTTAAAAGATTTCAGAACCCTCATCCAAAAGTGCTAAGTATTATTTGAAATAATATTGTTCATTTTTGTAAAGTAATGATTTCCTAACAATGCATAAAGATATAAAATTTTCCAATCTAAAATGCTTCATGCATTGTTATTCTCTCAATTTGATTTTACAAGCTTGGAATTTTAAAAAATTCAGTCAATCACTGCTATGGTTGAATATGTGTGTCCCCTCCACCCCACTCCAAATTCATATACTGAAACCTAATCTCCAATGCAATAGTATTAAATAGAGTCTTTAGGAGGTGATTAGCTTATGAGGGCAGAACCCTCATGAATAGGATTAGTGCCCTTATAAAAGAGCCCAGGGGATCTTGTTTGGCCCTTTCATCATGTGGGAGAAAATGGAGACGGTGCCATCTCTGAAGCAAAGAGCAAGCCTTTGTCTAATTAACTCTGCCGGCACCTTAATCTCAGACTTCCCAGGCCTCCAAACTGTAAAAAATATATTTCTGTTGTTTATAAATTACCCAGTCTAAGGTATTTTGTTATAGCCCATCTGAAAGGACTAGGACAGTCACCATATAAACATATAAGTGGTATCTCTAAATAGAACTGTGATAGGAATACAAGCATCTGGGTTAGTAAAGAATTTGAGCAAACTGGAAAACCAGTCTTACCTGAAATGTGTTAAATGTCTCTGGATGTCAAGGTCTAGAATTGGAGTGGGTCTGGAGGATCCCAGTGGTGATCTATCTTGGCTCAAGAGGTCTTGGAATTCTTTACAGATTTGTCTAAAATAAAAGAATCAAATTTAAAATTGAAATTTTCAAATTGAGCTTTAATTTCATCCCATGATATTTAACCAAAGGCTTGTTCTCTCTTTTAAAAGAAGTCTAGATAACATTTCATAAAGCAACCTCAAAAGTTCCATTCATAGCATACAGTTGAGTTTCATAATGGTGACTTTGCTCTCAACGGCTATAGGATAATCATACAACATTTCAAACAAATAACAATCCATGAGCACTGATAAGACCAATGTTTATTTTTAAGATGACTATTCATAAATTAACCTCAGGATAAGGGGAACCCCATATGAAATGATCACTATGATCTTTTTAATTGAAATGTGATTTTTTAAGACATAATATCTGTAAACAAATTTAATTAAAGTTACAGTCTTACTTCAGAGCCATTATTCAAACAGACTTTGGAAAATCCTTTTTTCCCAATATTGCATTAGAGTTCATATTCTTATGAGCTAACTTTATATGCTAATATTTGAAGCAGATAATCACCAGTAATTTAGTTCACTAGCCTCACAAAAAATGGTTATATTATGTTCCATGTAAGCCAATTTCTTGCAAAAATTACCCTCAAGGTAACTTTTCTGCTGCATTTCTTTGCTTTAAATGGTTATGGTTTTTGGTCATTGGTTTCAGTTTAATTACAGTGTTACAATGTAACAGTAAAGACTTTGTGATGTACACTCCAAATGATATAATTCTAAAGAAGCAGAATACACTATACAAAGAGATATTGTTTTTGTTTTTGTATTTTAACAACAAAACACTAAATTAGTCCAGTCTCTGAAAAGTAAAGGATTGCCAAAGAATTGCTTAAAAACATCCATCATCTAAAGTGAGGTGACTCCATAAATCAAGGGATAATATGACAGTAATTAGGTTTTTTGTCTGTTTTTACAATGGGCAGTCGCAAAAATGTAATAATGTAGCCCTGACTTTGATTATCAATGTAAACAAAGACAGGTATAGAAGTGTCAAATTATTTCAAGTGAATATGAACCCGGCCATTATTCTGCTGCAAGGCATTTGTGTCATCAACAAATGACTACCAAAAAGTGACAAAATATCTTGAAGTACAAATAATTGATCACTGAGTTAAAAATCAGTGGGGACTTCTTAATCAGGTATCTAAAATTTATTGAATTCCATCAAAGATCACTTATGATATTTTAAATGAACAATGAGGGTCTGGTTTAATGCCAGTGTTCAAATATTGTGTCATTTCACAGAAATTGCCTTATTCATGTTTGCAGAACACAGGTGAAAGTAAAAAGGAGTCAGAGATAGGAAAAACAAAGTCCTTATCTGCTTCAGTGAAATAAGATACTTCACATCCCCTTCCTAAAGGGCCAGTTGGATCTCTGAGATACAGCATCTGAATACATGCTTTTAACAACTGTGTGTTTCTACTTTCATTCAGACAGTTTCTTCTGAACTCCTCACATTTTCTGTTGTGAGACTCAGTTGCTTTATGAAATATACCTGTTTTCAGGTGTATTGCCCATATTTTAATCAATGAATGCAACTTAATCTAAGTGTTTGGTGCCATTTTGAGGAGTATATCATAATCTTTTGTGCTTTGTGTTATTTAATATAGATTTGTTGTCTTTGTTTATGGAAATTTCTAACTAAAATTTTAAATTTAGCCTCATGCTATCATTTCCAAATTACTGTATGGTAGGTCATCATTACGATCCATTCTTACAAAGAAAGATTGGTGTTGTTTTTAGACTTTTGTTTTTAGCAGTCTTTTAGTTTTTCTATCAGATTAAAATAAATTTTAAAACATTAAAATAAAGATTGAAACATTAGTTATTGTGGCATAATATCAGAATTAATTGGATAATGGAATAAACTTTTAAGTTGACAAATCAACTTTGTTCCTGTATGAATAATACAGCAAGTTATAATAAAATTGACGAAGAAATTAGAGAAAGCTAAAGAGGTGGAAAAATTTAACTCATGCTAAATAATTCACACAGGAGGATCTACCAGGAGTAATATTATATTATATTATATCTCCCCCTTTTATATTTAATTCTACAGCTTAACTCACTCACTTTCAAGCTTAGACTTGAAAACAGATGACAATCCTGTAGATTCCCTGTAGGCAATTATCATCATCATCTCATTATGGCACTTACAGAATTATGATTTTATGACTACTTTCCTTCTTATTTAATTTTTTATTTATAAATCTACAAAAAGAAACAATCTTACATCTCAAGGCAAAATGTCATATTATGAATTATGTAACACAAGATGATCTTCAGTGAATCATACATTCTAACTTTATCACTTACATCATTGTCCTTAAGGACGTAAGTTTTTAGCTGATGTCTGAAATCCAAATTCTATGTTTCACCCTTAGATGATTAACAGTATGGTAACACTAAAAGTTGTTAACTATTCTGCTTTACCTTAATGCAGATCAAATGTTAGACATATTTAGTTCTAAATTCAATCAAAAGGTTTAAATATGTTTTCTATTAACCAAATAAACACGTTTTGTCTGATTCATTTTTAGAATTCAAAAAATGTTTCAGTTTCTATTCTTTCGCCTAAATAAATGTCTAAATTACACAAAATATTTAATCAACAAAACACTGGAAATAAGGTGGCATGAGAAGACTAATGACACTTAATTAATAGGCCCTTTATACAATTGTATACTTGGCAATATACTTAAAGACAACTGAATCTGTAATCCATGGAGGTAAAAAAGAAATATGTAGGCCAATCTGACAATGTAGATTAGCAATTGGATCTCTCATTCAATAAATTTTAGATTTCATATATATTTTTTATAATGTTGTCCAAGTCTTATGAATAAAGGTGAACTGACCAGGATGTAATGAATATCCATATAGGCTACTTAATATTAACTTTTACCATTTTAATTGATGAAAATACCTCATGCTTTACCATTGGTGTAAAATTAGAAACTTCTCAGAACACATGTTGGGTCCATTCATATGTTGCACAAAAAGGGTATTATTTCCACACATTCCCTAGTTTATCTAGTTATAGTGATTACTGGTTATATTACGTATGTTTGCTATGACTGGAGTCTCTGATTTTTATTTCACATAGTCCAATAAGAAGATAGGATGCATATAAGTAACAAAAATAAAAAATTATAAAGCTGTATTATAATTTTCAGGTGTTTATTCCTATTTACTCTTCTGTAAGATAAGTTAATTGAAATGAGTGGATTCAATTCTTGCTTGACATTTAATGGTCTGCAAATGTGCAGCTATGAGCAGACAGATAAAATAAAATTACATGTTCTCACAATGTTTAATGAAATCAAAGTTCAAAATATCACCTAAAATAATGTATGTTACTTAGATCCCAGGTAAAAGGAAAATACTACTACCTGGTCAAATACGCTACCCGAAAATAGATGTCTCAGTATAATTTTGACAAATATGGATGCATTTCTTCTAGCATTTCTCCCGCAAATTCTTCTAGCATTTACTTCTATTAAAACACAATCTCGGTGCCAATTTGAATGTGCTTGGAGACTGCTGCACACTTCAACAGAATGATGGGAATCTCCAAGAAAATAGGAATTGTATTTATTGCATTGATGATGGTAGTGGTGAATACTTCCAAAACCATTCCTGGGGGAAGGAGGACAAGATGAAGTGTTTCTCTGGATTAAGGAGTGAAGGTCTTTGAATATGCATGATAAAACCACAACCAAGTCATTTTGATGTAGGAAAAATGAAGGTGCTTTCTCTTGGAAATTTGTATTTTGGGACAACAGTAAAATTCACATGGATATGTGCATTGGTAAACCTGCATGATCCTGCCAGCTAGGATGATATGCTATGGAAACACCTGGGAGATATTACCTAAATTCTAGTACTGTATAATTCTCTTGATCTGTAACAAGTCTTTATCTTTCTCCTACGGTAATGCAAAGGATTCAAACTAACTATATGTGCTTTCAGCTCCTTTTGGAGAAACTGAAATATGACTGAAATTATTTGGAAAAAAAATTTAGTCAATAAGTTATTTGGAAAAGGAAATGAGTACATGGTAAAGATAAAGACTCCCAGAAGACAAAATATGCAAAAGGTTCAGATTTAGGTCTTTTCTACTAGCAAGTTTTCAGGGGCTTCCACTTCACAAAATTTATTCCCAGATTTTAAGTCCAACTTTTATACCTGCCTTATAAGTTTCTTTCTCTATCTCTTGATCTTCATACTCTCTTTCTGCTATTCCCTTCCTCTTAATCTTGTTTTGCTTTTTCTCTATTCCTTCTGCCACCAACTTTTGCTTTTCTTCTCTTTGGGACAAGATGAGATAATCTAGTACTTTCAGAACAGCAATAGATAAATATAATCCTAAGTCCAAACAGTGCCAGCCACAGCAAGTGTGTAAACTTCAATTAAGGGACTCAAGTGTCTTGGACAAACCTGTGAGATGGCAAGTATCCCATATACTCCTTAAATTTGTAAAAAGTCCTATGTTACATAAGAAGCTGGTAGAAAAGAGAATATTTAGTTTTGGTTTTATGCATTTTGAGCCAATTTAAATCTCAGCCAGTATGTTGTAAAGGCATTAAATAATTACTTGTTATCAGTTTCTAAGAAGTGATGTTTTTAATACTCTCTGCCCTAGATTTTCTCTTAAAAAGTTTTCCCTAAGGCTGGGCATAGTGGCTGATGCCTGTAATCCTAGCCCTTTGGGAGGCCAAGGAGTGCAGATTGCTTGAACCCAGGAGTTTGAGACCAGCCTGGGCAACATGGCAAAAATGCATCTTTATAAAAAATACAAAAACCAGGTGGGTGTGCTGGCTCATGCCTGTAGTCTCAGCTACTCGGGAGGCTGAGGTGGGAGGATCACATGAACCTGGGGAGGGTGAGTCTGTAGTGAGCCATGATCGCACCACTGTACTCCAGTCTGGGTGACAGAGTGAGACTCTGTCTCAAACAAACAAACAAACAAACAAACAAAATACTTTTCCCTGAATAAAAAATTAGTTCATAAATGACAGTTTAACCAGCTGAAACTATCAGTTCTAAAATCTTAATATAGAATTAAAAATTATTTAAGATTCTTAATGGCCTATATGTATCAATAACTTATTTCAATAATGAGAGGATAACAAG
Organism: Homo sapiens; assembly: GCF_000001405.40. NCBI lineage: Eukaryota > Metazoa > Chordata > Mammalia > Primates > Hominidae > Homo > Homo sapiens. The sequence goes on along the minus strand of NC_000006.12, from coordinate 50,746,072 downwards.
AATTGGTTACTACCAGAAGGATTTTCCTCTAAAACTTTTGAACGTAACCTGCAGTGCTATCTGCGGTTCTGCTGGATTTTTACACAATAAATGGTAGTATTCCCACTAATTATCGACGAACTTTCAAGTGTCAAGGAATTTATAAGTCATCTTATGCAAGCTTCCCCCTTTCCTATTGTATTGTCAAATTTGTCTACATCGTTTTCCTCATTATTTTAATTTGCATTTTAATTGGGCTTTTTACAATTTCCAGAAGCTTTGAAATACATTATACCTTAAAAAAAAAAGACAATAACACTATGAGGCAGTACAAGGATGATTTACTTACTCATACACAAGAGAGGATGGGGACACTCATGGTGATCCTTGGTCCCAGAGGTCTCCCTGGTACCTCTCACCAACGTGTGACCTCATCTTCTGTCACATTCCCCAAACATTTATGGTGTTTTGAGATTTTACCCTCATTTATTAAGGCAAAATGAGTGCCTTAGACCAAATTACATAGCAACCAAAGACATATTTGCCTGGGATCTACATTTCCTAAACATGTTTTTCTCCAAGGGATTTCTGCATATTCTGGAGAAGTTTTCCAAGAACTTTCATCAGTTTCAATGACAGCCTTATCACTAATCAAGGGCAGTTTGTAAACCTTGCCTGGGCACCAAAGGGTAGAAAGTCCTTGTTTAATATATCTAGCTGCTTGTGTGTGAGACCTTCCTTGTTTTAGAGAACGGGTGCCTTCTAGACTGTTTTCCTCATTTCAAAGAAAATGAAAAAAAAATACTGAAGATGAAAGCACACAGAGGTTTCCCCATTCTGCTTACTTGGTCGCCAGGATCATCTTTTTTCTTGCTGTCTGTTCTTTCTGTTCCATATGTTGTCTGGCAAGATGTTCTCCTACTGCTTTGGCTGGAAACTCTGTTTCACAAGTGTAGCCAAAATCCCGAGCCAAGTGCAAAGCCTCCCCTGTTGGCAGATAACACAAGTGAGTTTCTCACCAGTATCCAACCTTAATAACAGTAGTGTCTTGCATTTTGCTCAAGCCTCACTCCTGGCTGTGGTCAGACAAATCATTTTTCCTACTTAAACTATTCAAGAAAAAAGACCTTTTTGGGGGGAGGAGGGGAGGTAATGAGGAAGAATGAGGGGAAATTGAGGAACAGAGAAGTGACTTAGCAGGCAGGGATAGGTGGAAAATTGAGGGGAAAAAAACAGAAACACAATCCAGAAGTGTTGATTCCCCTCATGGCTCTGGCCATTAGACCAGACTGACTTCCTAGGTTTTACACATGATTCCCAAGCAAAATGGCCCCATGGACAAGTCATTTTGTGGCTGCTGAGCCTACAACCTATTCTTAGTGTGTCTAAACTATTCAGATGTTTTTTCCATGAGACCTATTAAAATACCTGCGAAGGGTCCATATAACTTTTCGAGGAAGTCGGAGAACTTTGGAAAATCATGAATAACTTTGTTCTTTCACAAAATCCTAAACCCAAGTAAATTTTTAAGAAATGGGGTACGAATGGCTTCCCAGCAAAGTAAAATTAAGTGATGAAAATCAATCTGGAAAACAATGTTATTTTTAAAGCTCAGTCAAGGCAAATCTTACCTGTCCACTAAACTTTTATTTAAAAAATCAAGTTTTCTAAACAAATGTAGTACATATATACCATGGAACACTATGCAGCCAGAAACAGAATGAGATCATGTTCTTTGCAAAAGTAGCTGGAGGCCATTATCCTAAGTAAACTACCACAGGAACAGAAAACCGAATACTGCATGTTCTTACTTATAAGTGGGAGCTTAACAATGAGAACACATGGACACAAAGAGAGGAACAACAGACACTGGGACCTACTTGAGGGTAAAAAGTAGGAGGGTGGAGAGAATCAGAAAAAATATCTATTGTGTAGTATGCTTATTACCTGGGTGATGAAATAATCTGTACACCAAACCCCCATGACACAGTTTACCTATATTAAAACCTGCACATGCACCCCTGAACCTAAAAGTTAAAAATAAAATCAAGTTTGTACTGTGTATCTGTTAATACTAAGCATCTACTCACCTACCTTATTCAAGGCACAGTGCTAGGTAGAAGTAATGGGGACTATAAAAGAGTACCAAAGATTGCCTGTCTCCAGGAAAATGATAGTCATAACAATAATAGTAGCAACAACAACAAGTATCTTAGTAGCACTTTGTAATTTTTATTGCACCTATATGAATATTACCTATAATCTTTTCATGTTTGTTGTTATTATGGTGACAGTATATAATACAAGATATTATATTACAAGTACCAGGAAAAAATGAAATAGCTGATAATATGAAGAAAAGGGAGGGAAAGTTTATAGATATACAAAATATACAAAAGAGAACAGTTAATATCAATGAAAATATCCTTAGTAAAGATGCTAGCACTTTGGGAGGCAGAAGCGGGAGAACCCCTTGAGCCCAGGAGTTCAAGACCAGCCTGGGCAACATAGAAAGACCCCATCATCTCTACAAAAATTTAAAAATTAGTCAGATGTGGTGGTGCATGCCTGCAGTCCCTAGCCACTCAGGAGTCTGAGGCCGGAGGATTGCTTGACACCATGAAGTTGAGACTGTAGTGAGCCGTAATTACACTACTGCACTCCAGCCTGCGTGACAGAGTAAGACTCTGTCTCCAAACAAAACAAAACAAAACAAAACAAAACAAAACAAAACAAAATATACTATTTTTTTCATTCTCACAAGGTGAGACCTCCTGTTCTAGGCCTTAGCAAAAAAGTCTAGTTTAATATAAAAGGTATTGCAATAAGCAAACATATTAGTGCGGTTAATGTTTTGTAAATTCTGATCATGCCCCTCTCCACACATATTTCACATGAGCAATGGCACGTCTTTAGTTGCAATTTTAATATCTGTGTGGTGGAAAACATCATTGTTTTTTCTTCTATTTTAAATAGAGAGATGATGTAACTAAATGGAAGGGATCTCTATATTAATCTGAATAGTGCTAGTTTAATGGGGGGTCACAGTTTAAGGTAAGAAAATATGTGAATATTTGGCAGAAGAAATGGCACAAAGATGTGTGTGTGTGTGTGTGTGTGTGTGTGTGTGTGTGTGTGTTTTAAAGTCGTTGTTATGCCATACAGGACACTCACTATTGCTTGAAAAATGATAGAAGGGAGATTATTTGAGAAGTTTCAAATTTGGAAGTAAAAATGTTTTAAACCTTGACCCATCAAATAATGCTACAGCACCTGACCAGAGGATAAACTCATGTGGACCTTAGGCTTCAAAAGTATCTTGTAACTAACAGGATAATACCATCAGTGGCATCATCTTTGTACAGCAAGTCAAGTTACATGTATTAATATAGCTGCACATTGTTATTGTTCACACCAAAACAGATATTTAAATAACATTTTAACAGAGTCTATCTATCTATCATCTATCTATCTATCTATCTATCTATCTATCTATCTATCTATCTATCTATCTATCTATGTGTGTCTGTCTATGTGTCCATCCACCCATCCATCCATCCATCCATCCAATCCTTTTTCTTTACTGTTTGCACAATAGTGGGAGAGGTAAAACAGGGCAAACAGGAGGATGGCAGCACGCCTCTTGAATTTTGTGCTAAAACCTGATTCCTGCGGATCTGTCCCATTTTATGCAAAGCTCTCACCGTGTGGCAGTTTTAAAAACAGTTTGAGTGGGACAGCTGCTATTTACATTTACACTGACAGCCAGATCCTTCCTTCCCTCAGTTCTGTTTACTGCTTTCTCCTGCTTGTGATATAACATTGTTACAGGATGTATAGCAATGCTACATTAAAAGAAGTGGCAAGTGAAGACACTCTGATATGTAGTTAAAATGTGTATATCATGCCACAGAAGCTTTGTGTGTGAGGGCCCAAAAATGAATGAATAAATGCATCCATTAATTAAAATACACATGGTATTCAGAAACAATGACAAATCTATAGTTAAGTCCTTTACAACAGATGTCTTAGTCAACAGGTTTAAGAAAACTAGACATTTTACAGTCAGAAAAGCATATTAACATGACTGTAAGGAGTTTGACTGATTTGGGAAAATAAAAATCCATGAGCTCCTCTGCCTCTGTGGTGGCACAAAATGTCTATATGAACAATGAACTGAAGTGCAAGAACCTGTGGTGGAAAGAGCAATCCAGGAAAGCCCCAGGATGTTTTCCGTTTGATTTCCAAACAGCAAGTATGGCTGCCATCACCTCACTCCTGGGAGAGAAGTAGAACACCCTTGTTCTTGTTCTTTTTTTTTTTTTTCAGAGCTACTTTAAGCTATCCCTTTATTTCAATGTATTGCAGCACTTGGCCATGCACCTTTTTTTTTTAATTTAATACAACTGAAGCAACACACTAAAGTTGAAATACCTTCATTTTATTCCATATCATTTCAATAATTACATATTTTAGAAGTAGGATAGAATGGTATTTCTGTCTTTAGGTCTTAGGCCAGCATCCTTAGCAAACTAACACAGGAACAGAAAATCAAATACCACATGTCCTCACTTATAAGTGGAGGCTAAATGATGAGAACACATGGACACATAGAAAGGAGCAACACATACAGGGGTCTTCTGGAGGGTGGAGAGTGGGAGGAGAGAGATCGGGAAAAATAACCAATGGGTACTAGCCTTAATACCTGGGTGATGAAATAACTGGCACAACCACCACCCACAACACAAATTTATCTATGTAACAAACTTGCATTTGTACCCCTGAACTTAAAATAAAAGTTTAAAAAAAGAAGTAGGGTACATGGGTGTGTAGGTGGATCAGGTTGGTGCTTGGAGAAAAGTATTCCAAGAGCAAGGCTTTAGGCTGTATGTGCCACGTAGTAACCCCACCTACTAAAAAAGTGAAAACCATGAAGGATATTCATCTTTTCAATAGTAATACTTATATTAAATACTTATATTAAATACTTATATTAAATACAGATATTTAATACTTATATTAAACATATCTCTTAAAAAGCAGGCACAAATAAATTTCAGAACATAGCAAGAACGTAAAAGATAAATTTGCTCGTTGATTTTAGAGAATTCATTTTTCCACACTCCAAAGCAAAAAGTAAAAAATTAGGAAGAAATATTAGGAAAAATTTAAGTGACATTCATTGATGTTGCTCTGAAATAGAAAGTTAATGGCAAAATGTTTTTTAAGGAAAAACTGCACATTGTGCCAAGATCCTGAGTTTTATAAGAAGCAGGTTTAAATGCATTTTAACAATAAAAATAAATATACCTGACTTTCAATCTGTTATACAGTCATTAAGAATTTTTCTTTCTTTAGGCCGGGTGTGGTGGCTCATGCCTGTAATCCCAGCACTTTGGGAGGCCAAGCCCAGTGGATCACGAGGTCAGGAGTTTAAGACCAGCCTGGCCAAGATGGTGAAACCCCATCTCTATTAAAAATACAAAAAAAATATTTAGCTGGGTGTGGTGGCGGGCACCTGCAATCCTAGCTACTCAGAAGGCTGAGGCAGAGAATTGCTTGAACTCGGGAGGCGGAAGTTGCAGTGAGCTGAGACTGTGCCACTACACTCCAGCCTGGGCGACAAAGTGAGACTACATCTCAAAACAAACAAACAAACAAACAAACAAAATTCTTTCTTTAAAATTATGGTATTTTTTAAAAAAATTACTTTACACAACTAAAAAATTAATATTTAACACTAATTTTTACTAAGCAGTACTTGTACATTGTTATTCAATAGATAATTCTCATCAACTGTCACTCTAACAATATTGCCTTAAAAACAATTGAGTTTAACTTAGTGTTGCAAAACCCAATGTTATTAAATGAAAATAACAATTTGTATGTGTTAAACTCCAGTCATATATTTATGATTTGAATTTTATTTTCACATATAGGGAAATAGCACATTCAATTCTATGGGATTATTCCAAGAACTATCTATTAGAAAGCAAATTTGCGAATTAAGTAAATTCTTATACTATCAAGCTTTAGCAAACCCTGGAGCTGAAGCACAAAGTAAGTATATCTGATGCCCTGACTTACAGATTTCCCAGACTCTTCGGAAAGGAATGCATTCTACAGCTCTATACATCATACGATCTATGGCCTGGAGAGGTGCCTTATAATATAGTAGTTTTACTAGTTTGATGTTGCTTTTGTCAAACACCAACACTTTGTGTTTCAAAGTGAAAGTTTCATTCCCCATTCAATATCCTGCACTTAGCACAGCATCTGATTCACAATAGGTACTCAGTAGACATTTGTTAAATGAAAAAGCTTTCAGATTATGTTAACAGTATGTTAATTATGACAATAGTCTTGTGAAGCATCCCCTCCTAGAATATAGGGAAGAACTAGAGCAAAAGAGACTTGTTAGAAAGAATTAAATATATACAGAAAAACCTATGAAAAATAGAAAAATAGAGTATATCCCTCTATCAGTGGAGCCATTTAATAAAATAGACTATACTTGAAGGCAGGCTTTCTCAACCCTTGCTACTCCCATAACCTAGAAATTTGCTTTAAAAAATGTTTTTCACCAATAGCAAAGACTTGGAACCAATCCAAATGTCCATCAATGATAGACTGGATTAAAAAAATGTGGCACATATACACCATGGAATACTATGCAGCCATAAAAAAGGATGAGTTCATGTCCTTTGTAGGGACATGGATGTAGCTGGAAACCATCATTCTGAGCAAACTATCCCAAGGACAGAAAACCAAACACCACATGTTCTCACTCATAGGTGGGAATTGAACAATGAGAACACTTGGACACAGGGTGGGGAACATCACACATTGGGGCCTGTCGTGGGGTGGGGGTAGGGGAGAGGGATAGCATTAGGAGATATACCTAATGTAAATGACGAGTTAATGGGTGCAGCACACCAACATGGCACATGTATACATATGTAACAAACCTGCATGTTGTGCACATGTACCCTAGAACTTAAAGTATCATAGAAAAAAAAGTGTTTCACCCCGTATCAATTAATCTCTGGTGCCAGGGCATCTGCAGTTTTTGAATGCTCCTAAAGTAATTCTCTCAAACCAGAGTTGAGAAACCACTGTCCTAAGATAAAGAGAAAGCAGTAGGTGAGGATGAACTGCACATCTTCCAAAAATGTAAGGATTCTATGACTTATACAAAAGGGAAAGCAGCCACTAGCGAGTTAATATGAAACTATAAGAGCCTCTATCTGGCTGGATTCTTGCATGATGAGATCTCCCTTATTTGGCTAATATGGTATGAACTCTATAGACAAAAGAGAAAATGTGGTAGTAGAAGTAGAGATAGCATTGTTAGGGAAACAAAGACTTCAGCCTATTGGAAAAGCATATTTGTTAAGGGTGATTTAATATAAGATGAAGCTTGCACTTAAAGTTAGTAGGGAAAAGGTGGATTATCAATAGAAAATGTTAAGCCAACAAGGTGGCCACCTGGAAAAAAACAAATAAAACTGGATCTGTAGCATACATTTGGCCATGAAACAAAAGTCCAGATGGATCATAGATTTAAACATAGAAAAATGAAACCACATAGTAATTAGAAGATAACATGGTATTTTTTATGATCTTGGAATTAAAAAGGCCTTGTACAGTGTTGCAATTAAAACTAAAAGCCATGAAATAAAATGTGAAAATATAATTATATTAATGTAAAAAAGTTCTGCATGCAAAGACCTCAATAAACAAAGCAAATAAACAAAAACCCATAACAGCCAACTGAAAAATGAAAGTAAGTCATATGAAAGACATACTAACATTTAATAAGCCAATTTTCCTAATAGAGACTGAAAACTTACAAATCAATAACGAAAGTACAAATATTACTCCATAAATACAAAATAAGTAAATAGAAAAGCTCATAAAAGTCCAAGAATATTCTGAATCTCCTTCATAATAGAGGGTTTTTTTAGTCAATCAAATAAGCAATGATAAAAAAATTGATAGCCTCCTGTTTAATTTAGAGTACAGGAAAGTACTATAATGTCAATGCTTCTTACCCTCATTGCTAATAGGATTATAAATTTGCAACCACTATTAAGGAGAATCTGCCAATAATCAATCAAAACTATAAATGCAAATCATTTTTTGACCCTGCAACGCCATTCCTAGACATTTATTGAAGATATGTACTTGCATATCTGTGGAACTATTTATATAAGTTTGAGGTTCTTCATTGAACCACTATTTGTAATAGCCAAAGACTGAAAACACCTAAATGATATTCAGAAGAGGACTGGTTAAATAAATTGTAATAAATTCATTCAGTGAAATACCACGACTTTTTAAAAGAACAAACAACTTGTAAGCACTGAAAAAAAAGAATGAACACTAAGACAAACTCAAAAAATTGATTGCAAAATAGTATCTACAGAATGCTATAATTTGTTTTAAAAATGAATAAAAGAGATACACACATATATCCTTGGAAGGAAAAAGATCAACTAATAACATTTGTTTTCTTCTGGGAGGGGAACTGAATGACTGGGGAACAGAGTGAAAAGGAAGTATTTTACTGAATACTTTTCTGTAACTTTTGAATCCTGAACTATTTGTTTGTATTATTTATTTAAACTTATATTAATCAATCAAAAAGTAAAATTACTCTTTGCCTTATTCTTAGATTTAATTCTGAACTCAAATGTTTATTGTAGATGGAACGTGGGTAATTCCAAGTTTTCCATTGTTATTCAATAAAAGTTAGACATCACTAAGAATAATTACAGCCTGCAATTTGATTAAAATACCTACAAATTTCAATAAATGTAAGCAATGGGGGCCACAGCTCTTTCCTATAATCTAGCCTTTGGGAGGCCAAGGCGGAAGGGTCACTTGAGCCAGGCCAACCTGGGCAAAAAAGTGAGATCCCCATCTCCACCAAAAAATCAAAAATTAGCCAAGCATGGTGGCATGTGTCTGTGGTCTCAGCTACTCAGGAGGCTGAGGCAGGAAGACCCCTTGAGTCTAGGAGGTAGAGGCTGTAGTGAGCTGTGTTCATGCCACTACACTCCAGTCTGGACAACGGAGCTCTTAAGACTGTCTCTAAAAACAAAACAAAACAAAAAACAAAAAAAGGAATAAAGCATTAGTTGATCCATTAAGTTTTGAAAGGAAGAATCATAGAAAAAAGAAAAGAAAGACACTAAGAAGAGAATTCAAACGTTATTTTTAGTGAGCATCACTATGTGCAAGAGAGAATAATGAGCTAGATCAAAGGTGGCAAGGGAAAAACTGAGGCAAATTGGTTTGGCTATATTTGTCTTTATGTGGCACAGTCACCATGAGTAGGAACAGGAGTTTATGGACACCCAAGCACATAGTCAAACACAGTGACGTATATATAGTATCCTATTCCTTCTGCCTCTACATGCAAATACCATCCCCACCACACAGAAATGAATGAAATCTTAAAATGCAGCCCTGGGGAGTGATATTAGAAAGCTTGCAAATAATTTTAAAAGATATACTCTAATATGGTATATATTTATCCATAATATTGTGTGATACTATTTTAGGTTCATTGAAACCAATTTTTGAATACTGATAAATGTTAAGTTTTTAGATAATAGATAACAATAAGTTTTATCTAATTACCAATTACTGAAGCAGAGTCTCCTAGATAGAAATTATTCTGTGCTTAGAATAAGACATTTATGAATGATACGAAACCTAATAGTCTAAAAACTATGCAAAACTGTCTCCAAGAAGACACTGTGAGTGCCAGAATGTGTGTATGTAAAAGGGAACAGCAGAGCTTTTCCAGGTGAGACTGTCTGACTAAAGTGAACATCAACTAGAGCTATTAATACAAGAGGTCAACGCACTACACTTTTCATATCAAATATACTTTTAGAAGAAAGCTGAAAACCTTTCTCCCAAAGGTGGGACTAATGTGGGAAAGTAATGTCTGGAGAAGGCCAGTGAAGGAGCTATTTGGGAAATGAGGTCCATGAGTTGCTCAAGTTTCATATGACTTTTAGTTTCATATGTCACCACCACCACCCAAAAAAAGCCCATTGTTGGTACCTGTGTAAGAGCAATGAGAATATTAGCTTTGTTCTAAACTCTATGAGAAGAATGACTTACAATGAGCATTCCCTAAACAGATGTTATCCCTAATAATTGGCAAAATGATTCCGGTTTTCAAGCCTACAAGTCTCATGCAGTCAATGATACTTCTTTCCAAAGTCACAGAATAATCACATCAAGAAAACTTTCTTAGTAGACCTTATCTATAGGAAAGAGTTCATTGACAAATCGGTTGTTTTCCCTTGTTTCTTGGGAATGCAATAATTTAGGCTCAAGATTAAAGGTAGAAGGGAAATACCACCAAGTGGTAGGATTTCTTTCTACTGCCTTTTGGAAGTTTGGCCAGAGTGGAATAAAAAGGTTTTGTAGGGGAATCTTGTAACTAATAACTTAATGAACTGGCATCCTTTAAAAAGTACAATGGATACTATTGATAATTATTCCAGAAGAGATTAAACCAAGATTTAATGTCCCCCTAACTTTGAGGGATTAAGTAGAAGCAGAAGGTTCATCAGGTTTTAAAAACCCTGTACTAGTGAACAAAGTTTTTGAAGCTTGGACATAAGAAAGTTCAAGAAACTTGTTCAGGGTTCCTAGCAGGAGGGGAGGACCAATCTAACGTGAAAAACAGGCTCAAAGATTGGTAACCCTTTTTCTATCCGTGAGTTTTACTTTAGTTAAATTCAGAAGTAACTCAGCAATGAAACTGTTCATGATATATGCCACAAACACAAATCCAAATGGAAAATATGCCATGATGCTGCAAACCAGAAGATCTGGGTTCTCATCCTTGCTGCACCCAATTGTATAATCCTGTGCATAACAGCTATTCTCACTTTGCTTTTAGTTTTCTCATTTGAGAATAATGACTTTATTCTGGGCACTATGGTAAGTGCTTTGCAAACATTCTGATTTAACCCTTGCAACAATCTTATGTGAAGGGTGTTATTTTTTAACACCACCTTATAAATAAGGACACTTATGCTCAGACAAGTTATGTGTCTTCCCTTACAGCAAGTGTAGAAGTGAGTTCAGACAAGTTTGACTCCAGAAACCACACATTAGGATACATGTACTAATTTTTATTTAGTGGCTCTATGAGGGGCCTATTGTGCAAATGTTTAATCTATGTGAATATAGTTAATCCTGCAAAAGAAACATAGGTCAGATGTTGTGGGTAGATATGGGTGCCAGACCATAAAATTTTTATCTTTTCTTTATATATGATAGAGTTGTTTCGGAGAAGACTCTGCCAAGCTAGAGATTACATTTTCTAGCATATCCCACTGTCATCCTCACAATAAGGTGTGGTCACGTGATTAGTTCTTATAGAATGAGAATAGTAGTAACTGGGTAATTTTCTGGCTAGAGTGGATAAGAAGCAGTATACTTCCACCATTATGCCTTTCCTTATCTGTGAGCTAAATGAATAGGATTCCTAAGACTTAGGCAGAGTAAGCTATGGATGGAAGAATTCTGGGTCCCTGGGTCTGCGAATGAGACACTGACAATAAAAAAGTCCCTGATAATGAACATTCACATCAGACTGCGATGAGTGAGAAATTAGCTTCTATTATGTTAAGCCAAAGACATTTTGGGAACTGTTATAACAGCTGGCATTATCCTCATCATTATAGATATGATGGTCTTTATTTATGAATTAGGAAAATGAAGCTCAGCTAGGTTAAGTAACCAGTCCAAAGTCAGGCCCTACTTCAAAAATGATATTATTCTGAGGGTAAGAGGTGGTGGGAGGAGTACCAGGCAAAGGGTTAATAGATTTTGCAAGTGGCACAAAACAACTAATTTACATGAGCTAAGATGTCCAAGATAGGGTCTGAGAGTATATATTTTGAAATGAAAGACAAGAGCAACAGTTACTAAGGATTTAAACTGAGAAAGATTGATGGAGATCATACACAATATTTGGAACTGGTTCCCTTTCTTTTGCTGATACATATTTATACCCTCCATTGTCCCACACTGTTTAAACACACACACACACACACACACACACACACACATACACAGAAAGAGAGACAGAGAGAGAGAATTTGATCTTCTATCATAACAAATTTCAGCTCAAGGTATTTATATTTACGAGCTTAAATAATCTATACTTTCAGAACCCTGAGTGTTGGCTGAGAAGGTTACACAAGCTTTTGCAAATGCAGCAAAACTGTCCCAGGAAGCACACCACTCAGGCAGACAGAATTCCCTTCTGGTAATACTCTGCGATGTCATTCATCTTGGAACTTCCTAGATAAGAAGGGAGTGATATGCAGGAAGGACAAGGTCATTGACTCCTTGTATTTATTTGAATAACCACCAACTCTGCAAACATACTTCTGAAGTAAAATATGGAGGAGGCATCCACAGAAGTTGCCAATTCAAGAATAATAAACATATAACAAGGGTGTTAAAACTAGAATTATGATATTAGTCAAATTCCTTGAATGTTTTCTAGAGAGAATAGTTTCCACTCTAGAAGAGAATTATTTCCACTCTAGAAGAGTATAAAATTATTCCAACATCTCTTCAAGAAGATCAGTTAAGCAAATCCAAGCCACTGTATTTTTCAGAGACTGACATCTTTCTGATATTGTAGATACTAGAATGGATGAGAGCAATGTAATTAGCAAAGGAAAATGGAAAGAAGAGACTTGTAATAAAACAGCATACAAGGAGTTATATCTAATTATTACCTATAGATTTAAACCACTTAGATGAAGACATATGAGTTGAAAAAGAAATTAAATGTGGTATTGCTTTCGTGGGACTCAATTCAAATATTTCTATCTCATTCAAAATTAAACAATCTATGTTATGTAGACCCCCCAAAATCCCCAGTCTAAATATCTGCCTTACTAAAATGTTCACTTTTCAAACAACTTTATCAGGTGGAAAAACATTCAGTTAGTCTAAAGTTCTTCATCCTATTAGTTCGTAGGTACAATAATATTTGTAACAGAAAAGTTGTGAATTATTGGAATATAGTATAAATTTGCATCAAATAACCCTATCTTATACATCCCTAAAATGATTTCTAAGAATAATGGCTCTAATATGTGGATTTGAAAACAAAGCTAGGAGCTATTCATACAGTGACTCCATTTAAAAGGAATATAGGAAAAATGATTTTTAAAATAATTTTTTAAAAGTAAAAACCAAAGGCAAGCATAGAAACCTAGGGATATGCTAATGAAACCTGTTATGTCAGTAACAAGTGTTGTTTGTGAAAAACAAATGTTCATTTGCTAATTTGAATCCCCATCATAAGGCACTTATGTTCATTGATTGGCTCTTCACAAAGATTACATCATCTCTGTGTGGAAAGCCTTCCAGGGTCCCCACACACTATTCCTTCATTGGTAGTCTATGAAAATATCAACAATGGCAAGGCTGTATTCAAATCTTCCCCACAAAGAGGCAGAGTCAAGTACTGCAAAGTCGTAGAAGTTTAACCTTCATGAGATTTATTTCTAAGTCTGCTCTGTGAGGAATACAATCAATTAGATATTTTTTTCTCCTATGCTCAATATTATGCCAAAATGTGGGGGTATGATTGAACCCCAGTAATGTATTGGGCCATTAGGATGTTTGAGAAACTACTCATCTGGTCATAGCTAGACTACTCTATAACAATTTCAGCAACAGTTTCTAGAGATAGTTGAGAAAAGTTAAGTTACTAACTGTTGGTAATTAAAATGCACATATAAGTTAATATAGAAAATCCAGAAGATAAAGGAGAGATTTCAGTTTAAAAATGATGAAAGAAATATTCGTATTCTTTCCCACAAGACCATAGAAAGACCATATAAGAAAGCCAATGGCCTGTTTTAGATACTAAAAATCTAGTTTTTGAATTTTTGAAAATAAAAATGTCTAAAAAGTTTCTGGCTCTTGCAAAAATATTTGATTGAGGGAGAAAACATTACTCAAAAACACGGTCAATCCAAGAATTTATAAACAAGAAATAGTAAGTATGGTGAAATTCATACAGGAGTAAAACTGTAGAAATGGAACAAACATTAGACCCATGTTGGATCAAGTTGCCAAAAATGCTGATAAACATCAATGATTTCAATGTCCCAGGAGGTTTGATGAATCAGAGTTGGGTTACTATTATTCTGTATACACCTAATACCATCTGCAGAGTTCCAGGGGCCATGATCTAATTCAGAACATGGCATCTTGCTGGCTGGAAAGGAGTCATCAGCTGTTACCACCAACCCAACTGAAATATGGGGATAAAAATATAAAAGAGAGTCATCAACAATGAAGTCACTCTTCATGTCAGCTCAGGGTTATAATGAAGCCTATTTCAATGTAGATATAATGTCCTTGTATGTCAAAGATTATGTTCTCCTCATACCCCAATATAACTTGTAATTTTTAAAACTGTAGGTCATGACTCATGACTCGACAGTGAGTTGTGAAATAAATGTAGTGGGTTTACAAGGAACATTAAAAGAAACAAAATATGGAATCAAATTAAAATGTCAGAGAATATTGTACATAGTACTAAAACTTCAATGTGTGTGTGTGTGTGTGTGTGTGTATGAAAGTGGGTTTGAGGGTCTTACTATGTCAAGAGCGGAAGGGCGCAAAAGATCTCTTTGACTCTAAATCTGTTTTCTAAGGTTTCATCAATGTGCCTGGAATTCAATAGTGAAAGATTTATTTCTCTACATCCTGAAGATACTGGGGATTTCAAAAGCACACAATTAAGATAAGATGCTCCTCAAAAGGATAAAATCTTGTTTCATTAGCCAAGGCTGATAGCTATCTCTGAGCAGAGGCCACAGGAATAGAATACAAGTCGGGCACTTTTGGGATAGGAGAGGTATGCAGAAAGAGTAGGATGGCAAGACTCCAGAGATCATCCTAGGATTCCACATATTTGACCTGCACCCTTGAAGCTAGTACAGATTGATAATTCCCATGCAGGATATCCCAGTGCTCTTGGCTACCATAAAAATCAGTAAGAATTGTGAACATAGTTTTTGTGGGTCTTCCGTTAGTACTGACCAGTACTTTCATAGACAGCTTGGAGAAAAGTCTTTACTGGGATTGATAATTTTCACACCAATTAGAAATTTCATGAGCATTCATACACAATCATCCCGGGTGGTGAAAAGGGTTCCAAGGAACAATTAAATCAATGATATTTAAACACCACTATACATCAGAATCACCTGGGGAGCTTTAAAAACTTTAGATGCCTAAGCCATCACCCCAGAATGAGTTTCAGTTGATTTGGGAATGAGACCTAGGCACTTTGTAAGAAATCTTTTCAATTGACTCTTCTGTGGAGTTGGGTTTGAGAACTACTCGAGTCCTACCACCCATATGATTCTTGAATCCCCTCTATTATCCTGAGCAACTGTTTTGTTATATTTTTAAACAATGATAACTATAATTTTAACCCACATTTTTACTTAAAATGTGCAGAAATCTGTCTCCCTTTGGAATCAATCCATTAGTCATTTTTTTTTCTACTTTGCTCTTCCCCAATGTGGGTGTATGATAGGTTAAAGCCATCTACCATATGCCAGCCTTTAGTACCAGCACACGCAGGCAAACACAACACAAGACCTAGAACATGGTAATAGTAACACAGTAAATGTCAGTTGTCAGTGTTATTGTTGTGGTTGTTATTATTGTGACTACTATCAGGGAACACAGCAAAGATGGCTGTTAAGAGCAAAATCACCAAAGCAATTCTGCCAAGACAAATGTCAAGAACACACTACTTCTCAGTGTTGTACAATAAATGCTACGTATTGAAAATCTGAAAAAAAGTATAGATGTTTGGTTTTGTGCTTCATTCACTACTTCCTACAGTGCCATATAGACAAATAATGGATGTATGAAGTAACACAGGTGTGTTCAAGGTGAGGCTTGGCAAAAGGCCCCTGCCTTTTATATTTTAAACAATAGCATTCCACATGATGAAAAAACTTTCCTTTGACATTCAAAAAGTTCCCCACAATGTTAAAAAAAAAGCCTTTCAATAATAACTCTCCTTAAAAGAAGACTGAATAAGAATATGTAAAGTTTAGACCTTAATAGGAGAAAAAAAGGAAAGAGGTAAGTTGGAAATAAAACAACTTCTGGGAATATATTCATTTCCATTTCTCTTTCTATACTACTGGTTAACCTTAACCTCTCTCTGACTGAGCTGAGCTTATCCACCCATACAGCCTTGAAAGTTCACCATGTCTTTAGAGAGGTCTACTAGGATTAATACAATATGCTTTCAGGCTCAGTATCATGCCTAGACCCCTGTGAACTCTTCATAAAGGGTTATTTCTCCTGTAGATCATGTTGTACTGAATTACAATGGGTTAAGTTAGATTCACTTAAACTCTGAAATAAACAATAATGCAAATGACAAGAGCGCTGCCAATTTCATGTTGCTGTTATTTAGAGGCTATTTGGAGAAGTACCCAAAACCTCCATTGTCTTATTTCCTATTACTACCAAGATTAGTAAATTAAATGATATTTTATGAATTATCTAAATCTTAAGTCTAATTTAATCATCATTGTCAAGATAATTTAGGAAATTTACCTTAACTGTTAACTGACTTGCTTAATGGTACAGACAAAAATAAAACAGCATAATTTAAGAAACCTGAGTTTCAAAGACACGCCAACCTTCCAGCATTATTTTGCTAAACTGAAAAGTCATACCTTCAACCAAGGAAGTAAGGAGGGTGACATTAGCTGCTTTCCGTCTTCCTGCTGGTAAGTTTAAGCCAAGCCTATCCAATTTCTCTCTCAGGCAGCGGCCCCCATTCTTTGATTTTGCTCTGTACAAAAACAAACAAAAACTAGGTTTTGAAATTTCACATTCTGATGAAAATTATGAGACGACTTGACCACATGGGGAATACACTATCAGATGGAAGACATCATGACTAAGGGTTGAGGGTATGGTATCAGTTAGCAGAAATTCTGTGCCAGAATATAGCTTTGTCTTACCTTCTCAAAATGCCTCCCAAGAGTGAAGCATTGAGGCACTCAGGTGGGGAGAGGCGCCTCTTTACCTCAGCAATGGTCACCTTGTATTTGGAAGTAGAACTAAGAAGGGACAAACGGCCAGGGACAGAGCAAAATAAGTCTGTGGGGTTGACCACACAGGTGCCACCTTGGGAGAAAAAAAGTATATAACATGTTAGTGACAGTGAAAGAAGCTAACTGCATGAGAGGCAGTTAACATCAAAAGACTATTCTGGATTTGGGAATACATGCTAACAGTTGTACTTATATATCCCCCAGATCATCGCAGGGAGCTGCTCTAAATGTTCTTTCAAATACTACTCAGGGTCATGTCTTTTCAATGTTTGTGAAAATGTCTGTGAGTGTACAATTGTTAGAAACATTGGCATCCTACGGAGTGTAGACTGACTCACCAGTGCTAATTTTGGCAACATCCACACTAAGAAACACTTCAATTAATCAAAAACCTGAATTCCAATAGTTAAGCTCACAAAGACTAGGTATTACTTATACATGGTTGTATGTTTATGTACACACACAGATGCACAATGTACACAATGGATGGAAATGTTTTATCCACAATTACTGTCTTTTCCAAAGTGTTTGAAAACTGCCATCTTTTCCTCATCCATCTGCCAATTAAAGGCAAAACAGTCACTCAATCCCAGGCACTGCTAAAAACCAGTTACTCATTGAAAGAAATTTCTAATCCATACAGGTGATGATAGGTTAAATACCTCTATTGTATGCCAGCCCTCAATATCAGCACAAGACCCAGAACATAGTAATCATAATACTTATTAAATGTTAGCTGACAATAATATTGTTTTTATAATTGTCATTGTAAATGTAAATTGTAAATGTCATTGTCATTATTACTATTAGGGAGCAAAACAAAGATAATTGTCAGTAGCAAAATCACCAAGGCAATATTGCCATGCTGGGGTTCCTGGAACAGAAGCTTTCTGTCTCCAAGCTCCAGAAAGCCCCCTGAGCTTCAATCTCCTCCAGGAACAACAGTGTATGTTCCCTATCCTCAGGCAGTCGACAATAACTGAAGAGGACTTGACGATCCAAAGGTGATCATCTCTGAGAAGCATTTCCCACTGTCCAATTCCTCCCCCACTGCAAGACTTTGGAGCCAATGTCCACCCTGCTAGCATGGTGACTATACAGTTCCGGGATCCAAAACCGCCTAATGCATTGAGCAATCTAAAGGCAGAGTTTTTAAGGGTCCGAGGCAAATTCAAAGTTGGCTTTTTTGATCATGTATTTTGTTTCTTCAGCTAGGGTCAATCTTACAACCCATATCCAGAAAAGGGACAAGTTCTATGAGAGAAAAGAGGTTTTAAAAAAGTAGATGGGAGAAGAAAAATGGGCAGAAGAGTGTTGTCTAAAATATTTTTACTTTGTAACTTGTTAGAAGCATAAAATCTCAGACCCACCTCCAAACTTTTTGAGTCAGAATCTGCATTTTAATGAGAGCCTCAGATGATTCACATGGTCATTAAAGTTTGAGAAGCACTGAACTAGGACTTACCACTTGCCTCCCAGGTATCTCCTACCCTTAACTAGCACATATGGAATATTATACCGGTGGTAGAAATTCTGGCATTCAGATTCTGGTATTTTCCCTGGGCTGGGTTGCAAAAGAACCTGGGAGGACATTTAAAAAGGCAAAGGGATCCCAAACCTGAGGAGACAGAAAAAGTTAACCTTGCCCCACTCTTAAAACATTTCTACCCCTGTACCTTCTGGAATTCTTCCTGACTGTCTTTTGGTCACCCAAGTTTTCCTTGCAAGTGCTGGAGACCAAGATCTTTCTCCCTAAGCATTCTAAAGTCCCTCCAAAAAACAACAAACCAACAAAAACCAGAAGAGTAATCAGTGGGAATGTCAGGGTAGCCAACCATCTTCAGGCTAGAAGTTAGGTCCTGTGCACTCTGCCAAAACCTCCATGACAGTGTCTGAAAACCTGTTCGCAGTTAGAAATCTGAGAGTTCAAAATCTCAATCGTCAAATTAAAATCCATTTCTTGACATCAAACTTGTAGCCAATACAATGGCAAACCATGTAAACACCTGCTTTAGGAGCTAAAAACAAATTCTCCTGTACTTCCCCCTCTTCATATTCTCACCGAGTTTTAAGCCAAAATACAACAATAAAAATGTTCCCCCAGATTCCTGGACCTAAGACTACCATTTCACTTTTGTTATCGGTTTCACTCTGTACTTAGAGATGCAAAATGCATTTCAAAAAAAAATCTTAAATGACTTCTTAAAATTTTAGATGAACAGGAAAGCAAGGTAGGTATTAATGAATCTGTGGTGTAGAGTCATACTGTGAGAATTTTGATCCTGATTATTTTAGGAATTAGATAAGTCTACCCCAAATATATTAAACAAAGAGAAATCAATGTCTTTATGCAAAATTCACATAGCCCTCTTCTAAAAATGGATCTCTACTCACAGTCACTATAAATCATAAGCAAATTGATATTCTGACATAAACTTTCCTCTCTTGCATACTAGCCAGTATACAAATGAGGACACAAGGAATCTCACACAGTTGCCAGTTAGCTTCAAGTTTATGATAAGTGAGAGAACAGAGCGTTTGAGTATATGTATGAATTATTTTCCTGGATGCTAAGGGTAGGGAATACCACAATTTTAGAACTTTCTTATCTTTACTAATCTTCAGTGGATTAGAAACCTAATTTAGGGAGATGTAGATGATTATCATTTTTAAAAGAAGTTGTTAGATCAGGCTCTCCCCAACTGGAAGACTTTTGGCAAAGTGAACCTTATGTGTTGAAAGCCAGCTGCTCCCAGGGAAGCCACTGAGTCTGCTATCTACCCACGTGCTAACTCCCTGGGCCCAGAGTCTCCCTCTCCTACATCTAGGTTGGGCTTCTGGCTTATGCTCAAGTAGACATTTATTAGGTAAGTTACACAAGCTGCATATTAAGAGTATGCTTTATGCACACACAAATTGCCTGAAGGATTTATTTTGTATTCAGGATTAGCCATCAACTCTAGAGTCTTTTATTTTTTATGTCACAGCATCTTTAAAGGGAATTTCTGTTGCTTTGATACCTGGCATTGCTGCAACCTTGGGGAACTCTCTAGTCCTGGCTAAAGATTTGGCAACTTGTAGAGTTTACAGCAACTTGGGGAACCTGATATCTTTCTTCTTGGTGATTTATTCTTTAGAGAGGTGGAAAAAAGTAGTAGGTCAATATCACCAGGGTTTTGCCTTTAGATTGAAGGTGCTGAGGGAGTGATACTTCTTTAAGATAATCCAGACTACAGATGGTAATGATGAGATCTCAAAGAAGAATGTTATGAAACGTTGGCCCACACCAAGCCATTTACAGTAGTCATCCCCAGTGTTACTACTTGAACTTCCTCATGGTGCTTGTGTTGCATGTCAGCTCATATTGAAATTATGTGATAATCATTCTAGATTCAGCATCACAATTAAGAATGTCTTTGATTCTATAGCCAGTGTATTCATGCAGAACTTCTCCAGAGTTCATCCCTTTTCCATATACAGTTCACAGAAGCAATACTTTCACAAAGTTCACTATTTTTAAATTTGGAATTTGGAGATAGGGCTCTCTATTTTCAGTGATGCTGCAAATTCTGATGGGTAGCTATGGTAACAGTGGTAAGAAATCAGAAACTATCTGCTCAAGGTCCTTTGCCTAGGACATGGCTTTCATTAAAAGGGATAACTTTGCCATAGCTACAGGAAGAAGTCAGCCAGAGACTTCTGGCTCAGGTGTGACAAAACTAGCACAAAATACATGGATGCAGATCCTCCAGCTGCCATATCTTGTTAGATCTTATTCGGTTTGAAGAAGCATGGGGTGGCTTTACCTTGGCTGCCTTGGCATAACAGGGGACATCTGGCCAGTGTCTGCAGACAGTGTGGGGCAGTGGAAAGAGTACCGGGCTACAAGTAAGAATTTGACCAACTATCGACTCACGCAACTTTGGGCGAATGACTCTGGGTCTAGTCTGTCCATCTAAACAATGAAGATGCTCACACTTGCTCTACTTATCTCCCCACCTTGTAAGGAGGTGCAATGGGAAATGGATGCACGCACGCTCGGCAACCTGATTATAGGCCACCCAACCCCGCCACTTTTTTTTAAAAAAACAACTACCCCGTTGCAGGGTGTGAACTGCGGGGTAGGACAAGACAGGTCCCCCCGCCGACACACACACACACACACCCCGCCACCGTCTGTGCTGCAACTGGATGGGAAAGACAAGCGCCGGAGCCTGGGTGAGCTTTTTCTCTTCTCATCCCAGGCTACTGGGGCAGAGGAAACAGCGGCGGCTGTCTCCAAGGAGCCGCGGGTCCCTGGAGCCTCTAAATCTGCCTCTGAGCCATACTCACGGCCTCCGCGCCTCCCCCGTCTCAGAACGCACCCAGCTGTGGCGAGAGGTCCCGCGCGCTCTCCAGGTGCGATCAATACTTCCTAGCGGGCTTCCGGGCGCTGGGCCGGTGCGCGCATCCTCTCCAAAGCCACAGCGCCGCCCCACTCGTCGTAGCGTCGGTGTTGACATAATTAGACCAAATCTTGAGAGCAAAATAAATGATCTGTTCGCCTTACAGCCAAACAGATGTT
Source organism: Homo sapiens (assembly GCF_000001405.40). Classification (NCBI taxonomy): domain Eukaryota; kingdom Metazoa; phylum Chordata; class Mammalia; order Primates; family Hominidae; genus Homo; species Homo sapiens. The sequence goes on along the minus strand of NC_000006.12, from coordinate 50,724,364 downwards.
TACAATTCAAATGAAAGAAATACAAACGGCAGGGATTTTTCTTCTCCCCTTCTTCATCTCCAGTGATCGCTCTTTTTTTTCTGACACATTAAAAATGTGTAAGCGATTACAAGAGTTTCCTGTCCCTGTTTGTTCTGCGGTTGCATTTCTGCGAGGTGCGCCTGTGAGTTGGGTGGGGAGAATTATTCTCTGCTGCTTCCTCTCTAGCCTCTCACCCTTCCTAACCCTCCTCCCCCATGTTACCCCTCCCCCCATGTTACCTCTCCCCCCACGGCAGCAGATATTAATTGTAATCAAACAGCAAAGGATGCGGACTTAATTGGAATCAAGTAGGCCTTTGATGATGTGTAAGGAGCGAATTGTTTGGGGGGAGGGTATAACATTACAGGTATAGCTGGATTACCAGGGCCGAATGAGCTTCTCCTTTTGTAGATTCCAGGCAGAACAAAAGAGAGGTGTGCGTGAAGAGACTCGCTGGTTTAATGTGGCGGTAGGTGTGTAATGGTGTATATTAGGGTGTGTGTATGGCGGGGGTTGGGGGGAGATTAATCCCCATTCCCCAGTGCAAAAAGTGTTTTGGTTTCTGCTGATTTTCAAAGCAGTTAAAGAAATTAGAGAAAAGGCTGTAGGCTGTGGGAAAGCTACCTCTTTCCCTCTACAACCCCCAACGCCCACAAAGATTTCCAACAAATCATGCTTCTGGATGCTTTGGTACAAGAGTTTTAGATTTCATATAAAGGAGATTGAATTTCAAACCTGCAGAATCTGCACTGGGGACTAAGGAGGCAGGCGAGGCTTGAGGTGTATCTCTGGCTCTATCTTCACCCATAATGGATGAACCATAGAGATGAGTTTTGGCTAGCGAGAGTAGTGATTCCAGGTAATCCATCTGGAATCCGAAGAGTACTGACAAAGGAAGAAGAGCAAGGCTTCCCACGCTCCTCCAATTGTACTCCTTCAGGAGCTGCTGAAAGAATCCACGGCTTTCTCCATCCCGGATTCCAAGGCTCTGGGCCTTCCTGAAACCCAGAGAAGCAGAGGAAATCGCTTCCTCCTGCCAAGCAGCCTGCTGCCGGCCTTGAGGCCGGCTAAAGGGAAAAGCGATCAGGTCCTTCTACTCTGTTATGGGCAGACTGAGCAATTGAAGCTAAGGTTCCATTTCAAGGAATTTTTTTTTTAAAGAAATTAAATCAGATCTGACAATGTTTGTACCGCGGCGTAAATGCCTTTGCCTTGGCGTGCCAGTCACCTCTAAGCGCTCTGACAAACTCAAACTCTCTTAAAACGTGCAGAGTTCAGATCATATTAATTCCTCCAAAATGTTTTGATTCAAAGTAGTTTGTATTTTGTGTAGCCACGGGCAATCAGGAAAGCGCTCCTGCCTGCCCATGGCCGGGTCCGCTCCCTCTTCGCGTGGCCCAGAGGCTACCGCAGTGTTTAAGCTTCTGAAATTAGCCTGGGGCTGCAAGGCAGAATGATCACAAAGCGAAACAAGGGCGCTTCCCCTCTTCACTTTTTTCATTTTTTCCTCTCCCATCCCCCGCCCCCCCCTTTTTAGTTGCCATCTCGATTTCACAAAACAGACCAGGGCCAAAATGTCACTTTCCACCCATGTAAGGAAAAGCTAGGTCTTCTCATCTAGCCCACTTCTGAGGTCCACAGCCCACTACCCACTTGTACCCCCACCCTGCGATTCCAATATGGATCCATTTATTATGAGCTTCATCATCACCATCGTCATCAACATTGTTCACTTATTATTAAATACTCAGAGCAGGAAATGAAAGGGACCGGTGTCTGGCAAAGGGGAGGCGGCCATAAGGGAGCCTCAGAAGATTCAGGGGGGAAAAAAAGAGTGAGATTTTCTTTCTTTTTTTAATGATTAAAAACACAGACGACTCCTGTAAATAGAAGCCTCATTTCTTCAAGAGATGCCTTTTGAAACCCGATATCTGAATATTCAACGAAGGCAAAGCTCCACTCTGTACGTACAACATTAATATGATCTCTGCAGAATTTGCTACTCAGTAATATTAACATATCAAAGCCTACGCCCGAGGCGAAAGAAGCTATCGATACGCGAGCACAGGGTAAAGTAAAGATTATTGGTTCTGATGGTTGGAGAGCCGGAGCTGCGGGCAAAATCGCGTACACCATTAACCGAGAGTCAGCACGCAGGGAGCTGCGCCTCCGAGGCAGTGGCAAATATTTTATCTAGGTGGTAATTACCTAGCTGCTGCCCCCTCTTTCACGCATTCTTTGGCTATCGGGCCTTCATTACAGGCTAAAATAATGTAATTGCCACTTAACAAAATGAGTCAGGGCGACGCTATTTTGTTCTTTACAAGTTGAAGTCACCAAATGTGAAGAACAACTGAGAATGCCCAAGCCCTCCACGCCACTGCAAACCAGGACAATGTCCCTGATTAACTCATGTAAAGTACATAGTCACCCATATTTCTTCAAGAACATCATTTGGGGTCTTTGGAAGTGGAATCTATTTTTTTCCCTCCCATAGTACATTCTAGAAACCATTAGAAATGTAAATTAATCCGGGAACTTAGCAGAAAAGAGAAAATGGTGAAAAATTGTGCTTTGCAATAAATCATGTTTCATGTGGTGGGTCAAGCATGAGCTGGAAAAGAAACAGACATTCTTAGCTTTTAGACAGTATCGGGTTATATGAAGTATAGCAGTATAGCAGCACTTGAGTTAATGTCTTCCTGATTTTTGGTGAACACAAGTAGTCTGAGCTGTTGATATTAGGGGTCCTGTGTACTACCATGACAATTGAGAAAATAGGCTTCTTTAGGGTTTTGTAAAAGGAAGTTCTGAGATGAGGGGCTGGGCAGGCTGCAGCAAAATATACGCCCTCTTTTGGGAATACACTTCCCTGCTATCCACTTGTAAATTGACATGAACATTGATTGTTTCAGAATAAACAGACACGTATAGACACACACCCTCCTCTCCAAGGCTCAACTAGGTTAACTGGCCTTTCTCTAAGACACGTGGAAATGGAATAAACTCAGCAGCTAAAATCTGAATTCCTATGAAGAGGGGTTTAGTCAAACAAGACAGACGTAAACCCCAAATTACATTCCCTTTCTCTCTGGAGCTTCACTAGTCTCATATGACATCAATATTTGGTTTCAAGTAGCAGATTCGACGATGATTTTTAGTTGAAACGAATAGGGACCGAATTCTACAGGAATAATAAAGCATCACCTAAGGAAGATAATTTCTGTGGCTCTGATAAGGTAGCTAACATTTTGGAGATACCTAAGAGCTTTGGCCTTTCTTGGGAATTGAGTGAGGGGGTGAGAGGGTGTCCCTTAAATCTCTCCCCAGAAATTCAATTGATTCCAAAGCCTCTTCCTCTCTAACTCCCTCCTCGGCCTCAAGTAATTCCACCCTCTGTCAGGTATCTTACGCTCAGATGCAGTTTCCAAGCATTTCAGAAGGTGATCTTGGTCAAGTGTGAAAGCGAATGCAAAATTGCAGTAGCAAGAGGCCGGCTGTGGGAGAAGCGGGCTCCCGTCCCTAATTAGTGGCGCTGTCCTTCAGCACCACCGAAGTCTCTAAGCGCCCTGAGTGTTCTTGCCTCACCTTATTTTTACCCGTCCCAACAGACCCCTGATCAGCACATCTCACCTGGTCCCCTGTTCACTGTGTAAATCTTTTTTGCCTCCTCCAACACAGTGCATTCAATATTCATCAGTCTTGGGCCTATTTTATTCCATTTCAATAGGTCTGAGTACCAGCGTGGCTGGCAAGCTTAATATTCCTCATTTAAAAAATCTTTGTGGAGTTATACCACGTATATGTGTGTGTGTGTGTGTGTGTGTGTGTGTGTGTGTGTGTGTGTGTGTGTGTGTTTTAATCTCCATAGGGTGAAACAAGAAGTGTTGAGCAGCTCTTTTAAATTTAATGTAAACTACCAGCATCCACTAAAACAATAACCAAGTTCCAAAAGGAAAGCACCCTTTGTTTTCTTTCCTCCTCAGTTTAAATGGAGTTTACATTGGACATTGGGATGTAAAATCTGCAGTTTAAACATGAAAGAAGCAACTGATTTCTACCAGCACATCTCTCTATCTGGAAAAGCAAATCTTTCAAGAAGCTTTCAAAGGGATGGAGAAGGGCTGAAGGACACTTATTTGGTCCCATCAGAAGAGACTCAGTTTTTAGTGTTCTGTTACTGCAGACAACTGTGGCCCTGAAGCAGGAATTAGTCTTGGTGAATAGACCACATCTTATTAATTCGTATGAAGTTAGGATAACAGCTGGTCCCTCTTGCCTTGTGTGCTGCTCGGGTTACTCAGCTTGCTAGAAAAATAAACTTCAGAGGCTTTGGGTACAGTTAAGTAGGGGAAGCTAGCAAAATCTGCACTGCCTTAAGGCTCTGAGAATGTCATAGTTCAAAACCTTTTGTCAAAATGGAACATCTGAGATGCAGCCCCCTTTAGTGCCCGAGCTGAAAGCAACAGCTCTCTCCTCTCCTCTTGCCTTCCCCCACCTTCCAATTCCATGGGTAACTCTGGATTCAGATGTTTCCCTCAACAGATGGGAACAAGAAAGCTTTATCCAGTACAGTTAACACCACCTCCTCCTCCCACCTTCCCTTAAAGAAAGAAATGTCCTGGACACTTAGAAAAATAAGGGCAGCTACAATATTGGTGTTTCATTAGCCTCCCCTGAAGCCTCAATGATCTAGCCTTTCACAGAATCCCTAAAAGCCTGAAGCTAACACCATCATCTCAAACACCCAGGCTGTGGCTAGCACATTTAGGGCTTAAAAAGACCAGAAATTCTGCTGGAGGATGTGGTATTAGTGCTGGGGGAAGAGGGTGTGAGAAACTTCTTTCTTTCTTTCTTTCTTTCTTTCTTTCTTTCTTTCTTTCTTTCTTTCTTTCTCTCTGTCTTTTTCTTTTGTCTTTCCTTCTGCCTCTAACTTTGATTCTGTCACTGTTCTGTGAGGAGCAACAAATATCTCCTATCACAAGTCTTATGGGCATAGCCTGGGTTCAAACCTTGATGAAAGAAAGGAGGCTTTTTAATGTGGATATGCCAGTGTTGGACTAGAATAATTGACTAAGCATAATTGTTTTCTTAATCATCAGAAAAGGAATCTGAGCACAACCAGATCTTCTAAACAAAGTAAGAGATAGGAGAAGAATGTCTAGGGTTAACATGTTGTTACTTGTTACTTACCTCTTCTTATCACTCCACCTTGGCCATTGAGAACAAGCCCACACTGGGCCTCCACAGAGCCCTTAATAAAAGAAACAGAAATAAAATTACTTAAATGGATACTCATATGCATGACCACGTAGGTAAAGTCTTTTAGACTAGCCCATCCCTGAACTCTGTTTCAGTAGACATTTGAAAGCAAGCATTGAGCTGAAGCAAGCTTGCCAGCAAACACAATTTTTTAAAAAATTGCAAGAAAAACCACAATCTAAAAGTTGTATAAATCTTAAGGTATGCATTTTACATCACCATACAATATTACACTTCAAAGTGCCTGGGAGTCTTTCATCTTGGCATAAGAGAATGAGAAGCCCTTTGAGTCCCCATCAAGGCACACAGCGTATATACAGACAGTGTACACTCAGCACTTTCTGAGTAGAGCAAATTACACCTAGAGTGTCAAGTCTGGGACTGTGGGTTTCTTGAGGACACAGAGGAGCTACTTCATATGCAGGATACAAGATGTCTTATGGAGGTTCTGTTTTACCCCAAATGTAGGAACATCCTGTAATCCTACCCAAAATGGGCCGTATGAAGGAAAAATCTTCAGGTTCACTCACTGTAGGCCTTCAAAGTCCTAATGGATTGAGGAATCCCTAGAGCTGGAAAGATGGAAAGAGTTTGCTGATTTTTGATTAGGAAAAATAAAAATTTCTCCCTGTCTGTCGTTTTCTTTTTTCCCAAATCAAAATGTGTTAAAGGCTCATTTTCCTTTACAAACAAACGAGGTATTGGACATGAAAGAGGCCTTGAAGGGTGTTAACCTACCCAACAGCCCGTGAAGAGTTAAGTAAATGCGGAGAGAGTCGGTGCATAATAAAAACCCACTTTACAAAACAACCTTTACAACCCTGGCTCCCTTTCGCCTCCCCATTTTCACCATATTGAGGCAGGCCTGTAAGACCCCCCTTTTCAACCTACTCACAAGCTCTTTCTTATTTTAAATGTTCTGCCTTAAAGTGATTATCAAATCAATATGAAAAAAAAAAAACTTGGAGACTGAGCATAAATTAAAGCGGTGATGGGAAAAGGTGTGACAGTTTCCTTTGTTGGCCATAGCAAATCTTTTTAGGGGACTCAAAGATGGAACTGAAGCCACAAGACTGTTTGCATCTGTTAGGCAGACTTAGACCGCCCTCCAAACCATTGGACTTTCACTTAAAATTCTGTGCAGGGAAAAGTATATTTACATTTGTTGCATTTGAAATGAGGCATATGCTGATGAATGTTTTAAAAAGGAAGAAATAAAAGGAGAGAGACGGGTTTCTCCCACACACTCCCTCCCCATTTCTTGTTTTAAAAGTAGCTATGACTCTTTCTTTTTCATTCTGCCAACTTGGAGCAAGAACAGTGGAAGAAAATAACTTGTCAGATTTACAAACTTGCTACATAGCATTCATAGATTAAATAGATAAAGATGGATATATATTATGATATATACATACATGGATATATCTATGTAAAGGTATAAACGTATATCACACACAGTACTATATTTCTTCTAGTATCTTGGACTGTGTCCCTTAGTATGAGTAATTTTGCTTCAGTATGAGTAATAAAAGAGAAAAAGGACATTCGTATATGGAAAAAGAGATAGGCTGAAGAAAAGCTTTCAAAATATCTGAAATGTAGATGATAAATGGTCTCAAAGCTCTCCAAAGCAGTGAATCACTTTCCCTCCCACTCTCTGGCGCACGGTTACAATGTTTATTTTCTTAGAAGAAACGAATCTTGGTTTCTTCACTTAACAAACTTTTTCCCCTCATAAGTAAAACATGTTGTTTGGTCGGATGACATTGCATAAATGACCAGTTGAATGGCACTAAGTCGAAAATTGGATAAACTACGGTGTCCTTTTGCACGGGATTCGCTCTTTGTCTAGTGCTTGCAAATGTTCTAATCCGCTCTTTTGAAAAATGCTCGGCTTTGTGCCTAGCACAGAAAAAAAATTTGTACAGATACAAAAAAATCAGCAGCAGACGCGGCTATTAAAAGGAGTAAATAGGTTTTAGTTGAGCTAAGCACTGAATGGCAGATTTTTTTCCCTCTTGAGACATAAGGGGATCCTTGTGAAAAATGTAAAAATGCCCTGAGCGTATAAAATTATTTTGTGAATATAAATGTAGAAAGTCAAGGTTTATGGAACCAAATCTTTTTTCTTGTGCACCGGTCTTACTGCTATGGCTCTTTGTTGGGACTGTAAGGGCTTTCACTTTAATTTAAAAATAATCTCTTGCTCAAAGGTAAATGAGGAGGAAAGATTTTTTGTGCGCAACAAGGGATCTCTTACGTCTCCAACTTATGTTCTTAGAATATTTCCCTATTTGTCCTGGAGAGTGTGAAGAAGGTGGCCAGCTTTGTGCAGACACAAAAAGTAGGAACTCACAGGTAGAACTGCACTTTTAGCTAAAAGGAGCTAAAACTATGGGTCTTTTGAATTATTTTCTGGGTATTTGTGGGCTCATTTGTTTGAAATATGCCTATGGCAACATAATTGCATAATTATAAATTCTATCTTTGGTAAAGAATGTGCAAACACGTGTTAAGAAATAAAGTAGAAGAGAGATCATCTGATTGAGTGATGGCCTCCACAGTGTCTGAATACCTGCCTTCTTTCCTTCCTTCTTCTTTTTCTCCCTTCCTTCCTTCCTTTTCTCCTTCCTTCCTTCCTTCTTTATTTTTTCCCTCTTTCATTACCGTTACTGCCTCATTTTTATCTTTTTAAGGAGGTGCATTTTACGTAAAATGTAATGGCTGGAAGAGCAAAAATAAACTTGTAAATTACCTAACTGGGCTGCGGTTTTGAGTGCACGTCAGGCGGAGAGAATTAAACTCAACCCTACACCCTGGCAAAGTGCACTGTGCGGATTATTTCCTTGGGGTAGAACTTTGAGACTTTCATTTGCGATTCTTTACTTTCCACAGATATCTAGTGTATTTGGTGAAACTTTTGTTCAAGCTTAGGGTCCCAACAATTTCCTTAGAACAAGCCTGTTTGTAGTAAGATCTCCACAAGCTCAGTCTGAGACAAACACCTGGGACGCCTCGGAAGACCCTGTAAAGTGCGGAGATTGAGGGTACGATTGGTCATCAATTTATTGGATCTTACTCTGAGTCCGGTTGGCCCAACCCCAGACTCCTCGATCTCCTCCACCTCATCCCCTCAGGGTCACAAATGTTGATTCACAAAAGACTTCTGTGAGGACAAACCAAAGATGGAGGGCCGCAGCCGCCCGGACTCCCGCACTTCCAGGTGAAATGCTTGGATCCAATGAGAGGAAGAGAACGGGCACACTCCTCCTCTAATTGTTTTGATAACTTTCCATAAGTGGTGTGTGTGTGTGTGTGTGTGTGTGTGTGTGAGAGAGAGAGAGAGAGAGAGAGAGAGAGGAGAAGAGAGAGAGAAAGAGAGACGCTTTACAGTCGGAGCATTAATGGGGCGGCAGGGGGAGGGCGAAGAGGGGAGGGAGCAGACAAATTCGCTGCATGCTTATTTACCTGCAAGTCGTCTGCTCCCGCGGCGGCCAGCCCCAGGCTGGGCCCTGGCAGGAGTCTTTGATCTGGGTGCATTCCATACTGAGAGCCATGGCTCATGAGGGACAGGTCATGGCGGCGGTAGGCATCGAGGCAGCCCAGCTCCCGCCTCTGCTCGTCCAGGCAGGACGACTTGAGCGCCCGCGCATTGTGCAGGTTAATAAAGTCGGTGGGCTCCCCGTGGTGGATCTGCTGGTAGTACTGTTGCGAGTGGTGGAGAGAGTTCAGAGAGTAGGCGTCGGGGGTGACGGCCGGGTGGCTGTGCTGAAACTCGTAATGGAAGGACTGGTGGTGGAGCGGGGTGTACTGGTGGTTAGTGGAGAAGTAGGGGGACGCAAACTCGGTGCCGGTGGTGGAGTAAGTTAAAGGAGAGGAGGAGGAATAGGCGACAGTGGAATTGGCTACTGACTCCAGACAGCCAAGCTGCATCAAACGGTAGCTGTTTGATCCGTCGTGACGTATCTGGAAGGAAGAGGGGGAAAAGGGAGAGCAGAAAAACTTGAGGTTTGTCATTTTGCAACCAAGGCGCCGCTCTCCCGGAGCCAGGAGCTTTCTCTGGCACTCCAAGGAAAGCGAGCGCGTAGGACTCGGGCCGAGCCGAAGCCGGGTCTCAGCGTCTTCACCAGAGAGCCTTTGCAAACAGGCGAACTGGGGGTGGGCGGCCTCGTCCTCACAGTCGAGAGAGCGGAAAAAAAATCCCCCACCCTATATAGGTGCGGGTGACACCACACACGCACACACACGCACAGACACACACACACAGACACACACACAGCCCCTGCCCAACTTGTGCAGGGAGCTTGGCGTTGGGATCCAGGTTTGCAACTGACTCCGGGGCCGCGGGTAGCAGAGGAACGAGTCCACCCGAAAAGAGCGCTGGCCCGGGGCGCCTTGCCACTCTAACTAGACCCCAGCATCGAAATTCTGCGCCTGTCTATGCCGAGATGTTCGGCCCGGGCTGCTCAAAATCATTGTCCATATATTTTAAAAAATCCAGTCTGTGCAAATCGTTCAACTTGCTCCCTTCCTTAGTCATTCGAGGGAGGGAATCCGACTCCCTCTTTTCTGCTTCCCTTTCCTTGAATAAGCCCATTCCAAAAGGGGTGCGTTTTCCCCATCCCCCTTGTGCATCTACTGCTTCCCCACCAGTCCCTTTTCTTTGCTTTTCTGAGAATCTTTCTTTCCGTCTCTATCTCTTTCTCTTCACTCCCCCCTTTTATTATTAAGATTATGTTTTCCCGCTCATTATGGCAAATGTTTCTTAACGTGGCAGAGAGTTGCCCTCCCTGGCGACAGATGTCATAACGAACTTTCTCCCCTTTCCTTCCTTAACTTCCCCCGAAAGACAGATTATAATTAAACGTAACGGTCCAATATAGATTAGAGACAGGGGAGGCTGCCACCGCCGCCGCCACCGCCGCCACCGCCGCCGCCGCCACACACACGCGCGCTCAAAAAAAAAAAAAAAAAAAAGTAATAATACCTCGGCATCGTGGACTAGTCCCGGAAAGGTAGTTGACATGTTGGGTTTCTCCGAAAGCTTACGATGCAATTTCCCCCTCCAAAAAAAGAATCGGGAAAAAAAAATCCAAACTTCTTGTATTTTCCAATTTTTAAAGGAAAAAAAAAATGTTCTATAGGTAGATATCTAAATTGTAATGGTTTTGCCCGGATCAGATAGCTCCTTGCCTCGTACCCACTTAAAAACCTGTAGGAACAAAATTTTCCCTCTGCACAAAAGCAGCTCCCTGGAACAGATTTTGTACTTGCTGAGTATTTCTTTGGCTGATGTCGTAGGTCCCTTGGTAATATAGAAGTTTTGAAAATTAAGCATCAGCACTGAGAACTGGGAGGACAATAGGCAGAAGAGATTTATCCCAGGAGACAAGGAATAAATATTGTATCTTCGCCTAATAAGGAACTGGAGGTTCTTTCAACATTTTTATCCATTTTTTCCAACCTTTATCATGCTTTTCTATACCGACTGAGGTGGGGACTTATCTCTGTGGAGAGTATTTGCACACATTTTATTGTGAAGCTAGAGCTCTAGCTCCAATATATGTATATTAGAGATAGAAATATATATTAATTAAAGCTTCCTTTTATATGGGGAAGTGTTCATTCCTATTGGTTCCACTCCCTGGATGCTGAAAGCTGCTTTTTCCAACAACCACCCGAATCAATTTTGCCCAGATTGGGGTGTCTGCCTTCGCCCAAGTGGAAACAATGCTGGTCTTTCCATATTTACATTGAATTTGGGTTCTTTCCCCTTTTTTGAAAGGCAAAATCAAGCGGTGGCTTACACTTTTCAGCAGCTTTAAAAATAAATAATGGTGATGGACAGTCCCAAGTTTCCATCATCAGGAAATGGTGTAACTGGCAATGCATTTAGGAAAAATGCAAGGGAATAAAGATGTAAGACAAGATTCTACATTTAGGTAAACTGTTGTCTTTCACTCCCCAAACCAAACCATATCCCCCCTCTTTTGTGTTTTTCTTCTTCCCTTTTGGAAACACTGCTGGTGGTGGTGGGGTGTAGACCGTTCAGCAGTAGCATTAGGTTTTTGAACACTATTACCCCCAAAATAACCCTTAAATGCTTGGAAGTTATATTTTATAAATAGAGGGCAGGAAGGAAGCAGTGCACACATATTTCCATCTCTTCAGTGGATTTCTTGACTTTCAAACAGTTTTTGAGCTTTCCTTCCTTCAAAATTCAGCTTCCTCCACCAAGTTGTTTAGTGCCTGGAGGGGGTGGTGGTAGCTATAAACCTGAAATACTGAGGCTTTGCTCCTCAGTGTCTACATTATAAGAAAGAACTGGCTGGCCCCACAGACTCATCTCATAGATAGAAGGGGTAATTCAGTCTTAATTGCCATTTCATTTGGTTTGCTTTTAAGTGTTTAAGCTGAGAAGGTGTCTTAATAATAAGCCTCAGGCAAACAGGCATGTGGCTTTTTTTTTTTTTAGGTTGGGGTTTGGGAGGGTTTATTAGGATCTGCTCATGCAGGCTAACTGGGGCTGTCACTCAGAGCTCTTTGCTTTATACAAATGGACAAAGGCACACGACAAGAATTGAAATGCATTGTCTGAAATGGAGATACACGATTCTTCAGCCCCACATGGGGTCAGCAGCCAACACTTGTTCCCTATTTCAAGGTGTGCCAGTGCTGCCCCCCTCCCACCCCTCCTTGAAATTCCATATTTTGGCCTAATGAAGTAAGGAGACTGAGAGACCAATGATGACAAAAAGGAAGAATATCCAACTTAATCTTTAAGTAAAAGGGGTAAAATGAGTGCTGTTGGCTCTAGGGGTTGAATCCCAAAAATGTTTGCAGTGGAGTCTTTGTTTACCAGGTCTGAGTGGGGCCTCCATAGCTTACCCACGGAGAAAATAACTAATCATCTCTGGGAGATGGAGACTGCCCCCACGACCTTAACTCAGGCACCCCTGCCCCTGGGAAAGTGCAGACCATTCCCTGGAAGAATATGTAGGACTTGCAGGTTATCTTGGGGAATGCCCAGGTGCGCTTTTCCTGGTGGATGATATTGGCTTCCCAGTTAGTCCCGGTCAAATGGAAGAGGATAGCCCTTCTCAGACATGTTGCAATCTCCTTTCCAACACCCCTACTGTCAGATACACCTTCATTGAAGGTGACGGTACCTTCTCTTCCCAGTTTAGGTCCAGGCAGCAGACACAAAACCCTCTCCCCGGGGAACAACAATGAGGAAGCTCAGGAAGATGTGGCCGCCTGCTCTGCCTGCTGGCCCAGAGTGTTTGTTCCACATGTTTGTCCCTGTCTGGAATAAGAGCCACACATAGCCCCCCTCACCCCTGCCACCGCACTCAGAAGATATAGCTTTATGATACTCTCGGTAATGAGCTCTGGCCTTGAACTGAGTACACCCCATGGAATGACCTCCAGTAGCCTGGACCCTGTGAACATCAGGACATCACCAACTAACTGGCAATCATCGCATTCCACCCCCTAACCCCACTTTCATGGTTCACTTTCCTGAGTGACTTTTAGGTATCCAAACAAAGAGTGTCCAGGGTTTAACTTACATGCTTGTTGAACTCTTGTGGACATGAGGGGAAACTAAAGATCCTGAAGAGTGAGAAAAGACCCTTTCATTTGTACTTAAGGAAAATGAAGCAGGAAGGATAAAATGGCTCTCTTTTAGTTTTGAGATTTCCCTTGCCAGGGCCCTTGACTACCTTAGAAAGCATCCCTCTTAACCCTATGTCTTGGCTTCCCACACCAGCATCTGAACTGCAGGGAAACTTCATTTGGCCAACTGCTCCCTCCCACTTCATTCCAACTTAAAAAAATAAAAAAGCTGTTTTCCCCTGAAAGAAACAAAGTTGAGGAAATCATCCATGCCATATGCACATATTGGTCAGCGCTCCCTTCCATCTGCTCTGGGGTTGCTCAGCGCGCCCCTTTTCTAAAGAAACTCATTGAGGCAGGTGTGTGGTGTGTTTGGTGCCTGTGTGTGTGTGTGTGTGTGTGATGTGATGTGTGTGTGTGTAGCGTTCATTTCTGTCAGACACCCCCCCATCCAATTAATAGTCTTGAGCAATTAATAAGTGTCGTCTGACTTGACCCAAAGACTGGGCTTTTTAGCAAAGTTGATTCCTCTTTCTCTGTTTTACTTCTTTTCCAGAGAGTGATTGGTCACTCATTTTCCAGCGGGTGGCATAATTGAATTAACTGGCCACAGCACTCTGGTGACTATTGCCTGGGGCCCCCTCCAACAGGGAACCCGTGGTGTGCATTCCAGCCTCAGTCAGAGGCCAGGCCGGCGTCAGTCACTCAAAATAGCCGGCAAGAGCATGGTGGACACGCTGCTGGCCTTGCACCCCAAAAGCTGAAAAGGTTGTTCCTCAGCACTTAGTTCTCCTGTTCTTCCTTCTGGTTCCATGCTCCACATGCCAGGAAGGAATGTCTTATGGCAGTCACTTTAGGAATCTGCAAAGAAATCTTTATATATATATATATCATTATTGTCTTGGTTAGAATCCAGAGCTGGAAGAGTTTTGGGGTAGTTGCAAATTCCTTCCTGGGCTTCTAGGCCAGCGTTATACAAATCACTCCAATCTCAACATCCAATCTCAAACATCTTTACAGTTTTCACCCAATCTCAAACATCTTCACTGAAAGAGTTTGCCACTCCACTGTGTGTTTGAGGTTGGTGAACAATTACAAACGAACTCATGCCTATCCCTAGCTTTAATAAACATGTATTTCTTCAGGTTTCTTTCTTTTTTTCTCTTTCTTTTGGTACTTAGGGTTTCCTTTGCTATTGCAAATTGATTTTGTTTTTTTATTGCTTGAATACACTTCTCCCACAAAATTGCCTATATAATACTGAGCAAAGTGGAATAATTATTGGAATTATTTTGGGCATTTTGAAACAAAAATATTTTCTTGGATGTATTTAGACACATGAATCAACCAGAATATCTTCTTTGCTCTCTCCCTTTTGCCCTCCCTCCCCTTTTTTTTCTTTCTCTCTTTCTTCTTCCTTCATTTCTTCTCTTTTTCTTTCCCTGTTTTTTTTCTTTTATTCCCTCCCTCCTTGCTTCCCTCCTTTCCTTCCTTTTTAACAAAAGATAGATAGAGATGGGATTGAATCTCTTATACTTATGCCTTTTAGGCAAACATGTGTGTACATTGTCTAAGAATGAAATTTAGCATGTTCTGCTCCAGTGGGAGGTGCAGCTGTATAACCAGACATGAATTTACACAATAGGAAACAATTTCCATGGTCACAAAGACCCTGTCTTTGAAAGAACAGTGGGGCACTAAGGATCCCATATAGGTGAATGATGTTCATTCCACAAAGCAAAACAAGATATGTAGGTATGAAAATCAGCACCTCTCCTTACTGCTTCCAGCTTCTGCCCTTTCACTCCTTTTTTGGATGAACATGAAGAGCAGAGGTGCCTTCAGAGAATCCATAGTAACCAAAGGACTCCTGCGACTTATCTAGTGGTGTTTTATTCCATCTGCCCTCGGGCCCCCTTCCACCATTTTGAGAATCCCCAACCGTCTCAGTGCCTCCACTTGGTAGGCTTCCGAGAGGCACTCAGCCTGGGGTCTTCTAGAGACAACCACAGAGGGAACCTTCAGGGCCCTTTTACAGCAGGGTCTAAGTTTCACAGTCACTTCGGATTCTAATGGTTCAGAAACGTCTTCTAGTCCAAGGACCTCCTGTGGTGTGATTCTTCCAAGCTCCTAACCTCTCCTAGTCACTCAGTCACTGCTCTTGGGGAATGCCCAAGAGCTCTGGTGAGTGGGTGGGGGCAATACTTCAGGTGGTGGAAAAGAAGAGTATGCTGGGTTCACCATGCCGTAAACCAACCCCTAGTTTATTCATTTATTCTTCACTAGTCGAGATGAAGACAGAAAAGTGCTCCAAACACCAGGGCAATTCTGGGCAGAGACAGCAATCGAAAACTTGATCCAGTTGTATGGATCGGAATATTCGGAGAGAAAAGGCATGGTAACGGGCATTCATGTGCAGACGCGCGAGGTTTCCCCTCCCAGTGATTGCTTCCTTTCCTTCTGGCCTGTGCTGATGCCGACTCTGGGTCTCTTTCGAAAGGTCCCTCCCTTTTCCAGTTATCAAATCTGATAATTCTTAATAAATGATCAAGTAATCAAATTTGACAACTCTTCTACTTCTCGGTATTCTACACCCATCCTACTTTCTATGACAGAAGTGCCACGTTGCGTAAAACGTTACCTAATTGCAAACAAGAAAAGGAGGCTTTTTTTTTTTTTTTTTTTGAGACACGGTCTCTGTTGCCCAGGCTGGAGTATGGTGGCGCGATCTCGGTTCACTGCAACCTCCGCCTCCCGGGTTCAAGCGATTCTCCTGCTTCAGCCTCCCAAGTAGCTGGGACTACAGGCGCGTTCCACCACGTCCGGCTAAATTTTTAGTAGACACCGTGTTAGCCAGGATGGTCTCGAACTCCTGGCCTCGTGATCGGCCCGCCTCGGCCTCCCAAAGTGCTGGGATGTAATTACAGGCGTAAGCCACCGCGCCGGGCCAGGCAGGCCATTTTTTAAAATAACTTTAGGATGTTTAGGGGAAATTAACATTTCTGACAGACTCTGCAGTCATTTTAGTTTAAGGGTTGTCATTGATTTTTTTAAACTCCTTTTTCTTTCTCTTCTTCTTCTTCTTCCTCTTCCTCTTCTTCTTCTTCTTCTTCTTCTTCTTCTTCTTCTTCTTCTTCTTCTTCTTCTTCTTCTTCTTCTTCGTCTTCTTTTCTTCTTCTTCTTCTTCTTCTTCTTCTTCTTCTTCTTCTTCTCCTTCTTCTTCTTTTTCTTCTTCTTTTTTTTTTTTTTTCAAAACCTCCTCCTTCACGACCCTACCCCGCCCCCTGGGCTGTTTGTCAAAAGCCTAACACGGATCTGTATTCCGCCTTAGCCTTGCAGCCGACAGGCAACACGGATTCCATAGTCGTACAGAGAAAATGCATTTGCAAGCAATTAAAAAGCCTCGCGAACGTATTAGTGGAAAATTAAGTGGGAGAACTCCCTCTTCTGAAGTCTTCTGTTTGATAACAATGGAACTTGGAGCCGAGGCCCTCATCTGAGACGGCAGGCTCCCTGCCCTTCTGCAACAGCTGCCAAGCTGTGCTCAGGCAGGGCGCAAACTCACCCGCCCTCTGCGCGAAGCTCTGGCGCATGCAGAGCCTGCCTCGCCAGCCCTACCGCGTCAGGGGACGTTCACTCCCAGGCAGCAGAACCGGAGACCGGGAGGGCACGATGCCCTGGAGGCCTCCTGGCTGGTTGCACGCCTTCAGGCAGGAAGCCAGTTCTTCTGGCTAAGGCCTTTCTCCCATGGGAAAATTGCCTCTTTCGGCCAAGAAATGTTTGAGTTCCGAAAGAGGCTGCACTTTGTCCTCTTTTTCTTCTTTCAGTTGTTTAACCTTGTAGCAATGTAAGGGGCTTTGCAAGTCCGTCTGCCAGCCTTCTGATTGCATATGGAGACTTAGTTTACCAACGCTTTAAAAAGTATTGATTCATTTGATCCTGAGAACACTCCCCTTTTCTGCCATTCAGGACATATATAATTATTATCCTCTTTGTATAAACGAAAAAATAACAGCAAAGTAGCAGCAACTAACATTTATTGAGCTCTTATCATACGTGCCAGGCCCCGTTTCGAGCCCTTCATAAGGATTGTATCATTTCATTCTTTCAACCCTTGGATGGTAGGTATTAGTGCAAATGCATTCCCTTTGCAAAAGATGAGGAAACGGAAGTGTTTGGCGGCAGCTCATCCCAAGCCCCACTCCCCCTCAGCAGGTCTGTGAGATGGGGAAAGTGAGACTCAAGGAGGTGTGAGTGATCCCTGGGTCACAGGGGCTCTGGCCCCAAATCCGGAAGTTTTACTTTGTCCCCCTCCATCTTCTGGTCTTTACTGTTGCGTCTAAACTTTTCCAGGATTTTAATTTCCTCTTTTTACCCCTCCCCCTCGCCCCCACCCACCATCTCCATCCCTCTCCAAACGCCTAAAAGAAAACACCCAGACGGAGGCCTGGTCTAGGCTTCTTTTGCAGTACAAGTCATCGTCACACCTTCCAGGGGAAGTCGCCTGGACTACCGCGGCCTCAAATTCAGCCTCCCGGATCTTACCGCTAGCTTTCCAGGGGACCGACAAGGGTGCAGTGCTCCCAGGGTTGCCCTCTCCCCTGGCTGGTCCGCCTCTGGTTCTCTTCAGAGTCGGTGGCTCCACCTGGCCAGTCGTGGATCTCGGACGCTGTGGCACTCAGCAGGGAAATCAGGCCGAAGGGACCACCAGCTGTACCTGCCAGTCTCCTGCGCCCTCTTCGCATTCAGCGGCAGGCAGCTGCGGCTTGGTGAATTCCGCGAATTCCGCGCTGGCCCCGGGACCCCCTGGTAACTGAGGTTGCACGAATTGAGCCGCAACCATAGGGCCTAGGCACCAACCCTACTTGGGCATCTTCTTGGGCATCAATTCTACTTGAACAAGTTACTTAATTTTCTCACCTGTAAAATGAGAAAAATAATACACTTAGCTGGTCCAGCTGTTGTGAGAAGTAAGTGAATATATATATCACTGAGATCAACGTGGACAAGGAATGCCTTTATAAATATTGGCTATTATTTGAAAAGAGGGAGAGTTGTTAAGGAGGCAACTAAAGAGTGACAATATCAGTGGAGACTCTTGCTTCCCTAGGGCCCGTTTTGCGAGCCTTGGACAGATGTTACCAAAGAAAATTCTGCTGGAGGAGACTCCAGAAGCCATCAGATTCTACCTTCTACTGCCGTATAGGGTCACACAGCCACTGGAGCTACAGAGCCAGGGCTGGAGCTAGAATTCAGATGCTTGTGTCCTCTCAGCCCCAAGTCACTGGTTCAGGATTCAGGGAATGGACAGCTCGGTAGTCCAGTCCTTTTTTTACATGTCTATTTTGTATTTCCTCATGGCTTAACTAACATTTTGGTCTTTAAATTTTTTTTAATTTCATTGTTTCTTCTTTCTTCCCCTCCCTTCATGTCTTTCTCTCTTTTCTCTCTCTCTCTCTCTCAATTCTTTCCTCCCTCTCTCATTCTCCATCCTTCTCTCCCTCTTTCTCTCTCCCCACATTTACCCTTAGCCTCTCCTTCCATTCCACCCTGTCAATGTATTCAGGGGTACCGCCTCTTCTTTCCTGGAATTCTGCTCCGACTTAACTCCCTCCCTTCTAATTTCCAAAGGTTTCTGTTTCATTTTGCCTTAACATCCTGTGCATGGTCTCAGTGAAGTGGGGGTGTGGAGGTGTTTCTTCATCCACAATAATTCATGTTCTGGTCACCTTGGTACATAGCTCCTCTCCTACCTTCTAACCAACCCCTGTGGATCTGTTT